>NC_000006.12:170125061-170745979 GCF_000001405.40 Homo sapiens
TCCACCTCCCCACCCACGCCCACGTCACCCATTCCCGGTCAACCTCGGCCTTCTTTCCTGCTGAGCACAGCCCCTCAGAACCCTTCTCAACACAGCACTGCAGGAAGCTCTGACCAAGTTATCTAAAATTAACATGATCAAAACTGTTTGTCCTGCCTACTCTAGGCTATGGTTGGAAGAAGAAATTTAAGTGACAAAAAGAAAAATCTAAAGTGATTTTGTTACCTAAAGGCAGCAGCAGATTGGTGTTTCAGAGGCCCTGAAACGTGTATAGCTCAGAAGTCTCTTCGTGAGAGAACAATTCCAAATTATGAATGTAAAATTACTACAGCCTGAGAAAAGACCTGTGCAAATAAGAAATGAGGAGGTTGAAACTGCCTTGGTTTCCTGGTAAATCTGCCTTGCAGAGGCTTTGAACTCTTCACAGGCCTGGCCCCACCCCAGAGCTGCTGAATGTGCCTCGGAGGTGGGGTATCCAGGCTTACGAGTTGCTGCAGGCATTTCTCAGTTGGTCCAAATGCACATCTGGGATCACAGCCTCTGATCTGAAGCAGAGGGGAGCAACGCGGCCTGGCTGGCTGTGGGACATGGCACCAGATGCCATTTCAATGAAAGCTTCACAATAACATGAGCAAGGGTCGGTGAGTGCTGGAATCAGCTTCTCCAGCTGCTGTGCTCCAACTGGCCAGGGACCTACAGAGAAGACGCTCAGGGCCAGCATCGTAGCCCTCGTGGAGGCACAGCTGAGGTTCTCCGCAGTCAAGGCTTCTTGGAGCCAGGAGTCTGTAGAGCCCTGGGGGCCTGGAAGCCCCTCCATCTGGGAAAGTGGAGGCAAAAGTACCTGGCCCTGCTCCTCCTCGTCCAGCTGGGAGAAGAGCGAGGACCCCACAGTCACCACAAGGAGAGCCCAGGGCTCAGGAGAGCATCTGAACACACGACAGGGCTCGAGGGAGCATCTGAATGCACGACAGGGCTCAGGAGAGCATCTGAACGCACGACAGGGCTCGGGAGAGCATCTGAACGCACGACAGGGCTCGGCGGAGCATCTGAACGCACGACAGGGCTCGGGGGAGCATCTGAACACACAAAGGCCTGCCTGCTGAGGGATCGGCAGTGGTCCCAGGTCTGCCTCCTGCCCACCTTCTGACCCCAAGTGAGTTCATTTACGGCCCTGAGCCTTAGTTTCCCCAGACTTAAATTGGGAATGGTGAAAATACTTACCTGCTAGGTTTGTTCCGAGGGTGAGGAGAAATCGTGCATGGGACACCCTCTGAGAGCCTGGCATCGCCACTCCAGTGCAAATGAAGAAAGATCAGAAAAATGACTCTCGGATGCTTGTTCTCAAAGATTCCCCAGAATTTTTACAATCTTGAGGTAAAGAAGGCCTTCCTTAGCAAAATACCAATTTAAAAAGTACAAATAAAAAGACTGACAGATCTGTAGAAAATGACCTGTTAAAGGTCAGAAGATAAGGAACAAAAGTAGGAAAATCATCCCTATTTGCAACTTCCGTGGTAGCCAGCCTCACAGACAGCCTCACAGTCCCTGATCCTTGGAGCTCGCGTCCCTCCCACACTAAGTAAGCCTCGCTGGTGTAACTGGAAGGACGTTGCAGAAATAACGAAGAGTGACTCCCAAGACTAGGTCAGTGAGACAACATGCAACATGACAAAAATAGAAACAGCTCATGCAAATTGACAAGAAAGAGGCAGTGTGACAAAAAGTAAGCCAAAGGTATAAATGTCACTGGAAAAGACAACCAAAAGCTATATATAACTGCATGAAAATATGCTACACCCTCACTAGTAATGAAAGGAACGCTTAGGAGGCCGAGGCGGGTGGATCACTTGAGGTCAGGAGTCTGAGACCAGCGTGACCAATAAGGTGAAACCCCATCTCTACTAAAAATACAAAAATTAGCCAGGCGTGGTGGCGGTGCCTCCCAGCTACTCGGGAGGCTGAGGTGGAAGAATTGCTTAAACCCAGGAGGCGGAGGTTGCAGTAAGCCGAGATCATGCCATTGCACTCCAGCCTGGGCGACAGAGCGAGACTCCATCTCAAAAAAAAAAAAAAAGAAATGCAGTTTCATATACTGAAATCGCCAGTGTGGTAGATTCGTGCAGCAATAGCACAGTCCCCACAGGGAACCATGCTTCCTGTGCAGCCCTCTCTTATGGAGATATGGGCCCTTAGCCGGTATGGTGTCAGAAAACCTGACGGACAGAAACGTGTGTGGAGCACTGGGATTTGCCTCCTAGAGAATGAGAGACCTCATGGAGCACAGCCAGGCCGTCTCAGTCAAGACCCACTTAGACTGCATGGGGCAGAGCCAAGACCAGCCCCAGCCAATCCCCCAGACACCCGGAGCTTGAGCTCTGCAGATGAGACCGGTGGAAGAGCTGCCCAGCTGAGCCCAGCCAAAATGGCCATGGCTCTGAAAGCATTAAGGGTTTTGGTGGATTGTTATGCGCAACAGAGATTGGTACCATGAGTAACTTTCATCCTATCATATTAACAAAGTTGGAAATGATCAATATTTTCCAGCATTGAGGTGCTAACAGAGAAACTGGAACCGTCTGCTAACGAGAGTCTAAGCTGGTGCGTCCGATGTGAAGAACCTTTAACAATAACCATCAAGGTATTCAGTGCTCATTGCTCTTGACCTAGCAGGTCCACTTCCAGAAATTTTTGCTGTGGAAGGATATGCATAACTTGAGCATAGATGCATGAGAATAATATTATGCAATATTAATCATAATTGTGAAAATACAGAAAACCTAGGCAACCACGTGCACTAAGAAATGCAGTACACGCACCCTTAAGAAAGAACCAGGCAAACCTGTGTGTTACAGTATCCAAAGCTGGACATGACAAGTTATGAGAAAAGCAGATTTTATAATAAAATGTTTACTCTAAACCATTTCTGTAAAATAAATAATGTGTGTTGTTATGCATAGGAAAAGTCTGCAAGGCTGCACACCAAACCACGTATAAGAATTGTTTTGGGGGATGTGACTATGGTATTTTTGTTTAATTTTCTTTATTTTAGAGTAGCTTAAATATTTTACAGTAAGCATTTATTACTTCCACAGTCAGAAAAACACAAAAACAAAAATATTATAGAGTAAAATGTATAAATGATGTAACTTGCAGTAAATACGTAGTTTGTCATTTATAGTAAATATTTAGCTTGTATTTTACATGTGTGTTGAAAATCTGGAAAGAAATGCAGTATTTAGGACAGCTTTTCCCCCTATGGTGAGATTTCAGAGAGAGATTTGAATTCTTTTGCAAAGGCATTGTATTAATAAAACATACATCTTTTGGGGCCAGGTGTGGTGACACACTTGTAATCCCAACACTTTGGGAGGCCACAGCGGGAGGTGCGCTTGAGCCCAGGAGCTCGAGACGAGCCTGGGGAACATAGTGGGACTCCATCTCTACAAAAACATTTAAAAAATGAGCCAGTCATAGTAGTCTGCACCGGTGGTCCGGCTACTCAGGAGACTGAGGTGGGAGGATCACCTGAGTCCAGGAGTGCAGGTGGAGGATGCTGTAGGTGGTCCTCACAGCCTGACTGTGGCTTTGCCTGGGTGTGCATTCCCCACAGTGGGCGGTTGTGCATGGCTGAACTAACGCAGTCCTCAGAAAACGTGAAAATGCGCACTGTTCAGATGAGAAGGAACAGGCTGCAATCGGGAGTTCTCCTCTTTGCCTCCCTGGTCCAGGGGAGCCCTGCCGTGGGCAGGCAGAAGCCAACCAAGGCTTGGAGGGTAGAAGAGCAGCCTCAGGCTGCAAGGAGGGTCCCAGGAAGCAGGCGGGTTGGGGGGCATGCCCTGGCCCCCGAACGCCCCACGTGCAGGGGCCTCAGCCCCGTGAGCGCTGCTCCCTCTGTGACCTGGTGACAGCGGGCCCTGCCCCGCAGGTCTCAGGCGTCTACACGATGCTTGCAGCCTCGCCTCCTCCGGGATGCTCGAGACCTTGATACTAGGCCGTCGTGAATGCCTTCCCAAGTTCAGTCTTAGCTGCAGTGGGGCACAAGTGCCATCCCTGAGCTGAACATGGCAGAGCCAGGCTTCTCCAGGACCCTCATCTCAGGCACAGGCTTGGGGCCCACACGATGGCCGACACCCCGGCCGCAGCAGACGCCGCATGGCAGAGCCGAAGCAGCAGCAGCCGGGGCCCTTCACACCTGCGCCCCTGCCCATCGCACTGGCTCAGTGGCTCGTTCTTTGGCAGGTGCTCCTTGCAGGGTGCTGGGAATTTCCCCAATTCTCCTTGGGAGAATGGATTCTCACCCTGGGAGTCGCTTCACATTTGGGGGCGGGGGCAGCAAAACACAGTAAAATGCACAGAAAAGTCACCCTCCCAGAACCACTCACATCCTGCTCTGCAGAGGGGTGAGGAGGAAGAGCCGGGCGGACCTCGGGTCTGGGCACGGGATGCCGTCCTTGTCCACCCCAGGGCCACCTGGGCTCAGAGCCCCGCACCCTTCTTGCACTCCTGGCTGCCAGCCCTGCTGGAGCAGCCCCTCCATCCCACCTGTCAAGTGTGGACAGAATCACCTGGGGCTCAGGGTCAGAAGACCTGGCAATGCCCTGTCCCAGGCCCTGCAACTCCAGACAAGTCCCCCAACCCCTCCGGTTTCCATTTTCTTCTCAGTAAAATGGCAACACAGTTGCAATGCCTCCCCTAGTCCCACCAGATAATCCCACCCTGTGAGGCAGCATCAGTGAAATGGCCACGAGCACAGCCACGCTCTGTGCACACCGTGCAAGGACCTGGGAGGTCAGGGTGGCTCTGCCTGTATTGCTTCTCGTGGCCAGAACTCCACCTGCCTCCTTGTTCCCACACCCGCCCGCAGGGCCTGGAAGCATCTCTGAATGTTGCGTTCTATTCATAGCTGCTGTGAGCAGCCCAGCTGTGCAGGGTGTGGGAGCCCAGTGTGCTCTAAGCCAGTCCCCAGCATAGAGCCGGCCAGCCTGGCGCAGAGCCAGCTGCTCTGGTATGGGGTGTGGGCAGCCTGCCGAGAGCTGTAGGGCGGCTCGAGCAGCTCCTGGTGACTGAAGTCACCCCCTCCACTAGACTTTGCCCCCCGACTGCCCCCAGCCCACCCTTTGAAGTGTCATTGTCGCTCCTGGAAGGCAACTTGGGGTCCAGGGTCCCAGGCCTCCAGCCCAGGCTCAGGGGCAAACCCTGCGCCAGTGTTCACGCACCCACACTGCTCAGTCCAGTATGTTGCCCTTGGCGTGGGCCGGGTAGGTGACACATGCTTGGTGACAGTCCGGCCCTCTAGGAGTCAGAAGGGCATCCCCGGACACTGGGTCGATGGCCCCAGTCTGCGAGGACACACACCTGCTGCAGGAAACAAATGTAATGCACTCCAAGAGCTGATTGAGCAGGAACCACCCTCCACAGGCGCCGCCCAACGTGTCCTCCCTGAATGCTCCCACGACCCTGTGTGGGGTACTCCAGGCCCCCGGCTGCAGGGAGGGAAGTAGAGCAGGAGGATCCTGAGTCAGAGAGAAGCCGTGTGCATCCAAACTAAAACCGGAGCTCCTGACCCGGAGACACTGGTTAGCAATGGCTAGAGCGTTTTTCTGATAAAGGTGCTCACTCGGCTCTTGAGCCACGCTGTGCCACTCCACCTGAGTCCGGGCACACTGGGGAGCCCAGACCAGGGAGAGCGAGGCCAGGCTGGGCTCCCGAGACCCTTGGGTGGGCAGGGTGGCCACACAGCCTGTCTGCTGTGGCCAGACACCTGCACCTCCCCCTCAACACACAGGGTTCCACACCCCTACCCTGGGCCTCCACTTGCCTGCCAGACTCATGGCCATTGCACAGGCCCCAAACAGACGTGCAGGCCCTCTCCCCAGCACTGTGCCCCGGGATCTGTGGCAGCCCTCCTCATCCCCAGGCCACATCTGAGAAGTGTCACCAAAAACCTGATCTCCAGTCCTCTGCCCAGAGCCCCGAGCTCCTCCACGGTGACCCTGATGCTCCAGGCCTTGGCACCCCCGGCCCCTGCTGCTGCTCACCTGCTCGTACCAGCTGGCATCCGGAGACAGCCGCCTGTCCAGCCCCAGCTGAGACTTCCTCCAGGAGGTCAAGGGCATCTCGTCTGACCCTCCCCTTCCCCTGAGGTCTGGCTGGAGTGTCCTTGGCCTCCAATGTGTGGTCGTGGGAGGCAGAACCCACTGCCTCACCCCAAACACACTGAGGGTTTAAGTGCCTGGTCGTCTCCTCGGGAATAAAGTGCTCAGGACTGAGGGAACATCTCCAGCTCATTTCCTCACCAAAGCCCTATTTTCTCAGCTGCTCACCCCTATCAGACGGCTCTCCTGCCTCCTCCATCTCCCCACCCGGGCCACGGTCCCAGAGGCTGGGGCTGTGTCCACTGTGCTCCCGTCTGGGCCTTGGGGCTCACAACTGCTGCGTGTGCAGCCGGCACTCACTGTCATGGCTGAATGAAGAACTGGGGGCCAAAACAGGTGCCCGTCCACAAGGGCAGCCCCAGAAACTGAGCCCAAGGCCATGGGGTGATGAGGCCTGGGAGAGCAGCAGGCACCCACAGTCCATCCTCCAGCCACAAGGGAAGGGGAGCCGCCAGGGGGCTGGCCCAGCAGCCTCGGAGGGACCACAGGGGCTCGGAGCTGGGCGTGTCTTTCAGTGAATCCACACAAGAGCAGACTGAGCTAACACAGCTACCCTACCTGTGACACCACCACAGAAAGGCTATATATTTCTTAACCCTTTGTTACTATTGTTTATAGGGAAAAGGTCTCACTGTGTTCTCCAGGCTGATTTCAAACTCCAGGCCTCAAGTGATGCTGCCACCTCAGCCTCCCAAAGTGCTGAGATTACAGGAGTGAGCCACAGCACCTGGTCTGGATAAATTCTATGCTCAAATTGTTTAACGTTGTGAATGCACAGCCGGGTTAGAGCGAGGGGCCAAGTGCCCAGGTACCAAGCCTGCGATGCTACAGGACTTAATCAGCACGGAGGGAGGCCCGTCCCAATCCCCCCAGCTGAGGCTGGGGTCTCAGAGCCTACTCCACACAAAGGGTGTGGCTTGGGGTTGAATGAGGACTTGGATGAAAACTCACCTTTGCATGGACAACCCTGTCCTTGCAAAAGGGAGGAGGGAACCCACGGGCCCAGAAGCCACTGAGAAGCTGCTGGAAGCCTGATTGCGCTGGAGCCCAGCCCCCGAGGCCACACCAGGAGGAGGAAGGCCGCAACACAGAGGAAAGGGGGAGCCATGCCCTGTCCAAGGCTGGGTACATAGAGGAAAGGGCGAGCCACGCCCCGCCAAAGGCTGGTACATAATGGAAAGGGGGAACCACACCCCACCCAACACTAGGTACAAAGAGGAAAGGGGGAGCCAAGCCCCACCCAAGGCTGGGTACAAAGAGGAAAGGGGGAGCCACGCCCCACCCAAGGCTCAAGACACTGTTAACTTGGGTCTTGCTCCTGGAGGAATCAGTGCCGAGCCAGGTCTTCCACAGCTGATCCCACTGAGCCTGGCTCAGCACCACCCAAGCACAGGAGGGGAGTGGCTGCCCCAGACATGGGGGGCTCTGTAGGCAACAGGGCTGGCTGCAGGCCACAGAACACCCTCACTTCTGCTAGACACAGGCGCCTTCAGGCTTTGCTGCACCCCCGACACCCCGCATGTGCCAACAAGGAGGCCCCACGTTGCCGGCTCCAGAGGCACGAGGTGAAGAAAGACGGTGTGTGGCCCACAGGAGACCCTTTCCTCTCTGGGTATATCTATCTGCATGCTTGAGCCATCAACTCACCTCCAGTCTCAGGTGCCAGGCCGGCACCCCGACACACACAAGGTCAAGGTGGGTAGAGCAGACAAGCCTGCGTTTCTCAGTTTCTCATTAGCCTATTCAGGCAGGTGCCTCAGTGGGTAGAGGAGACCCAGCTCGTGCTTCTCATCAGCGTATTTGGGCAGGTGCCTCAGTGGGTAGAGTAGACCCAGCCCCACTTCTCATCTGCCTATTCGGGGAGGTACCTCATTGGGTAGAGGGGACCCAGCCCTCACTTCTCATCTACCTAGACAGGCAGGTGCTTCAGTGGGTAGAGGAAACACAGCCCCCACTTCTCATCTACCTAGACAGGCAGGTGCCTCAGTGGGTAGAGGAGACCCAGCCCCCACTTCTCATCTACCTAGATGGGCAGATGCTTCAGCAGGTAGAGGAGACACAGCCCCCACTTCTCATCTACCTAGGCAGGCAGGTGCCTCAGTGGGTAGAGGAGACCCAGCCCCCAATTCTCACCTGCCTATTTGGGGAGGTACCTCATTGAGTAGAGGGGACCCAGCCCCCCACTTCTCATCTGCCTAGATGGGCAGGTGCCTCAGTGGGTAGAGGAGACCCAGCCCCCACTTCTCATCTGCCTATTTGGGTAGGTACCTCATTTGGTAGAGGAGACCCAGCCCCCCACTTCTCATCTGCCTAGATGGGCAGGTGCCTCAGTGGGTAGAGGAGACCCAGCCCCCACTTCTCATCTGCCTAGATGGGCAGGTGCCTCAGTGGGTAGGGGAGACCCAGCCCCCACTTCTCATCTGCCTATTTGGGGAAGTACCTCATTGGGTAGAGGAGACCCAGCCCCCACTTCTCATCTACCTAGACAGGCAGGTGCCTCACTGGGTAGAGGAGACCCAGCCCCCACTTCTCATCTACCTAGATGGCAGATGCCTCAGATTTCACTTCCGCCGAGCCAAGACCCTCTAATCCACAGCTCACCTCCAGAGTGGCATAAAAGCTTCCCCAATTAGTGAAGACAGTGAGAGCCGAAATAGGAATCAATATTCCAGGCAAACCCTGATTTCACACACACAGAATGAGAATATGCTGGAGCTTGCCTCTCAGGCAACTGGAGTTAGCTCTGGGCAGACCACCTGCAGAGCCGCGCGACTGGACAAAGCCATCGCTAAACCCTGCCCTTAATGCCAATATTTGTGGAGTGATCATTAATGGTTCTGCATTACCTGGTATCCCAGCCTCAGTGCAACCTAATACACTGCAGCTGCGCAGAGCAGGCAAAGGCGCCGGCAGCCCATTGTCTAAGAAAAATAGTTGGAATGCATTCGAGATAAGCAGAAGCCGTGCAGGCACTAGCGCCGGGGGAATGAATTAGGTAATGGGAGCCCCATCACATGCAGGGGATCAGGGTGCCTGGAGCAAAGCCAGGAGACCGCACGCAGATCACCAGTGTGTGTCTGCGGGCTGCGGAGGCCATGGCCAGGGTCAGAAGTTACACGGAGAGGAGCGCATGAGCCTGCTTATGCCGCCAGGAAGCCGAAGGACTTGGCCACAACAGGAGCAGCTAACATTTGTCCCATGTTGGTGAGCTGGGCCCTGGCCAGATTGTCCTGCATTCCGTGAGCCGGGCCCTTGCCAGAGTTTGCCTCCATTTTTTATTTCACTGCTGAGAAAACACAGGGGCCAGGTACTTCATCAAGCCCATTAAGAAGATACAGACTTGAGTCAGAGGAGGAGTCAAGGGCTGAGGCCGCAAAGCTGTGGCCAGGACTTGAATCCAGGCCGGTGGGGTGTAGCCGGCAGGTTCAATCACGTGCTCGTCCCGGCCTGTCTCACGTGGGCCCGGAAGGCCGGGGTGAGAACAAGATGTCTGGGGCTTTGAGGGGTGGGAGGAATCCGCGGGGTGGGGCTTTTGCCCTGCCCAGGGCTGCTGTGTGACGTGGGACACCCCAGGGGCGGGAGAAATCCATGGGGTGGGGCTTTTGCCCTGCCCAGGGCTGCTGTGTGACATGGGACACCCCAGGCTACCAAGCGTGACTTGGGTCATGGGACCGGACCTCTCCCTCCAGCAGCTGCAGATCTGAGAGCCACACTTCCCTGGTAGTGCCAAGCAAGGGGTCCTAGCAGAGGGAACCGTGGCACCTCAAATTCCACAGTCCACCCTACCCGAGGCCACCTCTCAAGTCAGCTTGCCCCATAGGGTGCAGCCATGACCACACAGACACACCCTCTCCCTCACCAGACCTCGAAGGAGAGGCGCACAGCCTCATATGGCTCCCATAGATGTAGAAAGTTCCAGAACACAAATCACACACCCGGAGACCATTGCTGGGTGAGCAGTGGAAGCTACTCTAGGCCAGCGGTTTCCAAAATGCCCTGTGAATTTCCTGCCACCTCTCAGTCACCGCGGAGCTTCGTAGAGCTGCAGACTCTACCTCCACATCCCACACCTCTGCTGCCCAAGGGTCAGCACTGGCCAGCTGGAACTTGGAATTCTCTCATTTCAGAAACGTTTCTACCTTAGAAATGATGGCTTCCCACCGAGAAACAAGCAGTGCGCACCACAGCTGCCGTCTTCCTCCGCACGAATGTGCACGAAACAAAGGCTAATAAAACTCACATGTCCGTGGGCACTGTAAGTACTTCCGTCATAAATGCTACACGTTCCACACATCCGACCCTTTGCTTTCCTCTTTATCTAGATCTAGGACCTGCAAACTTGTTCTGTAAAAAGCCAGAGAGCGTGAGCCTCAGGCTTCCTGGGCAGACAGGTCGGAGGGGAGGGAGCGGGCAGCGTCCAGTGAAACTTCATTTACAGAAACGGCCATGGCCAGGTTTCGCCCTAGGGCCGTTGCCGACCCCTGAAATTGCGGGAAGCTTTTTTCCTCCGTTTGCTGGAGACGCCTTTCCCTCAAGACAAGGTGAAGATTGCAGTGCAAGCTGCGTCTTCCTTCTTGGTCTTTGGAGGAGGGTGAGAGGAGCCCCACTCTCTGCCAGCTCCTCCCCTTCCTGCCGGAGCCGGCCTTTCTGACCCGAGCCTCCACCGCACACATCTGTGCCCTCAGATCCCTGCCTGCCTCCTCCCATCACGGCCCCTCCCGCTCCCACTCGCAGAGGCCAGAGCTCGCCGAAGCCCAGACACCGCCAAGGGCGCCTGTCCCTGGAAGTGCAGGGAGCTGCTGGGCTGGAGGGAGCCCAGTGTGCGCCCCCACGGAGGCCATCACCACGCAGGCTACATGGGCAGGCTATGTGGGAACCAGGCCCACGGTGTCCCCGGACAGCTCTGAGTTGATGATAATGGTGACTCTGCGGGAGGACAGAAGACAGCGGATAACAGCCCCGAGGGAGGGGCAGCAACACCAGCTGCGGGCTGGAAAGGCAAAGGCGGCCGCCAGCCTCACAGGTGCACTGGGAGGGGAAGAGGCTCACACAGCCCCCGCTCGCCCGGGCCTGGGGACGTCTGAGTGGAGCCTCCGCCCGGGCCTGGCCAGCGCCCTGCTCGCTTTGCCCTCGGGGCGTGTGGAGCCCCCGGCACGCTGGCTTCTCTCTGGGAGGCCACCCAGATGGCCGGCCCCTACCCCGTCCGTCCACCCTTTGCTTCTCTAAAGGCCCAATTCAGAGCCCGTCCCCTCCACAGAGCCTTCTCCGGGAGCCCCGCCACCCCGGGCTCTTCCTTCTCTCGTGAGTCTCCTGCTGCTGCGTGTGCGGGGCCCGCCTGCGGCAGGCCTTGGGCCCCTACTTCGTGTGCGCGGGAGGAGCTGGTGGGCACCTTCCCAAGAGCGGGGACCTCGCCTGAGTGCTCACGGCTCCCCCTCCAGTGCCGCGCAGGGCTGGGCACAAAGCCGGCACCGACACCCTGGACACCTTGGGCTGGTCGGCGCTTCGTCTCCTGCCACCGGCTCCTCAGACCGCGCCCTCCCCGCGGACTTTTCTCCCACTTGACTTGATCAGCACCGTCCTCCACCTGCTACTCAACGCGTGGCCCCCGGACCAGCGGCGCCAGCATTGCAGGGGCGGCACCCGCGAGACACCGGATCCACGGCCTCGCCACCTACGGGGTCAGAAACGGACGCCACGAGACCCCGGGGGCCTCCGTGCCAGCAGCACCGGGTCGCCAGCCCGGGCCATTGCGCACAGGGACGCTGACGACGACTCGCCCGCGATGGAAGAAACGGTGAGATAACAGTGCGGGACCTGGCGACCCGCACCCGCGGCCGAGCCCGAGCGCACCGGAGCCGGAGAGATCACAGCCCTTGCCGAGGCCGGGATTCCGGTGGCTCAGGACGCTGAGAAAGCGCAAGTCCTTCCCGTGGTCCAGGCGTCGGGGCTCCAGCCACGTCCCCCGACCTCCGCGCGCCGAGGCCCGAAGGACCTGGGGATCCTGGCGCGTGGTTCTCGGGGCGCTCCGGCCCTGCGGCCACCGCCGCCCTGCACGGCCCTTCCAGCCCCAAGTCCTCCCACGCGGAACGATGCTGAGTTTCGCAAGTCCTGGGCGGGAGGAGCGTTGAGCTGTGGCTCTCATTTGAGTCCTTTAGAACACGCTCCTTCATGTCGGATTCTCCCGAAGTGTCTCGGGCTGTTTTGCAGTTTTGCTGAATCGGATGGCAAACGCCCAGGACTGTGGGAGGGAAATAACAGGATGACTCGGGGATCATTAATCCCAGCCTGGTGAGAGCGACGCCGGCGAGACAAGGCCAGGCCCATCTGCCGAGCTGCCCTCTCGCAGCCTTTTACTCCAGGCGAGCGTGTTCGCTCCCTCTGCCCCTCAGCTTCAGGCCCGTTTCTGAGAAGCAATAGGAAACTCGCAGGCCATAAAAAACGCACAGGCCCGTCCCGAGCCCTTCCTGTGTCCTAAAAATACAGCGCGTCCCTGCAGTAGCTATTTTGGAAGGAGCCAGCAGAGTGTTTCCTGCAGATGAAAGGCCCCGAGGCGCCATAAACAGGATCTCAGACCCGGACTCTTTTTGGAATGAGGTCAGAGCCCCAGGGACCAGACCAGGCGCTGCAGAGGCCGGGGCCCAGGGCAGACGCCTGCTCCAAGGAGCACCTTTTTGGGGGGTCGGGTTGAGGGGGTGGTGTTTTTGTTTTTATTAGTTTTATTTTGTTTTGAAATTCAAACTAACTCAGAAAAGGCGGGGCGTGAAGAAACGTGTAGGATGAGGAAAGAGAACTTGTGAGCCTTAAGAGCTGCCCGGCGCCGTCTTACCAGGCCTCGCCCGGCCCGGCCCTGGCCCTCAGTTCCCTGCCAGGGTTGGGACTTAAGGGAGATCTTATGACCTAGGAAATCCATTCACTGAAATTGGGGGTGGGGAGGGGGAGCCCGGAGCCCCGCAGCCTCAGAGGCTCTCGCTTCACAGTGGGGAGCCAGGACTGGGAGGAACAGGCGGGAAGGAGGAACAGGTGGGAAGCCCCTTCACAGGCTCCTCCTGGGATTCCCCGGCAGGGGCTAAGCTGATCCTGCAAGAGTTATGCCGGCCCCTTCTCAGAGACAAAGCTCACACTGCACGGTGCTCCAGGTGCTCCAGGGCCCCAGGATCGGGGGGGCCTTGGCCTTGCCCCGGAGAGAGAAGAAGGACCAACGGTGGCTGTCCTGAGTGCCTGCCGTGGCCCCACAAACAGCAGCACAAGCATTCAGAGGGCCACCAGGTGCAGGCCCACGGGGTTGCAGGTGCTGCGTGCCCTCGGGGTCCTGTCCATCCATAAAAAGCTGCTTCACTTTTCCATGTGTCTGCCTGGCCATCAGTAGAGACAGAACAGTGACTGCAGCCCCCAATCCCCTTGAGCCACAGAGAGCGACAGTGACCTTGAGTGTGGAGAGCAGCGGTGACCTTGAGCGGGTGGAGAGTGGTGGTGCCCTGGCTGCACGTGGAGACCGGTGGTGCCGTTAAGCCGTGGAGAGCTGCGGTGACCTTGAACGAGTGGAGAGCAGCAGTGCCCTTGAGCATGCAGCGAACTGCAGTGCCCTTTAGTACATGGAGAACGGCGGTGCCCTTTAGTACATGGAGAACGGCAGTGCCCGTGAGCACCTGGAGAACGGCGGTGCCCTTGAGCACGTGGAGAACTGCAGTGCCCTTTAGTACATGGAGAACGGCGGTGCCCTTGAGCACCTGGAGAACGGCAGTGCCCGTGAGCACCTGGAGAACAGCGGTGCCCTTGAGCACGTGGAGAACGGCAGTGCCCTTTAGTACATGGAGAACAGCAGTGCCCGTGAGCACCTGGAGAACAGCGGTGCCCTTTAGTATATGGAGAACGGCGGTGCCCTTGAGCATGCAGCGAACTGCAGTGCCCTTTAGTACATGGAGAACGGCAGTGCCCTTTAGTACATGGAGAATGGCAGTGCCCGTGAGCACCTGGAGAACGGCGGTGCCCTTGAGCACGTGGAGAACGGCAGTGCCCTTTAGTACGTGGAGAACGGCGGTGCCCTTTAGTATATGGAGAACGGCGGTGCCCTTGAGCATGCAGCGAACTGCAGTGCCCTTTAGTACATGGAGAACGGCAGTGCCCGTGAGCACCTGGAGAACGGCAGTGCCCTTTAGTACGTGGAGAACGGCGGTGCCCTTTAGTACATGGAGAACAGCAGTGCCCGTGAGCACCTGGAGAACGGCAGTGCCCTTGAGCATGTGGAGAACGGCGGTGCCCTTTAGTACGTGGAGAACGACGGTGCCCTTGAGCACGTGGAGAACGGCGGTGCCCGTGAGCACCTGGAGAATGGCGGTGCCCTTGAGCACGTGGAGAACGGCGGTGCCCTTTAGTACATGGAGAACGGTGGTGCCCGTGAGCACGTGGAGAACGGCAGTGCCCTTGAGCACTCGGAGAACGGCAGTGCCCTTTAGAGGTGAGAAGTGGCAGTGCCCATGAGCGCGCAGTGAGCGGCGGTGCCCTGGCTGCACCCTGTGTGTGTCCTGCACCCTCTTCCAGCTCCAGGCCAGGGCCCCTGACCGTCCTCCCAGAAGCCTGGGCAGACCCAACCTATTTCTGACTCCCTCACTTAAGCCATTCCGCGAGCCTCTTGCTAACCCTGACCAGCTCTTCACGCTGCGTGTTTAAACGTCCCGAGCCTGCGGCCTTCTGGCACTTCCATAGCTGCACACACTTTGATCCTTGTTGAGATTCTACAACCCTGGGTGTGTGGACTCCCAGCTCGGATGTGCTAAGCCTGAGGTAATACTCTTGCAGAAAAACATCACGTGCACAGGTGCTCTTTACGTCACTATCAAATGTAGTGATTTTGATGTTTATTTTTTAATTGACAAAAATTGTATCTGTGGCGACTGACTATATCAAGCTTATCAACACCTCCGCCACCTCATGTACGTGTGTGTGTGGTGAGAACATTTACAGTCTACTCTCAGCAAGGTTTAAGTTCAGTCACCCCACATAATGAGTTTTCAGTCAGACCACATATATGACTGTGGTCCCATAAGACTCCAATCGAGCCGAAACATTCCTATCATCTGGTGACATCACAGCCATGATTACGTCACAGCACAACGCGTCGCTCCGTGCTTGCGGCAGCACTGGTGACTGGTGTAAACAGACCCGCTGCACTGCCAGCCGTATGAAAGTCTCGCACACAGAATCATATATGGTACATAACTGGTAATAATGGTGCATAACTGGTAATGATATTAAGCAACTATGTTACTGGTTATGTATTCACTATACTATATTTGTATTATTATTTTAGAGTGTACTTTTTCTACAAACAAAAGTTAACAGTGAAGCAGCCTCAGGCAGGTCCTGCAGGAGGTGTCCAGAAGAAGGCCTTGTGATCACAGGAGGTGACAGCTCTGTGCATTCATCACGCTGAAGACCTGCCACTGGAACAAGGTATGGAGGGGAAGATGGCAATCTTGATGATCCTGACCCAGTGCAGGCCTAGGCCAATGTGTGTTTGTGTCTTCATTTTTAACAAAAAAGTGTAATAGGCTAAACATTTGTTTAAATTAAAAATATAAAAAGGATATAAAGAAAATAATTGTGTACAGCTGTATAATGTGTGCTTTAAGCTGAGTATTATTACAAAGTAATCTAAAAGTCAAAATATAAAAGCCTATAAAGTAAAAAAGTTACAGTATACTAAGGTTAATCTGTCACTAAAGCAAGAAATTTTTAAATAAATTTGGTGCAGCCTCCACGTGCAGTGTGTATAAAGCCTACAGCGGTGTACGGTCATGTCCTGGCCTTCCCACTCATTCCCCACTCACTCATGGACTCACTAGAGCAGCCTGCGTGTGCAGTGTGTATAAAGCCTACAGCAGCACGGTCATGTCCTGGCTTCCCACTCACTCTCCACTCACTCATGGACTCACCGGAGCAGCCTGCGTGTGCAGTGTGTATAAAGCCTACAGCAGTATACGGTCATGTCCTGGCCTTCCCACTCACTCCCCACTCACTCATGGACTCACCGGAGCAGCCTGCGTGTGCAGTGTGTATAAAGCCTATAGCAGTGTATGGTCATGTCCTGGCCTTCCCTCTCACTCTCCACTCACTCATGGACTCACCGGAGCAGCTTCTAGTCCCGCAAGCTCCATGCATGGCAAATGCCCTGCACGGGGCCACTATGTTTTGTCTTTTATAATTGCATTATTTCTACTATACCTTTTTTCTATGTTTAGATACTCAAACACCATTGCGATACAGTTGCCTGCATTATTCAGCACAGTAACCTGCTATCCAGGAGCAATAGATTCTACCCCTAGCCTAGGTGTATGTTGGGCTACACCGGCTATGTACACGTCTCTCCGTGATGTTCGCACAATGATGAAATGGCCTAAGGATGCATTTCTCGGAACGTATCCCCGTCGTTGAGCAACAGGACTGTGCACAATACATTACTGTTAACTAGAGTCCACACATCATACAATAGAGCTCCAGAATCCATTCGCCGTACCTGACTGAAATTTTGTGCTCTTTAACCAGCATCTTCCAATTCCTCATCCCGCTGGCCCCCTGGTAATTTCTTTTCCACTCTGCTTCTACGAGGGCGACTGTCTTGGATTCCACATGTGAGATCACGAGGTATTTGTCCTTGTTTCTGGCTCATTTCACGTAACAGGACATCCATCCACATTGTCGCAAATGGCAGGATTTTCCTTGTTGAAGCTGAATCGTTTTCCACGGTGTGTACGATCCACATTTGCTCCGTTCACCCACTGATGAACACTTAGGTTGGTCCTGTACTTGGCTGTTGTGAAGAGGGCTGTGGAGAACAAGGGGGCAGGTGTCTCTTCAAGACACTGATTTTATTTCCCTTGAATGTTCACCCAGAAGTGGGATTGCTGCATCGCATGGCTGGGTATTTTTAGGTTTTTGAGGAAGCACCAGACTGTTTCCACAATGGCTGCACCAATTGACATCCCCGCCGTGTGCAGGGTTCCCTCCCCACACCCTCACCAGCACTCACTTTTGTCTTTCTAAAGACAGCCAGCCTAACAGGTGAGAGGCAATATCTCATTGCAGTTTTGACTTGCATTTCTCTGATAATTATTGATGGTGAATCTTTTAAAATATATCTGTTGGCCATTTATATGTCTACTTTTGAGAAACATCTATTCAGATTTTTTGCTCAGTTTTTTCAGGCAAGTTATTTTGTTTTTGCTATTGAATTGTATGAATTCTTCATATATCTTAGATATTAACTCCTGATCAGATAAATGGTTCAAAAATACTTTCTCCCATTCCATAGGTTGTATCAATAGATAGTGATTAAAAAAAAAACGATAATGGTACTTAGGAGTTTAATTTCCTTATCACTGTGAACATTCAGAATACTGGGAGCCAAAATCATATTCTCCAGAGAAGGAAAAATGGCTAGATCACATCTAAAAGAACTGGAGTTAAAACAGCCCTGACCCTAAACCCAGGAAGGGCGGGAATCAGGGTCAGCCTCCCCGGTGGCGGCACGTGCCGTGGGTGATGCCAGAGTGTACCACCTCCCCCCGTCCCCAGGATCTCCCTAAAACTCATAACCCCGGGGTAACCCTGAAAAAACATCAGACAAATGCAAATTCAAAACATTCTACAAAATACTCAGCCAGTACCCCTCAAAAGTGTCAAACTCATGAAAAACCAAACACAAAAACAAAAGACAGAAATTGCCACAGCCAAGGGGAGCCTGAGGAGGGACGAGGCACCGAGGCCCCTGGGTGGCTCCTGGGGTGCAGGTCACAGGATGTCCTGACCATGCTCACTGCTGAACACAGGGCGTCTGAGTGGGGCTGTGAGGGAACCCCAAACTGTCTTTGTGACTTTTCTAAAAACCTAAAATTATTCCCAAATAAAAAGTTTATTTTAAAAAAATAGCATTGGTCTTATAAACAGCCATAGTAAATGCCTACAAAAGATCACCTGAAAGTTATGAGAAAAAAATTATTTCCATCAAGAGGTTTATACCAAGAAAACTACTAATGAAGTCTGAGGCCAAAACAAAGATATTTTTCAACACACAAGGACTCAAAAAATATTCCTCCCATACAATTCTCCTTAGGAAAATACTGGAGGATGTACTCCGGCAGAAAGAATGGACAACTTGAGAAAGAGCAGCTGTGGAATTCGGTAAACAGCCTTGCCTGGGGTGGTCGGGGGCTCAGGGGACCTCAGGGGCAGCGAGGGGGAATGCAGACGGGAGCTCGCCGAGCCACAGAATCCCTGCCAGGCCTTCCACAGACCTGCAGAAGCGTTTGCAAAAATGCACTGGTCAGTGCAGAGAGATCTAGGAAATGAAACTGACTCGATTAGTAGTCCAGGAACAAGCTAAAGGTTGTGCAAAGACGTGATGACAGTTCCCTCCGTGGCTCAGCTGTGAGAGCCCCATGAGCCTGGTGCACCCAGAGCCACGGTGCGCCTTCAGTGAGGACGGGGAAGGCTCCTGCTCCTGCAAGAGTTAAGTCACCAACATTTGAACATGCAAACAGGCATTTACTGTGGAAAATGTATAAACAGCACATTATTCTTAAAGGTTACCTCTGGGGTGCAGAACTGGGGCTGCGAGGGGAAGGGACAGAGGGCTGCTGGTTTTAAAACTTTTTAAGAAGATGATGTAGTTTTGGCATTTGTCCCCACCCAAATCTCATGCTGAATTGTAATCCCCAATGCTGGAGGTGGGGCCTGGCCAGAGGTGTTCAGGTCATGGGGGCAGATCCCTCATGCTGGTTGGTCTTCCTGATAGGAGTTCTCATGAGATCTGGTCATTTAAAAGTGTGTGCCCCCCACTCCACTCTCTCTTGCTCCTGCTCTGGCCATATGACCTGCCCGCTTCACCTTCTGTCATGATTGGAAGCTTCCTGAGGGCTCCCCAGAAGCCAAGCAGATGCTAGCATCATGCTTCCTGTAAAATGTGAAGACTTGTGAGCCAATTAAATCATTTTATTTTTAAATCACACAGTCTCAGGTATTTCTTTATAGCAATGCTAGGATGGCCTCATACGGGAGGTAAATGCAAATATACTTCAAAAACCCTTAATATTGTTATAAAGAAAAATGTACAAAATATAATGTTAAAAAGGAAAGCAAAACCAAAACTCTGCTTACGAACTTTGAAAATAAGTCAGGGTTGATGTTCAGCTATACAAGTTGTTGATGGCCAATCCATTTCTTTTGCTGGCACCCTCTTCAGGTAAGTTAGTGTCCATTCTGAAGCTTGGTGCCTGTTCTGATGGTTGGTGCTGGTTCTTATGGTTGGTTCCTGTTCTGATGGTTGGTTCCTGTTCTGATCATTGGTGCCCACTCTAATGCTTGGTGCCCTGTTCTGATGTTTGGTTCCTATTCTGATGCTTGATGCCCATTACAATGGTTGGTTCCCATTCTGATGATTGGTGCCTGTTCTGATGGTTGGTGCCTGTTCTAATGGTTGGTTTCTGTTCTGATGGTTGGTTCCTGTTCTCATGGTTGGTTCCTGTTCTGATGGTTGGTGCCTGTTCTGATGGTTGGTTTCTGTTCTGATGGTTGGTTCCTGTTCTGATGGTTGGTTCCTGTTCTGATGGTTGGTTCCTGTTCTGATGATTGGTGTCCTGTTCTGATGGTTGGTTCCTGTTCTGATGGTTGGTGTCCTGTTCTGATGGTTGATTCCTATTCTGATGGTTGGTTTCTGTTCTGATGGTTGGTTCCTGTTCTGATGGTTGGTACCCCCTGTTCTGATGGTTGGTGCCTGTTCTGATGTTTGGTTCCCGTTCTTATGTTTGATTCCTGTTCTGATGGTTGGTGCTTGTTCTGATGTTTGGTTCCCGTTCTTATGTTTGATTCCTGTTCTGATGGTTCATGCCCATTCTACTGAACTCATGACTCATTCTGATTAACTGTAGGCAAGACTTACTAGTGACTAAACATTTTGACTCTCGCCCTTGTAATTAGGTAAATATTTTGCATCATATGCTCAAGGACTTAATTTGTGTAGGTAAACTTCTTGAACAGCGGTTTCTGGGGTGCTTTTCAATGTTTATGGCAGTAATTTCTGTATAGTTTATTCAATTAATGAAGCTAAAGCATGCACCCTGGTGACTTTGGGTTTGCGAGCAAAGTGCAGCACATTTATCAGGTTTTGTAACATTGTCTCCCCTGGGCCTTTTCCAGGTAAACCTTCTGCTGTGTCCTGAGGGCAGTAGCTGCCCCAGCGGGCGCTCTGCAGCCCTTCCTTCTGCTTGCCCAGGTCACCAAGTGGAGCTGGGGAGGAAGGAGAGAGCAGGGAGAGGAGGGGAGACCAGAACTCTCCTTTTGAACTCCTGGTCCCTCTGGAAGCATTTGGAGCTCACTGGGACCCTCCTCATTTTTGCTGCAGGTTCCCTTTTGTTCATTTGTTTTGTGTTGTTTTTGCACCCGGCCCTCCCTGCCTGTGCCATAGACTCTGTCTGTAACGTTTTTGATCCACATTTTTGCCACTCCTACATTGGGTCTGATAAGACAAAAGTGACTCTCTCAGAAAAGAAAACGGGCACAGTCTAAGGGTGGTGCTCATTTTGTGATGAAAGCCCCATCTTGTCTTTTTTTTCATCAAGGTGGTCTGACCAGCCTGCCCTGTACTGACCTTATTGTCATTCTTTTCTAGACACCAAAGCCATGGGCCCCAGTGTGTGGGAGGAGGACTCACATCAGCCAGGGACTTCCTTGCAGCCACAAGCGTGGGTGCAGTGGTGATAAGCACACTGCGGAGGGTGAGGTGTGTAGGAGGGTGAGGTGTGTAGGAGGGTGAGGTGTGTAGGAGGGTGAGGTGTGTAGGAGGGTGAGGTGTGTAGGAGGGTGAGGTGTGTAGGAGGGTGAGGTGTGTAGGAGGGTGAGGTGTGTAGGAGGGTGAGGTGTGTAGGAGGGTGAGGTGTGTAGGAGGGTGAGGTGTGTAGGAGGGTGAGGTGTGTAGGAGGGTGAGGTGTGTAGGAGGGTGAGGTGTGTAGGAGGGTTTGGTGTGTAGGAGGGTGAGGTGTGTAGGAGGGTGAGGTGTGTAGGAGGGTGAGGTGTGTAGGAGGGTGAGGTGTGTAGGTGGGTGAGGTGTGTAGGAGGGTGAGGTGTGTAGGAGGGTGAGGTGTGTAGGAGGGTTTGGTGTGTAGGAGGGTGAGGTGTGTAGGAGGGTGAGGTGTGTAGGAGGGTGAGGTGTGTAGGAGGGTGAGGTGTGTAGGAGGGTGAGGTGTGTAGGAGGGTGAGAGGTGTAGGTGGGATGAGGTATGTAGGTGTGTCCTGGAAGGTTCAGCAGCTGTCCCCACAGTGGGCCCACAGGAACGGTGGTGTGGACACACTGCTCTTTAAAAGTGCAACAGCCTCAAAAACAATCGAGGGCACAGGAGAAGTCACTGGAGAGCCATTGTTTTATTTAGGAAACAAACTCTGAAGCAGGCCCTGCTGCTCCCCAAAGATGTGCCCACTCCAAGGACCAGATTCTCAACACTTCACCTCTTCCCTGACAAACACGAAGTGAGAGTCACCCCCTCTGCCAAGACAGAGGGGTCGCGCCCAGGCCTCTGCTCCAAGCAGCAATGTCAGGAAGGTCTGGGCTGTGGCAGCTGAGGGAGAGCTCGACACCCACTCCCTGGACACCAACCCAGACGGCAGCCAGGCCTGCGGAGGCAGGGCCAGTCTTCGGGGGCAAGACGCGGCATGGAGACTCTGCACACACTTAGTCCAAAGGTTGGCTGCAGAATGTTAAGGTCCCAACAGGACAACAGGGGCAGGTGTCGGCACAGGAGGGTACCGAGCTCGGAGCAAGGCCTCAGAACTGGGACTCCAGTTTCTCTCCCGGGGAAGAAAAGGAGGCGGCACCGATCCGGACAGATGAGGGCCAGGCAGCAGCATCCTGGCATGACCGCAGCAGGAGGGAGGAGCCAACGGTGCCACGTGGTTCCCAAATGCCAAGCATAGCCTGAGAGAGGAGGAAACAGGAGAGAAGGGGAGGCCGGGGGGCCGCTTGGTGCCCAAGATTTCTCAGACGTCCCAGAGCCCTGACTCTGCTGCCAGCTTGCTTTACAGTGAGGCCAAGGAAGGAGCCACGGAGGGTGTGCTGGCCCTAGGAGCAGGATTCCTGTGTGTTCACTAAGCTTGCAGCATCAAGAAGCCACCAGCCAGCATGGACATGTGAGCGTCAGAGGGTGAGCAAGGCAACAGCCAGGACCAGGTGGAGCCAGGGGCCCCGCAGGTGCAGCCAGGACGGACATAGGGAGACCTTGGTCCCAACAAGGGCAGTGTCTCGATGGCCAGGCAGGAGTGGGGACGCTGTTGAGAAATGTTCTCCACAGCAGCTCAGGCAGCAGGAAAGACCCAGCCATCAGGTCAGCGCCGTGGTCTCCCAGCCAGCGTGCGCATGGCTGCAAATAGAGAAAAACACACCAGGAGGTCACACCCAAGGTCACTGCCGATCCCAGCACAGGGAGCCCCTGGCAAGGCCATTCCTGTGCTGGGCTAAGCCAACGCTGGACTCTGATTCAGCTGACAGCCCACAGGAGCTCCGTTTCTAGTGTTGGCAGCAACGTATCATCGCTCCAGCTTTGACTAAAACTGAAGGTTCCGATCAGTATTGTGTTTCCAGTTAAGTATGAAATGAAGGGCAGGGCACAGGTCTCTGCGTGCCTCTCCCACAGCTCGTGTGGGGCTGCTGCTGTGTGTGGGGAGCGGACGCTTCCTCCTGAGCCGATTCAAGCCTCAGTTGTGACCAGGTGTGAAATTTCCGAAGTTCTCATTCAGAGAACCAAGCTTTCGCTTCCATTTACCCCCCGAGCTCGGCCCTGGACACGCCTCTAGTTTTTACACCCCTCCAGGTCCCAGGTCTCGCCCCGATGGTGCCCAGAGACTGCTGCTCTCCGCTGGTTGGGCCCTAAATCCACCCTTCAGTGTTTGGCTGGCGCTTGCTGGCTCTGCCGGCGTCTCTCCAGCCAGCAGGACAGCTCTGCCGGAAGCCCCATCCCTCCTCCTCCCCATCCTGTCCCTGAGCCGTCAGCCCTGGTGGCCGCTTTGAGGTGTGGGCGGGTTCTCCTCTCCTCCGCAGACCCCTCTTTAGCTGCCTGTCTGGGCCAGCACAGGATGTGGGCGCCCCGTGACACTCTCTTCTGTGCCAGCCCACTGGCCCACACTTCGACCTCCTTCCCCACTGAGACAGCTTCTCCTGTTTATTTTTTACCATTTTGTGGCTCCCACCAACTCCTTCTGCCTTCTACCAACACGTACCCCAGGCCCAGCCAGCTGGAGCCCGTGCTGCAACCCAGCCAGGATTCCCTTTCCTGACGCCGCGGTGCCCATCTGCCTCCACCGATGGATCTCACAGGCAATGCCAGGCTTGGTTATACTTCACACAGACAACCATAGCACACCTGCCTGAAATCTCTCCTGTAAATTCCTAACCAATTTGAGGCTCAGATTTTTTTTAATTTCCCAAGTATCTACATATAATAAGTCAGAAGTAGAACTACCTAAGTATTTTTTTAAGCAGCTGAGATGTAGGAGGAGTGTGTTTGTCTACACAAACAGAGGGACATCTTCCCCAGGTGCGTTGAGGTAGGAGGCCACCCCGCCGTGGTGCGAGTCTCTCCTGAGCTGCCCAACGGCCACTTCTTTCCAGGCAGAGAGCACCTGTGCACAGTCCCTATGCATTTGCGAGAAAGAGCGAGGGGGCCGTTCTGTCACCTGCAGTCCCCCACGTGGTCTTGAGGCAGTGGACACACCAGGTGAGCATTAGGTGGGGGAGGGGTGAAGAGCCACTGTCCCCACCAAGACCAACAGGAATGCAGACTGAGCTCAGGAAGCTGCTGCCTGCACATGTCTACTCATCTTTCATTTAAAAACCACGCAGGAGGGAAAACAAAACACTCATGGGAAGAAGCGGGACCAGGCTCCAGCCGCAAAGTCGCCCTTCATGCTTCACGCAAGAAAAAGGCCTCAGAGGGTAAGGGCAGGGCGTGGGACAACACCCACCCCACAAGCCTGCTGCCCCTTCACTGCCTGCAGTGTACACAGAGCCTCACCCCCGACCACAAGCCTGCCACCTGCCACCCCTCCACTGCCTGCAGTGTAGACAGAGCCTCGCCCCCCACCACAAGCCTTCTGTGTAGACAGAGCCTCACCTACCTGACAAGCCAGCTGCCCACCACCCCTCCAGTGATTGCTGTGTAGATAGAGCTTCACCTCTCCCAAAAAGTCTGCTGCCTGCTGTCCCTCCACTGCCTGCAGTGTAGACAGAGGCTCATTCACTGCCAAGCCTGCTACCTGCTGCCCCTCCACTGCCTGCAGTGTAGACAGAGCTTCACCCTCGCCAACAAGCCTGCTGCCTGCCACCCCTCCACTGCCTGCAGTGTAGACAGGGACTTACCTACCCCACCAGCCTGCTGCCTGCTGCCCCTCCACTGCCTGCAGGTAGACAGGGACTTACCTACCCCACCAGCCTGCTGCCTGCTGCCCCTCCACTGCCTACAGTGTAGACAGAGCTTCACCCTCCCCAGCAAGCCTGCTGCCTGCCACCCCTCCACTGCCTGCAGTGTAGACAGAGCCTCACCCCCCACCACAAGCCTTCTGTGTAGACAGAGCCTCACCTACCTGACAAGCCAGCTGCCCACCACCCCTCCAGTGACTGCTGTGTAGATAGAGCTTCACCCCTCCCAAAAAGTCTGCTGCCTGCTGTCCCTCCACTGCCTGCAGTGTAGACAGAGGCTCATTCACCGCCAAGCCTGCTACCTGCTGCCCCTCCACTGCCTGCAGTGTAGACAGGGACTTACCTACCCCACCAGCCTGCTGCCTGCTGCCCCTCCACTGCCTGCAGTGTAGACAGAGGCTCACCCCCCCCACAAGCCTGCTGCCTGCCATCCCTCCACTGCCTACAGTGTAGACAGAGGCTCATCCCCCGCCAACAAGCCTGCTGCCTGCCGCCCCTGCACTGCCCGCAGTGTAGACAGATCTTCACCCTCCCCAACAAGCCTGCTGCCTGCCACCCCTCCACTGCCTACAGTGTAGACAGAGGCTCACCTCCTGCCAACAAGCCTGCTGCCAGCCGCCCCTCCACTACCTGCAATGCAGACAGAGCCTCACTCACTTCCCAGTGGCTTCTGGGGAGGAGGAATCCCTCCCTGAGTCCTCAGGCCCCTCATGTGGGTGAGTGTGGGTGGAGGGCGGCCTGGGCAGCAGCTGCTGGAGGAGCTGCAAACTCTGCCATCAGTGTACACAGTGATCCAGGTGCTGCCTCTGGCAATTCACGGGAGAATCCCAGAAAGTTCCGTGACATCATCTCCATAATCCCCAGTACACAGTGAAGCCGGAGCTGGAGAGAGATGGGCAGGTGGGGCTGGGGACCCAGGGATCATGACGGGGCACCTGGGGCGGGCACTGCTGGGCACTGCTGCCTCAGAACCTACTCAAGGTTCCACCTCCCAACACCGTTGCTTTGGGGATTAAATTTCCAACACAGGAGCTGTGAGGACATGATCAAATCACTGTGCCAGCTGGTCACCAGGGGGCCACCACTCCAAGGAACCCTGAAGATGGTGGACAGGAATTAGGAAGTGTTGAACCGTCTTAGATGGAATGCTGTTCATATGAAAGCAAGACGCTCTATCCTAGAATTGCTTTTATCATTTGGTTCTATTGCCACTTTTCGAAAATTGTGTGACGTGAAGCATGCAGAAATAAAAAGAAGTAACACAGAAATTCTCAGGTCCATCAGCCAAGGGGGCCTTGCTGACTGCAGGCGGAGGTCTCAGGCCCGCCCAGCCCTGGCGTCTCCGCAGGGCTCTGACCCCGAGACAGCTCCACAGCCCCCTCTATTCTCCCCCGGCGCTCACAATTCAACAACATGGACTTCATATTTGCCATTTGACAACTTGCCTTTTTCTGATAGGGCTCCAGTTGTGAAGTTAGCAAGAGCCTGAAGGCTTTTTTAAAAGGAAAGAAAAAATGTATATTTTTCTAAAAAAAAAAAATTCTAAGGGTGGTAAATTCCCTTAAGGTAAATCTGCTTCCCAGCTAATGCAAGAGCTGCAAGCAGCTGGGAAATGGGTGTTGTATTGTCTAGCCTGGCTCTGGGAACGGATTCATAGCTGCTGCCTGGAAGGTTAAAATGTGCAGAGGATTCGTGGAGAACAAGGAGAAAACCAAGACAGTCAGTTCGGTTTGGTTCCTGAGGGGGAAGCCCTGGGCTCATCATGGACGCCTAGAGGAGCGGGCGGCAGAGGCAGCTCCAGGCAGCTCCCGAGGGGAACCTGGGTATTTGGAAATCCTGGGGGAGTAGCTGAGGGAGGTGATTTAGAAGGTGATACTTTGGGCCTCGTGTCTTTTCTTTGGCTCTCTGTTGCTGGAGCAGAAAGACAGAGCAGTCTCAGGCATGCTTCCCTCCTCTCCTGGGCCAGCCTCGGATCAGCTGAGAGCCACAGCAGGGAGGGTGGGAAACCCAGGCTGGTGTTCCTGAGACAGCTCCTCCCGCCTGCCCCTGTCTCCTTCTGCTGAGTAGAAACAAAGCACTTCTCCCCACGTGGCAACGTAAATCAGGGATGTGTCTTCATCTCTAGTGATAAATAGGACTTTGTTTCATTCATTCTGAGGTGTTTAGAAAAGAACTGTTAAAAAAAAAAAAGCCAGATTGTCCCTCAAATTGTTCCTTCAATGCCTGGACACCTTTCTCCAGCCCTAGCAGGGCAAACGTCTGGGGATGTCAGACCGGACAGGAAAACCTTGAACTCCTTCAGAGCAGGAGGCTTTCCAGAATTCCAGGACGTCCCAACTCTCCCGCCGTGAGTGGCAGCTCAGCAGACCCGGAAGGAAGTGCGACCACGACTTTCCGCACTGAGGTCCTCAGCAAATGTTGATCCACGGGCTCCACGGCGCAGCCAGCACCGACTTCTCCACCCACTGGCCACCGAACCCTGTTCTCGCCAAGGCCTCCTTTGTCCACGCCTCCGAGGAGCTCGGCCCGGTGGTCACAAGTGCAGCCAAGAATGAGGGGCTATTTGGGTCAGGCAAGCCTGCCATGTTTCGGGAAAGTTGCCCCGGGGTTAGGAAACGCTCCATCTGAGGGAAATGGAGCTCCCCACCGGTTCTTGGAGCCCAGGCGTCGCCCACCCTGCTGGTTTTCTCTTTGGTGGGATTGTCTTTGAATTCCATTGTTGGCCTAGTTTCCTGAGCCAAACCTCAAACAGCTTGGCTGAGAGAGCACAGAACAGGAAAATCAGCTCGGAGAGAGGCTGGTCATAAGGAAATAGTCACTCGGCCGATGACGTCCACAGTCCCCTGACGTCTGTCCCCAGCATTGAGCAGCGGAAGCCACAGATTCTTGAAGCGGGAATTCAAGTCCTCAGGCAAAGGCGCATTGTGACTGTCTGATCAGCATTTCCTATTGATCTCTTTACAAATTACCTTTGTTCTCTAAGGCCAGGCAGGCATCTGGAGGCTGGAGCGGGAGGGCCATCGGGTGAGGCCCCGGCCAGCGCCTCAGACTGCCAGAGAGCCTCAGCCCCGCCCCACACCGTCCCAGGTCCCTGCCTGGAGGATCTGGAGCTGGGGACTGCTGTGAGGTGGACACGGTGCAGCTGATTCCAGGGCGCCCTGAGCTGAAGCAACACCGTGCAACCAGTCGCAGGTGCTCAGGACGAGCCGTACCAAGAGGGACGTTCCTCTGCCAGATCAAACGTGGGGTGGTTGTTCGGCCCAAGGCTGCCCGTGCTGTTCCCTGCACCCCAGTAAGCCAGGTTATGGGGTGAGCTCTGGCCCTGCCCTCCCAACCTCCCCCCCACCGGCTGGCTGGAGGCCCTGTGCTCGCCCGCCCGCCAGGCTGCGGCTGCCCTGCAGGAGCTGGGACTGACTCTAATTGTGATTTGATCCCGTTGTGTTTTCTCTGTGAAGTGCTTCACTGTTAGAAAAGTGAAGGGCTGCCGCCCGGCTGCATAAATTCCTCACACATCAATGTCCCCATTACAGCATGAGTCAGCAGCCCTGCCGGCAGGTGCTGAGAGTTTGGCGGCCAGCCCACTCCTGCAGAACTTCCAGAGCGAGCCATCTCCACGCAGAGGGGGAGCCTCCCAGTGAACCCCAAGCTGAAGACTGCCCTCTATCACCTCGTTTGTGGCAATGGGGGCTGTGGGGGAGGGGGAAGGAGGCATGTGCTGTTAGTAAGAGGCTCACATCTGACAAAAAAATACCATTCCCAGAAAGTCAGGCCTTTGAGGCGATCGCTACCTCACAACCATGACTCCCCCAGTCCCACCTGCATGAGCCGGACACGCCTGTCACATGGTGGCCTGCACCGAGCACCCGCACACCGGCCCCCACAACACCCCACTAGCTCTGCAGAAGGCCCCCTCCACCCACGCCCACCCCAGTGGACTCCAGTAGGTGGGCGCCCAGGTTGACTCCAATCCACAAGCAACCGCGGAAAGAGCAAGGCTGGGAAACCGGCAGGGGCCGCCAGGACCACAGCAACCTTCCTCCCTGCGCCTGCAGTCAGAGGTGCCCTGTGTCCCCGGAGGAGAGCGAGGGGCTCGGGAGGGTCCTCACTCACAGGCACCGGGCGCTTCGACTGCACCCTCATCTCCATCTGCAGGAGGCACAAAGGGGGACTGACAAGCCCAGTCAGGGTGCATGGGAAGGTCCTTTCCCACTAGACAAGCCAGTAGGGGCCAGGGCCCCAGGGGTACTGGCTGGAGGGGGCGTCTCCCCCACACCATCCTGGCCCTTGGGCTCACTGCAGACATGGAAGCCAGCAGGCAAAGCTGCACACCCCTCTCCCTCCTCCCAGCCCAGGCCTGTGTGCTCTCCCTCCTCCCAGCCCAGGCCTGCCTGCTCTCCCTCCTCCCAGCCCAGGCCTGCAGGCCAGGTAGTGATGGATAAGACGGGTCATTGCACCTGGTGCTGCACTCGCCTCCTGTTCCTTCCAGGAGGGTCTTCTCCAGCCCTGCCGGGAAGACCCTGGTGCACACAGGCCTTCCAGCATGGCCTGCCTAGCTCCTCGCCCTCCTGGGTCCTCACAGCCCCGGCCTCCTCCCTCCATGGTCGTGCTCTTCTGCTGTCAGCCCCAGGCCTCGCAGTATCGGCCAGAAAAGCCCATGCCCCTGGGCAAGCCCTGAGTCAGGGCCCCTCCACAGAACCCGGGACCCCTCCACAGAACCCAGGGACCCCTCCACAGAACCCAGGGCCCCTCCACAGAACCCAGGACCCTTCCACAGAACCCAGGGCCCCTCCACAGAACACAGGGCCCCTCCACAGAACCCAGGGACCCCTCCACAGAACCCAGGGCCCCTCCACAGAACCCAGGGCCCCTCCACAGAACCCAGGGCCCCTCCACAGAACCCAGGGACCCCTCCACAGAACCCAGGACCCCTCCATAGAACCCAGGACCCCTCCATAGAACCCAGGGCCCCTCCACAGAACCCAGGGACCCTCCACAGAACCCAGGGACCCCTCCATAGAACCCAGGGCCCCTCCACAGAACGCAGGACCCCTCCACAGAACCCAGGGACCCTCCACAGAACCCAGGGCCCCTCCACAGAACCCAGGACCCCTCCACAGAACCCAGGACCCTTCCACAGAACCCAGGACCCCTCCATAGAACCCAGGACCCTTCCACAGAACCCAGGGCCCCTCCACAGAACCCAGGGACCCCTCCATAGAACCCAGGGCCCCTCTACAGAACCCAGGGCCCCTCTACAGAACTCAGGACCCCTCTACAGAACCCAGGACCCCTCTACAGAATGCAGGACCCCTCCATAGAACCCAGGACCCCTCTACAGAACTCAGGACCCCTCTACAGAACCCAGAACCCATCTACAGAACTCAGGACCCCTCTACAGAACCCAGGACCCCTCTACAGAACGCAGGACCCCTCCATAGAACCCAGGACCCCTCTACAGAACCCAGGACCCCTCTACAGAACCCAGGACCCCTCTACAGAACCCAGGGCCCCTCTACAGAACTCAGGACCCCTCTACAGAACCCAGGACCCCTCTACAGAACTCAGGACCCCTCTACAGAACTCAGGACCCCTCTACAGAACCCAGAACCCATCTACAGAACCCAGGACCCCTCTACAGAACCCAGGACCCTTCTACAGAACCCAGAACCCATCTACAGAACCCAGGACCCCTCCACAGAACCCAGGACCCCTCTATAGAACCCAGGACCCCTCTACAGAACCCAGGACCCCTCTACAGAACCGAGGACCCCTCTACAGAACCCAGGACCCCTCTACAGGACCCAGGGCCCCTCTGTAGAACCCAGGACCCCTCTACAGGACCCAGGGCCCCTCTATAGAACCCAGGGCCCCTCTACAGAACCCAGGACCCCTCTACAGGACCCAGGACCGTTCTACGGAACCCAGCGCTTGTCCCCTGGCCCCTGCAGGTGTGTCCTGCTCTGCACTGCACAGGCAGTGGGAAGAGTGGGGTAGTTGCGGGACGCCCCGATTCTCTTCAGGAGGAGGTGTCACCTGCCTCACAGAGGACTAGGTGAGCAGTGGATGCAGGGTTTGTTTTAAAACAACACACAAGCCTTTCTGATCTCATGTTCCTTTCTAAGAATGGGTCTGGCCAAGACCTGCGCCTCCTGAGGGTCGCTGTGGAAATAAATTCTCTCTCCGCAGCCGACCGAGGCCACGTCCAGTGGCCACCACAGTGTCAGTTTCTGCTGTTTGCCTTTCTTCTGTTGGTCAGCACACTCCGTCCCTCAAAGCTGCGCAGAGAAAATGCAGCGATCACAGGGCCCAGGGCTGCATTTCGGAAGCCACAGGCAAGACGACAGCTCAGCTTTGCAGCCGCACACGGTCCTGCTGAGATGGAAAATGCAGTGAGCGGCGGTCAGCTATTTCGGGACTGAACGGGCTTACAACCACACTGCCAACTTCAGACAGCGGGTCCAGAGGGCGAGGGGCTGGCTGACAACCCACTAAAATATGGGATCCATTTCTAATCAAGATAAAGGATTAGGGACATGATGTCTGGTCACTTAGGAGCATAAAAGCATGTTTGGGGAAGTAATTATATGCTTGGGATGGAATCTTAAACCCAAAGAATGAGAAGCCAATTTATAGGCCGTGATAAAGCTGGGGCTAAATTGGTCCCAACTGTTGAGAACCTGGGTAAGATTTCAGAAGAAAAATCTTTCCACGGATGTTCCTATAGAAAGCCTGGCATCCACTCGGGTGGGAGGCAGTTGTTCTGAACCAGGGAGGCTGCGCCCTGCGGGGCAGGTGCACGCGGACCACCCCACGCCTTCAGCCGAATTGACTTCCACAGAAGGGGGCAGGGCTCGGGGATGGTCAGCCAAAGGAAAGCCAGACACCGCTGTGGGGTGGGGTGCACAGATGCCACCTCCATCGCAGCAGGCCTAGAGTAGACACAGGGTTCCCCAAGGGGCCCTTGTGAGTCACCTGCCCCTTCATCCCCGGGAGCCACGATGGGCTTTATGACCACACGTCCTCCGGGAGAAGCTGCCCGTTCCCATAGCCCCCACAGGGCCTCCTGTCTGCGTGGGCGCCCACCCTCTCCTGTGCAGACACCATAGGCCTGAATGGTGCAGAACTTGGGCCTGAGGCAGGGAAGGGGCCCCCTGGGACTCTAAGGACTTCCAGAACTCCAGCGCCACACATGGGCCACAGAGGCAGCAGGAGACGCACTCACACCCATCTCAGCGCCCGCACGACCTGGAACGCACTGGGGGTGCTGCTGGGAAGACAGGAAGCGAAGGGTCTGGGCTCCCAGCATCACCTGGGCCCTGCAGACCCCCCAAGGCTGGGCTCCCACCAGGGAGACTGAGCCCAGGACATTTTAAATCCCACGGGCTCTGACGTGCCACTGGCCAGACACTCCAAGTCGAGGCCATTGCCGTCTCAGGCAGCCATGCACAACTCTGGTTCCCAGGCCGGCAGCCACAGGCCAGCTGGTCAGAGCCCGAGCTCCACCCCAGGGCCCCCAGAGCCTGGCACACATGGTCCCGAGGGCTCCCGTCAGGCCATGACCTCCCCATGCCAGATTCCCTCGGAGGCACTTCCTGCCTGCAGCAACACCATAGCAAACACTGAGGCTGAGGCTGTGCCCACCCCACATCTGCAGCCCCTCCAGAGACCTCTCTGGTTCCGGCTCTGCCAGCAAGCAGCGAGGACCTCCACAGGTGAGCCACAGCCTTGTGGCCCGAGGCCTTCACATAAGGGTGACCCTCTGAGCTGGTCTCATGCTGGCCCTCAAATGTGTCTCTGTGTGCCACGGAGTGAGAGAATTTCATACAGATCATCCAGAAGAATGATTAGGAAAAGCCCCACACAGCTTTGGGCCCTGCAATGTGGGGAGAGCATCCTGCATGGTCTGCTGGGCCCAATATAACCCCAAGACCCTCAGGTTGTGGGGGGCATGGGGACCAGAGATAGATGGTGGGAGAGGCCAACCCACACTGCTGGGTCACAGAGAGATGGCGGGAGAGGCCGCCTGAGATGCTGGGTCACAGAGAGATGGCGGGAGAGGGCGACCCGCGCTGCTGGGTCACAGAGAGACGGCGGGAGAGGGCGACCTGACATGCTGGGTCACAGAGAGATGGCGGGAGAGGCCGACCTGAGATGCTGGGACCAGAGAGAGATGGTGGGAGGGGGCGACCCGCGCTGCTGGGTCACAGAGAGATGGTGGGAGAAGCCAACCTGAGACGCTGGGACCAGAGAGAGATAGTGGGAGAGGCCGACCTGAGATGCTGGGACCAGAGAGAGATAGTGGGAGAGGCCAACCTGAGATGCTGGGACCACAAAGAGACGGTGGGAGAGGGCGACCCGCGCTGCTGAGTCACAGAGAGATGGCGAGAGAGGGCGACCTGAGATGCTGGGTCACAGAGAGATGGCGGGAGAGGCCGACCTGAGATGCTGGGACCAGAGAGAGATAGTGGGAGAGGCCGACCTGAGATGCTGGGACCATCAAGAGATGGTGGGAGAGGGCGACCCGCGCTGCTGGGTCACAGAGAGATGGTGGGAGAGGCCAACCTGAGATGCTGGGACCAGAGACAGATGGTGGGAGAGGCCGACCTGAGATGCTGGGACCAGAGAGAGATGGTGGGAGAGGCCGACCTGAGATGCTGGGACCAGAGACAGATGGTGGGAGAGGCCGACCTGAGATGCTGGGACCAGAGACAGATGGTGGGAGAGGCTGACCTGAGATGCTGGGACCAGAGAGAGATGGTGGGAGAGGCCGACCTGAGATGCTGGGACCACCAAGAGATGGTGGGGGAGGGCGACCCGCGTTGCTGGGTCAAAGGCAGAGGCTGCAAGCCATGGGCAGCCTTGAGAAGCTGGAAGCGTGGAGGGCAGCTGTGTGCCTTCTCTCCTGGAGCCTCCAGGAAAGGGGCCGGGCAGAGGTGGCAACAGGGAGAGTACACCGGGCACCCGCACCCCGAGAGAAAGGGAGATGCTTTAAAAAGCTCCAACTGGCTGAATTCAGAGGGAAATAGCATCACAGTTTGCAAAAAGTGGTGTCTCTCCTAGTAAATTTCACATATATTTACACTGCACCGATGGAAACAAGACTCATTGTCAATTATAATAAATCCGCATTTGTGCTCCCAGCAGCGTTGGCAAAGTGCGTTAAGGTGCATTAGGTTATCCGGGCCTAGAAGCAGACGTCGGTGCAGGCGCCGCTGTTGCTGTTTTAGAGACGGGTCGGGCGCTGCGGCCCCGTGGGGGCAGGCGGTTCTCAAGCTCACCTGCGCTGCTGAGAGGGAATGGCGATTTTCTCACTTTTTATGTCACCGCATCTCAGGGTTTGCAGGCAAAAGTCAGCAGACTCACCCTCTGTGATGAAAAGCAGGGATCGTTTCGAGGCTGGACTCAGTGCACTCTCCAGGTCTTAGAAGTGATGAAAATGTTCCCTGAAACTGCCTCGCTTGGCGCTGAGTGACAGACAACCCAGGAAAGCCCTCCCTACAGGGTAACTGCGGGACAAAGCGGCGCCTCCTCTCGCGGGCAGGCGGCTGGCTGAGCCCCCAGGCCCACGTCCGGGCATCCTCTCCCTCTAAGCACGGAGACGCCCCCGGCCCGCCCCAGCCCCTTCACCTGCCACTGATTAGGGGACCAGCATCCAGCCCGGGCCCTGTGCAGTGCCGCCCGCCATCCTCCTGCATTAGCATACTCCTAATTGATTAAGTGGATGATTGATTATTGGACCCGTGCGGTCTGCTTTCCAGACCCGTTGGCTGGGAATGGAAAGCCACGCTCGGCCCTCGGATGCAGCAGAAGCCCCCTGCCCCGTCCGCTCCAGGCTGCAGAGCCGAGGTGATTGGCGCCAGGCTGCCCACCCCGCCTGCCCCAGCAAGTGCGTCGCGCCCCCATGGTTTCTGCTGTTTGCATGTCAGGTCCCGGCAGGAAGCTGCAGTCCGACGTTGCTCAGCGTCCAGCAAGGGGCTGCCCAGATCCCGTCTTCCACAGACCCCCTCTGAGGCCCTCGTTCCCTCAAACCCCAGGAGCCAGCTCTGCCCCCGCACAGCTCCACGGCCCCAGGCTGCTTCCCGCTACTGTAACAGACGACCACAGGTCGCATAGGCCAGAGCCCGGCACGGCTTCTTGGGTGACAATCGAGGGGTCCTGACCCAGCACCCGTGGGCACACCCTTATTTGGAAATTGGGCCTAGCCCGGAGTGATCATGAGGCCACGTGACATGGGCGTGCCAGTCTCACCAACGTGTGTTTTCACGGGCACCACAGAGTCTGTTTTCTATGGGTGGGGCAGCGGTGAACATATCCCTCTTAATAGCGGTACGGGTACGGCCAGGGAGGCGGCAGAACGTAGACAGAACCCGGGCACTGAGAGACCGGTGCCGCCCCCCGCCGTCCACACAACCCGGGCCTCGGGCAGCACCAGCAGGACTTTTATTCCTCACCCCGCACGCCGCCGTCCATCTCCTAGGCCAGCGTGATTCTTCTGAGTGCAGCTGGGTCTCCTCCTGGGAGATCCGGTGGCTCTAGCAGCGTGGGTGCTGGGAACAGGACCAGCCTCGCCGGCGGACAGTGTGGACGCCTGAGGGCAAACCCTGGACCACTCTCTCCCCGGGGGACTCCGTTCCCGCCTCCAGGGAGCTGCGAACGCTCCTTCTGGGACACCTGTTGGCAAGAAACCAGTTCAATCGTCTCACTTCCAGAAACGATTCTGTGTTTTGACAGAAGTTTTCAGGCAGCAGAACTCAGCCAAAAGGATGTCTGTGGGCGGCCCTTCCGGGGGCGTGGCCAGGCAGGTGGGCGGCCCTTCCGGGGGCGTGGCCAGGCAGGTGGGCTGCCTTCCGGGGGCGTGGCCAGGCAGGTGGGCGGCCCTTCCGGGGGCGTGGCCAGGCAGGTGGGCGGCCCTTCTGGGGGCGTGGCCAGGCAGGTGGGCGGCCCTTCCGGGGGCGTGGCCAGGCAGGTGGGCGGCCCTTCCGGGGGCGTGGGCAGGTGGGCGACCCTTGGGGGGCATGGGCAGGTGAGTGGCCCTTCAGGGGCGTGGCATGTGCAGGTGGGCAGCCCTTCCAAGGGCGCGGCCAGGCAGTTGGGCGGCTCTTCCAGGGACATGGGCAGATGGGCCACCCTTGGGGTGCATGGGCAGGTGAGTGGCCCTCTGGGGCTGTGGCTCAGGCAGGCGGGCAGCCTTTCCAGGGACATGGCACTGGCAGGTGGAATCTGTTGTCTAGGCAGGTGGACCTGGGCACTCCTGGGCCTGCTCCTGTGTGGGGGCTGCCCTGGACAGGCCAGTCAGAGTCCATTCCACAGTTAAAGCTCGAACTTCCCGAAAGAGGCAGCTCTTCTCAGGACAGGCCACGACTCCTGCAGGCTGGGCTGTGGGGCTCCCAGATAACCCCACAGCCTGCTGACCGGCCGTCAGGAAACGGGGGCAGGGCACCCTCCTGGCCTCGCTCCCTCCCCGCCGGGGGGTCTTCATTAGCCCCCTGTGGAGCACAACCAGCCAGCAGGCCTGACCCCTGACTCTCACTCATTCTTCCACAGATTAATTCCCCAAATTGACAAATTAAGGGGCGCGGTGTGCCCAGGGTCACAGTCACACTGGGTTCTGGTCAGCATCAACCTGGCTTTAAAGAGGGTTTGGACTGAGGGGAGGAGGAGCCCAAACAGACCCCAGGCTCCAAGGGGAGGCAGAGGCAGGGCGTTCTCAGAACTCAAGGGACCGAACACAGCAGGCCAGGCCGCGCTGCAGCTATGCCTAAAGCACCCTGCCTGGCGTGGCTGCGGGTCCCTGGATGTGTGAGAGGCCTCCCAGGAGAACCTGACAGGTACAAAGCTTGGGCTTAGGACTAGGGTGCTATTGCCCGGGATAAGACTTTGTATTTGTATAATATTTTGCAAAAATCTATCATTTGATCCCCACAGCCTCTAACATAGTGAGGATGGCAGAAATTACCATCTCCACTTTTTTTTTTTTTTTTTTTTTTTTGAGACGATCTTGCCCTGTCACCTGGGCTGGAGTGCAGTGGGGCAATCTCAGCTCACTGCAACCTCCACCTCCCGGGTTCAAGTGATTCTCCTGCCTTAGCCTCCCGGGTGGCTGGGACTACAGGTGCACGCCACCATGCCCGGCTAATTTTTTGTATTTTTAATAAAGACGGGGTTTCCCCATGTTAGCCAGGATGGTGTCGATCTCCTGACCTCGTGATCCGTCTGCCTCACCATCTCCACTTTTTAAATGGGGAGGCGAAGTGACTGGTTCAAGAGCACAGCTAGTTCCAGGGGGGCAAAGTTTCCTCCTGATCTCACCCCGGGGCTCATTCCTTTAACCCCAAGGCTTGCCACATACCAGGGTGTTGGGGACAGAAAGAAAGATGTACAAATTTGGCAAGAATAGTCAACCAATTCAACACTTCTTACTGAGTGCCTTCTGTGTGCAAAGGATTGCACTCACCAGCGTCTGAGGGATCCGGAAGCCCCAGATGTAGCCCCGTCCCCGGGACTTGGCAAGAGGAGGAACGCAGGCACAGACAGCCCCTGGGGGATGCCAGGAGGGACCCCCCCACTCAGAACCCCACAGCAGGAGCTCAAGAATGCACTCTGGGGCAGGGTGGCTGGAGGGCCCTGCACTGAAGCCCACGGTGCTGGCTGGTATTGATCCCACTCGCCCGTCTCAGCCTCTGGCTCCGGTCCCCTCCCTGCTCTGCCAGAGGTCCCAACAACCACAACCGTCTGTCACCCTCCCAGTGAGGCAGGAGAGCACCTGGCCCTGAGTCCCGTTTGTCCCATTTGTCCAGTGGAGCAGCCACCGGCCCTGACCTGGACCACGTGCTGGGCGCCTCCTGGCAGCCCGTTCTGCTCCCGAATGCCCCGGCTTAGTCAGTCTGGGATGCGGCCCTGGACACCGGGCTTTATGCAGCTCTGAAGTGATCCCAGCACACAGCCCGGGTCAAGCTCAGCGCTCGGCAACCATAGGCACCCAACAACGGGCTGCAGCCATCAGTAACAACGGCAGCTCCAACGCCCAGAGAACTCACGGAGCAGACACACATCAGGTACTCCAGGTACACCAGCGATTCAGGATCATCCCCATGGCAGCCCTCCTTCCTCTGAAGGATTTTTTCCCACTCTCCTCAGATGAAGACGCGGAGGCCTGAGCGCTGGGGGTCGCCCGGGGCTGCACAGCGGGTCAGAGGCCAACCCTGGGCGGAGCCAGGCCACACCCTCCCTCAAGGATTCACAGTCTCCCCAAAGTAACCGCAACGAGGGACCCTCCCGTCACCAAACTTCCTTTCAGTCACTTCCGCTTGTACTAATTCTGGCCCAACCGTTCATTATATTTTTACAATTCTTATCTTGGTGTGTATTTTTTGACCCTAAAAATCCTAACTCCATTCCATCAATATTTTGTATATGCAGATTTCTAGCACAGTAAGTCATAAAATGTGCCTCTCCTGGCAACACAAAAATGTCTTCCTGTTGCTTTTAAGACCACCGACTGATGCTGCTGCCTGGATATCCACTTGCAAGCATTCCCGAGCCTCAGAACGTGAACTCGCAAACGCTCAGGCACCAGCTGTCTTAAGCCTAAATCTGCTCTCCACCAAAAGGGTGGCATTAGATGGCGTCTCACTTTACATATTTTCATTTTTATAACCACATTCCTGGGGTTTGAAGCTACTGTAGGTGGTTGAAGCAAGGAGTGAAGAGCCGGTGTTGAGGATGGGCTGATTTACAGGGACAGGAGCCTGCAGTCACCACAGCGGAGCCTGTAGGAATGAGGCAGAAAAGCCAGGGAAAGCACTGTGGGGACGGCTCTGACTGCTGAAGAGTGTGCACACACACACGTACACACACACGTACACACAGACACACACACACAGACACACACACGTACTAGCGCTGTGGGGGCGGCCCTGACTCCTGAAGCATGTACACACACGTACATGCACACACACATACAGACACACACACACAGACACACATGTACCAGCGCTGTGGGGGTGGCTGTGACTCCTGAAGCATGTGCACACACGTACACAGACACACACATGTACACACACACATGTACACACACACGTACACACACGTACACACACAGACACACACGTACACACACACACGTACACACACACACACAGACACACGTACCAGCACTGTGGGGGTGGATCTGACTCCTGAAGCATATGCACACACATACACACGCAGACACACAGACACAGACGCGCACACACACACACAGACACACGTACCAGTGCTGTGGGGCGGCTCTGACTCCTGAAGCATGTGCACACACATACAGACACAGACACACACACACCAGCGCTGTGGGGGTGGCTCTGACTCCTGAAGCTCATGCACGCACACACACACACACACACACACACTCCAGCGCTGTGGGGGTGGCCTCTGACTCTTGAAGCATGTGCACACACACGTACACACACAGAGACACACACGTATACACACACAGAGACACACACACGTACCAGCGCTGTGGGGGTGACCTCTGACTCCTGAAGTGTGCACACATACATACACACGTGCAGGCATATGTGCATGGACATGTGTGTACACACAGCACACACACACGCATGCTAAAGTACCTGTTTCCCTCAGATAGGGCCACACTCAGCACAGAGCTCACCAGGGGCCCCTCCCAGAGATGCGCTCCCCCCTACCACATGACCCCGGAATGGCCATGTGTGCAGGGTGCTCACAGCACACATGTGCTCATGGTGCCCTTGGCTTCGTGGCCGGCTGTGCCAATCACGTTTGCTTCATCTCCATGGCTTCTCTGACCATCATCCCACACTGTGGTAGGCAGAGCGGTGCCCCCCAACGATGTTCCATCCTAGACTCCAGCATTGGTGAACGTGTCATGCTACATGGAAAACACAATTTAGGCTCCAGACGAAATGAAGGGCGCGGCTGAGCTGACCCGAGAGGGGAGATTGTGCCGGGTCTGAGGTGCCACTGGGTCCCTGGACGTGGGAGAGGAAACAGGCAGGAATCGGGGGGACGTGCGTGAGAAGGGCTGAGCCCCATGGCTGGCTCTGCAGGTGGAGGTGGCAGCCTCAAGCCACAGAACGCAGCCGCCTCTGGAGGCTGGAAGAGGCCTGGGGCTAGGGGAGGATTCTCCCTGCGGCCTCCAGAAGGAACCAGCCCTGACGACAGCTAGAGTTTTAGCCCAGTGGGACTCTTTTCAGACTTCCAGCCACAGAGCTGTAGGATAATAAATGTGTGTGGCTTTAAGCCACCAAGTGAGTGATTACAGCGGCAGTAGGAAATCAGTCCCCACTCCAAGGAGAACTTCAGACTTTGAGAAATCGTAAAGGAGGGTCTGTAAACGAGAGGTCAGAACGAACGAGCTTCCAGGAGTGACTCCCCAGGGTGCCCTTTTCCGGGGCCATCCCCACAGTGACCTGGCATGAGGTCCAGCCAGAGCCAGCACAAGGGACCCGGATGGCCACCTGGTTAGGCACGGATCCAGTGCTCCCTACGCCCACTTCCAGCTACAGACTCCTGGGACTTCACAGGAACCCCTGCTGGCCACCGCCTGCTCCTGCCTGGAAGCTGGAGTTGGGAGTCAGTCAGGGCTGCTCTGCACTCTGGCCAGACTTGCTGATTCACCCCATGAGAGTGGGCTCGTCCCAGTCCCGGCCACCCCCTGCCAGCCCCAGCCATGGTCGCCGCCCTCCCAGCAGGCCTGCCTCTCTCTGGGGATGGCTTGTGTTTCGGGGTGGGGTCATGCAGTCCGTCCAATCCCTCACACACATCACCCACCCCGGTGCTCTCTCCCCGCAGGGGCCACGCAGCCCCCATCCATCCCTCACACAGATCACCGCCCCCCTCCCAGTGCTCTCTCCCTGCATGGCCACACAGCCCATCCGTCCCCTCACAATCACACCCCATGCACTCTCTCCTCACCTGAGCTTCGCAGCCCTTGAGATCACCAGCGTCGTCATGCCGGCGGCTCAGGGCCATGGCAGCAGATGCCGGCTTCCCCTTAGAAACATCCCAACCACACAAACAGCCTGTTCCCTCACCTCCTCACCTCCTAATCCTGGAAAGGGAGACTCAGAAGTTCCAAGTGCAACATTCCTGGGACTCTAAAAATAATTTACAGAGAGGCTGCGTGGGCTGGAGCACCAAGCCCAGAGCTAGGGAGGCTGCAGCTGGGCCATGAGAGGTGTCGGGCGCACCCTGTGTGTGGAGCCAGGCCCCTCTTTGCGAAGCTGGGGATGGCCCAGGTGGGCTCCTCACGGCCCAGCTCTGACCCTGATGGTCTTACACCCAGATAGGACCTGGGCACCGTGGGCATCGCACTGCAGCTGCAGCGCTGAACTGTTTTATCCATGAGACAACCAGCAGGCAGGAGGAGAGGGAGAAACATGTCTCAAAAGAAAGCGACGTCAGGTCGGGCGACAGCACAGTGCACTGCCCCGGGAGCACAGGGAATGTGGATGGGACGGGAGGCGGCTGCTGTTAAGCACATTATGTGAGTAGAGACAAGATTAGAGGAGGCTGAGTTAACGAGACAGGAGAAAAGTCTGGTGAAATTTGACATAATATTTACAGATATTTTATCTTAATTCTCAAAGTGCCTTAAAATTTTGATATTTCTATCGAATGCTTTGGGGTCACAATATGATGTTGTCTTTAAGAGAAATTCTGAAACCAAACGAGGGGGAGTCCAGGACGTGGATGTCAGCCTGATGTCCTCCACAGACGACATCTAAAACCACCACGGCACGGCTGCTCTTCCCTCACAGTGAAAATGATGGCAGCCACGAGGGGGTTAAATTCACTCCACTCCAATCCAGTGAGGGAAAACCACGTCATCCGGGTGCCCGCTGCCCCGCAGGGATCCACATGCAGGCAGGCAGAGCCAGGTGACCCCGGCACCCGGGGAGGGGCTGCTCCCGGAAGGGCCTGGCACAGCATTCACCAGACGTGCCTGCTTGGAGCAGGTCCCTGGCAAGGCAGGTGCTACTCAACCTTCTGCCAAGGATAACCACGGCTCCTGCATCCACGGAGCGCGTGGGCAAGCGTGTAGGAGACCAAGCGGACCTGTGTGTGAGAAGTCCCTCTTTGGTGCTCAGCCGGCCGCCCGAGGCACCTGCCACTCCAGTGTGTCCTCCATCTCCCAGGCTGGCCTGCCCTTCAGACTTTCCAAGACTTCAGAGACCTCCAAGTCTGCCCTGATTGTCCCATCCGCTGGCCACCTGCAGGGAAGCCCTGTTTCACCGAGTTTCTCAGAGCCCACACTGCAGGTTGCTGGGGGCTTCAGGCTCCTGGGGCAGAGCTGGAATCTGGGCGCGCGCCGGCCCCACCGGTCCCGGTCTCACAGGCGCGTCTCAGGCTTCACGCCTCCCTCAGTGTCAGTGGCATCACCCCGTCCTCCTAAACACGGCCAGCTCAGTCGCTGATAAGCTGAGGGACAGAATAAAGGAACTTAGAAAAGACCCCCAAGCTGACAGTTGCTCTGGAAGCCCCCACTGTGCCCAGGTTGAGGCTGCTGTCCCCTCCCAGCTTCTCTCAGGACCAAAGCCCACCCCCAGGACGGATGCCTCCGCAGAGGCGCAAGAGAGCTCTTATTCCCGCAGTCTAACCGTGAAAGATCCAGAAAGTTAAAATACATCTCTTCACGCACATGAGGCACTCAGGACTGTGGTTGGCACAATTCCTAGTGCTCCACAAATTGTAGTTACCACTTCTCAAAAAAAAAAAAAATGTGGGGGTGCAGGGAAGGGGCTCTGCCTGGACACTTATCTCCCTCAGGTCTCCTGAGCACGTGACTCCCAGGGATGGGGTGACCAGCGTTTCCCAAACACTCAACCTGGGGACACTCTGGCAGGGAGCTCTGAGCAGAACGAGGGATCCACCACGCTCCCTTTGGGAAACATGCCGCGTTCACATGAAGACTTTTGCAGGAAGCCAGGACATCGTTCAGATGGAGCCGCCAGTGCGGGCTCCTTGCTGAGGTGCCCTGAGGTCAGGTGGGGAAATGCTGACGTCTTTAATGGGCAAGTGGGAGGAAGAACCCTGCAGCCTTCCGGACACCACCCCAGGGGACAGGAAGCGCCGCTCTGTTCCGGCCCAGCGTCCACTCTCACCAGCAATTCCGTGCCGTCTGCTGGGAAGCGCGGCTTGCACAGGGCCTGGCCGATGTGGACAGGCTTCGGTGCTGGCTGCTTTTGACACAGACCCAGGAGGGAGCGCAGCCCCAGCCCTTGCTGACCCCAGCATCTCCAGGGCCAGCCCCAGCTCTGCCCTTTGGAAAGGAGGGGACCTGTTCTGGCTGGTGCCATGGCGGGTGCCACTTGGATTTCACGACCTGGCCATGATCCCCACGGCCCACTCCTTGCTGTGACCTACAACTGCTTCTCCGACCCCTCTGCATGGTGGAGTGCTGCACTGGAACAGGAGTGGCTGCCAGGCCGGTTCTATTGGTTTAGCTGGGGTTGTTACTGCCTGTTCCGGGTTGTTACTGCCTGCTCAGGGTTGTTACTCTCTGTTCCGGGTTGTTACTGCCTGTTCAGGGCTGTTACTGCCTGTTCCGAGTTGTTACTGCCTGTTCCAGGTTGTTACTCTCTGTTCCGGATTGTTACTGCCTGTTCGGGGTTGTTACTCTCTGTTCGGGGTTGTTACTTTCTGTTCGGGGTTGTTACTCTCTGTTCGGAGTTGTTACTGCCTGTTCGGGATTGTTACTGACTATTTGGGGTTGTTCCTCTCTGTTCGGGGTTGTTACTCTCTGTTCGGGGTTGTTACTGCCTGTTCGGTGTTGTTCCTCTCTGTTCGGGGTTGTTACACTCTGTTCAGGGCTGTTACTGTCTGTTCGGGGTTGTTACTGCCTGTTCGGGATTGTTACTGCCTGTTTTGGGTTGTTACTCTCTGTTCCGGGTTGTTACTGTCTGTTCGGGGTTGTTCCTCTCTGTTTGGGGTTGTTCCTCTCTGTTTGGGGTTGTTACTGCCTGTTCGGGGTTGTTACTCTCTGTTTGGGGTTGTTCCTGCCTGTTTGGGGTTGTTCCTGCCTGTTCGGGGTTGTTCCTGCCTGTTCGGGGTTGTTCCTCTCTGTTCGGGGTTGTTCCTCTCTGTTTGGCGTTGTTACTGCCTTTTCGGGGTTGTTACTCTCTATTTGGGGTTGTTCCTGCCTGTTCGGGGTTGTTCCTGCCTGTTCGGGGTTGTTTCTGCCTGTTCGGTGTTGTTCCTCTCTGTTCGGGGTTGTTCCTCTCTGTTCGGGGTTGTTCCTCTCTGTTGCGGGTTGTTCCTCTCTGGGGTTGTTACTGCCTGTTCGGGGTCGTTACTCTCTGTTCGGGTTGTTACTGCCTGTTCGGGGTTGTTCCTCTCTCTTCGGGGTTGTTACTGCCTGTTCGGGGTTGTTCCTGCCTGTTCGGTGTTGTTACTGTCTGTTTGGGGTTGTTCCTCTCTGTTCGGTGTTGTTCCTCTCTGTCCAGGGTTGTTCCTCTCTGTTCGGGGTTGTTACTCTCTGTTCAGGGTTGTTACTGCCTGTTCAGGGTTGTTCCTCTCTGTTTGGGGTTGTTCCTGACTGTTCGGGATGTTCCTGCCTGTTCGGGATTGTTCCTGCCTGTTCGGGGTTGTTCCTCTCTGTTTGGTGTTGTTCCTCTCTTTTTGGGGTTGTTCCTTTCTGTTCGGGGTTGTTACTGCCTGTTCGGGGTTGTTCCTCTCTGTTCGGGGTTGTTACTGCCTGTTCGGGGTTGTTACTGCCTGTTTGGGGTTGTTACTCTCTGTTCGGGGTTGTTACTCTCTGTTCGGGGTTGTTCCTGCCTGTTCGGGGTTGTTCCTCTCTGTTCGGTGTTGTTCCTCTCTTTTCGGGGTTCCTCTCTGTTCGGGGTTGTTCCTGCCTGTTCGGGGTTGTTACAGCCTATTTGGGGTTATTACTCTCTGTTTGGGGTTGTTCCTCTCTGTTCGGGGTTGTTATTGCCTGTTCGGGGTTGTTCCTCTGTGTTTGGTGTTGTTCCTCTCTTTTCGGGGTTGTTCCTCTCTCTTCGGGGTTGTTACTGCCTGTTCGGGGTTGTTCCTGCCTGTTCGGTGTTGTTACTGTCTGTTCGGGGTTGTTCCTCTCTGTTCGGTGTTGTTCCTCTCTGTCCGGGGTTGTTCCTCTCTGTTCGGGGTTGTTACTCTCTGTTCGGGGTTGTTACTGCCTGTTCGGGGTTGTTCCTCTCTGTTTGGGGTTGTTCCTGACTGTTCGGGATTGTTCCTGCCTGTTCGGGATTGTTCCTGCCTGTTCGGGGTTGTTCCTCTCTGTTCAGTGTTGTTCCTCTCTTTTCGGGGTTGTTCCTTTCTGTTCGGGGTTGTTACTGCCTGTTCGGGGTTGTTCCTCTCTGTTCGGGGTTGTTACTGCCTGTTCGGGGTTGTTACTCTGTGTTTGGGGTTGCTCCTGCCTGTTCGGGGTTGTTCCTCTCTCTTCGGGGTTGTTACTTCCTGCTCGGGGTTGTTCCTCTCTGTTCGGGGTTGTGCCTCTCTGTTCGGTGTTGTTCCTCTCTGTTCGGTGTTGTTCCTCTCTGTTCGGGGTTGTTCCTCTCTGTTCGGGGTTGTTCCTCTCTGTTCGGGGTTGTGCCTCTCTGTTCGGTGTTGTTCCTCTCTGTTCGGTGTTGTTCCTCTCTGTTCGGGGTTGTTCCTCTCTGTTTGGGGTTGTTCCTCTCTGTTTGGGGTTGTTCCTCTCTGTTCGGTGTTGTTACTGCCTGTTCGGGGTTGTTCCTCTCTGTTCGGGGTTGTTACTCTCTGTTTGGGGTTGTTCCTGCCTGTTCGGGGTTGTTCCTGCCTGTTCGGGGTTGTTCCTCTCTGTTCTGTGTTGTTACTCTCTCTTCGGGGTTGTTCCTCTCTCTTTGGGGTTGTTACTCTCTGTTCGGGGTTGTTACTGCCTGTTTGGGGTTTTTCCTGCCTGTTCGGGGTTGTTCCCCTCTGTTTGGGGTTGTTACGGCCTGTTTGGGGTTGTTCCTCTCTGTTCGGGGTTGTTACTGCCTGTTCGGGGTTGTTACTGCCTGTTTGGGGTTGTTCCTCTCTGTTCGGGGTTGTTACTCTCTGTTCGGGGTTGTTCCCCTCTGTTCGGGGTTGTTCCCCTCTGTTCGGGGTTGTTCCTCTCTGTTCGGGGTTGTTACTCTGTTTGGGGTTGTTCCTGCCTGTTCGGGGTTGTTCCTGCCTGTTCGGGGTTGTTCCTCTCTGTTCAGTGTTGTTCTTCTCTTTTCGGGGTTGTTCCTCTCTTTTCGGGGTTGTTCCTCTCTCTTCGGGGTTGTTATAGCCTGTTTGGGGTTGTTCCTCTCTGTTCGATGTTGTTCCTATCTTTTCGGGGTTGTTCCTCTCTCTTCGGGGTTGTTACTGCCTGTTCGGGGTTGTTACGGCCTGTTTGGGGTTATTACTCTCTGTTCGGGGTTGTTCCCCTCTGTTCGGGGTTGTTACTGCCTGTTCGTGGTTGTTACTGTCTGTTCGGGGTTGTTACTCTCTTTTCGGGTTTGTTACTGCCTGTTTGGGGTTGTTCCTGCCTGTTTGGGGTTGTTCCTCCCTGTTCTGGGTTGTTACTGTCTGTTCAGGGTTGTTACTCTCTGTTCAGGGTTGTTACTGCCTGTTCAGGGTTGTTCCTGCCTGTTTGGGGTTGTTCCTCTCTGTTCTGGGGTTTTACTGTCTGTTCAGGGTTGTTACTGCCTGTTCAGGGTTGTTCCTCTCTGTTCGGGGTTGTTACTGCCTGTTCGTGGTTGTTACTGTCTGTTCGGGGTTGTTACTCTCTGTTCGGGGTTGTTACTGCCTGTTTGGGGTTGTTCCTGCCTGTTTGGGGTTGTTCCTCTCTGTTCCGGGTTGTTCCTCCCTGTTCTGGGTTGTTACTGTCTGTTCAGGGTTGTTACTCTCTGTTCAGGGTTGTTACTGCCTGTTCAGGGTTGTTCCTGCCTGTTTGGGTTCGTTCCTCTCTGTTCTGGGGTTTTACTGTCTGTTCAGGGTTGTTACTGTCTGTTCAGGGTTGTTCCTCTCTGTTTGGGGTTGTTACTGCCTGTTCGGGGTTGTTACTGTCTGTTCGGGGTTGTTACTCTCTGTTCAGGGTTGTTACTGCCTGTTTGGGGTTGTTCCTGCCTGTTTGGGGTTGTTCCTCCCTGTTCCGGGGTTTTTACTGTCTGTTCAGGGTTGTTACTGCCTGTTTGGGATTCTTCCTCTCTGTTCGGGGTTGTTACTGCCTGTTTGGGATTGTTCCTCTCTGTTTGGGGTTGTTACTGCCTGTTGGGGGTTGTTACTGCCTGTTTGGGGTTCTTCCTCTCTGTTCCGGGTTTTTACTGTCTGTTCAGGGTTGTTACTGTCTGTTCCCGGTTGTTACTGTCTGTTCAGGCTTGTAACTGCCTGGTTCTGGGTTGTTAGTGTCTGTTCAGGGTTGTTCCTGCCTGTTTGGGGTTGTTCCTCTCAGTTCGGGGTTGTTCCTCTCTGTTCGGGGTTGTTACTGCCTGTTTGGGATTGTTCCTCTCTGTTCGGGGTTGTTACTGCCTGTTGGGGGTTGTTACTGCCTGTTTGGGGTTCTTCCTCTCTGTTCCGGGTTTTTACTGTCTGTTCAGGGTTGTTACTGTCTGTTCCCGGTTGTTACTGTCTGTTCAGGCTTGTAACTGCCTGGTTCTGGGTTGTTAGTGTCTGTTCAGGGTTGTTCCTCTCAGTTCGGGGTTGTTCCTCTCTGTTCAGGGTTGTTACTCTCTGTTCGGGGTTGTTACTGCCTGTTGGGGGTTGTTACTGCCTGTTTGGGGTTCTTCCTCTCTGTTCCGGGTTGTTACTGTCTGTTCAGGGTTGTTCCTCTCTGTTCCGGGTTTTTACTGTCTGTTCGGGGTTGTGTTACTGTCTGTTTAGTCCTGTGAGATGCTGCACAGGGGGGTGCACAGTTCTGGGTACCAGAAAGGGCCACATGGATGCTCAGTGTCAGGTCCCCTGTGTTGTGCAGGCCTGTCTCTTCACAAACACTCCCACGTGTATTTAGCATGTACATGGGCTGCGTCAGCACTGCCCTCAATGCACATTAGGAAGCCAGTTCCTGAACATAGCCCCCTAATTACAGCACCAGGGAGTTTACTGACAAACTGGCCCCTCACCTTACTGAAAAATTTACATGGACACAGCCCTCAATCATCTTAGGTCACCCACTGAATTTCTAGGCAAGGACCTGTTTTCTTTCCAGGGAAGCCACGCGGGCCCACATTTCACTGCTTCCGAATCAGCTCCAGCCACCCCCGGCGTGACGCAGCCGAGCAGCTGCCCGGCCATGCCCACCCGTCCCTGCCCCTGACTCTGCCGTAGCTGATTTGGGGGAGGCAGGGGGCATATAAACGTGAATTTGCAGCATGCCGGGCGAAGACGATCGTCGATTAGCAAGTACTTTCATAAATCCAGAGTGAGGCGGCAACAGAAAAATGGCTGAAATGGCCTCACTGACTCACTGCCCCTTTATTCAACAACATCTGTGGGGCCTCCCGCGAGGCAGGCGCTACTGCGCAGGTGCACGGGGAAAGGGTTCCTCGTGGCCAGCGTCTCTGCACGCCACGCCTTCCATAAGGCAGCACTTCTTACCCCAGCTCCCCCTGTCGTCTTCCAGGGCCGGTCTCATTTCAGCTTAACATTCCTAGACCAGCCTACAACACCCTAAATAATTTACCCCAAAACCTCAGTCTCCCTGTCTCTGTCCTAAGGACACCAGCAGACTCATAACATGAGGCAACCCTTTCTTTCTCTCTCTGATGATGTAAAGCTGCTTAATTTTTTACTGGCTAGGTCTGCTCTCCCATGAAATATTTATTCCCACGTGGCCCCAGAGCATTTCTTTGCTTGGAAAGCAGCCCCCACCTCTGCCACCCCAGAGAGGAGACATCGGAGCTCTCAGGAGGGGTTGACTCAGAGAGGAGAGGACAGAGGGGAGCTGTATTGCTGGGGACCAGGCTGGGGTCTCAGGGCCTGAGCCCCCTTCCCTGACCTGCACCCAGCCCTGGCCCGAGGCAGCCAGATGAGGTCATGGTCACCATGAATATTTAAGGAGATCGTTTTAATGTTCACACATGGATTGCTGCTGAAATGCAATCCCCCATCACCGTAGGTGCTTCCTGGATGCCCTGGAGAAATAGGTCTCTGTGGAACCAGGGCCAAGGGAGAGGAAGAAGGGGCAGGGCCCTGACCAGGACTCAGCTGTGAGGCAGGGCCCAGCAGGCTCAGGAGTGCATTGTCTCAGGGAGATCGACATGGAACACCAAACAGCTTCATTTTATCATGGCAGCCCCTCCCGGTTTAGACCAGGAAAATTAATTTGTAAATGCTCTAGAAATAAATGAGAGAGAGAGAGAGAGAGACAGAGAGAGAGAGACAGAGACAGAGAGACAGAGACAGAGAGACCGAGAGACAGAGAGACAGAGACAGAGAGAGAGAGACACAGAGAGAGAGAGACAGAGAGAGACAGAGAGACACAGAGAGAGAGAGAGAGAGAGAGAGAGAGAGAGAGAGAGAAGCCAACACTAACCCTAGCTGCTTCTGCTGCTTCTGCCGTTTAGGAAGCTTGGCAGGAGAACCACCTCCGCCTGCCCCTCAATCTTGGCCTCCAACTTCCCAGTTTCTATTTCAACCAGAAGAGAAAATGCTGAGCCCTCACTGACCATGGGAGAGTCAGCTGCTCAGCTGCTCAACCCCGCGGCCTCAGAAGGGGCAGAGGTCTCAGGCCTACCGGCCTGTGGTGGCCTCCTTATTCTCCAGAGCCGTCCTGGGCCAGGGGCCGCCCAGCCCACTGCCCGAGCCAAGCACCCTCCCCGCTAGGGCCAGACGGAACCCCATGTGGGGTGAAGGCAGAGCCAAGCTGAAAACCAAGGAGAGGCTGTACCCAGGCAGTCCCAGCCACCTGCAAGGGGCAGCACCGTCCAAGATTCCGTCGAGTATGAGACACCTTGGAACGTTATTTAGACAGATTCGTAAAACGTTTTATGCCCAGGGATTTGATAAGCCTTTGAAACATGATAACTAAATATAGAGAAGCCACAGAAGCAGAGAGAGGTCCACTTGGCTCAGGGGACGGCACTGCTTTCCTGGGGCTGGGGACCCTTAGCAAGTGCTGGCACTGGGCACCCACACAGCAGGAAGGTCTCGCAGTCCTGGAGGCCGACGTGAGACCAGGCATCTGGCAGGGCCAGGCTCCCTCTGAAGGCGCCGGGAAGGGCCTGTCCCAGGCCTCCTCCTGGGCTTTGGTGGGCATTTTCTCCTGCCTCTGTGCCACCATCCCTCTAGGCCCGCCTGGGTCCACGCCCCTTTTATAAGGACACTGGTCACACTGGTCAGGGGTGACCCCGTGGCCTCATCGTCACACACACCTTCAATGACCCTGTCTCCAAAGAAGTCACGCTCTGAGTCTAGGGTCAGGCCGCCCACCTGCGGATGTGGGGGCACAGGTTAGCCCATCACAGACCTGAGTCCGCGGCTGGGCCCAGCCACGACTCCGCGACTACCCCCCAGCCTCCCTCGAGGAATCACATGTTGTGGTTTCTTAGTGGGTAGATTCATGAGTTACCATATGGGATTACAGGGTGCTCGCTGAGCAGCGTGACGGGGTGGGGGACACAGTCATCCCCGGAACTGAGCACTGAGGGAGGGCACCTGGGCTGAGGGGGTCCTGGGGCGGCTGTGGGCCCAGCAGCATCCTGGCCTGGGGCAGAGCTGACCGACCCCTTATGTATGACCCGGCCAGGCGGCGAGGCCAGCACCCCCAAGTCCTGGGCCGGACACCAGATGCCAGAGCTTCACGGAGCCCCTCACCCACCTGCTCACCTCAGCGGCTGGCACCAAGGCGCCAACAGCATCCCACAGCTGGGGAGGAAAACTGGAATGCAGGCCCCCAGTGCCAGCAGGGCTCGCTGTGAAAGGAGAGGTGAGGCTGGGTCCGGATGTCAGGCAGGGGCAGCTGCCGCCGTTGGGGCCTGGGCTCCATGGAAAGGGGCTCAGGGAAGGGCCCGTCGCGCACCCCAGTGACACGTGTGCAGTGCTGGAGGCCCACGGAGCCCCGCAGGCTGGGGGGGCTGACCCCGAGGGACCCCATTTGGCAGGAACGTGGCTCCTCCTGGTGCCCCCGGAGGTCCAGAGCTCTCCCTGCAGCCGAGGTCTGCGCCCCGGGCAGCCCCCGCCCCCGCCCCCGCCCCTGCCCTGCTGAAACAGCGTCCTGTCGCCACAGGGCCGGGGGCCTCCCAAGGAGAACTTCGGGGGACTCTTCCCACTCCCTCACTCTGCGGCTACAGAGCCCCCCAGCCGGCTTGGGAGCGGAGAGGATTCTGGGCTCGGCCCCTGGAGGGAGAACGCAGCCCCCCTGAGCTCTGAAGCAGCACCGGGCTGTGGCTCAGAGGGGCGGGCAGCTCCTTGTGAACGAGGCCCTTCTCAGGAGTTCCCACAGACGAAGCCATCCCACTACACAAACAGCCCCTAACGACCCTTTTCTGAAACCAAATTTAAAACGAGACGGCAGGAAAATGGAAGGGGTCCTGCTCCCGCCGCGGCTTGCCTCACTCGTAAGTGTCGGCAGCTGCTGCTCGCTTCTCAAGGTCGAAAGGAGCCCCCTGGACAGGACTCAGCAGGACAACGGGGCAACCTTCCAATTTCAAAGAAAACCGCTGCCCTGCCCGGCGTGGGCCCTGCGGGGCCTGAGCCTCGCGGCCTGAGGCCTGCCCCCTCCGCAGGGCTCCTCCCCAGCTCAGCCCCGTCCCGGACTCAGGGGGGCCCTGGAAGGGCGGGGGCGCCTGGGAAGGACGGGAGGGGTGGGGGCGGCGCACAGCGGCCAGGGACGGAGACTCTGGGAGCCGGGGGGACCCACAGAGGGCAGGGAGGCCATGGCTTCCAGGCGGGGCTGCCCATGAGTTCTGTGTCCGCCCCCGGCAGGGCTCGACCCTGGTGCGTCCCCAGCATGTTTCTTGGGGGCGCTGGAGGCTGCTGATGCTGCCCAGAGTGGCCGGACACTCCTGCCCGAGGCCTCCTTCCGCCCTGAGCCCCCCAAACGTGTGGAGTTGGGAAGAGGAGCGGGCCGGGAAGGAGGGCGCGGGGGAAGGAAAATGGAGAAATGAGGAAAACGTGTCGGTTCTAATAAAACCATGTCTCCCTGTTCCCGGGCACGCAGCGGGGCAGCTGGCTCCGGAGGCGGGGCCGCCCACTCAGCACAGCCGCCCAGCCTGGCCGGCTGTAAACAGCTATTACTGCTGATCAAAGGCGCTACAAGGACTTAATCACAGGGCTTAAGGTGAAGGAAGTGAGAGGGGGCTGCGCACGACGGGGCACAAACGCGGCGTTAGGTTTCCACGCACCGCGATTCCCGCGTGCGGAGCGTCGGTCCCCGCCCTCGACAGCTGGAGTGGGGCCAGACGGCCGGGACCCCAGAGTTCAGAGGGCCACTGTGGCCCACCCGACAGCCACGTATTCACATGAGAGGGTGCGGGTTTCACCTCTCAAGGCGAAGGAGCCTCGCCCGACGCTGGGTGGTGAGCACGTTGAAGATGAAAACATCTGAGAGCGCCGTGCAAGATGGGCGACGTAGGAAAAGCAAGGAGCGCAATTCCGCCTCAGATGGCAGAGGGGCAGCCGGCAGCGGGGGAGGGGCAGTCGGCGGGGGAGGGGCGGCCTGTGGGGGGAGGGGCAGTCGGCGGGGGAGGGGCAGCCGGCAGCGGGGGAGGGGCAGTCGGCGGGGGGAGGGGCAGTCGGCGGGGGGAGGGGCAGCCGGTCGGGAGGCATCCAGGGGGAACGGGGCCCTCCTCGCTGCCTGCCTCTTGGACAGAGCCCAGGCGGCCGGTTTCAGCTCTGAGTCCCACAGCCACCACCCTCTCTAGGCCACGGACATGGTCCTCTTGAAGGTTTCCTGCAGCACCCACACCCCTGGACCTTATGGCTGCTGTGCCTCCCCAGAGAGACGCTGGAGGGGGAGGCAGCCCCAGGGAGTCCTAGGGACAGAAAACGAGAGCGACCTTTCAGGCGCACCACAGATCACGCCACTCTCCTTGTGAGATCTGCGCTGCTGTTTGTCGCTACTTCTAGAACAAAATCCAGAGCTGCAGCTGCCCCCAAGGTGCTGAGACCCACCCGCGCCCCCAGGCCCACTACCCATGCCCTTGGCTCATGGATGCACTGAGGCAGCCTCTGGGGCTCGGGGCTCAGGCCTCAGCTGGAGCTCTGGCCTGGGGCCTTTGCACGGCGGCTGCTGCCATCTGCTCCTCCCTGGCGCTGTGGGGCCAGCTCCTTTCTTCGAGTTCTCTCACTGGACGCATTGCCACCTCACACGGGACCCCTGACCCTGAGCTGGCCGGGTGGGGCCAAGTGACCCCAGCACCCAGGAAGTGGGCCCCCGCCCAGAAGCTGCTGTTTGTTTCTTACTAGCACCTAATAAGTTGGAATGTACTTCGCAAAGCCGTGGCTTTCGTTGACTGTCGACTTGTTCAACACCGCATCCCAGGTCTGTCTGTGCTCAAAGAAGAGTGAGTGCCTGACCAGAGGCGACCGGGGCATCCAGGCCTGAGCCACACAGCCCTCTGTGTCACACACACGGCTGGACTTCTCTCTGGCGCGTCCTGAGGCTGGCGGGCGTCGCCTTTGCAGGTGTATGAATACAATCTTCCCACCGTTACTCAGCAGGCACAGGCTCCTGGGGCTCTGCCCCTTCACTGGATGCAGGAGAAAGAATTCTGGGTAGGCAGGAGGGTGCCGGGCTCTGCCAGGGCCATGTTGGCCACGGGCAGGGCAGCCCAGGCCTCTCTGGGCCTGTTTTCTGTCTCGTTTCTTCTCTCCCAAGTGTAGCAGGATTGCAGAGTGGGGTCCTTTCCAGGTCTAAAATCATGTAGCCTCTTGTTTTCCTGCTGTGCATGTGTGGGGAGGGAGATTCAGATGACTGTGCACAGCAGAGGTCTGCAAACGAGAAGACAGGGTGCCTTCGTCTAGGACCCATTTGGGCTGCCACAGGCAAAATGACACATTTCCTGGTAAAGGTGACTGGCACGGCTAGGATCCTGTGCCCTCAGGAACCCAGCGAGCTGGAGCTGGTGTTCAGTAGCTGATGGCGTGGGGCTTCCCTGGCTGGGCCCATGCAGGTTTGCTTAGGCCGGTACACTCGCGTGGGGTCCACACTGCCTGAGGCAGGCACCCCCGCGCCCCATCCTTGTAGGTTTGTAATATGAGCGCCTCCTCCAAGCAGCCCGGAAGCCGGCCAGGCCCTGAATGGGTTCTGGAGAGTCTTGCAGCCCCATCCAGCACATGACCCAGGACAGGGCCACCCAGCTGTCCTCCCCAGCCCCATCCAGCACCCAACCCCACCCTGCATCAGCTGCTCTCCTTGGAACCAAGCTTGCGGGGTGGGGCAAAGGTGACCCCAGCACGCAGCACGGTGCCAGGCATGGAACTGACACGTGATGCCCGTCTGTTTAACGAGTGAACAAAGGCACCAGAGGCTTTCTTCCCTTGAACACCAATCTTCCAACCTAGATTAGCAGCCGAGCGAGAGGTGGCGTCTGAACAGCCTAGATTAGAGGCCGAGCGAGAGGCGGCGTCTGAACAGCACCCTGGGATCAGGCAGCGCACGCTTCCCACATGTGTCTTGCTCGTTCACTAAACAAATATTTGTGCTTGGCACCAGTTGATATGTTGGCATTGTGTTTCATCTGATTGTGTGTTATTTAAAAAACTCCTATTACTAAATCCATTAAGCAACCAAACTGCTAGAGTCACTAGATTAAAATGCATGACACACAACTACAGGAAAATGTCAGGAAATGCAAATCTAGGCAGGCGTCCTCAGACATATCAGCTATGAGGAAACTCTCTCTAGGAGATCTGTGTTTTCCTCCCAAAAGAAGATCATCTTTCCAGAAAAAGAGGATTTTACAGTCAATTTGCTAACATAATATAAATTTGTCTCCTTCCGGGGACTTATATATGTTAGTACATAATTGGTGTCTTTATTGATGGCTGTAAGAACCAATACCTCCAAAATAAACAGAATTTGTACAATAGTAAAGCCATTTAAAAAGGCATGCTCCACTTTATAGAATATAACTTATTAATCACATTTTGAAAGAATAGAAATGCATTCACTCTTAAGATTGCAAGCTGAGCATATGCTGAAGTCTTTCCCCATATGCACATCAAACTGTGAAATGATAGGAAAAAATAGTAAACATATGGAGAGGCATCTGGAAAAACAAAGAACAGGAATTCTCTGAGAATCAGCAGCTCTCAGGAAACCCGGACAGGTTCCATTAAAGATGCAGCTGCCGTTCCAATATTCGCCCACTCCTGGACTGGCTCATGGGAGCACACAGCCACTCCAGGAGTTCCACGCCAGGGAGGAAGGCAGGCAGGTGCATCCTGGAGAGCACACGGGAGTTCCCCAGGTCCCAGTAGAAGGGGCTGGCTTTCCAACTGCTACCGATCCCCTTACCCAGGCTGGGAAGCTGGCAGAGGGGTCAGGACCAGGCAGAGCAGCAATTGGGCCAGGGAGAGGAGGCCGCGCCAGAGATGTGCTGGGGAGGCCTGAGCCAGCCCAGAGAGCAAGGTTCAGAGGTCAGAGGCCACTCATCTCCCACTCTCCCTGGGATAACCCAGAACTCAAGCCCCAAAAGGTGACTTTTCTGGCAGGCTGTGTACGGGGGAATAACTACCTCAAAGACGACCCCACAGTCAAATATAGTCAGACGTCTGAAGCATCAACGCCATGAAGACAAGATTACCAAAGAATTTGCACTTGAGAAAACTGAGCTAATAGCACCACCGAAACAGAACATTTAAAGTGTAAGCAATAGCCTCAGAGAGCCAAAAGGAACATGCAGTATCTGCGACTCAGGAATGGAAAGTTATGAGTAAGAACCAATTAGAAATACAGGAAATTAAGGATACATTTGTTGAAACTTAAAAATTCAAATTATGCTTTGAATTTTAGAATGAATATAACAGCACTGTGAGTAAATGAGCTTTAAAAACAAGCAGAGAGATTTTTCCAGAATGTCAGAAATCTAGATGGTGTTAAAGTTGAAAGACATGAAAGATTAACTGAACACACATGTTCGCTCTGGCTCTTGGAGGAAAGCGTGGAGAAGTTAGAACGCCAGCCCATGGAGGGATGGTGCAGCTGTAGGCACTTCCTCTGCACTTTGACAGGAATACATTTGCGAGGTGTTTACCGATGGTCTTCGTCCCCACCCCACTCACCTAATTCTCTAACGTAAGAGGCCTCCGAAGTGATCACGCGTATGTCCCAGTACCAATGTTGCAGGCTCTGGAGAGGAGTGTGCCCCGCTGGGAGGGACATTGACGCCCACTAAACATGGACACCTGGGCCACTGCGCTGGCACCGGGAGAGGCAGCGTGTTTATGGTTGATTGACAGGAAGTTTGGTTGGAGCACAGTTTTGCTATCCTCTTCAAACACACACAAAGAGGTGCGTGGGGCACAGGTCAGCACTGGGTGGACGTGGTGGCTTGTTTTGGGTCAACTGGGTCAGCTGGGAGGGTGGTGAAAGAGTAATTTTGCATGGAATCTGCAGGCAGACGTGGGGCGGCAGTCGAGACCCTCCAGCAGGGCAGGGCAGAGCACCCCACAGGTTCCCGTGGGCCTCACTGTCCCTCGCAGCCTCCAGCTCCTCTTCCCAGCGGTGCCCTAGGCTCACCAACAGAGCTTTGGCTGAAAACTGCGGAGGCCACAGCCACACAGAGCACAGCCTCCCTCAGGCTTCCCTTGAGCTCCTGCTTCACCTGAGAGCTGGGGACACCTTGGATTCTCATCCTGGCTGGAAGCACCGTGTCTGTCCCCAGCTTTCCTCCCAGACCTCCACGCCCAGCTCCACAACTCCTGTAGCAAAGACCTCACCCAGTAACACGGATTGATTAGGGACTGCTCTCCACACTCCCATGGACCCCTGAGTAAGACACCAACAAGTACTTGTTGATGGTCTAGCTTGAAAGGCACTGTGCGAAGAGCTGGGAACTCAGAAAAGGGCCAGATGACGCTTCTGTCTTTAAGGAGTTTGTCCTTTATTATGCTCATGGTCCAAAGGCTCTGCTAGGATGGGTACGAAGAACTCCTTTTCCTGTTCCACGATTGTCCATGCTGTCAGGGCTGCTGCTGTCATATTCTGTAAAAGCTGCTCATGCACCCATTGCTGGCAAGGACTTAGAGAAGCTGGAGCTCTCATCACTCATGGGACTGTGGGTCACTGCCATTGCTTTGGAGCTCCTTTCTAGTCTCCACTACAACTGAACCTTTAGTAAATGGACACCCTGCGGTCCAGCAGCTCCACACCTAGAAACCATGCTCACAGGAATTTTCCTGGGAGTGCTGCCCTCCTCACAGCCAAAACCTGCTGGAAGCCACATGGATGCCCATCAATAGTAGAGGGATGCCTTCTGTATCCTCCACAGTGAGAATCCACACCTACACCCACAGGCAGGAACACGCACAAATCACACACAGGAAACAGCAAGAATCCACACCTGCTAGCGGGAACACATGGAAATCATACCCAGGAAACAGAATCCACACCTGCAGGCAGGAACACGCACAAATCTCACCCAGGAAACAGTGAGAATCCACACCTGCAGGCGGGAACACGCACAAATCACACACAGGAAACAGCGAGAATCCACACGTACACCTGCAGGCAGGAACACGTGGAAATCACACACAGGAAACAGTGAGCATCCACACCTGCAGGTGGGAACATGCGGAAATCACACACAGGAAACAGTGAGAATCCACACCTGTTGGCGGGAACACGCAGAAATCACACCCAGGAAACAGGAAGAATCCACACCTGCAGGCAGGAACACGTGGAAATCACACAACAGGAAGCAGCAAGAATCCATGCCTATACTTGCAGGCAGGAACACACACAAATCACACACAGGAAACAGTGAGAATCCACACCTGCAGGTGGGAACACACGCAAATCATACAGACGAAACAGTGAGAATCCACGCCTACACCTGCAGGCAGGAACACGCGTAAATCACACACAGGAAACAGCGAGAATCCACACCTGCTGGTGGGAACATGCATAAATCACACACAGGCAACAGTGAGAATTCACATTTGCAGGCAGCAACAAGTGTAAATCACACATAGGAAACAGCGAGGAAGAGACCAGAGGCACACGGATCATATTGTTCGATTCTGTCTACAGAAAGTTCAAAATCAGAAAAAACTGATCTGCAACATCAGAAATCAGGCTGCTCCAGGTGGGAGACAGGGGCACACGGTGACACTCCGGGGAAGGGACCAGCTCCCGGTGGCATCAGGCTTCCTCGCGCAGGTGCTCGGCTGTGTGCTTTGAGAGCTTCGCATTGTGCACTCAAGATTCATGCTCTTTCCTCTTCAAACACAAAAGTGTATTTCCCTGAAGTTACCCCTCTTTTTCTAATCTTTTTATTTCGTGCCCTAAAAATGTGTTGTCTTGTCATCATCCTCTAGTACCCAGTCAGAGTGAACAGGCACATCTCCGCAGTTCTCTTTGTGTTTTTCATGATAGAGGGCATTGTGCGCTCAGGATCTTCACAGAGATCTTTTGATGGTGGTGGTGGTAAAAGGAAAACCTTAGACAAATTAAATTGAACAGAGTTTAATTCAGCAAAGAACACTTCATGAACCAGGCAGCTCAGAACCTTCAGAAAGACTCCAGCATAGCCACGTGGTCAAGATGGTTTATGGACAGAAAAAGGAAAATGAGGCATAGAATGCAGGGGTGAGGTACCGAAACTGCCAGATTGGTTACAGCTCTGCATTTCCCTTATTTGAACACAGTTTGAACAGTGGGCCATCTTTGATTGGCCAAAACTTGGTGATTGGCACAAGAGTAGGTTACAGTCTGTTTACAGATCCAGTTAGGTTACAGTGCACTATGTAGAGAGAAACTTTTCAAATAAGAAAAGAGGCAACTTTAGGCTAACTTAACAGTGGTGATAGTGATCATGATGATGTTGGTAGTGGTGATGATGATGGTGATGGTGATGATGGAGATGGTGGTGATGGTGGTGTTGGTGTCAGTGATGGTGATAGTGATAGTGATGATGATGGTAATCATGGTGGTGGTGATGATGGTGATGATGTTGGTTATGATGATGATGGTGATAGTGATATGGTGATGGTGATGATGATGATGATGGTGGTGATGGTGCTGATGGTGCTGATGGTAATGGTGATGGTGATGATGGGGATGAGGGTGATGGTGGTGGTGGTGATGGTGATGCTGATGGTGATAGTGATGGTGATGATAGTGATGATGATGGTGGTGATGATGATATTTATCTCAGTGCATGTGACAAAAATGAATTGAGAATACTAATGTGTTTGAATTATTAGATAAAAGATATAATTAAAATTCAAAATAGTGTTATTTTATGCCATGCTCCCAGCTCTAGCTGGATTTCTGAATTACAATTTGGATCAGCAATGCAAGAAGAATTATGGCACTCTTTGGGAAAACCACAGTATGCCCTTTTCCTACTGCTGGTCACTTTTATTTGTAAACACTTAGCAACAACTGGAAAGGATTTTAGACAGTGAAGCACCTCCTGCGACCCCCTTTTCATGAGTACATGAGAATTCTTCCCTAGGGATGTCACTGTCAAACACAGACAAACACATACCCACGGCGACAGCCAAGGAACACCTCCCTCATTTCCATTTTCCACTTGGTTATCCAGAGGGTTAGAAAGAAAGGCGAGGACAAGACCAGAGTGACAGCCCAGAAGCCATGCTCCTGTCAGCACTTCCCAAGCCACAGGCTGCTTTGTGTGTCTGGGCCCATTTGCATGGGGAGATGGGGCTGGGTTTTGTTTGCAGCAGATACTGGGGGAGCATAACCAGAGGCAGACAGCAAGGCCACAGCCACAGCAACGGCCCGCCGGAGCCACAGGAGGGGCTGCTGATTCCGGAACTGCAGAAGGTGCCTGCCACCAGCTTCCTGTGGCCCTGGTAGTTTTCATGATTCTTGGTGACTGTTGTCTCTGTCTGTGGCAGAGGTGAACCAACAGCTGGCACATGTGGCAAGAGGATGAGACTTAAATGTATTCTCACTTCCAGAACGTACTGCAGCTAGGAGTGGGAGTCATCTGCCATCTTCTTTTTTTTTTTTTTTTTAATTTGAGACAGAATCTCGCTCTGTTGCGCAGGCTGGAGTGCAATGGCACAATCTTGGCTCACTGCAACCTCCGCCTCCCAGGTTCAAGCAATTCTCCTGCCTCAGCCTCCTGAGTAGCTGGGATCACAGGCACGTGCCACCACATCTGGCTAATTTTTGTATTTTTAGTAGAGACAGGGTTTCACCATGTTGGCCAAGATGGTCTCGATCTGCTGACTTCGTGATCCACCCATCTCGGCCTCCCAAAGTGCTGGGATTACAGGCGTGAGCCACCGCGCCCAGCCTCATCCCCGCCTCATCTGCCTTCTTTAGGTCTTTGTCTTCACGTATTAACCAATAAGCATTAAATAACTAATGATGTTTTTCCCAATAATCCTTGTGTATCTAAGGATGTTTATGATGTGTCTGCAACTTTTCAGAAGTTTAGAAAATATAATTATTATTACTCGACTTCTGGCAAGCAAGGGGAAAAAAGTGAATCACCCCTTCAATGGAGGCACCAGCTGCTCACCTGAGCATCGCCCCAGGGAACGCTTTGCCAGCCCCCCATCCTCCTCCTGTGCTCCACAGCACGCTGTGCAGACGCCACACACACAGACTCTGTCCGTGTGTGCCCTCAGGCTTCAGTCCCTGCGGTATCGCCCATGCTTAGAGGCCGCCCAGTGCTCAGTAAGTGCTGGCAGAATCGGGTACCGTTTTCTAGAAAATGTTGTAATTCTAACGCCTCTCTTTGTTCTTTCATTTGCATCAACAATAAAATATTCTTAAGCCAGGGATGCCCGTCCCCTCACACAGAATTCTGATCACATGATGCTTCCATAAAGTCTAAGAGACCTTGTCAAACGTCCCATTGTCACTGGCAGGCAGGACTCGGACACTGAGATTAAAGGGGCCCACCGTTCCCTTCACAGAACCAGCATCTTCACTCACCGTCGGACGTCCTACCGCTCGGCTTACCTTCCCGGCTCATGCAGCGATCCACGGAGGCCGGGCTACCGATGAAACCTCACCCACCCCAGAGCTCACCTCCTTTACTTTGGGAAATGGCGGCAGTTCCATCAGCTTCTGGAGAAACAAAGAGAACTCAGGTGAAGTGTGGAGCCAAGAGCCCAGAGAACCCAGCCACCAGCTCCCTTTCTTCAGACATCTCGGCTTCCCTGGGACTGAGGCCAGCGTGAGCTGGAGATGTTCTCAAGGCCGCGTTAATCCTTCTCAGAGGCAGCAGTGGAGGGGGCAACGTGGGCTCGACCCAGCAACCAGCTCATCCAGCCCCTCCCGTTTCCTTCCTGCTCTCCTGAATCTGCCCTTCCTTTAAAGCCGGCACAGGCCAGGCTGGGCTCCAGACGCTGTCCCAGGTGAGCCACGGGGTGTCTGGTGGCGATGCCATGGTCTCAGGCTGCCGGGGTCCTCTGTGTGGCCCGCTTTCGCCCAGATCACTCACGGCACACCCTGCCTGGCAGGAAAGAGGGGCCCTGCTGCCCCACCCCCATCTCTGACAAAGACGCAGGAATCCTTGCGGGCATGCAGACCCAGCACCACTAGGGAAGGCGACACCTCACTGCAGGGACTGCAGGGGACTTGGGCTCAGGGAAGCCCACCGTGGTCTGCCCGGGAGGAAGACTGAGGGAGGCCTCAGCTGCTGTCTGGCCACACCCCTGGGGGCAGATTGCTTCTGGGCTACACCCGTGGCCACATGCAGCCTCCTCCCCACTCCCCACACACACCTGTGTGCACACAAGCGGCTCCACCCTCTGTGGCCAGCTCAGGATACCCCCTGGGGGTGACAGGGTCCCTAGGTGTAGCCCCACGTGGCAGAACAGCCGCAAGGAGCTGAGCACACGAGCCCAGGGGAGTTTGGTGCAGAGGCCGAGGTAGAGACCTTGTGGGGAGAAATCTTACCAGCCAGAGCGAGGGCCGTGCCAGGCCGGGCCTGCCTAGACTGCAGCCTGCCCCAGCACTCGCCTGAGACCTGGAGCTGAACTCCAGCCACACCCGAATGTAAAAGGCCAGGGTTAGGGTTAGGGTTAGCCAGCCTGCGGGAAAATCTCTTCTGCGTTAATGCTAAGAAAACACAAAACCCAGCTTGCACTGGGAGCCCAGCCAGCCCAGGACAGACCACATGCCCTGCGGGGGCTGAGCAGCATCCACCCACCTGGAGGCAATTGGGGCAGAAGGCCCTAATTACACACGACACGTGGGACCCTCAGCTGCAGGTTTTCTGACTCCTCCCAGACAGCCAAGACCTGCTCCAGACCCCATGCCCACCTGGGTAAGCATGCAGTCCTCACCCTGGGGGGGCAGGGAGGGAACACCCCCACTCCACCACCTGGCAGCCTCACACCTACCCAGCCCAGCCCCGATGACAGGATCAGGACACCTGGCTGGGTCCCCAGCCTCTCGGTGTCTGCTTTTTCTTGAAGCCCAACATTGTCCAGGCCAGGTGCTGACACAGCGGCGGGAACAGAACCCGCCCTGGCACGGACAGCAGGCAGCCCGCAATGAGGTTAGTGGGAATCTCACCCTGGGGTCACAGAACTGGGGCAGCCAGCCTTGCCAAAGAGGAGCTGGAGGCTCCTGGTGTAGGGGCCTCCCCTCCTCCCAGCCCGAGATGAGACCACCAGGAGGGGAGGCATGGACCGTATTCCTGGCAACAGGTCCAGGGGACACCCGGTGAGGGGCAGGCCCCCCGCCCCGCCCCAACAGATGCTCCTGGGCCTTCTGGAGGAGGGTGCAGAACTCAAGGGCAGTGGCCACTGCTTTGCTGCCTTCGTGTGAGGCCGTGAGGTCTACTCGTGAAGCCCACTCAGTTGACGGCCACATGTCCCACCTGAGGTGCAAGTGTTTCCTTGGTGAGAGCTTGTGGCTGTGACCCCCACAAGGAAGCATGGTGCCACCGTTCCTGCATAAGAAACAGCTGAGTGCATACCAGACCCCGAATATGATTCCACCAAGGCAGCCAGCCCCATCTCCACGCCAGGCCCTCTCCTGTCCTGCCTGGCCATGCTCTGACCTCTCATGCCCAGTCTGGCTCCTGTCCGCTCGTCCATGGCTGCCTGGATCCCGGGCCCCTTGTCCCTGAGCTGTGTCCCCTTCTTCCTCATCGGGAGAGGTCCACTCGCCTGCCTTTGGGGTCTCTACTGCCCGGTGAGGTCTGGGATGCTGCATCCTGGCTCCTGATTTATGCCACACAGCCACACCGTCACCTCATCGCACGGTGTTATGGAGACTCTGCATTAGCAGTGAAGATGTAACACGTGCAAGGCCCTGGAACTAGAAAATGGGGCAGGAGGAATCCTACAGGGGACACCCGAAAGCCCAGCACCCGCAGTAAACTTCTGCTCCTCACAGCCAGCCTGGGAGGGACGTCGACAAGGACACCGTGCTGTGGGGCAGAGGCACCAGCCTCGCTGCTGGACTGGCCCTGGGGAGGCTGGTCCCACCATGCATGGTGAGAATAAAAATCCTGTCCTCCAAATTCAAGAAAGGACACACCTGACGGTTCTTTGGCCTTAGAAGCTGTGAACAAGTAAAACACAAAGGTGACTTAAGCCCCGTCCCAATGGGTCAGCGACGACACTTCAGAAGCTTCTGAAAGGTGGGACCTTGCCCTTACCAGAGCGCCCTGCAGGGATCACGCCCCCCTTGCTTCTGAACCTTTGCTGGTTCTGGACTCCACGCTTCCTCAAAGGCTGGGCAATATCTGCTTTTCGCTGTGTTCAGAGACCGTGCCTTGGAGATACAGCTCTCTACTGTGCAAGTAATAATTCCCCTTCATTTCAGATGCTGGAATTGATTTCCTCCTTCCACAATGGCGGGGGGAGGCCAGCCAGGTCACACTTTCCCAGGAGCCAGGCCAGCTGATGGACCCAGGAAGCTGGAGTTGGAGGGCAGCGGAGCCCCACAGGCTCTTCTGTGCACTGGGAGCAGGGCCCCTGGCTGAGCCAGCAGGACAGGATGGGCTCCAACCTTAGGGAACAGGTCTGGCCCAAACAAGCAGGTGGCTAAGAGCCTGGTTACACCAGGGGCACAGGGGACAGCTGCAGCTTGAGTGGGAAGGACACTGGGCCGGGCTGGACTGGGGAGAAGAGCAGAGGAGGTTCTTCGTCTGTTCTGGGAATGGAGCCCAGTGTACCTCCAGGGTGCATGCCAGACCCAAGCTGGGGCAGGCAGGTGCACGGAGGCCGAGCTGGCCAGCCTGTTTGCAGGCACAGGGTTCCCCACTCCAGGTCCAATCCAGGAGCCAGCTACGAGCCCCCTGTTTATTCCAAACAATTTAACATAGATTGCAACTCCAGGTTAAAAAAAAAAAAGTATTTTGCAATTAGTCACAACAGAGCCATCCTATAGACAAAAAAAACCCATAGTTGAAATGCTAGATAAATACTATTTTCTAAGAGACTCTTTCTTCTCAGCCACACCAAGTGAGAGCAATTCAGGTGCTGGACCTCAAGCCTCAGAGAGGATTCTGCTTTTCCTGTAAGTTCAGGGATCTTCTGTCACCTCCCCACAATGTCGATCCACAGAGCTGCATACAGCAGCTCAGGCCTGGCACACATCGGGCCGGCCTCCTGTCTTCAAGACTCCATCATCACCTCCTCCGGGGACCTGTCCCAAGCAGCCCCAGGTCTGTCCTCCTAGGGCCCACAGCCACTTGAGGTACAGCGTCCGCGCAGCTTCCTCACTGTTCCTGCCAGACAGCCAGCGCCGTCCCGACATGACCAGTGCCCAGCATGGCCTGGCACAGCCCAGAGGCACTGTCCATGCTGCTGGGCACGGATGTCACCAATGGCTGGGTGGGCTGCACGGCCCTGAAGGCAAAGTTCCAGGGTTGAGAACAAATATTTAAAAAAGGAAACCATATCTGGAGCCTACTAAGATTCAAAAAGCTTCATTTTACTCCATCTTCTTTCCATCTAACTTGGAAAGTACTGATTTAGGTCTGCAGACACCGGGTAGAATGTTTCACAAACCCTATAAGATTTCAGTGAAGTCTCATGTGGAACAATCTATGCAGGCCTTTTCTAAATGCCACTGGCGTGAAGGAAGAGCACCTGATCTATGCAGGCCTTTTCTAAATGCCCTTGAGGTGAAGCGTCTGTCACTTGTGAATGCTCAATCATTTCACATTCTATTTCTCTCTCCTCCCCTTTCCCACCCCCACCCCTCAAAAATTATGAATTTGCGTTTTTATTCTAGGCAAAAAATAAATAAATAAATAAATAACACTATCTCATGACCTTTTTAAATAAAAAGTCCCTCTTGCATAGAACATACCCGCTCAACAATGTTACAAACCTGCTTCTGCAGAGCAAGCGCTGCCCTGCTTGGCCCACACCTGGGCCCCACATCCACTCTGGTATAAAACACACAAGCCCGCTACTCACAAAAGTGTCTCCAGGTCACGCAAGGCCACTAATGAGCAAGTCTCTGCCTGGCTTGCCTGAGCAGGACACAGGTGGTCACCAAACCTAGGAGCATGCATCAGAGGGAGCTTTTCCAGCAGCACTGAGCTGTCTTCTCACCAAAAATCCCAGCAGTCTTATAATCCATCCCCTTCTCTCTGACCTCTGCACCAAGGACACCCAAGAAGACAACGTTCCCAGGGTCAGCAGACCATGCCTGTTCACAGACTGGCACATCATCCCATGGAGCAGGAGCTGGAGCCACAGGGCCAGGCCAAAAATGAGGGCGCGCCTCTGCTCCAGACTTGGCAGCAGAGATTCTCAAACCTGCTGTGAGGAGACCCCAGTCTCTGAGATTCTCAAACCTGCTGTGAGGAGACCCCAGTCTCTGAGATTCTCAAACCTGCTGTGGGGAGACCCCAGTCTCTGAGATTCTCAAACCTGCTATGGGGAGACCCCAGTCTCTGAGATTCTCAAACCTACTGTGAGGAGACTGCAGTCTCTGAGATTCTCAAACCCGCTGTGAGGAGACCCCAGTCTCTGAGATTCTCAAACCTGCTGTGGGGAGACCCCAGTCTCTGAGATTCTCAAACCTGCTATGGGGAGACCCCAGTCTCTGAGATTCTCAAACCTGCTGTGAGGAGACTGCAGTCTCTGAGATTCTCAAACCCGCTGTGAGGAGACCCCAGTCTCTGAGATTCTCAAACCTGCTGTGGGGAGACCCCAGTCTCTGAGATTCTCAAACCTGCTATGGGGAGACCCCAGTCTCTGAGATTCTCAAACCTGCTGTGAGGAGACCGCAGCCTCTGAGATTCTCAAACCTGCTGTGGGGAGACCGCAGCCTCTGAGATTCTCAAACCTGCTGTGGGGAGACCGCAGCCTCTGAGATTCTCAAACCTGCTATGGGGAGACCCCAGTCTCTGAGATTCTCAAACCTGCTGTGAGGAGACCGCAGCCTCTGAGATTCTCAAACCTGCTGTGGGGAGACCGCAGCCTCTGAGATTCTCAAACCTGCTGTGGGGAGACCGCAGCCTCTGAGATTCTCAAACCTGCTGTGGGGAGACCGCAGCCTCTGAGATTCTCAAACCTGCTGTGGGGAGACCCCAGTCTCTGAGATTCTCAAACTTGCCATGGGGAGACCCCAGTCTCTGAGATTCTCAAACCTGCTGTGGGGAGACCGCAGCCTCTGAGATTCTCAAACGTGCTGTGGGGAGACCGCAGCCTCTGAGATTCTCAAACCTGCTGTGGGGAGACTGCAGCCTCTGAGATTCTCAAACCTGCTGTGGGGAGACCCCAGTCTCTGAGATTCTCAAACCTGCTGTGAGGAGACCGCAGCCTCTGAGATTCTCAAACCTGCTGTGGGGAGACCCCAGTCTCTGAGATTCTCAAACCTGCTGTGGGGAGACTGCAGTCTCTGAGATTCTCAAACCTGCTGTGGGGAGACCGCAGTCTCTGAGATTCTCAAACCTGCTGTGGGGAGACCGCAGTCTCTGAGATTCTCAAACCTGCTGTGGGGAGACCCCAGTCTCTGAGATTCTCAAACCTGCTGTGGGGAGACCCCAGTCTCTGAGATTCTCAAACCTGCTGTGAGGAGACCGCAGCCTCTGAGATTCTCAAACCTGCTGTGGGGAGACCGCAGTCTCTGAGATTCTCAAACCTGCTGTGGGGAGACTGCAGTCTCTGAGATTCTCAAACCTGCTGTGAGGAGACCGCAGCCTCTGAGATTCTCAAACCCGCTGTGGGGAGACCCCAGTCTCTGAGATTCTCAAACCTGCTCTGAGGAGACCCCAGTCTCTGAGATTCTCAAACCTGCTGTGGGGAGACCGCAGTCTCTGAGATTCTCAAACCTGCCGTGGGGAGACCGCAGTCTCTGAGATTCTCAAACGTGCTGTGGGGAGACACCAGTCTCTGAGATTCTCAAACCTGCTCTGAGGAGACCCCAGTCTCTGAGATTCTCAAACGTGCTGTGGGGAGACCGCAGCCTCTGAGATTCTCAAACCTGCTGTGGGGAGACTGCAGTCTCTGAGATTCTCAAACCTGCTGTGGGGAGACCGCAGTCTCTGACATTCTCATACCTGCTGTGACATGACGTCATCACAATGTGAACCAGTGCATGGGGCAGAGCATGGAGACCACAGGGTTCCTGGGTGAGTCTGGGACAACTGCCACCCTTGGCGACACCTGGCTGGCAGGACAGATGGGCATTCGCCAAGTGCAGCTAAAGCAGATGGTGCCAGGTCCCCCGGGTGCACCTTGGTAAGAGCGGCTACTCTCTGGCTGTGCCTGTTTCTCAGAGAGCAAATCAGGAATGAAGAGGGAATGTCCTGGCCACCAGGATAACCCAGGCCCTGCTCTCTTGGGACCACACAGGAGGCAGCCTCTGCAGAGTGAGGTCCTAGCTGGGGCCACAGCCTTGCCACACCGCAGTCCAGCCGCCCCTCACTCAAGCCGTTCTTCCCAAAGAGGACACGGTGTCTGTCACCAGTGCAAGCTTTGAAGCCAGGCAGCCTGGACACCCAGCTCCTTTACTGGCCAGCCATGGCCCCTGGGACCAGGGTCTGGAGTCTCCAAGCCTCCATCCTCTCGCCATAAGGAGCTGGCGGTGTTTGATCTCTCAGAAAGCTGTGATGACCGAATGCGACATGTGAAGTGCATAGGAAGAGCCTCCACGGAGCAAGCATTTAAAGATTTTGGAGACTATTCTAGCAAGAACAAGAGGACAGTCAGCAAACTTCAGGTTGATGGACAAAACTGTTTAAAAATACTTGACAGTATAACTACTTTGCAACATTGGGCATCTCATGTAAAGACGTCAAAGCTATAAAAGCATAAGCCAAAGAGCAGTTTCTTCGTGACAAGGAAGCAGAGAAAACCGCAGCAGTGACACGAATGCAAGTTCTGCTTCCAGAAAGACGGGGTGGACTTACTGTTTCCTACTCCTTCAAGCACAACAAAAACCCTGGATGTTACCTATAAAACAAGATGCTGAATGAGGGAGAAAAGAAAGACCAGCCAGGGAACCCAGGACCCAAAGGACAGCAGGGTGGCAAGTTCCTGGGCTTTCTTTTTGCCTCACACATCTCAGACTTGGAAGTGCAGAAGCCACAACCCAGAAACACCAACGGGCACAAATAGAAGCAGCCCCACAAACGCTGACTCTCTGCAGCCAAGGCCCTGGAGGGGCCGCCCAGAAGCAGCCCCGGCAAACGCTGGCTCTCTGAAGCCAAGGCCCTGGACGGGCCGCCCAGAAGCAGCCCCACAGATGCTGGCTCTCTGCAACCAAGGCCCTGGAGGGGCCGCCCAGTGAGACAGAACTCTTCGAGATGGTGACCACTGCATTCCTGCCAACACCACAGAAAGAAAACGTGGTCCCACCCCCACACCATGCCAGGGAAGGTCAGGTCAGGGCCTCGGAGTCCACCCTCATGAGGCTCTGCCAACAAGCCTTGTCCAGCCCCACTGGAGTGGTGGTGGAAGAGGCCGAAACACACCTCCCCGCTGTGATGCAGGGACCATGCAGGAAGCCTGAGCTTTCACAGTCAGCACTGTCTTTCCTCTGTCAACAGGACCACATAGGAAACCTGGACTTCCAGCCCCATCCCACCCCTGCCAGAGCCGCTCCAGAAAAAGCACCCTCACGATGCAACACAAAAAGGTCTATATTTCATTCAAAAACCACTCATTGTACCAAGAACCAGGAAGATCCCAAACTGAATGGAAAAATAAATAATCACTACCTGCCAGCACTGACAGGGATATTAGAAACAATAGAAAGATCTTAAAGCAGCTATCACGAAAATACCTCAACAAGAAATTATAAACACACCTGAAACAAATGAAAAAAATAGGAAGCCACAACAAAGAAATAGCAAGTCTCAGCATAGAAATAGAAGATGTAAATAAGAACCAAAGGGAAATCATAGAACTGAAAATAATACATCCAAAATAAAAAGCTTAGCGGATGACTTCAACAGTATAATGCAGGGGACAGAGGAAATAATTGGTGAACTGGAAGACAGAATGAGAAAAATTACTCAATCTGAACAACAGAAAGAAAACAGACTGCTTAAAAAATTAACAGAGACTTAGGGGTCTTCTATAGGACTATAACAAAGATCTAACATTCATGTCACTAGAGTGATGAAAAGAGGAGAAAGTATGGAGCAGAAAATGTGATCAAAGAAATAATAGCTGAAAACATCTCCAATTCTGCAAGAGATGTAAACCTACAGGTTCAAGAAGCTGAACAAACCCTAAAAAGGGTAAGCCAAAAGAAATCCACATCAAGACACATCATAATTATACATCTGACAACTAAAGGCAAAGAAAAAAAGCCTGAAAACAGCCAGAGAAAAATATTTTACCTTTGGGGGAAAAGTTGCAATAACAGTGTATTTCTCATCTGAAACCATAGAGACCAGCAGGAAGTGCCACAATTTTTTTTAAAAGAACAGAACCGTCAACTCAGAATCCTATATCCAGTGAAAATGTCCTTTAGGAATGAAGGGAAAATTCATACATTCTCAGAAGAAAGAAAACTAAGAGAATTTGTCATCAGCAGATCTACTCTAAAATAATGTCTAAAGGAAGTTCTCTAAACAAATAGTAAATGATAAAAGGGGGTGTTTTAGAAATCAGGAAGTCAGAAAAAAACCCAGTAAGCAAAAATAAATAAATAAATAAATAAATACAATAGGATTTTTTTCTCTTGAGTTTTCTAAATTATGTTTGAATGTTGAAGCAAAAATTATACTGCTCTCTGCTGTTCTTCTAAATGTATATAAAGAAAATATTTGAAACAATTATATTATAAACAGGGTATAACAAAGGAAGATTAAAAAGAGTAAAGGTTTCTCTACTTCACTTAAACCAGTAAAATGATAACACTAGTTAACTGTGATAAGTTACCTATATATAATGTAATACCGAAAGCAGCTACTAAAACAGTTACAAAAAGATGTACTCATAATCACTATAGATAAATCAAAATGGAATTCTAAAAATGTTCAAGTGAACCACAGGAAGTCAAGAAAAAGAAAACCAACAAAAATGAGAGAGAATAATGAAAAAACAAAAAACATGCAAACCTAAGCCCTAACATATCAATAATTACACTAGATGTAAATGGTCCAAATACTTCAAATAAAAGAAAGAAATTGGCAGAGTGGATTAAAAACGATGACCCAAATATTTACACTCTACAAGATGCAATCTTCAAATATAGCAATACATAAAGGTTGAAAGTAAAAGGATATAAAAATGTATAGCATGCAAACATTAAAGGAAAGTAGGAGTGGTTATTCATATTAGACTTCAGAGCAGAGAAAATTATCAAAGAGGGACATTATATTATAATAAAGAGTCAATCCACCAAAAAATTTATAGCAATCCTAAATATGTATGGCCTAAACAACTGAGCTGCAAAATACAAGAAGCAAAAAGTGATAAGCGGAAGAAGAAATAGAAAAATTTACAATTATAGTTGGAGACTTCAACAACCTTCTATCAACAATAGGTAGAACAACTAGATATAAAATCAACAAGAATAAAGAACTCAACAACACAATTTACTAACAAGATCTAATAGATATTTACAGAATATTCCATCTAACAATAGCAGAAAATACACTTTCTTCAAGTGCTCATGGAATATACATCAAGATTGGCCATCTCCTGAGTCATAAAGCAAACCTCAACAAATTGAAAAAGAAAAAAGAAATTATAAGGAGCATGTTCTCCAATCACAGGAAATTGAGCAACATATTTCTCTAAATAATCAATGAGTCAAAGAGGAATTCTTGTAAAAAATCAGGAAAAAACATTGAAAACTGAAATGAAAATACAACATATCAAAACCTGTGGGATGCAGCTAAAGCAGCACTTAGAGGAAAATTTATAGCACTAAATTCACACATTAAAACAGACTGAAATCAATAAACTACATTCCTATCTCAAGAACCTAGAAAAAAGAGCAAAATAAACCTGCAGGAGGCAAATGAAGGAAAATAAGCATAAGTCAATGAAATTGAAAACAGAAAAACAGTAGAGAAAATCAGTGAAACAAAAAGCTCCTCTGAAACAAAAACAATAAAATTGACAAACCTCTAGAAAGACTGAAAAGAGAGAGAGGACACAAATTATCAATGTCTGCAATAAAACAGGGGCTATCACTACAAATCCTAGAGCCATCAAAAGAATAATAAGAGAATACTTTGAATAACTCTATAAAACTAAATTTGGCAACTTAGACAAACTTGACAAGTTCCTTTAAAAATGCAATCTATTACAATTCACCCAATTTAAAATAGGTAATTTAATAGCGCTTTAACACTTAAGGATATTGAGTTTGTGCTTTTAAGGCCCCCAGAGAAAGAAATTTCCAGGCTCAGACAGTTTCAGTGGAGAATTCTACTAAAGCTTCATAGAAGAATTAACACCAATTCTATAAAATCTCTTCCAGAAAATAGAAGCAGCAGCACTTCCCAATTCATTTTATGAAGCTAGTATTACCCTGATACCAAAACCAAAGACAGCACCAAAAAAACAGCAGCAAACCAATATCCCTCATGAACACAGGTGTAAAAATCCTTAACAAACATTAGAAAATAAAATTTATTAACATATGGAAGAAATTATACACCATGACCAAGTGTGTGGTTTATTCCAGAAATTCAAGGCTAGTTTAATCTTCAAAAACTAATCATTATAATCCACCACGTAACAGACTAAAGAAGGCAAACCACATCATCGTATCGGTTGATGCAAAAAAAAATTTGACAAAATGTAATGTCCATCTTGGGTTTTTTTAATCTCATAAAAATAAAAATACAGGGAAACGTCTTCAACTAGATAAAGAGCATCTGTCAAATTCTACCATTCATTAACATTGTACTTAATGGTGAATATTGATGCTTTTCCCTAAAATTGGAAACACACTAAGCCTATTCATTCTCACCACTTTTATTCAACATAGTTCTGGAAGTTTAGCCAGTGCAATGACAAAATAAAAGGAAAAGCATACAGATAGAAAACAAATAAACTGTCCCTGTTTGCAAATCACATGACTGTCTACGTAGAAAATTCCGAGAAATCTATGAAAGAACTAATAAGAGAGTTCAACAAGGTCACAAGATATAAGAGAAACCTACAGAAATCAATTGTATTTCTTCTTGTTCATAACAAACACATGGTCACTAAATTTTAAAATACAATACCATTTACAATTGCTGAAAAAACATAAACTACTAAGCTATAAATCTAAAACACCATGGACAGTGTGTGTGTGTGTGGAACACTACACAACATTCATAAAAGAAATCAGAGAAGAGCTATAAAAATGGGGAGAGATACCATGTTCATAGATTGGAAGGCCCCCACACAATAAAGATGTCAATTCTTTGCAAATCAATATATAAATTTGACACAATTTCTGTCAAACTCCCAACAGGATTTTTTTGGATTTAGACAAGATTATTCAAAAATGCATACAGACAGACAAAGCTAGCCTAGCTAAAACAATTTTGAGAAATAAGAAGGAAGTTAACGGAATCAGTCTACGTGATTTGAAAACTTACTATACCCCTATTGTAATTGACACTATAATATTGACAGAGGTAGACACATGGGTCAATAGAATAGAATAAACAACCCAGAAACAAACCTGCACAAATATGCCCAGCAGATTTTTTTTAAAGTACAAAAACAATTAAATGGAGGAAAGATCACTCTCTGAGTTAGTAGTGCTGGAGAAATTAAATATCCCCAGGAAAAACATGGCGGCATTTCCCCATGACCTAAATTTCACACCTTATACAAAAGTTAACTCAAAATGGATCACAGATTTAAAGGCAAAACATAAAAATGATAACATTTCTAGGAAAAAAGTCATAGGAGAAAATCTTCAGGATCTAGAGCTAGGCAAAGTTCTTAGACTTGACATCAAAACCTAATCCATAAAATGAAACATTGATAAATTGACTTCATCAAAATGTAAAACTTTTGCTCTGTAAAAGACCTTGTTAAGAGGATCAAAAGACAAGCCACAAACTGAGAAAAAATGTTTGCAAACCATATGTCCCAGGGCTGATATCCAGAATATATAAAGAACTCTCAAACTCAATAGAAAGAAAATAAACACTCCAGCTAGATAATGGGCAAAAGACATGAACAGACTTAGTTACCTAGAAGAATATACAGAGGGCAAATGAGCACATGAAAAGATGTTCAGAATCATTAGCCATTAGGGAAATGCAAACTAAAACCACGACACCCCTATCAAAATGACTAATAAAAATAATTATAACTTCAAATACCAGGAAGGATGTGGGGGAAGCATCACCCACGTATTGTGGGTGGGAATGCACAATGGACAGTCACTCTGAAAAACAGTTTGGCAGATTCTTAAAAAGCAAAATATGCAACTGTCATACAACCCAGCAATAATACTCCAGGGTATTTATCCCAGAGAAAAGAAGACATATGTTCACACACAATCCTGAGTACAAATGTTTGTAGCAGCTTTATTTGTAATAGCCCAAAAGGGGAAAACACACAGATGTCCTCCAACCAGAAAGGTTAAACAAACCATAGTGCATCCACACTGTGAAATACAGCCAGGCAAGAAAGGAAACACACTACAGATACACAATTCAGATGGATTTCCAGAAAACCACGCTGAGTGGAAAAAAAAGACAATCTCAAAAGGCATACACTGCATAGTTTCACTTATGTGACATTCTTGGAATGACAAAATTATTAAAACGGAGAACCTGTGAGTAGTCACCAGGGGCTGAGAATGGGGATGGAGGCAGGAGGATCTGGGATTGATGGGAATGGCCTGCGTCTTGACTGCACCGATGGCATCATCCAGGTTATGTGATTGTGCCACCATTTACCAAATGTGATGAATGGGGAAGTTGGGTAAAGGCCACACACAGCCTCTGTGGTATTTCTAACAACAGCATATTAACCTATAATTATCTCCAAGTTAAAAGTGTGATTTCAAAATAAGAATAATACCATCCTGGCTAACACGGTGAAACCCCGTCTCTACTAAAAAAAGTACAAAAAAATTAGCCGGGCATGGTGGCAGACGCCTGTAGTCCCAGCTACTCGGGATGCTGAGGCAGGAGGATGGCGTGAACCCGGGAGGCAGAGCTTGCAATGTGCCAAGATCGTGCCACTGCACTCCATCCTGGGCAAAGGAGCGAGACTCTGTCTCAAAAATAAAGAAATCAATAAATAATAATAACAATAATAATTCAAAAATAAGGCAAACTAAAACATTTTAAAAACCTTTCTACTTTGATTAACTAGGTATTTACCCAGGAAGGACATATTTCAAAGAATCAATGGCTTCTCTGTGGCTTCTCTATCATTTAAATAAGATAAACATCCTGGTCTCCCAGACAAAGATGGTGACAGTGACATGAAGCTGAATCGCAAAATCCTCTCCCACCAAACCTAACGAAATGCACCAAAGGAAACTGTTTATTAAAAAGACAACAAAAAATTAGCTCTTTATTTTCAGCTCAGGAGAGACCAAGGTGAAACTTTCTTGGTTGTCCCAAATCTGGGTTTACCTGACAGTGGCCACCGCCACCATGCACCTAAGTTTGACCCCAAGGAGATCAAAGTCGAATTCCTAAGTTCACTGGTGCTGAAGTCAGTGCCACGTCTGCCCTGGCCCCCCAGATTGGCCCCCTGGGTCTGTCTCCAGAAAAGGTTGCTGATGACATCACCAAGGCAACCAGGGACTAGAAGGTTCTGAGGACCACAGGGAAACCGACCATTAGAACAGACAGGCCCAGGCGGAGGCCATGCCATCTGCCTCTGCTCTGATTATCAAAGCCCTCAAGGAACCACCAAGAAGCAGAAAGAAACAGAAAAATATTAGAGTGGAAATATCACTTGCGATGAGATTGTCAACATTGCCAGACAGATGCAGCACCGATCTTTAGCCAGAGAACTCTCTGGAACCACTAGAGCTCCTAGGGACTGCCCAGTCTGCAAGCCACGGTGTCGATGGCACCACCTCATCATGCCACGGATGACCATGAAATGTGGAGTGCTGGCTAGTTAAGAAGCACAAAGGAAAATATTTCAATAAAGGATCACTCACGACCCAAAAAAACAAAAAGTAAATGAGTAGTAGAAAATGCAGTTAAAAACAAAAAATAATGAATAGCAGTAACATAAGGAAAGATGTCATAAATTTCAAAATGGTAAGATGAAGAGAAAATAAGGGCTCTGTCTCATCTCACCGCCCACATCCCAGAAGCAGGGGAGAGACAGTAAGAGCATGAGTCCCCCGCCAAGAATCCTCCCCAGCCCTCACAGGCGAAGAGAAGTGGACTGAGGCATAAACAGGCCACCCACGGAACAGTCAAAGGTGTCCCGGAGAAGAGCAGCCTCCCCGACAGCATCTGTGCAGAGGCAGAAGAAAACACCAGGCTGCCTCGTCCCAGAGCTCACAGCAAATGAGGGGACATTTGGGAGCCCAAGGCTTTCCCTGTAGGGATGTGAACCCCAGGACAGAATAAAATCTCAGAAGGAAGGGTGGCACTCGAATCCCACCAGAAAGCCTGGACACAGCTTCCGGCCAGACCTACAGTGGCCAGGAGGAGCTGGTGTGCAGAGAGTGCCAAGGAGAATGACTCACATTACGGGAAACAGGCAAAACTCAGGTTAGTAAGGCCATTTTTGGCTACAAGTGATGGAAATTCAATCCAAGCCATCTCCTGCACATCAAAGAGCATAAAGTAAGGAAACTGAAAATAATAAATTAATAAGACAAGATAATAAGTTGGTTCTTTGACAAAACTAAAAGTATAGATAAAACCCTAGAAAAACTAAAACAAGAAAAAATAGAAAAGACACCACATACATTATTTGAAATGAAATGAAACAAATTTAATTACAAGAGAATATCATGAATGATGTATCATGTAGCCATAATTTTAAAACTTCAATAAAGTTGATGATAGTATTTTTAAATATATAGTCAAAATCAAACCAAGATGAAATATATAAAAAGTAAATGAAGGAATAATCATTAAAACAAAAAAAAATACATTCAAAAACCAACCTTTACTGTAAGTTTTCAGTCCTAGGTGGTTATACTGGAAAGTCTTGCCAGACCATAAAGGGAGCAGCAGCTCCCGTCCCTCCCACACCGTTTCACGGAATAGAAAAGTAGGAACTACTATTCACTCTATTTTATCAGGCTGCTATACCCTAGATATAAAACATCAAACAAGGACCATGTGCCTCAGTCCATCCAGGCTACTGGGACAAAATGTCATAGACGGGGGCGCTGATACACAGCAGAAACTCGCCTCTCACCTTTTGGAGCCTGGAAGTCCAAGATCGCGGTGTCAGCAGGTTCGGTGTCTGTGAGGGCCTATTCCAGGTTTATGGGTGAATGGCCATCTTCTTGCTGTGTCCTCACGTGATGGAAGGGCTGAGGGAGCTCTCTGGGGTTCCTTTTATAAGACACTGATCCTATTTGTGAGGCTCTGCCCTCATGACTGTGTCACTTCCCAAGGATCTCACCTCCTCCACCATAACCTTGGGGGTTCCAAGATTTCAATTTATGAATTTGGTGGGGTGCAAATATCCAGACCACAGCACAGCAGGAGAAACTTTTTAATAATCTCCCTTATGTAAAAATGCTTAAGAAAACTCCCCCAAGAAAGAAGTGAGTTACATCTAAAAAAAAAAAATTACATCACAGCCAATTAGTACTATGTCAGCAAAGGAAGAGTAATTCAACATCAAAACAATATGTTTGTACAATTAACATATTACTTGTTACTAAATATATAATACTATCTGAAAGGAAAAAAATTATCTCAATAATTTAGTAACTGATAGTTATAATAGTATTATAATAGTTTATAATCAATGTTTTATTAAAAACTATTTGATGCAATTGTATACTCATCCATGGCTACAAAATGCAAAATATATTCTTAGCAAACTAGGAATAGAAAGGAACATTGTAACTAACCAAAAGCTATCTGTAAAGAATAATAAACTCATACTTAATGCTGAAACCTTAGAAGTATTCCCATTGACAAGAACAGTGTGGACCTCCCCTCTCACCACTTCCCTTTGACTCTGCATTAGAAGCCCTGACCCATGCAATAAAACAATAAAAAATGCTAAAAGATGCAAGAAACTGAAGGAATGAGCCAAAACTCTCATTATTTGTGGGAGGTATGATTACTAGAAAATTCTATAGCATCTACAGCCTATTAAAATTCACAACAGAACTGAGTGACATCAACATCAAGTCAATTTCTTTCCTATTCCCCAAGGATAACCATTTAAAACATAATCCACGTATGCTCGTTCACGCATTCCACAAGTGTTTTCTGAGCCCCCGCTGTCTGCTCAAGGTTCTGGGCCCTGGGGGAGAGACGTGAACAGAGAGATGGAAGCCCCCCGCCCTCCCTGAGCTTACAGTGAGAGCAAGGTCAGTGTGAAATACACCACAGATGATGACGAGCGCTTTGGAAAGTAACAGAGCAGGGAATGGGGTGCGTTTCAAGATGTCCTCACTGAGAAGGTGACTTTCAGCAGAGACCTGAGGAGGGAGGGAGTTGGAGGTGCTCAGGCAGGGAGAAAAGTGTGTGCAAAGGCCCTGGCACAGGAGTGTCTCGAGAGGCTTGAGGAGCCACAGAGAGGCTGGGTGGGTACAGCAGGGCAGTGGAAGCACCACCTCCAGCTCCCACTCAGAAAGCTGACGAATGTGGCAAAGGAAGGCCCAGTCTACTTTCTGCACTTCCATCTGTGGGAAAGAAGTCATGGTGGGCTGGACAGGATGGCAGTGAAGGAGGGCAGGCAGGGCTAAAGGCTGGAGAGGTCTCCCAGGTAGAGCTTTTAAGACTTGCAGACGCCATGGAGTCGAGGAGGAGTCCAGGTCAGGAACTCCCAGTTCCTGGTCTGCACAAGCTGGAAGGAGGGAAATGCCATCTGCTCAGGGGAATCACCAGAGAAGCAGTGTCAGTGAACAGTGAGGTGTGGGGTGAGGAGATCAGAAATGCAGAGTTAGACCTGTCTGGTTTTGAGATTCCTATTACATATCCAAGCAGAGATGTTGAGAGATGTTTGATAGACAAATCTGGAATGCGGGGGAGGGATTTGTACTGGAAACTCAAAACAAAAATCATCACGCCACAGATAATATTTAAAGTAACTCACAAAACCAGATGAGATCATCAAGCGCCTGAGGACGCATGACATTAAAGGGCCAGAGAGATGGGAAAGTCACTGGAGGATGAGAAGTCACAGCCAGAAAACCAGGAGCAAGCCAACGGGTATGGTAGACCAGAAGCCCAGTGAAGAACACAAAGCAGGAAGTGTCTCAGGGATGTGCAGGCACTCACTCCACCAAATGCTCAGGGCAATCGGGTCAGACAAGGCCAGGAAATGGACCACTGGATTTAGCAATGAGACTAGGAAGAATGAAGACAGTGAGTGCAAATAAATAATAGTAAAAAAAGATATTCACAGAAGCAACAAAATCTTTAAAATGAAAGAAAGTTAACCTGGCAATCTAACCAAAAGTAGGAATGACCTCCAGGGGGGAAATGTATAAAATATTATTGAAGATGATTTGAAAACACCTAATTAGACAAATATATGATATCATATAAAATATGATATCATATTTTACATATATATAAAATGTATAAAATATTATTGAAGATGATTTGAAAACACGTAATTAGACAAATATATATATATAAAATATGATATCATATTTTATATATATATATTATTTAAGGATACAAAGATTGAATGCCTTTTAATGGGAGGTAATTGAATCATGGGGACAGTCACCCCATGCTGCTCTTCTTGTGATAGTGAGTGAGTTTTCACAAGATGTGATGGTTTTATAAGGGCCTTTTCCCCTCCTTCACTCTGCACTTCTCCTTCCTGACACCATGTGAAGAAGGACATGCTCCATTTCCACCATGATTGTAAGTTTCCTGAGGCCTCCCCAGCCCTGCAGAACTGAGTCAATTAAACCTCTTTTCTTATAAATTACCCAGTCTTGGGTATTTCTTCATAGCAGCATGAGAATGGACTAATACAGGGGCTGTTGTACATATTATTTCATCACCCAGGTACTAAGCCGAGCACCCAATTGTTATTTTTGCTGCTCCTCTCCCTCCTCCCACCCTCCACCCTCAAGTAGGTCCCAGTGTCTGTTGTTCCCCTCTTTGTGTCCATGTGTTCTCATAATTTAGCTCCCACTTATAAGTGAGAACATGCAATGTTTGGTTTTCTGTTCCTGCGTTAGTTGCTAAGGTCTCCAGCTCCATCTATGTCCCTGCAAAGGACACAATCTCATTCTTTTTTTTATGACTGAATAGTATTCTATTCTGTCACAAAGACACATGCCTGCAAATGTTCATTGCAGCTCTATTCACAATAGCACAGACATGGAATCGACCTGTGTTTCACTTTAATATGTATTCAATAAGTAACATGAGATAGTCGGCAATGTATTATAAAATAAACTTTCTGTCAGATGATGTAAGTGGCCGGAGCAATTTAAGGCAGGCCGGGCCCCCATTTAAGGCAGGCCGGGCCCCCATTTAAGGCAGGCCGGGCCCCCATTTAAGGCAGGCTGGGCCAGCCTATGATGGTTGGTAGTTTTGGTGTAAATGCATCTCAACTTAGATTATTTTCAACTTATGATGGTTTATTGGGAAGTGCATCTGTATTCACATTTGAAACTGTTAAAATTAAATTGGATTAAAATTTCAGCTCCTCACCAGCAGAAGCCACATTTCAAGTGTTCATATCACACATGGCTGGCTGCTTCTGTATTGAGTAGCACAGAAAGTTCTATTGCACAGGGCTGGTACTTCAGGGTAAGCCTGCCTTACACCTCACAGAGGAAAGGTGCAATTAGGGAGACTCTGCCTCATTTAACCCTTGCACACAGGGACACCCCTATGCATGTATAACCTATGCACGCGCATGTGCACACACCTATGTATGCACATGCACTCTTACACACCTACACCTGCACACACCCACGTACACACATCTCTCGTGCAACCTAAACACCCGTCACAGCTGGGAAGGCCTTTGTGCAGGGTAGCACCACTCACTAAATGGGAGTGTGTGATGAGTCTAGCAGTTGTTCTCAGCCTGAGGCACTCGGGCAAGCTTTCCCCACTGCCCACCTTGCCTTGGGTGGGGGTGGTTCTCATGTTGGCTATGGAGGAAGAAGGTCATCTTGAAGGCACTGATTGGAGGGCCCTATTAGGGTGCTAATGTGGGTACTACAATTATGAGAACACATGGACATAAAGAAGGGAACAACAGACACTGAGACCTCCTTGAGGGTGGAGGGTGGGAGGAGGAAGAGGAGCAGAAAAAATAACTACCAGGTAGTCAGCTTAGTACCTGGGTGACGAGAAGTGGAGTGAAGGCCCCTATTTGGGAAGTTTGAGAGCATCGGTGAGGTTCCTGACTTCCTGGAATTGTCCAGCACAGGCCTGTCAGCTGGTGGGCGATGGGTAACCCCAATAGCGGTGTCTTTACTTCAGAGACAGATCTCAGAATGACGGGCACCCATGGAACATGCCATGTTCTTGTGCATGAGCTTCTACACTTAAGAATCGCCGTCAGAGATTTTTAACAGCCATCCCCTTCTTATGGACAAAAATCTCCCTTAGCATCGATCAGGCAGTGAGCAAAGTAACTGTTTTACTTTGCTCTCTTTTTAAAGATTTACAGCTGGCACAGTGATAACATTTCAAAACCCATTAAAACCCAATCCCTGGAAGTTGTCCAGTGCCTCACAAATCATGAAGTGATGATGTAGCAGAGCTGGCCCTAAAACTCAGCTATGGCCTCTGTGTGTGCGAGTGCATGCGCATGTGGAGGGGCGTGAGCACATGTGTGCTTGTGTGAGAGTGTGTAAGTGTGTGAGCAAGCATGTGTGTGAGTGGGTGTGAGCACGTGTGTGCATGGGTGTGTGTGGGTGAGTGCATACATGGGAGCAAGCAGTTCTGTGTGCATGTGTGTGAGCATAAGTGCATGTGTGTGCACGTGTGACAGCATGGGTGTGTGTGAACATAGGTAATACGTGTGTGCATGTGTGTGATCATGGGTGAGTGCATGTGTATAAGTGTGCATGAGCAAGCATGTGTGTGAGTGGGCATGAGCATGTGTGTGCATGTGTGTTAGCATGGGTAAGTACGTGTGTGAGCAAGTGTGCAAGTGTGAGTGTGTTAGCAAGCATGTGTGTGGGCGTGAGCACGTGTGTGCACACCTTTGACCATGGGTGGATATGTGTGAGCATGGGTGAGTGCCTGTGTGTGTTTGGGTGTGAGAATGTGTGTGCATGTCTGTGAGTATGGTTGAATGCATGTGTGTGAGCAAGGGCATAAATATGTGGTCGTGTGTGCACAGTGAGCATGTGTGAGTGTGTACGCATGTGTTTATGAATGTGTGAGCATTTTGAGCACATGCCTGAACACATGTGTGTGCATGTGTATAAGCAAGTGCATGTACACTTTAACTGGAAATTTCAGGTGTTCAGGGTGTGGGTCTACACACACGCACACACACACGCACACACACGGACACACCCACACTGCTCCCTCCTTCCGTCCCCCTGGCCTGGGGCTTCGCATCTGTCCCTCAGGCATCATCCCTGCTAATAGCCATGCAGCCCAACCAGAGCCAGGAGGAAGCTGCATTGGTGCCGCCACGTGGCCCTGCACAGCTGGCGAACAGCAGCTTCTCTCACTGTGGGGATGAGCTGGTCAGCCTGGAGCCAGTGTGGCCGCAGGCTTCCTACCCAGCCTCCCTGGGGTTGGGGAGGAAAAGCTGCCTCCGAGGCCTGGACTGTGCTGTGCTGATGTTTGACTGCACCTGCTGCCTGCAGGGAGCACAGAGGCTGTGGGTCCCTGCAGGAGTGGCACAGGGACAAAGGCCACAGCCTCCGAGGCCTGGACTGTGCTGTGCTGATGTTTGGCTGCACCTGCTGCCTGCAGGGAGCACAGAGGCTGTGGGTCCCTGCAGAGCACAGAGGCTGTGGGTCCCTGCAGGAGTGGCACAGGGATGAAGGCCACAGGAGGCGCAGGCGGGTGGCACATTTTCACTGGGTGTATTTGGTGCCTGAGAAGTGTGCACCCCCCAGCACAGCCCCGCTAACCAGGATGGCTGGCACCTGACACTCTCATCAGGAAAGCAGAGCCTGGTGAAGACGATGCCCCAGGCTGTGACCACTCAGCAGAAAAGTCAGAAACCCTGGCCTAGCAGCTCCTGGATGCAGGCTGCTCTGTGATCAATGAGATTTCAACCAAAAATGAGTCGCCGCTTATTTATTTTGCATTTGTGTGGGCCTGTTCTCTGCTAATAAGAAAAGTTGGCAGAAAAGCCCACTTCCTGGGGCAGGCAGCTATTCTAGGAGAGTGTGGGAATGGGAGATGGGTTCGAGGTAACCCCCACCATATGGCTTTCCTCGAGCCCCTCTCCCGAGTCCCCTCTGAGGGCCCTGAGACCAGCATTCCTGACCTGCATACCTCAGGTGGCAACAAAGGTCTCTGCTCCACAAAGGGAGACCTCCACAGACCACCCCTTCTCCAGCTTCACCCGGCGGCCTCCCTTTCTCATGTCCCAAGAGGAGTGGGGATCGGGTTTGGCTTTCTGTGGGGCATACGGTTTCCAAGTGGATGTTTAATTCACACGCCAGTCCCTGGTGGCAGATTTGGTTTTCCACTTCTGTAACAGGAGCTGGGCTGTCACTGCTGTTGGAATCAAACAGACCACTTCTTCCAGAAGAATCCTAGGCCGCACTGAAAACAAAGCAAAATAAACTCATCATCCAACAACCACCCCCATGTGGCATATCATCCTCCATTTGGATTTCCTTCGGCTTTGTTTGTGGCAAGAATGTGGAAACATTGAAATCCAGTATCTCCCCTGGAGACAGGGGATTTTGTTAACATTTGGGGGAAAGTCAAGACTGAGACTGGGGCAGCCCCAGCGTCCAGACCGCACAGCCCCCGGGTTCCAGCGTGAGGATGGCCAGCTCCTGGAGCTCCATCCCTTCTGCGCCTGGGCCCCAAACGGTTGTGCCAGCACCAGACAGGGGCTCACTCCTTTGGCGCCAGGTCGTTTGGACCACAGATGGGAGAAAGGGCCCTTAATGGTCCTGCAGGAGCGGTATAGGACTGTCCACAAAGAAGAGGGCACCTGGATGCTGTGGCGGGGCCATGTCAAGATGCCTCTGTGAGTGCCATGCCTGGACGCCATGGGAACCGACCGAGGGTCCAGCAATCACAGGAGTCGTTTCCTCATCAGAAGGATTTGCAGCTGTTCCTGTGCTGGCATTTAAGAGCTGATTCACGCACACTGACCATCAGCCCTGCTGAAAAGGGGGTCACAGCTGCTTGTGAGAAAATAAGAAAACCAGCCAGGACCCAAACCTGAGCATCTGACCTCCGCCATGTCAGGACCCGAACCTGAGTATCTGACCCCCGCCCCCTCAGGTCCCGAACCTGAGCATCTGACCACTGCCCCCGGGGACCCAAACCTGAGCATCTGACCACTGCCCCCCTCAGGTCCCGAACCTGAGCATCTGACCGATGCTGCATCAGGGTTGCAGGAGGGAGAGCAAGATTGCCCTTGAGGCCCTTCCGCCCTCACTTGCATGCACTCACCCACATTCGTGACTCTCCACTCTCAGCGGCTGTCAGGAGAGCACAAGCGAGTGCTTTGCAGACCAGGAGTATGGCCTGTGCCATGCCCAGCACCCACCAGGCCCAGGGGCTGCCCCTGCCAATGCCTGGCTACAGCTCATAGTGATCCCCATTCTACCCAGAGGCTCAGGGCTGAAAAAAGTGGCTCGGTTGGAATGTTCTTGCCCTCATCACACCTCAGAAGCTGAATTCTCGGATGAGGGACACGGACTCTGGAACCAGACCACTGGGCTCGAATCCCAGCTCTGCCACACACAAGCTGTTGGCCAGAGACAAGTTCTGAGCCTCCTCCTGCCCTGCTTTACTCCCTGTGAAATGGAGCTGTTAAGGGTGCCCCCCTCACAGCATGGTGGAGATTCCAGCGTCAGTCAGCATTTGCAGAGCCCTTGGGCAGCATCTGGAGCCCGGCAAGCGCACACAGGAACCTGATGGGCAGGCAGGACAGAGGGAGCCTCATGAGCACTGCACAGGCACCTGCATACAATTGGTAGCTAGAGGGGAATGCTTCTACCCACAACAGCCTGACGGCGTGAGAGGCATCTCCACCCCTGTGAAACAGGCTACAGGAGGACAGCTGGGCCGTGGGGGTCCCGATCACACGCTTTGGGGCAATTTTAAGCACCTGGCATCCCTGGCTGACCCATTCCGAGGGGCAGCCCGTGTTGTGGGTCCCTCCGGCTTTCTTGGCAGAGCCCTGCAGCAGAGGGAGGCTGAGTGTCCAAAGCCCTAAAGCCACAACCAGCCCAAGCAGACATCTGGAGTGGTGCTTGGTGAGCAGTGGCACGCCGTGCCCCAGGCCTTCGGCTCAGGCCTGCAGAGCTCCAGAGCTCCGGAACGAGAGAGCCAGGACACAAGCGTGCAGCCCGCGATCGCCCAGGATGGCCGGTGGCCCTGGCTGCAAGCCTCACCTTTCCCTTGGCCCACTGTAACCAGGCACAGCCCAGGCTGTTCCCCTCCCTTTCGAAGGGAGCCGGTCGTCAATACATCAGTTTGTAATCACATGAACAGGAAGGTTTCTGGAAGTGAAGCCACCAACAGGCCAGGGGTCCTGGCATTGCCTCGACTGGCTGCCTGGGGGTTTCCTGCAGCCAATGGAAACTGATCTTCCTGCGGAGGAAACAGCCAGCCCAGCCAGAGGCAGGAGGAGGCTCGGTCCAGGTGCCCTGGGGGGTCTCTTCTTCCCTTGAAAGGACAAGGGCTCGGGGAGGAAACACACAGGTGCATTCCCCAGCCCCCGGGATTCCCCGTGGTGGTTTCCTTCACCACTGTCAGCGCTGGAAACACAGAAATTGACACAGTCCCATTGAAGTGGGTCAAGTGTGTTGTCGAACGTAGTGCACACGTACAACGGCAGGTCTGTCGCACACGGACGACGGCAGGTCTGTCGCACACGTACGACGGCAGGTCTGTCGGCACCTGAGGTGGCCGGCCCAAGGTAAAGGCTCATCATGAAGCCATCAGTAACCACATCTTTTTTCTTTCATTCAATCAGAGCAAAGTGTACATCTTCAATGCATGACCTGGCGAGATTTAATAAGACACAGCAGAAACTGTGGAAAGAAAGAGGTTAATTCCAATCAAGGAAATCTGATTTGGCTTGAATTAGGCCGGCTGTTAATGGGGGTAAGGGCATTGCCAGCAGAGGGGAGACGGTGAGGTTGATGATGGCATTACTCAGAGAGCAGGAGATGGTGGGAAAGGAGAGTGAAGGGTTCAGCTGCAGGAAGACATGAACGCCCCTCCACAGGTTTGAACTCTACCAGTGTTGAGGGCCATGAGAAGTTTCTAAATAGGGGATCTTGGGTGTGGATGTGCTTTAGGGGGTCAGTAGCTTCGAGAGTAGAATCGTTTGGGCAGGAGAGAGGTTACCATGAGGACAGCTCAAAACAGATTCCAACAATACCAAGCAGACGCCTGCGGGCTGCACCAGCAAAGGAAGAGACATTCGGGAGGGAAACCCTCTGCCAGGCTGGTGAAGGTGAAGATGGGGCACACTGTTGCAAACAAGTCCAAGTTTTCTGTTAAAGCAACACTATCACCTTAACCTTATAAATGTCCTCAACCTGAACAAAATTACCCTTCTTGGCTGAAACTTGCAATGAATACTAATGACAAATTACAGTGCTTTTCCCTAATGCTAATGTCTACACTATAGCTACACAGCTGTACTTATTTCAGCCCAAGCCTAACTCCGAGACTGAAAGAGGCAGCCTTTCCACCTCCAAGGCCCTACCTGGCCCTGGTGTGGATCTTAGGGCTCTGGATGCTGCTTCCCCTGGTGGTGGCTGGCACCGTGAAGGGCCTGACCACCGCCAGCCGCGTCTGCCCCTCTCTGGAGATGTCATTCTAGACACAACCTCTCACCATCCAGCACTTTTATTTTCCTACCCACAATACAACAGCAAGCATTAACAATGTTCCTCTGATGTGTCCAGCACAAGGAGAGAACCAGAGAGTGTATGTAGGACCTGGCTTCTGCCTTCAAACATCTTGCAACTTGTTCAGAGAGTCCAGAATGAAACAAACGAGGTGTACAAAAGGCAAGCGGTATTCAGTCCCTGGCTTGTGTACAAGCTCACGGGAGGAGGAGGTTAACCCTCGGGAGAAGCTGTGCTGGGGAGGCTGCATGAAAGTCCTTCTTGGAAGCCAGAGACCAGGTTGGGGATCCAGACTGCGAAGTCACATGACTTGTGCCTGGCACGCCAAGAAAGACACGCAGCAGGAAGGGCCCCCGGGCAGGCTGGAGTCATGGATAGAGGGTCCTGCATGCCAGGCTGAGGGTTGGGATCACTGGTTTGATGCCATGGCTTCCATGAGGCCACCTCTCAGGGGTCAGGCGGATCAGGGCAGGGTGGTCCCAGGAATGGGCAAACGCGGGGTCTCGGGGGATGCACTGAGAGGGCAGGAGCCCAGCTATGGAAAGACACCTCGAGTTTTCCTGCCAAAAGTGATTCAATTCACTTTCCCCAGCACTGACCTGACTCTCAGCCCACATGAAACCTGAAGAAACACTGCAAGGGAAGGCTCTGTCTGTGCACAAGCAGATAGTCCATCCTCCAGTTCAGTGGCTTCTTACGATGCATTCTTAACTGGTTTAACATTTGTTTTGCAACCTCATACACGAATCCAAGCCCCTCTTCCTATAACAGCCATCACCATCAATTAGGCACCAAGTAAGTCTCCGACCCTGTGCCTAGGGCTTTACGTAAGTGGTTTCTTTAATCTCACAACAATGTCAACAAGATCAGCCCTGCTAACACTGAGCCCTGCGGGTTGTCTCCTATGAGCCCAAAGGGTCAGGGCTTATCAACTGCACAGGCAAGAGGGGCCCAGACCAGCCAACCAGGAGGTGGGCTCTGTCCGCCTCTCCCTGTGGCCCCAGTGGAAGGCGGTTCATTCACAGACGTGGAGACTGAGGCATGGGTGAGCTGGATCAGTGACTGCGTGTGCACCAAGGAGGCGGCTGCCACCACGTAGCTCCATCCACCAGCCAGAGCCCAAGCCTCGCTGCAGCCTCACTGCCGTTTGCTTGCCGCCGCCTCTGCCCCGGAGCCCAGGCAGGGTGTGGATGTCAGTGCAGCCTCAGCACCACCCACTCCTGACCGTTTTGCCCACCTTCACCGTCTTTCCTGCTGGCTCCCCAGTGCCTTCAGAATAAAGACCCTTGAGACCGTGTCACGGCTCCTGCCTCCTCCCGCACCTCCAGCTTTGTCTCTTGCCTGAGGTCCAGCGTCCTCTGCTGGGCTCCAGGGCCTTTGCCCCAGGACCGGACCCAGGCCCGGATGCTCTCAGCCTGCCTCCTGGCCTCGTGTTTTCTCTCAGGGCATTCCACAGTTGTACTTTTGTGCATTTTATGCAGTTATTGGATCAGCTTCTGCCTTTCCCAGTAGACTACACGCTGCATTACGGTGGAGACTACATATTTGATAAACTTCTGTAGAATGAATGGTCTGGAGCCCAGGAGATGGAGAGAACGTTGGCTCCCTTGGCAGGAATAGCAAAGTGGGCACAGGAATCCCCTCTGTAGAAGGGAGGAGACGATTTTGGTTTCCGACCAGTTGCGTCTGGGCGTGGGGCTGGCTCACGTGCTGAAGGTGCCCCTGAGCAGCAGAAGTCAGAGGAGGTGCGGGCTGCGGATGCGAGCCGGGGCCTTCACACAGAGCCTGAGCGTGAGTTTCTGAGGGAGGTGAGACTCACAACACGAGACTCCCACAGGGGAAGAGCAGACCCCGGGACCGAGCCTGGGGAACGCAGCAGAGCCAGCCCAGCGAGGCTGAGTGACCGGACCCAGGGAGGCAGAAGACAGACGGGCCCGGGGAGTCAGTACTGAGAGACACGGAAGGCGGCGCACTGAAGACTCCACACGGGGAGTCAGTACTGAGCGGCCCCCAAGGCGGGGAGCGCTGAAGTCTCCACACAAGGAGTCAGTACTGAGAGGCTCCGAAGGCGGGGAGCACTGAAGACTCCAGACGGGGAGTCAGTACTGAGCGGCCCCCAAGGCGGGGTGCACTGAAGACTCCATACAGGGAGTCAGTACTGAGAGACTCCGAAGGCGGGGAGCACTGAAGACTCCAGACGGGGAGTCAGTACTGAGACGCTCCGAAGGCGGGGATCACTGAAGACTCCAGACAGGGAGTCAGTACTGAGAGGCCCCAAGGTGGGGCGCACTGAAGACTCCACACGGGAGTCAGTACTGAGAGATCCGGAAGGCGGGGTGCACTGAAGACTCCATACGGGGAGTCAGTACTGAGAGATCCGGAAGGCGGGGAGCACTGAAGACTCCACACGGGAGTCAGTACTGAGAGATCCGGAAGGCGGGAAGCACTGGACTCCAGACGGGGAGTCAGTACTGAGAGACCTGGAAGGCGGGGAGCACTGAAGACTCCACACTGGGAGTCAGTACCGAGAGATCCGGAAGGCGGGGAGCACTAAAGACTCCAGATGGGGAGTCAGTACTGAGAGATCCGGAAGGCGGGGAGCACTGAAGACTCCACACGGGAGTCAGTACTGAGAGATCCGGAAGGCGGGAAGCACTGGACTCCAGACGGGGAGTCAGTACTGAGAGACCTGGAAGTCGGGGAGCACGGAAGACTCCACACCAGGAGTCAGTACCGAGAGATCCGGAAGGCGGGGAGCACTAAAGACTCCAGACGGGGAGTCAGTACTGAGAGACCCGGAAGGCGGGGAGCGCTAAAGACTCCAGACAGGGAGTCAGTACTGAGAGATCCGGAAGGCGGGGAGCACTGAAGACTCCAGACAGGGAGTCAGTACTGAGAGATCCAGAAGGCGGGGAGCACTGAAGACTCCATACGGGGAGTCAGTACTGAGAGACCCGGAAGGCGGGGAGCACTGAAGACTCCCCACGGGAGTCAGTACTGAGAGATCCGGAAGGCGGGAAGCACTGGACTCCAGACGGGGAGTCAGTACTGAGAGACCCGGAAGGCGGGGAGCACTGGACTCCAGACGGGGAGTCAGTACTGAGAGATCCGGAAGGCGGGGAGCACTGAAGACTCCACACCGGGAGTCAGTACTGAGAGACCCGGAAGGCGGGGAGCACTGAAGACTCCATACGGGGAGTCAGTACTGAGAGATCCGGAAGGCAGGGAGCACTGAAGGCTCCACACGGGAGTCAGTACCGAGAGACCCGGAAGGCGGGGAGCACTGAAGACTCCACACGGGAGTCAGTACTGAGAGATCCGGAAGGAGGGGAGCACTGAAGACTCCAGACGGGGAGTCAGTACCGAGAGACCCGGAAGGCGGGGAGCACTGAAGACTCCACACGGGAGTCAGTACCGAGAGACCCGGAAGGCGGGGAGCACTGAAGACTCCACACGGAAGTCAGTACCGAGAGACCCGGAAGGCGGGGAGCACTGAAGACTCCATACGGGGAGTCAGTACTGAGAGACCCGGAAGGCGGGGAGCACTGAAGACTCCACACCGGGAGTCAGTACTGAGAGACCCGGAAGGCGGGGAGCACTGGACTCCACACCGGGAGTCAGTACTGAGAGACCCGGAAGGCGGGGAGCACTGAAGACTCCACACGGGAGTCAGTACTGAGAGATCCGGAAGGCGGGGAGCACTGAAGACTCCACACCGGGAGTCAGTACTGAGAGATCCGGAAGGCGGGGAGCACTGAAGACTCCACACGGGAGTCAGTACTGAGAGACCCGGAAGGCGGGTAGCACTGAAGACTCCACACGGGAGTCAGTACTGAGAGACCCGGAAGGCGGGGAGCACTGAAGACTCCACACGGGAGTCAGTACTGAGAGATCCGGAAGGCGGGGAGCACTGAAGACTCCACACCGGGAGTCAGTACTGAGAGACCCGGAAGGCGGGGAGCACTGAAGACTCCACACGGGAGTCAGTACTGAGAGATCCGGAAGGCGGGGAGCACTGAAGACTCCACACGGGAGTCAGTACTGAGAGATCCGGAAGGCGGGGAGCACTGAAGACTCCACACGGGGAGTCAGTACTGAGAGACCCGGAAGGCGGGGAGCACTGAAGACTCCACACCGGGAGTCAGTACTGAGAGACCCGGAAGGCGGGGAGCACTGAAGACTCCATACGGGGAGTCAGTACTGAGAGATCCGGAAGGCGGGGAGCACTGGACTCCAGACGGGGAGTCAGTACTGAGAGATCCGGAAGGCGGGGAGCACTGGACTCCAGACGGGGAGTCAGTACTGAGAGATCCGGAAGGCGGGGAGCACTGGACTCCAGACGGGGAGTCAGTACTGAGAGATCCGGAAGGCGGGGAGCACTGGACTGCACAGCGGGAGTCAGTACTGAGAGACCCGGAAGGCGGGGAGCACTGAAGACTCCACACCGGGAGTCAGTACTGAGAGACCCGGAAGGCGGGGAGCACTGAAGACTCCACACCGGGAGTCAGTACCGAGAGACCCGGAAGGCAGGGAGCACTGGACTCCACAGCGGGAGTCAGTACTGAGAGACCCGGAAGGCGGGGAGCACTGGACTCCAGACGGGGAGTCAGTACCGAGAGACCCGGAAGGTGGGGAGCACTGAAGACTCCATACGGGGAGTCAATACGGAGAGACCCGGAAGGCGGGGAGCACTGGACTCCAGACGGGGAGTCAGTACTGAGAGACCCGGAAGGCGGGGAGCACCGAAGACTCCACACCGGGAGTCACTACTGAGAGACCCAGAAGGCGGGGAGCACCGAAGACTCCACACCGGGAGTCAGTACTGAGAGACCCGGAAGGCGGGGAGCACTGAAGACTCCACACCGGGAGTCAGTACCGAGAGACCCGGAAGGCGGGGAGCACTGGACTCCACAGCGGGAGTCAGTACTGAGAGACCCGGAAGGCGGGGAGCACTGGACTCCAGACGGGGAGTCAGTACTGAGAGACCCGGAAGGCGGGGAGCACCGAAGACTCCACACCGGGAGTCAGTACTGAGAGACCCGGAAGGTGGGGAGCACTGAAGACTCCACACCGGGAGTCAGTACCGAGAGACCCGGAAGGCGGGGAGCACTGGACTCCACAGCGGGAGTCAGTACTGAGAGATCCGGAAGGCGGGGAGCACTGGACTCCACACGGGAGTCAGTACTGAGAGATCCGGAAGGCGGGGAGCACTAGACTCCAGACGGGGAGTCAGTACTGAGAGACCCGGAAGGCGGGGAGCACTGGACTCCAGACGGGGAGTCAGTACTGAGAGACCCGGAAGGCTGGGAGCACTGGACTCCAGACGGGGAGTCAGTACTGAGAGACCCGGAAGGCTGGGAGCACTGGACTCCAGACGGGGAGTCAGTACTGAGAGACCCAGAAGGCGGGGAGCACCGAAGACTCCACACCGGGAGTCAGTACTGAGAGACCCGGAAGGCGGGGAGCACTGAAGACTCCACACCGGGAGTCAGTACCGAGAGACCCGGAAGGCGGGGAGCACTGGACTCCAGACGGGGAGTCAGTACTGAGAGACCCGGAAGGCGGGGAGCACTGAAGACTCCACACCAGGAGTCAGTACCGAGAGACCCGGAAGGCGGGGAGCACTGGACTCCAGACGGTGAGTCAGTACTGAGAGATCCGGAAGGCGGGAAGCACTGAAGACTCCAGACGGGGAGTCAGTACCGAGAGACCCGGAAGGCGGGGAGCATTGAAGACTCCACACCGGGAGTCAGTACTGAGAGACCCGGAAGGCGGGGAGCACTGGACTCCACACCGGGAGTCAGTACTGAGAGACCCGGAAGGCGGGGAGCACTGAAGGCTCCACACGGGAGTCAGTACCGAGAGACCCGGAAGGCGGGGAGCACTGAAGACTCCACACGGGAGTCAGTACTGAGAGATCCGGAAGGAGGGGAGCACTGAAGACTCCAGACGGGGAGTCAGTACCGAGAGACCCGGAAGGCGGGGAGCACTGAAGACTCCACACGGGAGTCAGTACCGAGAGACCCGGAAGGCGGGGAGCACTGAAGACTCCACACGGAAGTCAGTACCGAGAGACCCGGAAGGCGGGGAGCACTGAAGACTCCATACGGGGAGTCAGTACTGAGAGACCCGGAAGGCGGGGAGCACTGAAGACTCCACACCGGGAGTCAGTACTGAGAGACCCGGAAGGCGGGGAGCACTGAAGACTCCACACCGGGAGTCAGTACCGAGAGACCCGGAAGGCAGGGAGCACTGGACTCCACAGCGGGAGTCAGTACTGAGAGACCCGGAAGGCGGGGAGCACTGGACTCCAGACGGGGAGTCAGTACCGAGAGACCCGGAAGGTGGGGAGCACTGAAGACTCCATACGGGGAGTCAATACGGAGAGACCCGGAAGGCGGGGAGCACTGGACTCCAGACGGGGAGTCAGTACTGAGAGACCCGGAAGGCGGGGAGCACCGAAGACTCCACACCGGGAGTCACTACTGAGAGACCCAGAAGGCGGGGAGCACCGAAGACTCCACACCGGGAGTCAGTACTGAGAGACCCGGAAGGCGGGGAGCACTGAAGACTCCACACCGGGAGTCAGTACCGAGAGACCCGGAAGGCGGGGAGCACTGGACTCCACAGCGGGAGTCAGTACTGAGAGATCCGGAAGGCGGGGAGCACTGGACTCCACACGGGAGTCAGTACTGAGAGATCCGGAAGGCGGGGAGCACTAGACTCCAGACGGGGAGTCAGTACTGAGAGACCCGGAAGGCGGGGAGCACTGGACTCCAGACGGGGAGTCAGTACTGAGAGACCCGGAAGGCTGGGAGCACTGGACTCCAGACGGGGAGTCAGTACTGAGAGACCCGGAAGGCTGGGAGCACTGGACTCCAGACGGGGAGTCAGTACTGAGAGACCCAGAAGGCGGGGAGCACCGAAGACTCCACACCGGGAGTCAGTACTGAGAGACCCGGAAGGCGGGGAGCACTGAAGACTCCACACCGGGAGTCAGTACCGAGAGACCCGGAAGGCGGGGAGCACTGGACTCCAGACGGGGAGTCAGTACTGAGAGACCCGGAAGGCGGGGAGCACTGAAGACTCCACACCGGGAGTCAGTACCGAGAGACCCGGAAGGCGGGGAGCACTGGACTCCAGACGGTGAGTCAGTACTGAGAGATCCGGAAGGCGGGAAGCACTGAAGACTCCAGACGGGGAGTCAGTACCGAGAGACCCGGAAGGCGGGGAGCATTGAAGACTCCACACCGGGAGTCAGTACTGAGAGACCCGGAAGGCGGGGAGCACTGGACTCCACACCGGGAGTCAGTACTGAGAGACCCGGAAGGCGGGGAGCACTGAAGGCTCCACACGGGAGTCAGTACCGAGAGACCCGGAAGGCGGGGAGCACTGAAGACTCCACACGGGAGTCAGTACTGAGAGATCCGGAAGGAGGGGAGCACTGAAGACTCCAGACGGGGAGTCAGTACCGAGAGACCCGGAAGGCGGGGAGCACTGAAGACTCCACACGGGAGTCAGTACCGAGAGACCCGGAAGGCGGGGAGCACTGAAGACTCCACACGGGAGTCAGTACCGAGAGACCCGGAAGGCGGGGAGCACTGAAGACTCCATACGGGGAGTCAGTACTGAGAGACCCGGAAGGCGGGGAGCACTGAAGACTCCACACCGGGAGTCAGTACTGAGAGACCCGGAAGGCGGGGAGCACTGGACTCCACACCGGGAGTCAGTACTGAGAGACCCGGAAGGCGGGGAGCACTGAAGACTCCACACGGGAGTCAGTACTGAGAGATCCGGAAGGCGGGGAGCACTGAAGACTCCACACCGGGAGTCAGTACTGAGAGATCCGGAAGGCGGGGAGCACTGAAGACTCCACACGGGAGTCAGTACTGAGAGACCCGGAAGGCGGGGAGCACTGAAGACTCCACACGGGAGTCAGTACTGAGAGACCCGGAAGGCGGGGAGCACTGAAGACTCCACACGGGAGTCAGTACTGAGAGACCCGGAAGGCGGGGAGCACTAAAGACTCCACACGGGAGTCAGTACTGAGAGATCCGGAAGGCGGGGAGCACTAAAGACTCCACACGGGAGTCAGTACTGAGAGATCCGGAAGGCGGGGAGCACTGAAGACTCCACACCGGGAGTCAGTACTGAGAGATCCGGAAGGCGGGGAGCACTGAAGACTCCACACGGGAGTCAGTACTGAGAGATCCGGAAGGCGGGGAGCACTGAAGACTCCACACCGGGAGTCAGTACTGAGAGACCCGGAAGGCGGGGAGCACTGAAGACTCCACACGGGAGTCAGTACTGAGAGACCCGGAAGGCGGGGAGCACTGAAGACTCCACACCGGGAGTCAGTACTGAGAGACCCGGAAGGCGGGGAGCACTGAAGACTCCACACGGGAGTCAGTACTGAGAGATCCGGAAGGCGGGGAGCACTGAAGACTCCACACGGGAGTCAGTACTGAGAGATCCGGAAGGCGGGGAGCACTGAAGACTCCATACGGGGAGTCAGTACTGAGAGACCCGGAAGGCGGGGAGCACTGAAGACTCCACACCGGGAGTCAGTACTGAGAGACCCGGAAGGCGGGGAGCACTGAAGACTCCACACGGGAGTCAGTACTGAGAGATCCGGAAGGCAGGGAGCACTGAAGACTCCACACCGGGAGTCAGTACTGAGAGACCCGGAAGGCGGGGAGCACTGAAGACTCCACACCGGGAGTCAGTACTGAGAGACCCGGAAGGCGGGGAGCACTGAAGACTCCACACCGGGAGTCAGTACTGAGAGACCCGGAAGGCGGGGAGCACTGAAGACTCCACACCGGGAGTCAGTACTGAGAGACCCGGAAGGCGGGGAGCACTGAAGACTCCACACGGGAGTCAGTACTGAGAGATCCGGAAGGCAGGGAGCACTGAAGACTCCACACCGGGAGTCAGTACTGAGAGATCCGGAAGGCGGGGAGCACTGAAGACTCCACACCGGGAGTCAGTACTGAGAGACCCGGAAGGCGGGGAGCACTGAAGACTCCACACCGGGAGTCAGTACTGAGAGATCCGGAAGGCCGGGAGCACTGAAGACTCCACACCGGGAGTCAGTACTGAGAGACCCGGAAGGCGGGGAGCACTGAAGACTCCACACGGGAGTCAGTACTGAGAGATCCGGAAGGCGGGGAGCACTGAAGACTCCACACGGGAGTCAGTACTGAGAGATCCGGAAGGCGGGGAGCACTGAAGACTCCATACGGGGAGTCAGTACTGAGAGACCCGGAAGGCGGGGAGCACTGAAGACTCCACACCGGGAGTCAGTACTGAGAGACCCGGAAGGCGGGGAGCACTGAAGACTCCACACGGGAGTCAGTACTGAGAGATCCGGAAGGCGGGGAGCACTGGACTCCACACGGGAGTCAGTACTGAGAGATCCGGAAGGCGGGGAGCACTGAAGACTCCACACGGGAGTCAGTACTGAGAGACCCGGAAGGCGGGGAGCACTGAAGACTCCACACGGGGAGTCAGTACTGAGAGATCCGGAAGGCGGGGAGCACTGGACTCCAGACGGGGAGTCAGTACTGAGAGATCCGGAAGGCGGGGAGCACCGAAGACTCCATATTCACCTGTTTTTGTTTTATAATTGGAGTCATCAGCAGACAGTGTTTTTTGTTTTGTTTTGAGATGGAGTCTCGCCCTGTTGCCCAGGCTGGTGTGCAATGGTGCGATCTCGGCTCACTGCAACCTCCGCCTCCTGGGTTCAAGCGTTTCTCCTGCCTCCGCCTTCCGAGTAGGTGGGATTACAGGCGGGTGCCACCACGTCCAGCTAATTTTTTGTATCTTTAGTAGAGACGGGGTTTCGCCATGTTGGCCAGGCTGGTCTCAAACTCCTAATCTCGTGATCCGCCTGCCTCGGCTTCCCAAAGTGCTGGGATTACAGGCGTGGGCCGCCATGCCCGGCCGAGTGAAGTGGTTTTAAAGATCCAACTATAGATTTGGCTTTAGAAAAGTAATTGCCAATCTTAGATGCAGAAGCCCAAGGCTTTGATGGCCAGAAGTGGCGGTGGGGGGTGGGGTTGTCGGAGGGGCTGGAGCCGCGCAGGAAAGCGCCTTTCCAGCAAGGGGCTGCTGCCGTCTGGTCACCTTTCCAGAACTCCGACTAAGAAAGTGAGGATAGAAATGGGACCGTAGACGGAGAGGATCCCAGAGGAAAGAGAAGTTTCAGTTAGAACGTTTTATTCAAACATGAAGGGGAAGTTCCACCCCAGTGAGCACTGGGAAGTGCGTTCTCAGACGGGGATGGTTAAGAAGCCACAGTGGTGTGCCCCAGAAACCAGTAGCGTGAGCCACAGCTGCCTAATCCGTGCACAATAACCTCGCTGCCCATTCGTCCACATTTTCCTTAGGTTTTCAGAGAAGTATAATTTTGTGAGAAAGTTGTTGCATTTGGACTTTTAGCCTGGGAACAAAAAGAAAGTCCAGTGGACTGTGTTAGCACGCTCGGGAACCCGCGGCAGGCGAGTGGCTGTCTGGCACACCAGGCATCGATCTCCGCAAAACGAACTGGAAAATGCTCTTCCCCAGAAGCGCAGCACCTGAGCGTGTGACGTGCACATGTTTGTGTGGAAGGCCCGAGACGCCATCCAACCCCGTGGCTCTCAAACCGGGTCTCCAGAACCACGGCCTCAGCAGCATCTGCAGCTCCCAGCGTTCCAGATTCTCAGACTCAGCCCTTACCCACGAGTCGGAAACGCTGAGGCTGGCTCTGGAAACCCGTGTTCTCCTGGGGTCTCCACCCTGACTCTGATGCACCTGAAATCTAAGAGCTGCTGCTCGAGTTTGACAGTTCTCACTCAGTCAGAACCACCTGGGGACGCTGTTGAAATCCCACACTGGGATCCTGTTCCCAAGGACCCTGTGCATTTTGTCCTGGCTGTCAGCGAGTTTTAAAAGCTCCCCAGAGGCGTTTACTGTGCATCCAGGGATGGGGCCATCAGCAGGGTGGCTCCGTGGTGGAAGCAGACCTCGCAGTTCGAATGCACAGCTCCCATTATCTCATGTAAAGAGACAGGTTTTGTGTTTTTGAGCCTTTTGGAAGAGAAGCGACATGGAGATCTAAAAGAGTATGTGGTTTATGAAAGTTCAGTTAAAAAATGGTTAAGATGGTAAATTGTATGTTATGTGTATTTTACCACAAGAAAAAATAGAGGAAAATGTAGGATATTAAAAACAGTACTACCTGGAATTTGTATGCACACAAGTAATTTAAAGTCCAAAATGACACAAACTCCCTGGGCCGCCTCTGAACCAATGTGCTCCTGAGCCCTCTTCGGCCTCCCTGGGTCACGTCTCTGCAGATTAGAACCATGCTATGCTGAGCCCACCTTCCTGTTGCCATTTTGTGGGGAAGGAAAACGAGTTTAATCTCTTTTCCTGACCCCACCCTCCTTTTCCATAGTGAACAACAACAGAAGTCATATAATGGAACTCAGAATTGATGGGGCCCACAGCATACCGAGGCTCATTAAGCAATAAAGATCGTGACTGAGAATATTGTTCACGATTAATGACAGGCTGGGGGCCGAAAACGCACAGCTGACGGCCAGGAAGCCCAGTTGGTGAGAACCCTGCCAAGCATCCCCCACAAGGCGGTCGGTGCCATTGTCAGCAGCAGAGGACGCAGACCTGGGCAGGGTCTCCTCCCTGAGAAGCCCGCCCTCCGCGCCCGCACCTCCCCTCTGTCTGCCGCGCCCCTTCCCCGCCGAGCCCATCTGCGGCTGCAGCCACATCCTGCATTCCACCCACTTAAAGCCTGTTGTGCAATCCCTTTGGACCGGTGGACACCTAATTAAAACAAATTAACGATCTGAAGCAGAAACTGTGTTTAATGAAGCCTCGCTCAGGCTTGCGCGTAGTGCCAGGGCTGTTTGCCTACAAATATTTACCAGCCCTTGGTGCGGAAGAAGCACGGCCACCTGTCCCCAGCCTTCCTTCCACCCGCAGGCAGTGCCAAGCAGGGTTCCTCCCACCATCGCCACCACGACCCCTGGTCCCCATGCCCATGGAGCTGCAGGAGCAGCATCCACCTCCCTCTGGCCTGCTCTCCCTTGGGCCAGGGTCCTGCCAGGCCTCTGCTGGCCAACCCTTCTGATCCAGTCTGGGTCCAGCTTTGGCAACCTCAAGTTCACCCAGCAATTGGGTGGGGCTTCCTGTGGGTAGGGCCAACAGCCAGAAAGCCACCTAGGGTTAAAAGTAAAAAACTTGTGATTATTTTCCCGAAACAGAGATGAGACCCACCTTGAGGGTACTTGCTTCGAGAATTGCCTCAACTCTCATTTCAGGCCTGGTAAGATGGTGCGATTATTATAACAAAGAAGAAATAATTTGTTTTAAAGACAAATGGAAGGAGAAAGAGGAGAGGGGAGAGGAACCTCAAAGAGAAGGCGAGAACTAAGGTAGAAAGGCGGCCCAGGACAGCAGGAAGTGGACCAGCCGAGGGAGGCAGGAGGATGCCCCAGAGCCCTGACCTCCATCCGTCTCGAGTTCTTGGCCTCATCTGCCTCCTTCCCAGCATCTCACCTGACAGTGACTCTGAGGAGCACCTCCAGCCGGGGGCCCCCAGATCCGCACACTGTTCCCACCACGAGACCCTGCACACCCGGCTGCCCAGGTGAGGGCTCAGCTGCTCTCAGCCCTCCACGCGGCACAGGACTCCGCAGCCGTGAGCGTGAGTAATTCCAATGTCAGCCCCACAAGGCAAGGCCCAGAGGGAGCTCAGGGTGAGCCCCCTTCCACAGACAGAGTCCCTGAGCCACGCAGGAAGCCAACAGTCTCTGCAGGATCACAGACAAGGTGTAGAGCAGGTGCAGAGCTCTGTCACTGCTCCCAACATGCCCAGGATGGGATGGGATGAAACGGCCTCTCCACCAGGTGCCCAGGGCAGGGCCTGAGTCCACAGGACTGTCAGGGCCCCACAGAAATGTTTTCATCCCTTTTAAAATAAGAAGGAAGAAAACAAACTGGGAGGTAGAAGAAAATGTTTGATTGTATACAAATGTATTCATGTTTTTCCGATGCGGTTGTAAAATGTCATTTTTAATCTTTCTTATGGAGGGCAGGCCCTGCAGCAGCAGCTCTAGGGGCCAGGCCTGTGTGTCGCTTCCAGGACACTTCCTGGGCCGGCAACGACAGCACCAGGCAGCCAGCAGGGAGGCCAGCAGCCTTCCTTATCAGCCGCAGCCTGTGGTCTGGGCCTCTCCTCTAGAGTTGCCCCTTCCCCTTAAAAGAGCGTCTGTGCTGACAGTAATGTCTGGGCTGGCCCCTGGCCCATACTCTAAAGAAGACAGCCCCACTGCTGCCGCACACAGGCAGGCAGGTCGCTACCTGTCAGCTCAGGTCCCTGGAGACTCTGTGGCCCCACTGACCACCCCTGCCTCCTGGGCCCCGCTGGGGACAGGGCCGACACACGTCCATGCCTGCCTCTCCTTCCACACTGTCCCCGCTTCCCTCTGCCCTGCATTCCTGGTCCCTGCCTGCAGCCCCGAATTCCTGCAGTGTGCGAGGCAGCATGTGCATAACTCTGGAATTCACTTTCTCATCTGCCTGTCACAGCCTGAGCCCGTGAGCCCGCAGGGCTCAGCACAAGTCCCATCTGCTCACCGGGCAGACGCATGGCAGGCTGTGACTCAGGAGAGGGAAGTCCCTGGGCTACAGACTATTAATTGTAAACCCAGGAGGCCAGGTGACACCCTATTCTGAACATCAAATAAGGGAAAATGAATGCATCGCATACTAGGCAGGCCAGCTCCCAGGTGCTCAGGCAGGACACGGCCATCCCTGGGGTTGGTTCTCCCTGTGCCTGGCACTCTCCTCTCCAGGTGCACCAGAGCTGACTCTGCACTGCCAAGTGGGCTTGGGGAGCACTGCACCCCACAGGAATGCTACCTGCTGGGAAGGGCACAAGAAGACAGGAAGCCATCAGCCACACAAAGGGACAGCCTCCAAAATCAACACGTTCGGAATCAGCCACGCAAAGGGACAGCCTCCAAGATCAATACGTTCACAAGAAACCAGCAGCCGAAAAGAAGACTTTACCTCGAGCCATTCCGGGAAGCACGAGTCACTCCCACTTCCAGGCACACACCAGCATTTACCTGGTTTGGAGCTGCCCAGCCCAGCCCAGCACTCTTGCCAAGGTACCAGAGCCTGGAGGAGGAGAAGAGGTGCCTGGCCCCACTGTGCTGTGGGACGGGCAGGGCTGACACACATGTGCCACTGTGTTGCACAACCACAGCCTAGCGGGCTTCCTCTGCCTTCACCCAACCCGCTAAGGACATTGCTGAGGTCAAACAGGTCTTACATGCAGTTTTTTGGACTCCTGAACTGAATGGACTTCGTAAACATAGTTTACTTCTTAAATTTAGTCTTTTATCACGTTCTTCCAGATAGAGAACGGCTCCCTTAGGGACACCTAGATCATGTTTCTCCCAACCAGCCATTGTTTGCCGGAAAACCCAGCTCATGGCCACCACCTCCACAGCGCAGCATAATATCCATGTGAACCGGTTAGTGCTGTTAGCATTAGAAATGCCGGATTCTTAATGCTTAGAGCTGAAAGCGACCGTCCTCAGGGCCAGCGCTGTCACCTCACACGGGAAAAGCACGACGCATCACGTGCTCTGAGGTCAGCCCTGCTGTCTGTGCAGCTCCACCTCCAGTCTCACCATCCCCACAGCCCTGCCCCAGTAAGTTCACTGGACGCTGGATGCTAGATGCTGGCCTCGTCCGCTTGTAGCCTTCACCCCTGCCTTCCGAGTATTGTCAAGTGAGAGGCCCGCTCACATCAGTGAATGCCCGGTACTGCAGGAGGAATCGTGATCTGAACAATCAGATTTGAATATCTTTCATAAGCCTTCTTTCTAAATCTCCAGCGAGCTCACACTTGCCTGATGGAATCTAACCGTCATGCCCTCCCCGTCTTGGCACCCCAACAACTTTTGCAATATTATCATGACCTGGCAAGAATGTGCTGTTTGCAGATGCAGGCGACCGCGTGTTCTTTGTTGACATGCCAAGCAAAGGAGGCTGGAAGAGGAGCCCTTCCAAGATGCCACCTGCAGTTCTCACTGCTCTCGTCACTACATTAAACATATTTGGCCGCTGTTAGTCAGTTCGGATAAAAATACAAGTAGATTTCAGCCGTGTTTGGTAATTCCTAAGAGAAGGTTCACTGAGTCCCACGAGGGGCACCAAGACACTTTATCCCCCAAGACGCCCACCAGGAAGACAGGTGCTCCATGTTCCGCTGGTTTCCACCTCACACTGTGAACGGTGGTTTGTGTTTTTCAACAACACCCAAGGCTTTTTTTCTTTTGCCTTATAAGGAGTACTTTCCCCACGTGGTCAGCAGTGTAGGGACTGGTGTCCTCGACTGCGGAATCTGCAGGGCCTGTGCCCACTGCTCTCTCCTGCCTGTGTGTGGGCCTGACCTGGGGCCCCCTGCTCTGGATATGCCCAGGACTTCCCCTTGGTGTAGCCCCGGAAGTCCTGTGTCCTGGAGCGAGGCCTCTGTGCCAGGCAGACCAGGGTGGTTGGTGGGGTCCTGTGCCGACCTCCTAAAATCACGCCCCCTTCCATTTGTCTTATAGCAAACAGATTTTGACAACACAAAGCTTTCTTTAGAAATTTAAGGTTGGGCACGGTGGCTCATGCCTGTATTCCCAGCACTTTGAGAGGCCAAGGTGGGCAGATCACCTGAGGTCGGGAGTTTGAGATCAGCCTGGCCCACATGGCAAAACCCCGTCTGTACTAAAAATACAAAATTAGCCAGGTGTGGTGGTGCGCACCTGTAGTTCCAGCTACTTGGGAGGCTGAGGCAGGAGAATCGCCTGTACCCGGGAGACCAAGTGAGCTGAGATCGAGCCACTGTAGTCCAGCCTGGGCAACAGAGCAAGACTCCACCTCAAAAAAAAAAAAAAATTAAAGTGCAATTTTTAGTGAAGGCTAAAGAAAAATGGTGGGAAGAGCTGAGGGATGTGATCTCAATCCTGATGAAGGCCTGAGAAGAGCCATCAAAGGAGTCAGAACCAGAATGGGATTCTAAGGAGCTCTGGGGCCCCTCCCTCGTCCTCAGAATGCATGGCTTTTATTTACACGTGACGTAGTCTGCATTTGCCGGGGGACTGCTGGGACACTCCAGCAGGTTTTCCATCTCGAGTTCCTGTAACCAGCAGCGAAGGCATCAGAACGGCCACACATTACCAAGCTGGGGTGCATCCTGCCTGGTGGCTTCGCCCTGATCCTTGCTGCGTGGCCTCAGCTCTTCTCCCTCAGGAGCTGCAGGGGCTTTGGTCCCTGCCCCCTGTGAGACTGAGGCACCAACAGCTGCCTGGTTCTCAGCACTTACTGGGATTGAGTTGAACATCACATCAAAACTTGCAGAGAGCAGTGGTCAGCGGCCCCCAGGCTGGGCTAGTGCCGGTGACTCAGCCCTGAGCACGCAGGAGGCAGCCTGCCTGTGCCCGGCCCAGGGCCCTGGGTTTCCCCTTTGCTTTGTTCCCCAGGGGGTGCTGGCTGGCACGCTGTCTTGGAGGGGCAAGGAGACGCCAGCCCAGGCAGTTTCCAGGGCAGGCCACAGCAATGCCTGGCGTGCGTGGCGGTGAGTGTGGCCATCTGGTCATTAGGGCCGAGCTGCTGCCAGCGCCAGCGGCTCTTTCTCCGTCTCATTCCAGGGGCTTTGGAGCCCACGACAGAGATCCTGGGGAGAGCCTGGCTAAAGTTCATTCTCATGTCTTCTCCATCTTGGACAGAGAGAACGACTTGCACTGTGGGAAGATGTACACCTGTGCATGTGTGTTCTTGCGTGTGTGTGAAGACTAAGACACCAGGTGTCAAGGACAGCAGGAGAGTGAGGAGCCAAGGGCGACATGGACCTCAGAGTCCCAGGGAGCAGGAGTTGCAGGAGGAGGAGCAGAGGCCAGCTAAGGGCGGAAGACCAGGACCTCGTGCGAAGCAGAGGGTAGGGAGGCCCAGGGCAGTGGCCACAAAAACCAAACAAGGGACAAATTCTGCCCTGTGTTGCCGAGGAGAGAGGCTTCGAGCTTTGTTCCCCACGGGAGCTGTCATTGGAGCAAGGGGACAGATGCAGGGGGCTCCCGCACTGGCTGTGCACCAGGCTCTCACCCTCTCCTCACCCACGCGCCAGGCTCTCACCCCCTCGTCACCAACCACACTTCTTGGCACGTTTTCTTGTTAATTTCTAGCACGCTGACTTCCATGATAAAAGCTGCCACACACTTCAGAGCTAGTAAGAATGAAGCTGTTGAGGGAAAATTTGCTTCTCGTAAGTGGGTAAACCCCAAGAGCTCAAGCTGATCAGGTCCCGGTGGATAACACACCTCCTGCAGCTGAGCCTCCCACCTCACTCTCAGCCACTCACAGAGGAAGCCACTGATGCGGACGCTGAAGGTGTCCCCCAGACCCTCAGCTCCCTCCAATGAGCCCCCAGAGCAGGAGGCCTGGTCATCCACCCCCGTGCACAGCAAGTCAGTGCTAATGTGCCCTCAGCCCTCAACTGTCCTGAAAAACATGTAACAAAACATTCAGAAAATGCATGCACCCAGGAGCGTTGCAGAGTCCATGACAAACATTCACCGCCACACTTTTTCAGGGAAGGAATAGGGGTTGGTAACACTCTCTGGTCCAGGGGCTCGGGGAGGTGAGGCGGCTTCTCCACACAGCGAGGGGTCCGCTCCAGCCAGCATGGTCTGCAGACCTCGCACAAAGTGCCTGGAAGTGCTCAGGGCCATCCGAGGGTGAATGTTCTGCTCCCTCAGCTATCCTTGCCCTTGGCACACCCGGGCTGCAGACGGCCGGCAGGGAAACCATGGAGGAGGCCACGCGGCAGTGCCGGTATCTGATCACTCACCCAGAAAGGAGGCAAGTGAGTGGATTGTCAGGTGAGTCGCAATCCTTTGGAAATCGTTCATCTTACCTAACATTTATTCTAACTCCCTCTGAACCAGGCCTCCCCTGCCCTGCTGGATAACAGAGAAGTGACAGGCAGGACGTGGAATCCCACGCAGCTGTCCAGCCCTCCCCAGCACTCATGGCTTTGGGCTCCCAGACCTTGGCCCAAACCTGGAAATTTTACCATAGCCAGGGAAGAGGCTGAAAATACCACAAGAATGGAACCTTATAGCTCTTGGAGATTTCTGCTTCTAGCCGAGTGGGAACCAGGAAAGGCAGTGAAGCCAGCAGCCGTGTCCCGTGGCCTCCTGAGTGTGGGATCTGTCACTGAGACATCGGGGCACCAGGGCTCGGCGTATTGTCACCGCCACCCCACACTCGCCGCACTCGATGCTTCTCAGCCTGAATTGCAACGCCACATAGGTCTTCTGCTTCGGAGAAATAAACACGCTGAGAGAATGTGAAGGAGTTTTCCCTAGGGACACGGAAGAGGGTTCCGGTTATCTTGCTCACTTCCCAGCAAATTCTGTTCAGGAGCCAAATGCCCTGATAGGACAGAGACCTTAAAAATATGGGCCTAGTTGCTGCTGCTGTGTTTGTTCTGGAAGCTTCCAGACCCTGAGGGCCGGCAGCTCTGGTCTCAGGAACCTGGCTGTGCTCCGCCTGCCCTGGTGTGGGTCACTGCAGCCAGGAGGAGGATGTGTAAAACCCTCCCTGGGGCCACATAGTGGAAAGAGAGGTGTCCCGCCCAGCAGGGCAGTTTTGCCCCATCAGCCCAGGGACTCAGGGACACCCAGGAGCAAAAGGAGCCACGGCCACTCACAGTGCCACGAGGAGTGAGTTACAAGGCCGGGGAGAGTCACACAGCCACGGAGCATCAGTCACACAGCTGCAGAGCATCAGTCACACAGCCATAGGGAGTCACACCGCCACGGAGAGCCACACGGCCGTGGAGAGTCAGTCACACAGCCATAGGGAGTCAGTCACACGGCCTCGGGGACTCAATCAGACGGCTGTGGAAAGTCAGTCACACCACAACGAGTAAGTCTTGCAGCCGCAGGGAATCAAATGACAGCAGGGCAAGTGACACCTGATTGGAAGCCAGCATTCCAGGGCACTGGAGGTGGTAGCTCAAGCTCTACAGCTGGTGGTCCCTGATGGCCGCAAGAACAACCCCTCGAGGCTCCGCTGCACCCCCCAGCTTTGTGCCAGCCAGCGTGCGAGTGTGGGCGCCGAGTGTGCTTTGGCCCGATCCTGGAAAACGAGGCAGCTCCGATGCCGAGATTCATATCTTGATGCCAGACAGGGCCCTGCACGTGCCAAGTGGGCTGAGTGGGTCTTGAGGGGCTGGAGGGACCCAGGCGGGTGGCTTTGCACCCAGACGAAACACATGGGTGAAAAGGCAACTGACTAAATCCCGGCTTCTTCAGAGCTATTTGTAGATGGCACACTTGGCACCCTCAGTGGGAGTGTGTGCCAGCCTACGAGGAGCCCAGGACCTGCGTGGGGGCCTTGCAGCCCTGTCAGCCTGCAAATCTGGCTGAGAAATCACGTCATTTTGTGTGTCTAGAATAAACTGTATTCAGGTTGGAGTGAAGTGCATTGCATTTTCGTGATGAAGGCCATGAACTCTGAGTTACACGACAAGTATTTTGAGGGAGACACATGGTTGCCCAGTTGTCCAAGCACACTGCCCGGCTAGGGAAGGAGGGTGGAGTCTGGAATACTGGAGTGTTTGCAGGACTCTGGGGGAGCAGCTGGTGTTGCATGTGGGTCCCATGAGATTATAGACGTGTCTCTTCTTTATCAAAGTGGCAGTTCCTCCAGCCACGCCAGGTTCTATTTCCCTGGGATCACTTAGTCCCGTTGGAACCCAGAATGAGCCTGCAGACCTTCATCCCACTCACTCACCCAGAGACACCACCCACAGAAGCGGGCACGGGGGAGGCCTGGCCTGGCCGTGGCTCCCAGGATCCAATGTGAAATGCCCCCTGCGTGTTTGAAGACAGAGCTTGCTTCTAAGGGGAAGCCATAGAGAGAGCAGAAGGACACAAATGCTGCTGCCAAGTCCCTCCCACAGCTCGATGCAGAGGACACAGGTGATGGGAGGCTGGGCCGCTGGGGGCCTCTCACCACTCATCTTTATTCATTGCATCTTAGTTCTCTCCTCGTTATTGAGGCCTAACGTCCAGCCGCTAAACTGCTGTTTTGTGTCTCCTACACTGTGTTCAGGACACAAGCACAGAAGTCCATTCCCACTTGGCCAACAGGCTGCTGGTTGGCACCTCTGGTGAGTGACAGACCCTTGGGAATTAAAAAATAACAACAATCAGCACCGCTCGATCCCCTGTGGTGGCTGCTTCTCCTGGGCTTCTCTCCTCCTGGGTACGATGTGTGAGCCCTGCAAAGCCAGTGCTCCCAGAGCCCTACACGAAGCCGGGCTTTGCCGTCGCTCCTCTCTCCACGTGCCCCTTTTTCCTCCCCACCCCAGATAGTGCGGGGCCCCAGGTCGCCTTTCCAGGTAAGGGTGATGGACCAGAAGAGCCACAGCTGTTCCTCCCTCGTGTGGCCTCCCAGGCCAGCTCTGTAACTTGCAGGATTTGACTCTGTGAGATGCAGTTCTGTGCGTCTGAAGAAAGGGTTTGCTCCTGAACAGTGACAGCAAGAGTCACTTTCTGGTGATTTCTCTCTCCTTTGAATCACATTCCTCTGGCTCTTAAGCTCCAAACGCTGACATGCCTGAACATGCCGTGGGGTCGGGAGTGCTGAGATTTGGCCCAGGGAAGGCTGCTGACACCACTGGCGTTAGCTCAGCCCTGACCAAATGGCCAGACAAAGCTCAGCAATTTGCTGGACTGCCCTGGAAAACAGCATCCCTGTCTACAGACTTAGGGAGTTCCTGGAAAACAGCATCCTTGTCTACGGACTTAGGGAGTTGGACCTGGTCACTTTTTAGGCTGTTCCTAACGCTGAAACTACGTTCCCACTTGACCAAGTCCACAGCAGCCCCATGGAGGACTGCCTGGTTGTCCCATCTGAACAGAAGGGTGAGCCAAGCCCGGGGAGAGCCTGCGCCACTGACAGCGCCACGGCCAGAGCAAGTCTGGGGTCGGTGTCAGGGCGCGTGAGAGGCTGTGTGCTGCCTGCCTGCCAGAAATAATTCAGAAGGGGTAACAAGCTAATTAATTAATGGGAGAGCTCTGCGACCCTTGTGTGAAAGCCACACCAAGAGGTGTTATTAAGTCCCTGTCACAGAAAAAAATCTGAGAAACGAAGGCCTGGTCAGTTGCCGCCTCCTCCACCCAGAGAGCTGCACTGTGGCCCGAGGGTCCGAGGACAAGGTCTCAGCTCCCACGGTGTCCCGAGAGACCCCCACCCTGGGTGGGGGGGATGAGGGCAGGGGCTGGTGGGACCAGCGGCTCCCCACGCTGGAAGGCCCCATGCAGGCCCCGCTGTTTTCACTAATGTTTAGGCATAATGTCTGTCCTATAAAATAACCGTGTTATCATCCAAACAGCTGACTCACATCTTCAGAGTTTTGACCCAAACTTATACATCTGACATTTCAGATCTGTGAGTCAGCTCTTGCATCCAGCCACCTTTTGGAGTTTCTTCAATGGAAATATGAGGACTTAGAGTCACCTCTGGCCCTTTCCATCCTGGGGTCCGAGCCTTCTCCTCTCTGCTTCCTGCGCTGGGAAGGCTCTTCTCACCTGGTGAGCACCTCGACCAGGAGCAGCCACGCAGCTTCTGCAGCTGCACATCAGCCAGGAGAGGCTTGCATTTTATTTATTTTTATCTTTTTTTTTACGTTTTTAAGACAGAGTCTCGCTCTGTCACCCAGGCTGGAGTGCAACCTCCGCCTCCCAGGCTCAAGCGATTGTCTTACCTCAGCCTCCCGAGTAGCTGGGATTACAGGCACCCCCACCACGTCCAGCTAATTTTTTTGCATTTTTAGTAGAGACAGGGCTTCACCATGTTGTCCAGGCTGGTCCTGAACTCCTGAGCTCAAGTGATCCGCCCGCCTCGGCCTCCCAAAGTGCTGGGATTTCAAGTGTGAGCCACTGCACCAGGCCTGCATTTTAGATACAACATGAAAATCAATCCCTGGTTTCTTTCAAAACACCATCTGTGGGTTCAGGGCTGTTTTCCAATTCCATGATGACATCATTTCATGTGAGGGAACAGTCAGAGCTTCCGACAGCCAATTGGAAGGGTGGGCAGGTGTCCGCACTGTCCACAGAGAACCAGTCGGAAGAGTGGACAGGTGTCTGCAATCTCCACAGAGAGCCAACTGAAAGAGTGAGCAGGTGTTCACAAAGTCCACAGAAAGCCAATCGGAAGGGTGGGCAGGTGTCCACAGTGTCCACAGAGAGCCAATCAGAAGGGTGAGCAGGCATCCACAACATCCACAGAAGGCCAATTGGAAGGGTGGGCAGGTGACCGCAGCATCCAGAGAGCCAATCAGAAGGATAGGTAGTATCTACAATGTTCACAGAGAGCCAATCGGAAGGGTGAGCAGGTGTCTGCGGTGTCCACAGAGTGAGGCTCTCCTCAGAGTGAGGAGAGAAGACAGTGCGGGTCACCAGCCCAGGCCAGAGAGAGACAGTCTGGACTTGAGTCCAAACCCTGCCAAGTGCCGCTGTGGACTCGGCCTCGCGTGTTCTCTCTCTAAGCCCGAGCTCCTCTGCAGCAGGACCTGTCTCACAGGCTGATGTGAAGATTCAGCTCATAGGGTGTTCAGTGCACTGCCTGGCAAATGCAAGGTGCCAATGTTACCTGTGGTTGATGCCACACCAGGGAAGGACTCCCAAGCCCTCCCCACACAGAACACACAGCAGACACTGTGACTGGAAGACACAAAGGCCTTTATTTTATTAATGACTCTTGATTTTCTGTGGATTTCCTTTTGTCAAAAAGAGCATCCTTTGCCCTCCTTTTTAATGTATCATGCTGAAATCGCAGTTTTACGAAAGCAAATATTGCAGTAACGTGCACTATAGAAACAGAAAGTGAAATAAGAAAGAATTGCAGATTTGTTTACCCTGCATATTAAGTGGACTCCAAAATTACTTTAGAAATAAGCCCCTTTCAGGGAACAAAAAAAGTCTAGCACACTTACTTCAAGTGCAGAGAATAATCGCGTATCAAAGGACCACTAGGACTTACCAAGCTTCCCAGGGCAGAAGGCTCACCCTGTGTTAGGGTTCCGTAATCAAGTTGACCGAGTCAAGGATGGAAGGAATGCCTCCACTTTAACATCAGATGCTGCTTTTCTCCCATCCTCTGGGTCTCTGAAATCAGCGCAGCAGCGTCTGTGCATTCCCAGCAGCCTCCTTGCCGGCCGTCTCTGGCCGCCAGGACTGCGCAGGGCTGCCTGGGAGGCTGTGGCCGCCCTGCCCACTGCCTCAACTCCCTGGCTTTGTGGCAGGATCATCTGTCTCCCTGTTGAGTTGCTCTTTGTTCTGCTGGTTCTGACTGTGGTTTTAAACATACATGACTGACCAAAGATCCTCAGCACAGAATGGAGTTGTTAGACATTCCTGTAAAGTAATGCCATGAATTTTTCAGCAAAATTAGTTGAATTCGCCACTAAATTTTGCTTGTCAGACTGGACACTGTTCTTATTAAATCTTTGCTAGAAGATTTAATTAGACTCTAGTAGAAGATTTTGAAATCTGTAAAAGATTTAATACAATAGGATTTTATTTGAAGTAAATGATGACTCCATTAAAGGATCAATTAATAAAACATTCAAAAAAATTGTGACAATAAAAAATGTATATTTGGAAATAAGCATAAGATTCCACCAACAGTAAAAGAAGCTTTTTATAGATTTTTGTTGTGGTGGTTTTCCTTATATCTCTTTTCTGTGCTTTCTTTAAAAACGCCGCCAATTAGATGGATTTAACATTCAACCGAGGCAGGTTTTTATTCAAAGGAGACGATTTTAGTCTGAAGAGCAGCGGATTTAAAGCAGAGACTTCCCTGCTGTGCACTGATCAGCTATTGATTAGGGGGAGGGGGGGTGGTTAAACAAAATCATCAATGCCAAATAATAGGCCCTCAGCCTGCGGGGACTGACCTGGGCACATTTGTGATAGGAAAAGTAAAGCCAGCCTTTGTGGAGAACCAAAGGCCCTGGTCTCTCTCGAGCAAAAGAAATGTTAATTGAAAAATTCCTTAAATAGGTGGAGGCTCTGAAGTCTGCTTTACATAAAAGGTATGAAATCACAATCAGGGGAAAGAAAGGCCGTGGTGTCGAGTGGGAGTTTTCTCCCTAATGGCGCTGATTAATTTCCCATTCATAGATGACAGGGGCTGACGGAACAAGTCCCTGACAGCTGGACCTGCCTGCACAGGGAAGTCTGATTTAATTGGCTCCTTGATGGGGAAAAGTAAAACAAAGAAACTTCCTATTGCATGCAGAGAAATAAAACCTGACGATTTACATAGATAATCAATGGTTGACTGTTTTCCATTTGTCAGTTTACAACCGCAGAAAAATGGTCACTTTGCCACCGTTAGTTTCTCACGATGATCCTTAAATCACATCTGGGAAGCGACTCTTCCCCCCAGAGCATCTCCACGTGACCACGCTCCCCAGATGGAGGCCCAGGTCGGAGGTCAGCCACTCACTTTCCAGATAAACTGAACTCAGAGCCGCACCAGGAACCTGGCGCCTGCAGGGCCAGCTCAGGAAGGCTGGGGGGCTGTGGCTGTGAATGGAGAGCCAGGGGAGGGCCGCTGGGGGGTTCCTCCTCCAGAAACTGAATTCCACATTCCCCTCTGAAGCCTGCCCCCCTCCCTGTCTCCTGCCACCACCCTCCAGCATCCAGGACCCTGGGCAGACACAGCAGATCAGGCCCCTTCCTCCTCTAACCCCCCTGCACCACTCCCCCACAGCCAAGGGAGCAGGTGACGTGTCATTAGCCGGAGTCGACGGAAAGAAAACCCTTCAGTTCCTTTTTACTTCACCCAAAAATCAACCAAGACAGAAGAGGTTGGAGCAGCCGCCCAGGGCGCCCAGCATAAGCACTGGCCACCAGGACAGCTGGGGAGACACAGTCAGGCCCAGCACGGTGTCGAGAAGCTCCATCGCTCAAATACCACATCCCCCAAAGACCCCGGCGTCCCAAAGATTCTCGAGGCCACAGGAAAGCCTGCACCCCACACTCTTCCTGGGTGCAGAGCTGCTGATCCAAATATGTGCACACACTCCTTTCCCATCTACTCAACACGGTACATGGAAAACACACAACAAATCCAAAAGTAAGAGGAACGAAGATTTGGAAAGTGGCTTTCAGATATCAACTGAGCAGGAACAGCAGAGCTGGCCAGCATCTGAAACTAGCTTGTATGCCTTAGAAATTCACCCCTCCCTGCAGAGTAAACACTGTCTCAACACAGAACCTGTGCTTTGGAAGCAAGATGTGGTGAACATGGGGGAGTTTCCGTTTAAACGACTGAGTCTCCCTCACTGCAAAGGACAATGTCGCTGGATCCCACGTGTTAAACGACTGCGTCTCCCTCACTGCAAAGGACAGTGTCGCTGGATCCCACGTGTTAAACGACTGCGTCTCCCTCACTGCAAAGGACAGTGTCGCTTGATCCCACGTGTTAAACGACTGCGTCTCCCTCACTGCGAAGGACAGTGTCGCTTGATCCCACGTGTTAAACGACTGCGTCTCCCTCACTGCGAAGGACAATGTCGCTTGATCCCACGTGTTAAACGACTGCGTCTCCCTCACTGCGAAGGACAGTGTCGCTTGATCCCACGTGTTAAACGACTGCGTCTCCCTCACTGCGAAGGACAGTGTCGCTTGATCCCACGTGTTAAACGACTGCGTCTCCCTCACTGCAAAGGACAGTGTCGCCGGATCCCACGTGTTAAACAACTGCGTCTCCCTCACTGCAAAGGACAGTGTCGCCGGATCCCACGTGTTAAACGACTGCGTCTCCCTCACTGCAAAGGACAATGTCGCTTGATCCCACGTGTTAAACGACTGCGTCTCCCTCACTGCAAAGGACAGTGTCGCTTGATCCCACGTGTTAAACGACTGCGTCTCCCTCACTGCAAAGGACAGTGTCGCTTGATCCCACGTGTTAAACGACTGCGTCTCCCTCACTGCAAAGGACAGTGTCGCCGGATCCCACGTGTTAAACGACTGCGTCTCCCTCACTGCAAAGGACAGTGTCGCTGGATCCCACGTGTTAAACGACTGCGTCTCCCTCACTGCAAAGGACAGTGTCGCTTGATCCCACGTGTTAAACGACTGCGTCTCCCTCACTGCGAAGGACAGTGTCGCTTGATCCCACGTGTTAAACAACTGCGTCTCCCTCACTGCAAAGGACAGTGTCGCCGGATCCCACGTGTTAAACAACTGTGTCTCCCTCACTGCAAAGGACAGTGTCGCTGGATCCCACGTGTTAAACGACTGCGTCTCCCTCACTGCAAAGGACAATGTCGCTTGATCCCACGTGTTAAACGACTGCGTCTCCCTCACTGCAAAGGACAGTGTCGCTTGATCCCACGTGTTAAACGACTGCGTCTCCCTCACTGCAAAGGACAGTGTCGCTTGATCCCACGTGTTAAACGACTGCGTCTCCCTCACTGCAAAGGACAGTGTCGCCGGATCCCACGTGTTAAACGACTGCGTCTCCCTCACTGCAAAGGACAGTGTCGCTGGATCCCACGTGTTAAACGACTGTGTCTCCCTCACTGCAAAGGACAGTGTCGCTTGATCCCACGTGTTAAACGACTGCGTCTCCCTCACTGCAAAGGACAGTGTCGCTGGATCCCACCTGTGCTCTTAAACGACTGCATCTCCCTCACTGCGAAGGACGGTGTCACTGGATCCCACATGTGCTCTGTGCCTCTCACTGGATCCCACATGTGCTCTGTGCCATCCTCCCAGCCTCCAGGCTTCCAGAAGGGCAGGAGCCCGGTGCTGGGCTGGGCAAAGGAGCACCTGGTCCAATGAGGCTCACAGAAGAAGTAACTCCTGGCGGAGCCTGTCCAGGGAGAAATGCAGCCCAGCAACTCCACAGCTTCCTCAGAAAGGGCCTGTGCAGGGTGATGGAAAGGGCCCAGGAGGGCAGGCTGGAGCCCCAGAGCCGATTTGCACATGGAGGGGCTCGTACAGGGCTGGAGCTCAGGGCAGGAGTCAGGAACTCGCTTGTGTGTTCTTAAAAACAAAACAGCCCCCAGGCTCCAGAAGGGTCCTGACACCCACATCCCAGGGTCTCAAGTCCTCAGTCAGGAGCAGCTGCAAAAAGGGACTGCAACTGCCGTGCTCCATGGAGATGCAGTCAGCCCGGGGTCCCTCCTCAAGGGAGCACTATGCTGCCCGGAGGCAGGTTGGGGGACTGTGGCTTTTCGGCCATCGCAAACAGGAGAGACCCATGGACAGCACACCAGGCCCCGGCTGCCAGGTGCCTTGGGGTCTCTGTACATGCTGGCCCCTCTCCCGAGGAAGGTCTTGCTCCTCGGCCCCGCCTGGTCAGCCACAGTGGGTTCTCCGGGTGTCTGCTCAAATGCTCCTTTCTCAAGGGAAGTGCTCTATGGCCACAGCCCTTGTCAGACTGGGTTCAGGGCCCAAGTACAGCTTCTAGTGACCACGAGCCTGACCCTCTTGGCACTTGGAAAAGCCAAATCCTTGCGGGGGATTGTGCATGTCTCTGCCCCAGCCTCTCCCTGGGGTGAGGCCGTGCTATCTGAGTCCCGGGGCTGACCCAGTGCCTGGCTCACAGGACCCTCTCCACCAACAGCAATGGAGCGAAAAGCCCGATGTCTGGGGGACTCCAGCAGAGCCCCTCGTGACTCTTCCCCCTGCTTCACGGTGATGCCTGCACCAGCCCACAGTGGAAGAGAGAAGCTCCTTGTCAACTTCTGTGTGGCACACCGTTCCAAGGGATGTCGGGGGCCAGACTCCCCCAGGAACAAGAAAGGCAGGTGCAGCGCCACTAATACGGCGTGATCAGTTCAGAGCATCGCTTTCTTCTAAGCTAAAATATCAATGGTTTGGGAGGCTTGAAACGTGTTTTCTAGAGAGCCTGTGAGTATGGCTGTGTGGTTTTATCAGCCTCGACGCCCAGAGTGGCCTTGAAAACTAAACTGGGAGTGAGTGTTGGGGGCGTGCACTGGCCACTGCTCCCAGGCCTCTGAAGTATAAACAATGGGCTCAACTGCAAAGACTCCTGTTAGACATCAGAAGGAACCAAGGCTGCAAAATGCTAGGCATCAGAACAAGAACTCAGTCATAAAAATATATATTTATAACAAAATATAGCTAGAACATAAATGCCCAACAAAAGGGGGCTAGTTAAATAAACTTAGAATCTGTACCAATAGAACATCCTGTAGACACTAACAATTATGCGTAGAAGAAATTTCAAACCACCATCTGCAATTAGGTTGGTTGCTGGCTAGCCTCCACCTCAAATGTCTCTGACTTCTCTGTCTCAGAGCCACGGACTCCTTTGACAAGCCAGTGAAAGAAACTGACCATTTACCTAGAAAAACTCACCAACACCCACCATTTTGCCCAGTTTTAAAAGTCTCACAAAACCAACAAAGCCCACACGGAGACCTCCTACTGGGAATACCACATCTCCAGGGGCCACGCCTCCAGCTTCCACGCCTCCAGTGGCCATCACTGCCTGCTGCCTTGTCCCAGAAACCATGGCAAGAGTGCCCAGGCTTGAGCCCACACGGGTGTCAGTGGGGTGGGTGACACACATCTCTTCAAAAAGCAGCATCCTTGTTCCCTGCATGCTTGCTGAGCTTGACATAAGTGGAGTCCCCCAAACCCAGAACTCAGGTCCCCCACCAGACCTTAGTTTGGAATGACTGAACTACTGATCAGTAGGATACTCCAGCCCCAGAAGAATTAGGAAGGGCTGAGGGGCCTGGGGAGTGGTAGCTCCTTCCTAAGAACTCTCCAGCAGACCCCCATGTCCTGTAATACACAGAGAGGAGAGAAAACACCACTCAACCTGTTGTCCGTGGGGAAAGGGCCCTGTGGTTTCCAAGAGACCGAAGGATTCCAGACCCAGTTAAAACAGCACAATTCTACCTGAACTCAGGGACACAGGGACGCAGGCAAAGTCAACCTGGTTTTCCCAAATCCACCGCAGATCCCATGTAAGAGTAAAATGGGGCCACGCTTTCAGGAAGTAGCTCGTCCCTAAGTATGAAGCATCTGAAGTGGGTTCTAGAATAAGCAGTTCACCAAGAAGAAATGCAAGTGAACCATGAACATATTTTTATAGGTTAGATTCACAAGTAATTAAAATTGTACATGGTACCAAATTTGCAAACTTTTTAGTATCTATATTATTAATGTGATAAATATTATAATAAATACATTTATAAATATTCCATAATATTTAGTATCTGTATTTAGAGTTAGCAAGGACACAAGAAACTGTCATAAACTACACACACACGTTCAGATATTGGGAGGACAATGTAGCGTATAACTGAGAACCTTTCAAAGGTTTGTGCATTTTAACCAGTAATTCTGTTTCCCAAAATTGATCTTAAAGAAATAATTAGAAGTTTATGGAACCATTTTTATACGAGCATATTCATCGCAGCTTTATTTAATAGGAGTAATAAATAGATGCAACAATCATGATCAATGAAAGGGGGTTAAGTAAATTTTAGAATATCTGTATGATTAAACACTTTCTAGACATGATAAAATCATGTTTTAAAGAATATTTAATGACACAGGAAGATGCTCACAACATCGTAGTTAAAGAACTAGTTCCATTGCACGGCAATGAGTGTGCGGCTGGCAGTATCACACCACGCGCATGGGAATTTTGAGGAGAGTGAGTTTAATGCTATGTGGGTTTTTCTCACAATTAAAGGAAAGCTGCTTACAAAACTGAAGGACCCCAGTTTTGAGAAAGATGTATGTAATATAAGCAAAGGGAGGAAAACTTTAAGGATACACATTACATATTAACAGTGGCTCTGTTAGTTTTTTCTTTCTTCTTTCTTTCAGCTAGCTACAATGTCTCTTTATGAACTGAAAGAAAGGGAAATTATTTTGTTTCATATTTCTTTTTTTTTTTTTTTTAGATGGAGTCTGGCTCTGTTGCCCAGGCTGGAGTGCAGTGATATTTTGGCTCACTGCAACCTCTGCCTTCAAGCAATCCTCCTGCCTCAGCCTCCCAAGTAGCTGGGATTACAGGTGTGTGCCGTCACGCCCAGGTAAGTTTTTTTGTTTTTTGTAGAGATGGGGTTTCACTGTGTTGCCAAGGTTGGTCTTGAACTCCTGAGCTCAGGCAGTCCACCTGCCTCAGCCTCCGAAAGTGCTGGGATTACAGGCATGAGCCACCGTGCCTGGCCTTGTTTCCTGTTTCTACATGTGTCCCATTATTCTACTCCTGAAAAGTTAGCCCAAATAAGTTTTTTTAGCTCTAGAAAAAGAAAATATCTTTAAAGCAAGTTTATCCCAGAATTGTCTGTGAAAGCAAAGACTTTTACCATTTCAAATGTTCAAATAAGTATTAAAAAGAAGAAAATGTTAAATAAGAGAATATATCAAGTCAGTGGACTATTATATAGACAAGACAAAGGCAGAGACATGCACACATAATAATGTGAAGCAAACGAATCAAGGTTTAAAGTGAAGCTGTGACCCTAACTCTAAACACAGACAGTGGACGTTACGCATGGGAAAGGGAGGAAGAAATACCGGTCTCAGGCCGGGCGCGGTGGCTCACGCCTGTAACCCCAGCACTTTGGGAGGCCGAGGTGGGCAGATCACGAGGTCAGGAGGTCGAGACCATCCTGGCCAACATGGTGAAACTCCGTCTCTACTAAAAATAAAAATAAAAATAAATAAAAAAATTAGCCGGGCATGGTGGCAGGTGCCTGTAATCCCAGCTACTTGGGAGGCTGAGGCAGGAGAATCGCTTGAACCCGGGAGGCGGAGGTTGCAGTGAGCCGAGATCGCGCCACTGCACTCCAGCCTGGGCAAAAAGAGCAAAACTCTGTCTCAAAAAAAAAAAAAGAAAAGAAAAAAAGAAATACCAGTGACCCTAACTCTAAACACAGACAGCGGACATTACACGTGGGAAAGGAAGGAATACCACATGGCCAGTGCTGCCTATGCTGGCGAGACACAAATGATTTTATTTTTCTACTTCTTTCTTCTCTAGATTTTCTAGAATGAGCAGCAATTACTTTTGAATTGGAACAAATTGTGTTCATAAGCATAAAAATCACATCTAGATTTCTTTCTACCTCAAGGAGAGAAACATTTTATTTAAGGTCAAAGACTTGGAATTCTTCACACTTGCCCCTTGCTATACCATCGCAGACCGTAACGGCCCCAACAGAGACGCTTTGAGTACAGGGTGCCTGAGGCAGGATCCAGGCCTACAGAGGGCTCGACAGGCAAAGCCCCTCACAGCCCACAGGTCTGCCCCAAGACACTCCTCTGTGCGGTCAGGAAGCCATCTCTGAGCCTTGGAAAAGACGCAGGTGTGGCTTAAGGTATTAAAACATAAACGTTGTAAGAAATCCTACTATCGTGTTGGCCGTAAATGTGATAACCCTTAAAGAATCTTTGGATTCATTTCTGAAAGCATTTAGAACACAAGTTTTCTTTCTCTCTCTCTCTCTTTTTTTTTTTTTGAGACAGAGTCTTGCTCTATCACCCAGGCTGGAGTGCAATGGCGCAATCTCGGCTCACTGCAACCTCTGCCTCCCGGGTTCATGCCATTCTTCTGCCTCGGCCTGCCCAGTAGCTGGGAATACAGGTGCCCACCACCATGCCTGGCTAATTTTTGTATTTTTAGTAGAGACAGGGTTTCACCGTGTTAGCCAGGATGGTCTCCATCTCCTGACCTAGTGATCTGCCCGCCTCGGCCTCCTAAAGTGCTGGGATTACAGGCGTGAGCCACCGCACCCGACCCCACAGGTTTTATTTTTCATAAGGTAAGCTATTAAGGGATGTCTACACCTACACACACACACACACACACACACACAGCACCTCCAGTCAGCACACAGGAACACAAAGACACACTCACATATATGGACGGCAGACGCCAGTCCCGCCACATGCAAGCACACACCAAATCACATTCTCCCTCCTCACAGAGTCATACTCCTTTCAGTGAAACCAGAACGTCCTCCCGAGAAAGTCTCCAGAGTGGAATTTCCATCCCCAGAGGTCACGGGGAATCAGGTCTCTCCTCTGCCCGCTGACCTTCCACTGAGGAGTCTGCGATTTACAAGAACTTCTTTCTGAACACTCCTGATTACAGACACTCTAAACTGGGTGCCGCCTGAGCTCATAATAAAGAGAGAGTGAGTATTTGTCTTGTAATGAAAACAACTGACCTCGCACAATAGGATGATAGATAATGCATCAAACCAGCATATGAGCCCTTTAGAATCTCACATTTGGAACTGGCCAACATCAATTATTTAAACACAAATTGAATTAACAAAATATTCAACATATGTTCTTTTAAACTCTGCTAAATTGGATGAGACATCTAAAAGCTGATCTGTGGGCTCAGCCTCCTTCGAGAGGGGGGCAGGCAGCGGGGCAGGCGTCGGGGAGGGGCGGAGTGAAGCGCAGGGAGGTGGTCAGCTCCGGGCTGTGCTGGAGGCCTGAGCTCTCCACTCCCAGAGGAAGGGGTGATTAATGCCACCACCAAATGTGCCTGTGCCTAACCCTGACCTCATCCAGCCCTGCTGCCACCATCTGCTGTTTCTAATTCCTCTGCAATATTTGTATTTGCTGCCTCCCTCCGACAAAGAGCGGGGGCGGGGAGCAGTGCTCCCTACTTAGCGACGTGTGATCTGGTTGGCTGGCGGGGCCCGGCCAGAAGCATCTGTTGCTGCAGTCCAGCAGCATCTGCCACTATTTCTCACTTTCCCCAGCATGCTGGGAGATACGGTTTCTCCCAAAGGTGGCCTTTCCATGCACACTGTCAATCCCATCATTGTCCGCCCGCCTGTTCCCACGGTGCCGGCCCCGTTGCCATGCTGCCGGGCCTTTGCTTGCTGGCTGTCTGTAATCCAAGATATTGTGTGACTGAGTTATGCCATTAACCCTCCTCCTATGCATCGGGACATTCAATTAAGCTCAACAGGAGAGGCCGGCTGAGAGGGAGGTCTGTCTGCTGGGGAGGGACGGCCCACTTCTAGGAGCATTTACAACAATAATAATAACTGCGACGACCCGCGGGTACTGTCATAAATAGTGCTGAGGGCCAGGGAGACAGGAACGGTTCTTGGCAGGGCAGCTTTCTCCTCTCTCACTGTTTTTGTTTCTTTAACTTAAAATGCTATAAAAGGATGCATTGTTTTCTCCTGATTCTTGATAAGGCTATTAAGCATTGTGATAAGATGTGTGTGTGAACGCTATTATTTATGTGTCGAGTGTTAAACACCTTCTGCTAATGGGGTGCAGCCTGGCTGTGCATGCACGCAGTGTCCCAAGCTGTCCCTGGGCCTCACCCTTGGTCAAACGCCCAAACATCCAGAGCTGCTGCGGGGACCTTTCCGAGGCGGGAAACTTACTGAGGCAGCGCCTGCACACAGAACTGCAGTTCCCCTGGAAGATGCTCTGAGGCCCAGACGTAGAAGGACAGCAGCCTGTCAACAGCAGGGCCGCCCTTGGCAACTCGGCTCTGTGTCCCCAAAACACTCCCGAGAGCTCAGGGAGGCCCCGGGGATCTCCCCTAATCACTTCCTGAGAGCAAACGGCCTTCCTACGAATGGCCAGGTGTCAGGATGGCCCCACAGCTGCACCATCCTCCTCACGGGCCCCCCACTGTGGCTGGTCCTAGGTGGCTGAGCTGAGGGAGCGCTGTGGTTCGCTGTCCCCGCAGGACACAGGGCCCCGCGAGAGAGGCTTGTGGCCGCCCCAGATGACCTCAGCTCCCTGTCTGTGGCCGCTTTGTCTGTCGACTGCAAGGTCTCCAGGCCACACGACCACTTTGCAGATGATATTTGAGTACAACCAGACTTTTAAAGTAAGTTCGGAGCAGGAAAAGACTTTCTTCAGTTAGAAATTTCAGTGCTGATGAGTAATGCCATATTGAATATTCAGGAATTCTGGATATTCTAAATTTGTAAATAATCAGCAACTTGCTGAGCAGGGGACGTTGACTGAAGGCCAACTGTGCACCTGGCAGAGACACACGAGGAGCTTGTTTTCTCCTCCTGCCAGGCCCTCGCAGGTGATCGGGTCTCCTCACTTTATGGATGAGAGATGCAGCTAGCGACGTCCCGCACCTGACCCTAGACAGCACCAGCTCCTGGGAGAGCTGGGACGGAACCCACGTCGGCCCCAGGCCTTCTCCTCAAAGGCTTTGCTGTCACAAAACGTGGATGAGGAATAAATCCAGGAGAGGCCGGGGGAGAGCACCAAGGTCAGATTGCACCACGGGGTGGGAGAGCGAGGGTGAGCAGCCGTCGCGAGGGCTCTCACGCCAAGCCTGCAAATGCAACCTGAGGGCCTGGGATTTTCCCACATGGCTGAAACGTGAACCCCTTCCCATGGCCCTGGCTGTGCAGTCCTCCTGGTCGGAACATCACACGGCTGTTCTCCAAGAGTGGTTCCTGCAAATGGCCCCCGCTGTGAAGCCCTGGGAAGCCCTGGGACCTCACACCCAAGCGGATGCAAGCAGCGCCTGCCTGGAGCCCTGATGCCCGGCTGCTGGGTGCCCACGGGGGTGAAAGGGAGATGTTTACATGGCAGGCGTGGGCTCCCCTCCCTGGGCGAGAACCGTGGGAAACCAAATTTTATAAGTGTGGTTGTTTGCCTCACAAACCAGCTTCTGTGATCATCCATTATCATGTCATTCATTACACTGCATCCAGTCTTAATCAGAACTTCCTGGCCATGCGGAACACGAAGGTGAGTGCTGGCGCCCTTCTGCAGGCTGCTGTGTCTCCGTCCTGCAGCCGCCCCCAGCACCGGCCCTCACCGCCCCTGCAGCCGCCCCCAGCACCGGCCCTCACCGCCCCTGCAGCCGCCCCCAGCACCGGCCCTCACCGCCCCTGCAGCCGCCCCCAGCACCGGCCCTCACCGCCCCTGCAGCCGCCCCCAGCTCCAGCCCTCACCGCCCCTGCAGCCGCCCCCAGCACCGGCCCTCACCGCCCCTGCAGCCGCCCCCAGCTCCGGCCCTCACCGCCCCTGCAGCCGCCCCCCAGCACCGGCCCTCACCGCCCCTGCAGCCGCCCCCAGCTCCGGCCCTCACCGCCCCTGCAGCCGCCCCCAGCACCGGCCCTCACCGCCCCTGCAGCCGCCCCCCAGCACCGGCCCTCACCGCCCCTGCAGCCGCCCCCAGCTCCAGCCCTCACCGCCCCTGCAGCCGCCCCCCAGCTCCAGCCCTCACCGCCCCTGCAGCCGCCCCCAGCTCCGGCCCTCACCGCCCCTGCAGCCGCCCCCAGCACCGGCCCTCACCGCCCCTGCAGCCGCCCCCCAGCACCGGCCCTCACCGCCCCTGCAGCCGCCCCCAGCTCCAGCCCTCACCGCCCCTGCAGCCGCCCCCCAGCTCCGGCCCTCACCGCCCCTGCAGCCGCCCCCAGCACCCGCACTCACCGCCCCTGCAGCCGCCCCCCAGCACCGGCCCTCACCGCCCCTGCAGCCGCCCCCCAGCACCGGCCCTCACCGCCCCTGCAGCCGCCCCCAGCACCGGCCCTCACCGCCCCTGCAGCCGCCCCCAGCACCGGCCCTCACCGCCCCTGCAGCCGCCCCCAGCTCCGGCCCTCACCGCCCCTGCAGCCGCCCCCCAGCACCGGCACTCACCGCCCCTGCAGCCGCCCCCAGCTCCAGCCCTCCAGGCCCCTGCAGCCGCCCCCAGCTCCAGCCCTCACCGCCCCTGCAGCCGCCCCCAGCTCCAGCCCTCGCCACCCCCAGCAACTGTGCTTATGGCCCCTGTTCTTTCTGTTTGTCACTCTTTCCACACTGAGGTAAAACCTGACGAACAGGAAGGAGTGTAAAAGGAACAGCTTTCAGGGCAGACCTGAGCCACAGAAAAGACACTGTTCAGGGCGATGCCGCCTCCCTGAGCATAAACACGGGCTCTGCCCACGCGGCGCTCGCCGGAACCCCAGGATAACAAAGCTGGAATGACTTCACCCCGGCTCCGACACGGCTCTGCTCTCCGTGTGTGATTGATGACATCAGTCTCAGCACCTCTCCTCACACACTCAGAACACTTTTCCTCAGTTGCCACCAGCATCCACCGAGGTGGGGTCATGAAGGGGACCCAGGGGCCCGGCGGCTGCTCCTTCCCATGCACTGGGCAGCTGCGGCCCATGGGCCCCTCCGCCGGGTGTACCAGGCTCCTGGACAGGAGAGAATGACGCCACGCAGGAGACGAGCTTGCAGAGGCAGGAGGGCAAGGGCAGCAGCAGAGGCAGGAGGGCAAGGGCAGCAGCAGACCCAGGAGGCACCATGAGCTCTTCCCGAGGCACTGCCTCACATGGGCGCCATCCACCCAGCTCAGCTCCCAGGGGCTGGGAAGTTTCCACAGAATATAATGGGGTGGTCTTTTCTAAACTGTAAATCATCGTACAGCCTTAGGGCAGAAATATCAAAGGCAAGGACAAAGGACCAGGATGCCAGACCTCCTGACCCATCACTGGGCCCCTAGAGCCAAGCCCACTCCTGTCCACACCTTCGTCACACGTTTACAGAGTGAACAAGTGAATGAATAATGAGACAGGGAGATGAAGGGGCATCTGGCCCCAATGCCGGTGAAAACCAAGATGCCGGTATATGCAGAGAAGAAAACTGAGATGACGGTGTACACCGAGAAGAAAAACGAGATGACGGTGTACACCAGAAGGAAACCAAGATGAAGTCAAGTCGAGGCCTTCCAACAACGGTCTGTGTGCGGCCCGCGGGGCCAGAGGTCCAGCCAGGGTTTCCGGAGGGCTCCCTGAAGGCTCACAGCTGTGCCTGGCACTGGCCTGCTGCAGACAGCCAGGGTCTTTACAACACGGGGCTGTGTGTGGGAAGGGCTGGATTCCCATGCAGAGGAAAAGCTGTTCACCAGCGTCTGTGGCTCAAAGTTACTGCAACGCAGAGCGGGGAGCGCTGGCCGGTATGAGCGGCTGCATCTCACACCACAGAAACGCACTTGGAGACGTTTCCCAGTGAGCGTCGCCTCTCCTAATGCTGAGCCCTGTGGGAGCAGAAACTGGAGCCGTCTCACTCACTCAGTAACAACTAAGAGCATGATGTGGAAGCCGGCAATTAAACCCCCTCCAGTGGGCCGCAAGGTTCCCCAGCCATACCCCACCATCAGCTCTCAGAGCGACGCGACAGGGAGAGCAGGGTGTGCCCGCATGGTCGGATGGCAGCCTCCGAGGCAGCTGCAGCCTGGTCTCCGGCCACCCTCCTCTGCAGCCCGACCCACACCGTGCGGGAACGGACATCCAGAGAAGCCACCTCATTTCAGCGAGGCTGTCCCCAGAGAATATGGAGACTATGGAGATGCAGTGAGACGTTGTAGAAGAAGGCGGCTGCAGGTCCCTTGTTAGAGCACTTTAGCCTAAAACAACATTAAAGAGTGAGTTGGAAAAGTTGATTTTTCCTGTGAATATTGGTGCATGCTCAGGGACCAGCAGCACAGCTGTCCCAGCGGAAATGGAGGAATGAAGTTTCATTCATAGTCGCACTAGAGGAAAGCCAGCCCAGGACGAAGCTCAGCCCAGGACGGAGAGTCCCGCGGAGTGGGGGGGGTCCGGCTGCCTGCCTTCCCCTCCAGCGGCTGCCCCTCGGTGTGGAGACCCAGCCCCACCCCGGCCCCCAGGCCTTGCCGGAGAGGGGTCTGGCCTGCAGCCCTAGGGGGTCTCACTCCCTCTGGGGTCCGGCTCTCTGGCAGCCTTCCTGACACCTTCACAGCAGCACATGCGGCTCCCACGCTGTCCCCCACCCCGCAGCTCCCCTCATCTTTAACTACACACACGTTCTTCTCCCTTTCCTTCAACTCCCCGGGGGTGGGGCAGCAGTGCTGTGAGGGTCTAAGAGGGGTCTGTGATGACTGAGGGTTTTGTCATATCCCATCCATCCCGTCCTGGCCACCAGCAGCCCCAAGGTTGGGCCGGTGCCCGTGAACATGGCAGGTGAGTGAGATGTGGAAACGGGACAGGCATCCCCCCGCCAGCTGTGGGGTGCGACCCAGGGCTGTGGGCAGAGCGGGAGCCACAGGCTGGGCTGGGCACAGGCCCCACATAGATACAGGATGGATTTCACAGCCCCTCTGCTGCTCCCTTTGTCGTGCTGAAGTGAGGTTGGAGCAAAATCCACACCTGCCCCGTGCATGGGCCTCAAACCCCCTTCTCACTGCGCACTGGGCATTCAACACCCAGGAGCAAGGCCTGGGAGGGAACAAAGTCTACCCTCCCCAGCTCAGAGACACACACTGACCCATGCTCGGGCCGCAGGAAACACAGACCAAACCCAAGATTAAAAACCCAGTACCTACAATCAAATCTCGACCTTTAACGCAAGCTTTGTTTCTCACCTGAAAGATAGAATTTGACCTTAAAATTGGGGGTGATTTCATTCTGGATATGATCAGAGGACTAGTGAGGAAACTGAGGCTGAGGCCATGACATCACATCTTACAGAACCCATGGGAAAGTCCGCACATCTGTGGGGGACGCTTTGTGTGTGTTCCTGGAAAGTTGCAGGACTGTGGTTGGAGGGTGTGGACGCGTGCGTGTCCCACGGCCTGGGCAGGATCTCGCTGTGATGCCGGCCTGGAAAGACACTGGCCGCGGCCGCTGCCCTTCCCATTGGAACCAGACACCAAATGGTGTCTGCTTTGCTCGGTGCCTGTTATTTTGAGGAGTGGCCCTAACAGCTCTCCTGAGGGGTGGCCTTGTTAGCCTGCCTTTCCCAGAGCCCCTCGCTGTGAAGCCACCCCTGTAGCAGCAGCGTGTCTCCGGGAGGACCCAGAGAAGCAACATCACCCATGTGCTGCACGGAACCCTAACCCCCGCATGTCCACCCTCCTGCCTCTGGGCCTGGACACCTCAAGACTCCAGGAAGAAATGTCTAGTCCCTTTGCACCTCCCAGAAGCTGCAGCAGCACCTGCGGAGCAGACACAGACGCAGACGCAGACGCGACTTTCTCTCAAGTCAAGACCACATCAGACCTGAAAATTCAGTCATGCCCTGGCCTGAATGCAGCACCGCGAATGGAGCACTTTAAACTTTCTTAAGAGCTGTGAAAATGTATCTTTTAAAAATATTTTTATTTACTTAACATGTTAACAGTTCCTGCTAGGCACATTTTACCAAAAAAAAAAAAAAAAATACCCACACACACGGTTTGGGGCATCCAAAGGCTCTGGGAGCAGCTGCAGGGCTCACGGGGGGCGACACAGGCCTGTGAGTCAGCTCTTTTACTACGCTTTGTGCTGCCTGTATAAATGACCTAATCTATCCGCCGGGCGTTTCAAGGGGGAAAAGGAAAGGGTTTATGAAACCCAGGTTGAAATGGAGACACCGAGGCACAGTGCCTCTCCGGAACCCAGAGGAGAGTCACGGAGCCCACTGGAGAAGACCTCAGCCGCCATGAGACCCTGTGCATTCATTTCTGTGCATGCTGTTTTTAAATTAGAAAAACTCAAAGCTTCTCCCTGTGACAACAGCCATTCAGGACGAAGCAAGGAGCCATCCTGACACTTCATCAGCTGATTGATTGATAGGCTGGAAAGTCTACGGCGAAAGGGAAAAGAAAAAAGGACACGGGCGTTCACTGACGGGATTCGTGGCTTCCCTCGTGTGGCCACCTCATCCAAACACGGGCCAACGGGAACTTCACAGGAGATCACAAGTAATCCTGCACAGGCAGAAATTCAGATGTGCGGCCTCACCTAATCTGACTGGGATTTGGAAGAGGTAAGATGTTTGTTGAACTGACTCATCGGTGATAGTTCTTTTGTTTCAAATAAAATGGAAGTAAGGCTGACACCCACATGCCCTGTGTTCAGCTTGTGACCTGGAACGGATTGTTCCTGCAGAAGGAGCTGTGTGATCCAAAAGCCCAAGTATTTCTGGAGATTTTCCCCTTGGCTTGCTGCACCATGACCATAAGGTGGACGCCTCTCATCTGGAAACCAGGGTAGTAACATGAAAGGCTAAGATTATCTAGATGTTCCTGGGACAGAACGTGGAGAACGTGGCCCATCTGAGCTGTAGCCCTTTCCAGGGGCGTGAGCTCAGCATCTGCAGAAGACGCCTGTGTCAGAAGGGACCAGTGGCTTTTCCCACCCAACGTCCACGGGGCTCCAGGCCCAGTGGCCCCTGCAATGCCCCTGGGCAGGCACCTGCTTGAGCCCAGGAACATTCCAGGAAGCCCCACAACGGTGGTCCTGCCAACAGACCCCAGCCAGTCATCCTCCCCCACAGGCCGCCTTTTCCTGAGGGAAGCTTCCAGAAGCCAGGGTAGGCTGCAGGCCCAGAAAGCCCACGAAATGCCAGGCAGGCACCAAGGTGTTCCTGTGGCACTGTGTGAGCACCCATCGGCGGCGTGCACGGCCCTCTATGAGCTCACGCGTGTCAGCGTCTGCAAAGCCCATCGGCGGCGTGCACGGCCCTCCATGAGCTCACGTGTGTCAGCGTCTGCAAAGCCCATCGGCGGCGTGCACGGCCCTCCATGAGCTCACGCGTGTCAGCGTCTGCAGAGCCCTCCACCCGCACATGGGGTCCCAGCCACCATTCACTTCTCCTTACAGCTGACACGAGTCGTCCCAAAGCTGAGTGGCCTTGACAGGTCTTAGCAGCCTCAGTGGCTAGGTGAGGTCCTTTCTGGAGGGATGCAGGACCTGTCTCTGGGGCTGGACCCATGTGAAATGGCGGTCAGCATCCGCCGTGTGAGAAAGGCTCCGGCGTGGATGAGCTGAGCTCAGGAGACCTGGGCCATGGCGGCTGCTGGTATAGGAGGTGCAGTCACACAGCTCAGACCCAGGGCTCAGCTCCTGCTGCACGAGCGCTGATGGCATGGATTGCATAACAGGACAGTGTTCTCTAGGGCCCCTGCCTCTGAAAGCCCAAGTTACACAACCAACCCGACCCCAGGGTCCTAGGAAAGCAAAAGCCATCTCGCCAGAGGTGAGCTCCACTGACCCTGAGAGCAGCTTTGCTGTCGGTGGTTGGGGCACGGCGGCCCCGTCACTCGCCCCCACTCGCCAAGCATGTGCTGGGCACCCAGCCGAGCACTCACATCCATTATCTTCTTTAATCCTCCCAATACCTTATTAGGGAGATATTTTAATCCCAGGTCACAGAGAAGGGAAGTGTGGCCGATTGTACACAGCGATTACAGACAGAGCCAGGCCTCGGAGCCGTTCTGCACAGCTGTGCCCCAGCCCACAGGTAACCTAAGTGAACTCAACAAACACATTTTAAAGGTGGCCTTTCTCCAGCCTTTGCTCCATCCTTGGCAGCTTTGGCGTCTTCATCTAATACCAATGTCAATCAGCTGTACTTACCAGGCCTAACATGTGCATCGAGTGTTCACTTAAATGACCACTTGGCCCTACACTGCAGCCTGGATTCGCAGCCCCGGCCCACCTGCATGGCTAAGGAGTTCAAGCTGCACAACAACAGAAGTTTCAGATGAACAGAAGGAAGACGCGAAGGTTGGCGGTTTCGCTGGGAGTTAAATCGGCGCAACGATTCCCTAGGAAGTTCAGAACGTCCCTTCCTCAGGCTGTCTCCAAAGACTGCCGTTCAACTAAAGGGCAAGAGTCCGAGGTCAGTCCAGCTCTTCCCTGGCAGCCGTGGGTTGGGGGGCAACCCCAGGCCTCCCCCTCTGCTTATTTTCCTGAAATTCTGTGATTAACGGGAATGTCGGGTGAATGCCTGGATTCTCAGGATTAAGCCTTATTGCAAATCTAGAAGAAATCAGCCCTGCTGAAACACGGCACACCTTCAAACTCCACTGGTGCCGAGTCGTATCCAGCCTTTGTTTGGCATCCCCGGATGCCTGGACCTCTCGCTGGAACTCAACACCCCAAACGCTGCAGGGTGCCCTCTCGCCAGGCTGGAGAGGAACTCAACACCCCGAGCTCTGCAGGGTGCCCTCTCGCCAGGCTGGAGAGGAACTCAACACCCCGAGCTCTGCAGGGTGCCCTCTCGCCAGGCTGGAGAGGAACTCAACACCCCGAGCTCTGCGGGGTGCCCTCTCGCCAGGCTGGAGATGCATCTCAGGCCGCCAGGAACCCGCACTCTGCATCCCACCAACATGGGCATGCCCAGGAGTTGCCCTAACCAAGGAAACACGGAAACATCACCACAGCATCAAAGCCAGCGGCTCTCACACACCGGAGCCCAGAGCCCGGACACAGGGGCAAAGACGAATTGGTCTGAAACGAAAATCCACCAGGATGTGAACCTGTTTTCCCGAAGTTGATGGAGGAAGCCACGGAGCAAGGGTCAGACCTGACATCTGCACTCGCTGAAGGTCACAGGCTGCGGAAATGCCGACGCCGAGTCGCCTCAGGTGCAGGTCCTTGACAGTGCAGTTAGAAACTGCAGCCCCCTCTGCAACCTCAGCGTGGCTCTGCCGTCTCTAACTGCTGCCCAAACCAAGGGTTCCCATTTTTGACCCAGCGTGTTCCCTGTAAAACACTTCCAGATGCTTAGTTGAAATTTCCAAACTATAGGAGAACCAGAGTGTCATCTCCCCTCTCTGTCTGTGAGAGGAAACCTGAGGACCGCAGAGCTGTGTCAGCTGTGGGTTTTATCCCCCTCCGGAATCCCTGGGTCTGCAGCCACAAGCAGGCCAGCAAGTGTCTTCACTGTAATTACCCTTGAGAAGTCACGGATCTCAGCCCACGGCAGGACGGACGCCACTGAGAGCCACAGGGATCCATCTCTTAGCTGAGCAGCCAGGATAATAATTCAAGAAGTGAATTCAAGAGGCGTTAAGTTCATAATAGGATAAAAACGTAAGCCTGTGGCAGCAGGAAAGTGTGCGGAGAGAATGGGGTGTAGTTACTGCTCTTAGCACATGGTGGGTATTGTGGATCTTGTAAATCTGATACAGAAAAAAAACACCTGATACAAATGTTAATTCAGTACGTCTCATCCTTCAAATATACTGACCATGTGTTCAATAAGCACCCAGTGTGTGCCAAGAACCAGGTGGGAAGTGGAGGAAAGCAATGAAAAGACATCACAAGGACCCCGGGGAGCTCGCAGTCCAAAGAGGAGACAGGCACACCACCCAACACTGACCGGCGATGGAGGGTGGAGGGCTTCCCGGAGGAGGTGACTGTGAGCTGGGATTGAAGGATGAATAGGAGTTTCTGTAAGGATAATGGTGTGTTCAGAAAACAATTCACACAACAATATCTCTTCCAGTATGTGCAAGCAGGCAGGAGGTCTCTCCAGCCCAGCCCAGGGATGCTGTGTACAGGATCCATCAAAGTCCCTCCAGCCTGGCCTGGGAATGCTGTGTGCAGGATCCATTGAAGTTGTCTGAGGAGTGGCCAAGCCCAGATCTGGTCCTTCATATCTTCTGACACCCGGGGGCAAACAGGGCCCTGCCCTCACGCAGATACCTCCTGAGTGCCAGATGAGGCTTTTCACTCCAGAACCCTTTTCCTCTGTGGGCCTGGTGGGCACCAGGCTGCAGAAGCTTCTGTGCGGCCGTCTGTCAGCATCCATCTCCAACGCAGGTGGAATGCAGCTCCTTGTCAGGCTGGATTGTCCAGGCCACCCAGTGTCGGGGCCTAGCAGCTTCCTCAGGGCTGTGCAGCCTCACCACGTGCTGCCAAGTCTGGTCTCTGCCTCTGGTCATGCCCACTTCCCACATGGGAGGGTGCAGGTGCCACCCCGGACTCTGGTGCCATGGCCTCCAGCCACTCAAAATGCCCTGTGGAATGTGCCTGTGTGGGTTTAGTGTGTCTTGGTGCTTTGGCAACATGAAGAGCTGTACATTCATTCTTTCTGTAGGAAGCACTTCATATGAGAGACAGAACTCTCTAGAACGCATGACGTACCTCTGAGAAATGGAGAAGACCTGATTCACGCACACGACAGGTGTGATCGAAGGCACTCCAGGCACGAAAATGAAGAAGGAAACTCCCAGCCAGGGGCAGTACTTGTACTTCCTGAAGTTCACCAAGAATAAAACACGATACTCTTACTTCATGATACGGGTCTCTTTCAAAGACTCTAGTGCTCTACAGACACATTATTGCATTTAAGTTAACAAGATTCTATTGGGTAGATACTGTCGTTGATAAATGTTTCTCAGTTTCCATCAGAAAACTGGGCTGTATGAGTTTTGGAGACTAGCCAAAAGTAACAATAAACCAAAAACACATCCTGCCTTCATTACCAGTGTCCACGAGGAACTGCTGTGTTAGGCAATTTAGTATATCGGAAAGCCCCTAGGCGCACTCTCCACCCTCCCTGCCCCTGTGTGAGTGGCGTCCACTGGGATGCCTTCTCTGCAGTGGTCACAGGGAGACACCATGGAACCGAGCCCCTATGTCCTGTGCACCACAACAGCCAGCCGTGACCCACTCCCTCGTCCACGACCATGGAGCCAGCCGTGACCCACTCCCTCGTCCGCGACCATGGAACCGAGCCCCTGTCTCCTGCACACCACACCAGCCAGCCGTGACCCCACTCCCTCGTCCGCGACCATGGAACCGAGCCCCCGTCTCCTGCACACCACACCAGCCAGCCGTGACCCCACTCCCTCGTCCGCGACCATGGAACCGAGCCCCCGTCTCCTGCACACCACACCAGCCAGCCGTGACCCACTCCCTCGTCCGCGACCACGTAGGTCGGACACCTGACTGCCCCACAGTGTTTTTAACCAGAATTCATTTCTGGTGCCCTCTTCTCAGCTGAGGGTGCATTTCTGGGTGATTCTGTTGCCCTCTTTTCTCAGCTGAGGGTGCATTTTTGTCCTTGTCAGTTTTGTCTGTCTGAGACCCAAGATCTCTCTGGACCATGTGTCTCACCTGAGGGGCACAAGCCTGGTGGTGGATTGGCAGAGCAGTGACACAGGTGAGCACCCCGATAGGAAAATCTGAAATCCAGAATGCTCCAAAATCAGAAATGTTTTGAGCCTCGACATGACACCACAAGTGAAAAACTCCACCAGTCCTCATGTGATGGGTCACAGTCAAAACACAGTCAGCACTTTGCTTCATGCACAAATTATTTAAAATGTTACATAAAATGACCTTCAGGCTATGTGTATGAAACATAAATGAATTTCATGTTTAGATTTGGGTCCCGTCTCAAGATATCTCATTATATATATGCAAATATTCCAAAATCCCCCAAAAAATCCAAAAATCAAAGCATTTCTGGTCCCAAGCACTTCAGATAAGAGACCCTCAGCCTGTGCTGAAGTGGCTGCCGCTACCCCTAAAAGAGCAGAACAGTTTCTCACAAGCAAAGCCCCTGGGACCCGGGGGATGGGGAACGAATCTCAACTAGAAGCCCCCTGTGGCACCGAATCTCACCGCCCGCAAGTCCCAGCCTGAGCAGTTTTCCCAGGCCTTCTGAAAGAAGGAAGGCTGCTGTATCTGGCAAGTCGGGGGAGGACTGTTAACCCGGGGGCCTGCTGTAACTCAACGAAACATGGAGAGGAGTTCTGTGCCGACCCCAAAGCAACGCTTCTCCAACGCGAATGTGCAAGAAACCGCCTGGGTCTGCTTAAAATGCGCGTTTGGATTCAGGAGAAACCAGCACCCAGGTGGCGCCGAGGTCGACAGACGCTGGAATCTCATCCCTGAATTCTCAACGTTTGCTTCCCTCAAATAGACTTAGTAGAACGATCATGCGTAATACCTGACTCTATCACTATTCTGAAGACTGATGTGATGTTACATTTCGTATACTTTAAACGTGTTGGAAAACAGAAAAAATGTAAGTTGTGATTGTGAAATGTATTATATGCTGGAATCGCTAGTCCCAGTCACTAAAATTGTGGCACCCCAAAGACACGAGGAGAGAAAGATTAAAAGTGAGACACTCCTCAGTCTTAGTTCTTGTATCTCTCTTTCCTGTTCCTTTATTTATTTCATCTCATGTTTCTCTTCATATGAAACCGTGTGCAAGGTGTAGCTGTACCCCCACCCAGGCCGGTGGAGAGACCCCGTCTTGTTTTGGAGGTTACCTGTGAAAGTCAATGATGCCAGCTACAGACAATAGACTGCATGTTTATTTGGAGTGACTGCATCAAACGGAAACCAAGGTCCTGTCTCCAGGCAGCCAGCTGCTCCCATCTGTCTGTGCCCATGGCACAGGTGGGGCCTTCCGTGGGCTGCAGCCAGCACCAACCAGTACATCTGGTTGACCACAACGGGCAAAAGTAAAACCTCATGCCAATAAATGACCAAATCAAAATAGAATTTCTTTTTCTGGCTGATCTCTGCCACACAAAAACCTATCTTCAGAATTGGCTGAGTCAAGCACCCAGCCTGCCCTTGTCCAGCCCCTGCAAAGGGAGGTAGGATGGAGCCATCTGGCATGGACCACATGCACTGGCCAGTGTGGTCTCTCTACCTCCTGAAGGCCAGCACTTTGAAAACAGCATTGCAGTTTCCGGCTCACACTAAGGAGTCAGTTTGCAGATTCTGCTGGAGGACTGGCCACTATTCGAGATTCTGTAAGATATTCCAAGACATCGAACACATGGTTCCTGCCCTCAAAGAGCTTATAATCTACTCAGGCACAAACATTAAAATGCACACAGCAACATAAGGCTAAATGTAACTACTGCTGGCTTACTCCATAGAACAGGCCCTAACTGCCGAAAAATCTCAGCTGGAGTAGAGGGATTCCTGCCTGGGGTAACAGTAAGCTTCCTATAAACTTATTCACAGCTGGGATCAGCTGAGCCTTGAAAAACAGATAAAATTTGACTCAGAAAGCACTTTTTCTGGGTGGAACACAGGCAGTGACTGAGAATACGAAGTGTGTCTCTACTAAGCACTTTTACACATATTTATCTCGTTTAACCCTCACAGCAGCACTACACACTTGGACCTGGACCTGAGAGAGCCCAGAACCCCAGTAGCAGCTATTATCCCCATGTTTCCAATGGGGAAAGAGTTCTGAGAATTTGAATCACCTCACCAAGGGGACAGAGGTAACGGCAGAGTCACGCTGACCAGCTCCAGAGCCACCGCAGCCCACAGTTTCTATGTGACGCTTCGGCCCTTCTGCTGCTACTGGGGTTCTGGGCTCTCTCAGGTCCAGGTCCAAGACCTAAAGAGAAATAAAACACTCTAAGTGATGTGGGCCAAGCCTCACATGAGTATTACAAAACCAAAGAGGCTTCACAGTCCCCAGGAACCCTGCCCTGCTGCCGAAAACTGGCCACCCCTCGAGGGAAATGACACATAATTCCCTCCAATCTCATCATTAGTGGCCTGCTTGGTTAGCCACGGCCAAAAAGAGGAAATCTCAGGGAAACATTCATTTCTTCTGCCCTAAGCCCTGCAGCCATGATTGCTTTTATAAGCAAATTGTCTGCTTCATAAAAATGTTTACAGCATTTATTATATTTTTCTGATACACAGTTATTGTTTAAAAAAATCTTTTAATTACAGAAAAGGCACAAAGAAGAAAATTAATCCCTAGGCAACTTGTCTGAACCATGTAAAGTCCATACTTGGCCCAGAGCCCTAGACCAATTGACAACTTTGAAGCTTCAGATAAAAGATTAACAAATCCCGAAGGGATAACTGGGCAAGAATGGCGTCAGTGTCTCTGTTAGGACCCACAGCCAGTAAGAAGAGCGTAAGATTCAAGTCGGACGGGTCACGGCACTGCAGGTCACCCACCACATCACCAAGGAACACTTTACCCTGAGTTTCCAGTTTCTCCAACCTGGAGTAAAAAAACCCACCAGCCTTTTAGAATCGTTGTGAGGAGCAGAGACCGTTTACACCAAGCGCCAACTCAGTGCCTGGCACACAGTCAGCAATGATGTTTATCGATCCAGCTTTCTCACAATGCTTTGGAGGCAGAATAATTTTTCGAGAATTTCCATGAGTCTTCCAAAGTTCTGAGTCCTAATGTGAATTTGCAAAAATGAAATTAATTCCTGGCACCTCCTCCCTGCCCTGGGGCCCAGCAAGCCTCCTTCTCAAAGCCCTCAGCAGCCCCAGGAAACCCTGGGGCGTCTGGGCACCTTCTCACTGCACCCCAGTGAGTTCAGGCAGAGGATGACGCAGGCTGCAGATGGCTGGAGCCCATCGACCTTCCTGGAAGTGGAAGTCCTGATGGGAATCCCCGCGCTGTCATCCATCCTCCTTACAGAAAGGGTCAGAGTTCATTACCCATTCCATGCCCTGCAGAAACCAGGGTCTTTACTTTGGGCTGGCATGACATCAAATCAGATTTGCACACTGGTTGACCAACTCAACAGCTCCCTTTGGCAGTTAAGTGTGACTTCCATCAACCAAATGGTAAAACATTAAAGTAAAAATAAATGCAGGTTCTATGGAAAAAACAATTAAAAAATGGCCTTTGATGTTCCCGATATATTCTGACAATCCTAGAGATTTAAAAAGCAGCATAAGGGATTATTTATTACATAAAAAGATCAAACAAATTGATAGAAAAATGTATCGATAAGAAATCCATTAATATGATTTAGATAAACATGAAAGAAAAATTGTAAATCTTAATGAGAAAATAGCCAGACTTGCTCATGGTCAAATAATGTAATTAAATAATCGTTTATTTCATTATGTTACAAAAATGTAATGATAAGTTGTGGTGAAATGTATCCTTATATATTAGTGATACTGAAGCTTGTTCAATGCGGGGAGGAGAGATGTGGCAATGTGTATCAAGAAACAAAATTATGTTTATGTCCTTTGACCCAGTAATTAACATGGCATGAGGGAGGGGCATATATTGGTCATAGTGTCATTTATAGAACAGAGAATTTTCAAAATAAATGCCCGATGAAGTATTAAGCAGACTTTTACAATTATGGTTTTGAAGACTATGTAGCAACTTAGAAATTGCAGATAACATACTGAGTAAAAAGAAAAGCAGAATGTAAAAATCGTTCCTGGACTATGATTGCAACTTTGTAAAAAGTGCACATAGGAAAAAGAAGTGCAAGAAAAATGGCAAATGACTGTGGTTAAGAATACTAGGATTGGGCCGGGCGCAGTGGCTCACTCCTGTAATCCCAGCACTTTGGGAGGCCGAGGCGGGCGGATCACAAGGTCAGGAGATCGAGACCATCCTGGCTAACACAGTGAAATCCCGTCTCTACTAAAAATACAAAAAATTAGCCGGGCGTGGTGGCGGGCACCTGTAGTCCCAGCTACTCGGGAGGCTGAGGCAGGAGAATGGGGTGAACCCGGGAGGCGGAGCTTGCAGTGAGCCGAGATCGCGCCACTGCACTCCAGCCTGGGTGACAGAGCGAGACTCCATTTCAAAAAAAAACAATACTAGGATTGAAGTTTGCTTCCTAACTTCCAGTGACACGGTTTTTTCAATCTAGGATTTAAAACAAAAATTATGCTTTACAGCAAAGGAGAGTTTGGGTTTTCACTCCCGGAGGTGTTCGGAGGCCACCGCAGCCCACACCACGCCCAGGTGGAGCCACCACCTGTGCCTCTGCAGCCACTGATCTGGGAGCTGCCCCCAGAGGCAGCTGTGCAGATAGCAGATACTGCTCCTGGTTGAGGACCAAAATATGAATAAACGGGCTCTTCAAGGACAGCGTGACAATATTAAATAAATGTTGCATAATGCAAACACTGCACCTAGGTAAAGCCACTTACAAAATTGATTTATTTTGATCTGTTTTAAATTTAAAGGTTTGTAATGTGGAATTACCGTGCTGGGTAATTGCCCACACACCACATTCTACTGAGCCGAATGACATTCCATGTATACTTCAGAGCTGTATCTAATTTCTTAAACACAACCTTTTTTTTCAAATTTATGTCACTCCATAAAAAGCAACTCTTTTCACAGTGACAATTGTAAGTAAAAAATATGAAAATATTTTCCGTACCTTTTCCCAAAATTTCACTAAATCTTGAAAACAGACCTTAAGAATATTTTTCCCGCACTTACATATCTCTCTCCTCTGCCACCTCTGCTGCAGGTCTTTTGGACTTGAAGGCCTTGGTTGTATTGGGATTAATAAAATATGTTTATATACATGATTTATAAAAAGTAAAACAAGGTCGGGCATGGTGGCTCATGCCTATAATTCCAACACTGGGAGGCCAAGGCAGGAGGATCACTTGAGGCCAGGAGTTTGAGACCAGCCTTGGCAACATAGTGAGATCCCATCTCTACCAAAGAAAAAAAAATTGTTTTAATGAGCTGGGCATGGTGGTGCCTGTGGTCCTAGCTCCTTGAGAGGCTGAGGCGGGAGGATTGCTTGAGCCCAGGAGGTTGAGGCCGCAATGAGCTGTGATTGCACCCCTGCACTCCCGCCTGGGCAACGGAGCAACACCCTGTGTCTATTTTTTAAAAATAAAAAAGTAAAGCAAGACAACACTATGACTCTCCATCCTAACACAAGTCAAGTCCTGAGCTTCTGTAGAAAGAGCCCACCACGGCCATGCAGGACCTCATGGAGAATCAGCAGGTGCACGGGTGCTCACTGCAGCTCCCGTCTGCATCCTGGAAGCTTTGGGTCTTGGACTAATGAGGACTAAGCCTGCGCAGTCAGTTCTCTCAGCCAGAGACTGAAACCACCACCAAAGAACCTTGAGGAAACGCGCCCATCCTTGCTCCTTGGGAAAATGTGGATAGTTAACGTGACCAAGCAGGACAGCGCGGCAGCCTCCCTCGTGTTAAACCCACGTTGTACTCATCCTGGGGGTGCCTAAAACGTGGCAGCCTCAATTCCTCAATGGCTCTGGGATTCTTGGGAACCGAGGGGAGGGAAGGGTGGTGCTGGCTGCCCGAGGCTCAGCCCTCCAGGCCTTCCCAGAGCGCCAGGGCCGCCACTGCCCTCCTTGGAGCAGCGTTGCATGGCTCCACGAGGACCAGGGTTCGAAAATTTGAGGTGCTGTCTCTCAAGCTCGGAGTTTGCGGGAGCCCTTGCCCCGCCGGCTGCCGTAAAAGCTTTGGTTAAATGCTCTGAACTGAAGGTCCTTCCCGCGCCCCCTCAGAGACTCCAGAGGCACACTCACCCCCAGAGTGAAGCAGCAGACAGAACCCAGGACCTTCTCTGCACTCACACGGGAGAGGAGCATGGACGGGCCTGAGCCTGAAGCGTCGTTTCCTAAAAAGAAGGCGCTGCTCCCGGCCCCCGCACGAGGCCCTGCCGGAGTCTCTGCCAGCACTGCGCCTGCCGCTCTTCCCTCAGCCCCATCGGCAGGAAGTCGGCTCTTTAAAGAGTTTTAAATCAGCAGTAAATCACAGTTTCTAAAGCTGTAGCACTGATTGCAGCGAACCCTCCAGACTGGGCATCACGCGTGCCCGTCAGGAGCAGCAGCCGCTGAGACTGTGATTCTCCTGCAGCTGTGGGGAAACAGAAGTCCAGTGTTTATCCAGATGCATCATTTGCAACTATTCACTCGTGTGAATTAATAACAAGGAAAGCACACATGGTGGGGGGAGCCCGAGCTTCGTCCCCACACAGTGTGCCCCTGCTGTGTGACCTCAGGCCAGTCCCTTGGCTTCTCTGGGCCTCAGCAACTCACGCTTTTTTTTTCTTTAGGGACAGAGACTTGCTTGTTGCCTAGGCTGGAGTATAGTGGTGCAATCATAGCTCACTGCAGCCTTGAACTCCTGGGCTCCAGCCATCCTGCCACCTCAGCTTCCCAAGTAGCTCGGACTACAGGCATGCGCCACCACACCTGGCTAATTTGTGTATCTTTTTTTTTTTTTTTTTTTTTTTTTTTTTTTTAGAGATGGGGTCTTGCCACATTGCCCAGGCTGGGCTTGAACTCCTGGGCTCAAGCAATTCTCCTGCCTCGTCCCAAAGTGTTGGGATTACAGGCGTGAGCCACGGCACGATTCTACTCACACGTTTTGAAGCTTGCCACACTGACGCTGTCTTCTATTCTATTCTCTGCACTAAATTATGAGAAAGAATTGAGATTTTTTTCAGGGATCTAAACCAAATTGTACAGCACTGGTCTACACACATGCACACACACGCCCTGTGAAACAGCTTTTACCTTTCAGAGCATAATCGGGACATTGTAAGGTGTTCTATGTAGTTTTAAAGGAGTGGAGAAGGTACTCACATCCACCAGCAAAGACGTGAGACAAGGGATTCAGGGGCAGGGTGACATTTGGAGGGAAAGGGAAGGGTCCTTCACCCACAGGCCCTGCAGGAAACGCTCGCGGTGGGAGGACCTGGGCTTTGCTCATCACCTCCCTTCTGGTCAGGACCCCACAGCAGGACAGCGTGAGCCCACGTGCTTGTGTTCTGAGCAATGTCACCTCAGCAGATACACAGCAGCCAGGCGGTCCCAGGCTCCACAGGCAGAGACTCAGGTTGGGTGTTGGCTGTTTCTTTTTTCCAATATCCACCTCCCTTGAAATCAGGACTTTGAAACTTAGTTTTGCAGAGATTGTGTTTCCCTGCACTCTACTGAAGTAATTACCAGGTTTTTCCTGACCTTTGCTGACCCCAGGGAAGTGTTTTTATTCACATTTCCATTCTGGGATTTCTGCGATCTCCTGGATCCACTGCCTGCAATTCCTTGGAAAGACCCAAACCGGAGGAGGCAGAGGGTTCCCTTCAGCAAACACGCTGGGCCCCTGCAGTCACAAGGCACAGAGAGCACGAGGGTCCCACGTTCTCCGCACGGTCCCTGCAGTCTGGAGGTGCAGGGAGTGTGTAGCTGTTACACATCCGATGGCAAGGGCGTCGACTGTGATCACGGGGCCTGATGAAATGGATTTAGAATCAGTTTCCCCATCTGTGAACTGAAAGGCTGGGAGAGGTGATTTCTCCACCCAGGGGGCCTCCAGTCCTGGTGCATTGGGGCCATTCTTGGAACACCCAGGGGCCCTTCTAACAGCAGATTAAACATGCACTCACCGGTCCCTGCCACACAGAACATGACACTTCTGCATGAGTGCTGAGGGGTCTGGGTGGGAGCCATGGGCAGCTGACGCCATCAGAAAAAGCTTCCGCATGCAAGGCAGGAGGAGGAGGAATACAGCTGTGTGTTCTGAGAGATGCATGTGAGGTGATTTTGTCACTGTGTTAACATCACTGAGGACACACACACACACCTAGAAGGTGTAGCCCACCGCACACCCAGGCTACGTGCTGGAGGCCGAAGCTCCAGGCTACAAACTCACACAGTGCTGAATACTGCAGCCAATTGTCACACAATGGTAAGTATTTGTGCACCTAAACATATCTAAAAAATAGAAAAGAGGTACAGTAAAAACAAGACATAAAAGATGTAAAGTGGTACGGCCGTGTAAGGCACTTGCCATGAATGAAGCTTGGGCTGGAAGCTGCTCTAGTGAGTCCATGAGTGAGTGGGGAGTGAGTGGGAAGGCCAGGACATGACCGTACACTGCTGTAGGCTTTATACACACTGCACACGCAGGCTGCTCCGGTAAGTCCATGAGTGAGTGGGAAGACCAGGACATGACCGTACACTGCTATAGGCTTTATACACACTGCACACGCAGGCTGCTCCGGTGAGTCCATGAGTGAGTGGGGAGTGAGTGGGAAGGCCAGGACATGACCGTATACTGCTGTAGGCTTTATACACACTGCACATGCAGGCTGCTCCGGTGAGTCCGTGAGTGAGTGGGGAGTGAGTGGGAAGGCCAGGACATGACCGTACACTGCTATAGGCTTTACACACACTGCACACGCAGGCTGCTCCGGTGAGTCCATGAGTGAGTGGAGAGTGAGTGGGAAGCCAGGACATGACCGTGCTGCTGTAGGCTTTACATACACCACACACTTAGGCTACACTAAATCCATTGTTAAAAATTTCCTTCTCTAATAATAAATCAACCTTAGTTTACTGTAACCTTCTTGCTTTATAAACTTTTTAATTTTTTAACTCTTTGACTCTTATAATATGTAGCTTCAAATACAAACATGTTGTACAGCTGCACAAAAATAGTTTCTTTCTTTATATCCTTATTCTATTAGCTTTTTTCTGTTTAAAACATTTTAACTTTTTAAACTTTTTTGTTAAAAAACTAAGACACACACATCATCCTAGGCCTGCATGGAGTCAAGATCATCAATATCACCGTCTTCCCCTCCACATCTGGTCTCACTGGAAGGTCTCTGGGGGCAGTGATGCACAGAGCTGTCGTCTCCTGTGATAACACGGTTTCTCCTGGACGCCTCCCGCAGGACCTGCCTGAGGCTGCTCTACAGTTAACTTTTTTTTTTAATAAATAGAAGGAACGCACTCTAAAATAATGACTAAAAGTTTGGTATAGTAAATACGCACCCGGGAACAAAGTTTATTAACATTATCTGGTCGTGTGTGCTGTGGACGATCACGTGTGCTGGACTTGTGCCCGGCTGGCAGCGCTGTGGACTTGTTCACGCTGGCGTCACACAGGGGCGGGAGCCATGCGTTGTGCTGTGATGTGACAGCCAGGTGACAGCCGAGGGACCAGACGCTTTCAGCTCCATGACAATCTTACGGCGCCACCGCCACCTGTGGGGTGTGCCGTTGACGGCAAAGTCCCTGTTTGGTGCCGGGCTGTATCTGAGCACCTCGGCTCATCCAGAAGGGGTCTAACCAGTCTAAACTTCCGTCTGAAACTGGCCCATTTCATCAGCGTTCTTGGGAAAATGAGGCAAAATAGACTTGGACATTTCAGAGAAAACATTCACAGTGTTAGTACGTTTATCTGACATTATTTACAATCCCTCCGATTACAAGCAGTTAGAAGAGGAGAAGGAGGTCAGCTGGCCGTGGCAGGGAACAGGGCCTCCTCTCCTGATCTTTCCCATCTCAGCAAAATGCCCCATTGTGTGGCTCAGGGGAAGTTGAAGTCGAAAGCCTGGCGTGGGGAAGCAGCTGCTGGGCCATTGTTTAATCTGAGCTAATGCAATGTCACCACGCCCAATTATGTGGCCGCAATTTGGGTTACAGTTGCTTTGGTCAATATGATCACTTTCTTTTTTGTTTTTCAAAGAGGTCAAAGGTTGGGGGCTGGAGGCTGAAGCAGTCAGGCAGTGAGGGGATTGGGGACCCAGAGACTGGTTTCTTGGAAAACACCCCCAGGAAAAAGATACTCTGTCACAAAATATCAATGCCAGCCAGATGTCACCAGTCTTTTTTTTTTTTTTTTTTGCATGTGTTTCTTAACAGCTGGTAAGAATATCAGCTGAAATTATTCGCCACAAGCACACACTTTCTGTTTGTCTCCAGATAAAGGGATTTAAAATCCCGTTTGTCAGTGAGGGAAGGTGGAAACTGTGGAATGGATTTTTCTGGACCAAAAGGTAGGTGATTCCCCCCTTCCGTGCTGCCCAGCCACAGCCCAGAGAGACAGAAAGGTGGAGACTCACGGCAGGGCCGCACGCAGGGCTGTGTTGTCCGCTTCCTGGGACGGTACCCTGCGTCCAGCACACTCACGGCCAGGGCCGCACGCAGGCCTGTGTTGTCCGCTTCCTGGGACGGTCCCCTGCGTCCAGCACACTCACGGCCAGGGCCGCACGCAGGCCTGTGTTGTCCGCTTCCTGGGACGGTCCCCTGCGTCCAGCACACTCACGGCCAGGGCCGCACGCAGGCCTGTGTTGTCCGCTTCCTGGGACGGTCCCCTGCGTCCAGCACACTCACGGCCAGGGCCGCACGCAGGCCTGTGTTGTCCGCTTCCTGGGACGGTCCCCTGCGTCCAGCACACTCACGGCCAGGGCCGCACACAGGCCTGTGTTGTCCGCTTCCTGGGACGGTCCCCTGCGTCCAGCACACTCACGGCCAGGGCCACACGCAGGCCTGTGTTGTCCGCTTCCTGGGACGGTCCCCTGCGTCCAGCACACTCACGGCCAGGGCCACACGCAGGCCTGTGTTGTCCGCTTCCTGGGACGGTCCCCTGCGTCCAGCACACTCACGGCCAGGGCCGCACACAGGCCTGTGTTGTCCGCTTCCTGGGACGGTCCCCTGCGTCCAGCACACTCACGGCCAGGGCCGCACGCAGGCCTGTGTTGTCCGCTTCCTGGGACGGTCCCCTGCGTCCAGCACACTCACGGCCAGGGCCGCACGCAGGCCTGTGTTGTCCGCTTCCTGGGACGGTCCCCTGCGTCCAGCACACTCACGGCCAGGGCCGCACGCAGGCCTGTGTTGTCCGCTTCCTGGGACGGTCCCCTGCGTCCAGCACACTCACGGCCAGGGCCGCACGCAGGGCTGTGTTGTCCGCTTCCTGGGACGGTCCCCTGCGTCCAGCACACTCACGGCCAGGGCCGCACGCAGGGCTGTGTTGTCCGCTTCCTGGGACGGTCCCCTGCGTCCAGCACACTCAAGGCCAGGGCCGCACGCAGGCCTGTGTTGTCTGCTTCCTGGGACGGTCCTGTCTGGGAAACCCGGACAGTCGTTCCTGTCTCTTCAGTCTTGGTTTTCTGTTAGTATGACACCAATCTCCTACGTTGAGTTGCCTCCTGTAATTCCCTGCAGGATCTGTAATCACATGGCGTCTGGTTTGGGTGCCGGCCACACGTCCGCTCACACGTGCTGTCTCCGACTCCCCCCAGCCCCATGTGCAGCTCCCTCATGGCATCTTTTTGGGAGGGCCATTTTCCACGTCATTTATACCATCTGGGTGCTTTGAACCCAAAAAGTTCTCAGAAAAAGCTCACTGAAAAAAAAATGTATAACAGACGTGCCTTTGAAAAATTCATTTGATTGATGGTAGTAAAAGGCTCTGTAGTGGGCTGAGAGGTGTTCCTCCAAAATCCACGTCCCCCCAGAGCCTCGTGATGTGAGCTTGTGTGGAAACAGGTCTCTGCAGATAGTTGAGAGTGGAGATGAGGTTGAGCTGGATGAGGGTCAGCCTGGAATCCAGTGACTGGTGTTCTTATAAGGACACGAGACACAGAGGCAGGGCAAGAAGGCTGTGGAAGAGGGAGGCAGAGATCAAGGTGATGCACCCACAAGACAAGGGCACCAGGATCTCACAGCACTCAAAGCTGGGAGAGGCCTGGAGTCTCCCTGACAGCCACAGAGGAGCCAGCCCCGCCCACACCTGCATCCAGGAATTCTGATCTCTAGGACTGTGAGAAAACGAATTTCAGTTGCATAGAGGAGGTAATTTGCCATGGCAGCCCCCGGGAACTCACTCGGTGTACAAGGAGGAGGAAAGTGCCCGCTACTCCTAAGATAGAGCAGCCACACCCGAGGTAAAGGGGCACCCCATACCCGGAACAGCCCCCACTGCCCCACGGTGACCATCAGTCCTTGTCACTGAATGGATTCAGAACTCAACAACCTCACCACCCGCTAAGGAAGCCCCGTGGGAGGATGGGTCACTGTCTCCTAGGTGTGAGCCCGCACCTCACCCGTTGCCTGCAGCCCTCCCGGGAGGAAGGGTGACATCTGGGGTGCCAGGGCCCTCGGCCTGTGGGGCAAATGCTGGGCGGAGTGGGCTGACTGAGGCAGGAAATGTGAGCAGCTATCCAGAGAAGTCGGCCCCCAAAGCGTGAGTCTACTAGCAGCCTGAGAGCTGGCTACTGGCAGTCACTGGACAATTCCCACTTTACTTTGACCTGATAAATGGCAGGAAAAGTGCCCACCAGGAAGCCTGGGAACTCAGCAGGTGGTTGTGACGACAAGGCTCAGAGACCAGGTCACACTGGCTGGGGCCACTTTCTACGAAAAAGGCAGGCCACGAAATCCCTCCCTAAAACCCAGTCAGTGTGGACAACGGGATTCTACCTAATGCCTTGGGGACATCAGAGGTAAGTGTGCTCTTGTTTCTTAGGTGACATTCTTTTTTAATCTAAAAATATCTGTTGCCACCATTTAACGGTATGGCCCTAAGCAGCTTTCATTCCCACAGATTCAACACATTGTGAGCAAATAGCACCCGTTACTACAAATGCCTGTGAGGGAGAAAAGCCTACAGCCTTCCCCACAGAAGCATGTGTGACGCGGGGTGGGGACCCTGTACCTGCTCATATGTATGGAGAAAGTGGGGACATCTGTAATCCTCCACCTCAGGAACTAGCTGACTTGACTTGGACCCAGCTTTTCAGGAGGCACAAAACACAAATGAGAATCAAGTACGAAGCCCTTAGTGTTCCGGTCGTTCCAAGTCTAAGAGCTGTTGTGGGCGCCACAGAGCCTGCTGCTACTAGCGATCCCAGTTTGGCAAACACCGGGGCCTCACTTTGTCTCTTGTGTGGGGAATGCACACACCTCACATCTGTCTCACGGACCATAAACGCTCTCCCGAGAATCATGTTGACTCTGCTCACCGAGCCCAGGCCCAGCACAAAGACACACCATAAACACCTGCGGAGGGAGCGTGGCCCAGCCCAGGGACTCTGGGGCTCCCAGAAGACAGGGCCCTCCCCCAGCCATGCCGGGAATGCTGCGTGACAGCGGATCAGGAAATGGGGCAGAAGCCCATGAAACCCTCGGAGTCAGGTCACCAGGGCGGGTGCTCGCCCACCCCCAACGCCTGAGGGTGACATTTGACAGTTTACACACAGTCTCTGAGCGCCTGTTTTAGCCTAGGTTTGTAAAGGAGTCAAGAATTCATCTCAGAAAGCTGCCAGTAGACAACCAAATGCTATTTCAAAGCAACTGCAGGGGTTAGTAATTGAGATTTTTTTTATCCCTCTAACTTGCTACTTCCCTAGTTCTGTGGCAGGCCTCTTGACTCAGCTTATAAATACTAAAACTGTTGCTGTAATAAGAAAAAACAAGAAACATTCCTTGAATATTTCAGAGCAAAATGCTTGTGAAAGCCCTTGGTTTCCCCACAGAAAATGTATTTAAAAGAAGAAGAGCCGTGAATCGGTGGCAGCTGCTCCCAGCACCTGTTCCCCGTTCCCATCATTGAAGTTCTCGTGGCATTTTGGAAAGAACTGAGCAGTTTTCCTAGAGAAATACTCTGGGTTCTCGATTACACAGTTGACTGCACTCAACTGTTGGCTGAGACAAAGGGGCCTGAGAGGTGTATCCGTGCACAGAGCTCCGCACCCTGAAACCGCTCAGGGCATGGACCGCGGTGACGTGCCGCCTCCCTCCCAGTGCCCACTGAAGCGTCCTGCTCCCTTCTTCGCACAGATGGCAGTGTGGGGCCAGGGGACGTGTGGCATCATTTGCCCATGCCATTTTCACTTTGTTTTTTTTGTTTGTTTTTGTTTTTTTGAGACAGTCTCACCCTGTCACTCAGGTTGGAATGCAGTGGCACAATCTCAGCTCACTGCAACCTCTGCCTCCCAGGTTCAAGCAATTCTCCTGCCTCAGCCTCCCGAGTAGCTGGGATTACAGGTGCACACCACCATGCCTGGCTATTTTTATTTTATTTTATTATTATTATTATTTTTGAAATGGAGTCTCACTCTGTCACCCAGGCTGGAGTACAGTGGCATGATCTCAGCTCACTGCAACCTCTGCCTCCCGGGTTCAAGCAATTCTCCTGCCTCAGTCTCCCGAGTAGCTGGGACTACAGGCACACACCACCACACCCAGCTAATTTTTGTATTTTTAGTAGAAACAGTGTTTCACCATGTTGACCAGGCTGGTCTCAAACTCCTGACCTCAAGTGATCTACCCACCTCGGCCTCCCAAAGTGCTGGGATTACAGGCGTGAGCCACCACGCCCGGCCACCTTCTTCACTTTCATAGAATGTCTGGACTAAGTCTTCAAGGCACAAGGGCATCAAGCTCTAATGAGCACACGGGGGCACCACTGCAGATGGCCAGGGGGCAGGCGGAGGCCACCATGCACCCTCCCTCTTCATCGGCTCGCAGCCCCTCCTGGGGAGCTCTCGCTGCCATCACAAGCTGAGAGGCTTACAAGACACACATTCATCCCCTCACGGTTCTGCAGGTCAGGAGCCTGACAAGGGTCCCACTGGGGTAAAAAACCAAGGCTTGGCCAGCCTGGCTCCTTCCGGAGACTCCGAGAGAACCTCTTCATGTCTCTTCCCGTTTCCAGAGGCCACACATTCCTGGGCTCCTGGCCCCTTCCCTGTCTCTGAGCCACACTGCATCTCCAGCCTCGCTGACCCACCCCTGCCGCTGCCGAATTCCTCCCTCTGTCCCCTGTACAGACCCTGTTCTTCCACTGGGCTCCCCTGGGGAATCCAGGCTAATCCACATCTCAGGGCCTGGGGCTTAATCCACAACGTGCTGTTGGCTCTGGGGTCGGGAGGTTGGGGAGGCCGTGCCCGGGGGCCTTTCTTCTGTATTCCACACCATTGATCCACATCATGTTCAAATGATCTCCTAAATGGAATGGCTTCCTATCAACCCACGTCACTGGCTTCACCCCACTGTTACCAGGAGCTGGTTCTTGTTGGGCTCTGGAGGCCAAGAAGGGGCTCCTTCCCTCTGCCCATCAGCAGGTTGCTTGGCACGGTAGGGTGGGTGCCCCCGTGAGACACAGCTTGGGAGCACGAAGCGGCCGCAGGCCCTGGGCCCGGGCTACGGGCTGGGGAGGAGGGAGGATGAGGCGTGCAGACACTGAAAGGGCGGCTGCAGAGACTTTTTTGTCCAGAAGTAACCCAGAGCGAGCAAGTCCCTGTGGGTGAGGACCACGCATGCCCGGTTGGCGCTGATGTGTGGGAAAACGACAAATGGTGCAAGCCACACGGGTCACGTGCGTCTCCTGTGCTAATCGTGGATTTTCATTTCCTCCGGAGACCCAAATGAGAAAGTAAAAGTGTATGCAGGAGTCAAACCCACTTTCTAGAATGTGGTTAATTTCTAGAGGCAGCTGGGTTTCCTGTGGAGAAGACAGGTTTGCCTACGCAGCGTAGAGAGGAGACGGCTGTGTGGGCTCCAGCCCCAGGGGAAGTAGGGCCCGGGGGTCACCGCGAGGAAGCTCCATCGGCCGCGGCGGCTCTGTGGAATCTGAAGCGCGTGGTCTCACGGCCACCTCCCCCTGCACCAGCCGTGTGGCCCAAGGTGATGTCTGTGTGCCTTGGTTTCCTGATGCGTAGAACGTAGCCAGCTGGAGGACAGGGGGGCTGTCGGGTTCTTTGTGTGGAGGTCTCCAGAAGGCTGTTCGTGCTGTAGGCAAATTCCACAAGACCTAGGAGCCAGGACCCCAGGTGCCTTGATGCTGGAGGGAAGAACCTGGCTGAGACGCACCTGCAACTGTTTGGAGCTGGTGACCTTGGGCCCAGCACACCCTCGCTGCTGGTGGACACAGCCCCTCACAAGCAGCTGCGAGGCCCTCGGGCAGTGGCATGGGCGCCGTCGCTTCCTGCTAACCCCACATCCTCATTTCCCACGCTTCTCCTTCCACCTTCCATGATCACTGGGACCTACTGCCTCAGGAACCGCCTCAGAGGGACAGAGGGAAGCAGACCACCCTTTTCTTCAGAGAGTTCATGGCCCAGGGAGGGAACGCTGGCTGGGGACGATCACAAAGCCTCTCTGGTGCCCGGCCAGCGACAGGGACCCTCGGGGCTGCGGGGGGAGAGGACGCCCCTGCCCTGGCCGCACAGGGTTGGGTTAGAGGTGAGCTGGGGCCGGAGAAGCCACGGGAGCCATGTGGCGCCTTCTCAGGAGGTGCTCCCGCAGCTTCGCCTCCTCTCGTCTTCCGTGCGCAGGGAGGGACCAGCCCAGTGACAGCTGGGAGCAAAACTGGTCACCTCCCCTCGGGCTCTGGGCAACTGTCAACCTGCAGCTTTGAGTCTCTCCCCCTGGAATCTTCTATCTGGGGTATGATAATGTTATTACATACGTTGGTTATTTACAGCACAACATGAAAAGGCAATTTGTAAGGACTGGTCCGTCTAATCGGGGCGAATCACCAGTCTTCTGAGGCATCGTATTGAGTTTAGTTTCCGACTGATTGCTAAATGCCTTCACGCTGCGTGGATATTGCCCAGCTCTGCCTCCCTTGCTGCAGGTGCCCTGTGGATGCTGAGCTTCCACGGAGGGGCTGCTGCCCCCTCTGCCCCCACAGCTCAGCTCGAGTTCACCAGTGGGGAAGGCCGAGGGCCTGTGGAACGAGGGCTCCGTTCCCCCACCGCAAGGAGTGAACGGCACCGAGGTTCCCGCCGCCGAGCCGCAGCGCTGTGCAAGCCCCCGATGGGCGACGGACACCAGGCCCCAGCCCAACGCGCTTCCTTTGGCTCCTCCTGAACTGGGGGGGGGGCCTCGCACCCGCCTTGCCAGGGCCCTGGCATCTGTCTCACTGGCCTTTCTCACCTGGTATTCCAGTGAGGAGGGTGCTTCAGTTTTACTCCCTTTGAGAGGCAAGATCTTCTCAACCCACAAGAAGAGGCGACCAGGTCCTGGGTGACTGTCGAATAAGCCTGGTCCAACTGGGAACAAGTCTTCTGGGCCCTAATTTCCCACATGGTGTTCTTGTCTGACAAAATCACAGCCTTCCACGTTCAAGAATCTTCATTCATCTCTCTCTTTCAGCGAATGTTCCCTAAGCTCTCCCATCACTGAGCACTGCTGCCAACAGCCCAGCTGCATGCTACCACTTTGGTTTGATGGAGAGAAGGGCTCAGAACCTCGTGCAAGTGGGAGGCAAGCACAAGTACAAAGGCATCTTCCGGAGCCAAGGTGGGGGCGCAGAGGGCCTGTCTCAGTGAGATCCCACTGTCTTCCAGGGTTTGCCACCGCAGCAGTAAGCCCTGGAGTGGCCCCACACCCTAAGATCCACGGGGGAAAAGGTGGATGTCTCAGCATGGGTTTGTAACATTGTTCTCTTAAATAAGCAGAGGATGCAGAATTAGGAGCAAGCATTCCGAGGGGTGGCCAGCTGTGGCTTCCGAGGGGCACCTGACCTCCCATCTGCCTTCTGAGCACCAGCTGCCCCAGGTGAGGTGTGTGGAGTTCCACAGCTACGATGAGCCGTCGCCATGGAGAACAGCAGCTCACGATTGCTTTGATTTAAATTGAATTAAGGTGAAAATGAATCAGGGCATAACTCTCTTCTTTCAGCCAGACGTCTTTCTGAACCGGTGTATATATGACTTAAAAAAGTCACGAGGGTTTTGGGCCCAGGGATCAGGCAGGAAGGAAAGGCAGTGCCGTGCAAGGAGGGGTGGGTTAGAAATTGTATCCAGAACCGCTGTGGCTTGTACTGAAGGAAGAAACTTCGTAGTTCTGCTTCTATTTCTACCACAACACCAAGGAAGGTGTGTGGGGTGGGGAGCAGGTACACACAGGTCCTTGGTATTACCAGTGGTCCAGGATTGTATAATTCCGCTTATTCTACCCATCCCACAGCCTGACCCTGACTCAAGTCCTGCAGCCCCTTGGTGCCCTGAGCCCCCTCCCCTGCCTGTTCCTAAGCAATCAATCACCCTAAGACCCCGTTCTAGGTTTCAGCAGATGATGACGAGTTAATCAGACAAATAAGCCATGGGGTAGGCAGGGGTTGTGGGTGCTGCTTCCTGGTCCCTCTGGCAAACCAGAAGGGAGCTGCCTCCCTGCGGTCCCCACCCTGTCTCCAAGCTTCCCAGCAGAGCCCCACATCCAGCAACTGGGCCCAGCTTTAACCAGACGGAGGAGCAGCCTGACGTCCTGCCAGCCCCAGAGACAGATGTGGGCACAGGAAGGGAAGGCAGGGAGGAGAGGAAGCCAATAAAAAGTGTTAGCATCCGTCAGGGTGACCCTTTGCAGAACCTGCGTCAGCCTGAGGACGCAGGGAAAGGCTGCGCGGGAGAAGCCGCTGTTAGCATCTGCCAGGGTGACCCTTTACAGAAACTGCGTCAGCCTGAGGACGCAGGGACAGGCTGTGCGGAGAAGCCGCTGTTAGCATCCGTCAGGGTGACCCTTTACAGAAACTGCGTCAGCCTGAGGACGCAGGGACAGGCTGTGCGGAGAAGCCGCTGGCCTTTGCCGCTTGAAAGCTGGGTCCCTGCGGCCTCCTCACCCCAGGGCTCCCTCAGAGAAATTCTCATAGAACCCCTAAGCAATACGCGGGGAAAGAACGGATGCCACCCGGAAGCATGCCGAGGAAGAGTCCATTCATGGGAACTTCCAGAGCCGGTCACAGAGGCCAGATCCACGATCAGGTGCATGGCAGGGGCTTGTCCGCAGGACCGGAACCTTGGTGAGCATCAGCGATGGGCACTGTGTTTCCCCAAGAGTGACCTGGGGTGCCTTCAGGCCAGGCGCAGCTTCTACTCCTCATTTATCTCCACCACGCAGAGCAACGTGCGGCACAGACGAAGCACTCAGGGAACATTTAAATGAGTCCGTGGGATGCACCTAAAAGAAATAGAGGTTTCCAAAGAATAAGCAGGTACAAGTTAGACCCCACAAAAAAGATAGGCAGGCAGGCATTTGTTAAGTCCATTTCATTTCACCCTAGGGTTTTAACATCAAAGTATCCCTGTAATGAAGAGGCATTTTGTTACCCAAATTCTCATGTTCTTCAAGAGGGAGTAGAAAGGAAAAAAAGATGAAAAGGGAGAAACAGTACAGCCCCTACCTTCAAACTTACTACCCCCACCATACACACACACAGACACACACACAGTAAATGACATGGATATTTATCCAGTCTGCCATAAGACACCTGGCCCCACCTTATAAATGAGGGAAGCCTGGGCCAGCACAGTGGCTCTCAACTATAAGCTCAGTCTTTGGGTGGTCAAGATGGGAGGCTCACTTGAGCCCAGGAGTTTGAGACTAGCCTGGGCAACATGGCAAAACCCCATCTCTCCAAAAAATACAAAAATTAGCTGGGCATGGTGGTGGCACATTCCTGTGGTTTCAGCTACTCAGGAGGTTGAGGTGGGAGGATCCCTTGAGTCTAGGAGTTCAAGGCTGCAGTGAGCTGAGATTGTGCCACTGCACCCCAGCCTGAGCAAAAGGAGTAAGACCCTGTCTCGAAAAAAAAAGAGGGAAGCTCGGTGCTGGGTATGTCAGAGATGGAAAGACTCTTTCCAGTCTTTATGTCTCATTGGACAACGTGAAGATTCAACTTCCAGGGCTGCTCAGTAGAGCCAAGTCTGGAAAACAAGCTCGTGGGCACCACATCACAAGCACGTTTTCCCTGGAGCCCGCGTTGTCACTACTGTATTCCCAACTCCACTCCGAGGGCCTTTCAGGGTGGAGGAGAGAGCTGTGGCCAAAGGCAGTGAGAGGCAGAACCCCCAGCCCAAAAGCCAGATTTCAGCCTCAGGGACGAGCCAGGGCTCACCACCCCCGCGACACCGCAGGCCTCTGTGCGGAGACTGTGCTCAGGCCCAGCGCTTGCGCTGGAGAAAAGGCGGAGACATTCAGAACCCAGGGGATTCCAGGCTGCCTTCTCCACAAGGGTCAGGTTTGTGGAGGAGAAAGGGGAAGATTCTCCACCCACCAGGCGCCTCCTGGACTGTCAAGAACTAACAGGGACTAGATCACCCGAAATAGCAGATCAAATTGAAACAGCATACTTAGCTTTTGGAACGAACCACGAAGCAGGCAGGAGGACCGGAGATTGCAACATACTGACCTTCCGAGTCCTGTTTGGGTCAGTTTGTTAAAATTAGTTTGTCCTCCCTGGAGACACGGCCAACGCAGCCTTTTCCGTGGCAGGAGTCCAAACACAGTCTCTGCTGCTCTCCACGCACGGCAATGGGAAGGCAGCCCTTTCCCCTCCATCACTCCGGGGAGCTCACGTGCGGACGGGGTCCTCTGTAGCATCTTTAAATTGGAGGTGACTTTGTACCGTTGGAGCCGGGGGCAGAGTCAGCAGTGACCTCAACAGTTAGGACCAGGATAAGTTCCTTCTGCTGAAAGAGGACGTTAAGATGAGAAGGGCTTGGCCGGGCGCGGTGTTTCACGCCTGCAATCGCAGCACTTTGGGAGGCCGAGACCATCCTGGCTAACACGGTGAAACCCAGTCTCTACTAAAAATACAAAAAATTAGCGGGGTGTGGTGGCGGGCGCCTGTGGTCCCAGCTGCTCGGGAGGCTGAGGCAGGAGAATGGCGTGAACCCGGGACGCGGAGCTTGCAGTGAGTCGAGATCGCGCCCCTGCACTCCAGCCTGGGCGACAGAGCGAGACTCCGTCTCAAAAAAAGAAAAAAAGAAATGCTTTTAGCGCACTTAGAGCATTTAGAGCAATGGGATGATTAATTCCATTTTCCATTTCGGGCCTCATCTCAAGTATTTTTATTTCTTTCTCTTCCTCACCTTCCTGCCACCATTTGTGGTGGCAAATGTGACATTTCACATTTACACCATTGTCCAGTTTCTCTAACAGCTTGACTTTCTGTGCTATAAACATAAACACTTCCCCTTTATCCCCTTTAACAAACTGCTGTCTCTCTAGGGGTATCTGCAGGCCTCTTTGACATTTTCAACATTAACTTTAAGCTACTGAGCAAAAAATGAGCAAAAAACCCAGTCAGGGCTAGAGTGTAATCATGACGAATAAACTGGGGGTTTCATGATATTTCTGACACCTGTTTGACTACAGAGACACTGAACTGTCCTCTGCCAGGTCCAGCCTGGGCTCTAGAGCCTGCGTCTGAGGCCCCTGCCCCACTCGTTGGGAGCAGCTCCAGGGCTCCCCCACCTCCCTTCCCTCTCCTGTTTCAAAAGTATTGACTTTGAGGATCAGAAATGGTCCTAACTGTTGCTTTTTCATTTTAACTAAAACTCTCAAATTTAGAGTGTTTTTCCCTTTTCAATACACCTTTTTAATATTGCTTTTTTTTTTTTTTTTAAGATGAAGTCTTGCTCTGTCCCCCAGGCTGGAGTGCAGTGGCGCAATCACAGCTCACTGAAGCCTCGGCCTCCTGGGCTCAAGCCGTCCTCCTGCCTCAGCCTCCTGAGTAGTTGGGACCACAGGTGCCACCAGCACACTCAGCTAATTCTTTTAAAATTTTTTTGTAGAGACAAGATCTAACTCTGTTGCTTATTGCATTTTTTTATTTCAAATGTTTATACCAAATTTTTTTCTAAGCTTCTAAGAAAGAGCTGAAATTCACAAAATCCAATTCATACTAATTCTAGAAGAAACAATACTTGCCCTTCTGCAGGTGAGCAATTCCTATTGTAAGCGTCTGACACCAGACGCCCTTCCCCCCTTCTTCCTTCCTTCCTCTCTCCCCCCACAGGTCAGGGTGGGACAGCGCAAGAGAGAAAGTTGGAGACACCACGAATCCCGTCACAAACACTCTTAGGCCACTTCCATAAAAGTGTAAGAGGTTCTAGGCATCAGGCTAAAGTACTGCTGTTGAGGTCCATAATGTCTACACCAGGGTGCCACTTGGGGGTTTGGCAAGGCAGGCTGAGGAGCAGGAAGTAGCAGATTCTGATCCTGTCTCTGAAAAGTGATTTTATTTGTTGAATATCCCAGCACTGAGCTGTGAATTAAGATTCACTAAAGGAATCAAGGTTCTTGTAAAATATCCAGGACCACAAAGCAGAGATATTTTTCCTTATGGTTCAATAATTTTAAAGTTCAAATTAACTTAAAACAGTAACATGCTTTTCGTGAATGGTGCTTTGACCATGGGTTTAGACACCGAGGAAGCAGAGGAAGTTGGTGCACAGGAAACAGCCTGGGAGGCCCTTGGCAGCTGAGGCACACGTCTGCACCTCTTGCCATGGAAGGTTGGCTTGTCTTCTAAAAATCGTATCCGAGGAAGATTCTACCACTTCCTCGATAAACCACTGACAGCCTTGAAGTTTTCTTCATGCCTCGATCCAACGAGAATGCCCTGTCCTGCAATTTTAGATGATTTCCTCTTACACTGACCTTATTTTCTTTGAGAACGTAATTAATGACATGAGTCTTGTCATTTTTCTTTTCTGTGCTTTAAAAAAAACAAAAGGTTCTGATGCTCATGTTGCAATACATTTTAAAATGCTGCTTCATTCTGCCTTCCTCAGGTACCTCACTCCGGATTCTATTAAAATCGTAATCTCTAGAAGATGGATTCAGCAAATGCCAGGCGTGGAGCCATGAATGTTTCCATAAGAAACAAGAAAAATAGAAAGAATGTGTGTTAGCCAGACGACACCTTGATGGCACCCCTGCCACCTCCCCAGCCCTCCTCAGTGGCAAAGTGATTTAGCTCAGTTGGGCTTCTCCAAAATGGAAATAGTCACTTGTTTGAGCAAATAAATGTAATGAAAGTTGTTCCGGAAAAATTCTAGTACTCTGCACTAATACATATCATCTTAAAAACTTATCTCTGAATTGTTTCCAAATGACAAATGTGTAAAGTTTCTAAGTACTTTTTGTTTCCTTATCCTTGTAGTGGAAGATACTACATTCAACACAGACGTACTGTGTGCCTCCTGCGTGTGAGGCCTGGTGCTCATGGCGCGTGTCCTTGCATGCAAAATTCTACTCTTCATCTTGACGTTTCTAGACATTCAGCTGTTCCTCAGGAAACGATTTACCTTCCCTCTGCCTTTTCTGTAAAATGCATGGACTGAGGAATTACTAATGCATAACACTTTGTTTGCTGGATACCAAGTAGACGCACTCTTACCATATACAGGGCTGTATCTAGGCAGCCAGTTATTAGAATAAAAACAGAATACTATGTTCATCCGCTCAGATAATCCCTGTGTTTGGCTTCATGTTATGGTTCGAAACTCCTAGTGACATTGGTAAGAGTGAACACGAGAATGAAGCTTCTTTCATGATGAAATGTCCTGAGTGTGTGTCTGTGTGTTCTCAAATTATAGCTCACATGGATAGAGAACGTTTTCTTGCTTCAGCCTCAAGTGGGGATTGGGTTGCAGTGGTGAACCAGGGCCAACACAGCCCGCCCTCTTTGAGGTTGCAGTCTCCTGGGACACACGCCCACTAAACAAACAGCTACACGAATTAATCATGCCACAGGGCAAACTGCAAGAGCACCATCACGTGCGGCAGGTAACCCAGGCGGGTCATTTTCGTGGCGGAAGAAGGTCACACTGGAAGTCACCAGACAGATGGAAGATCCCACTCAAAGTCGCAGAGTGGGGGCGGATGGAGAACCAGGCTGCCAGGGCGCTGGCTGGAGCCGAGCGGTAACAGACCCGTGGGAGAATAACGAAACGAGGCTCCAAGACAGGCGGGAGCCGGATGGTGCATGACCTGAGAGGCCAAGTCAAGGATTTTGAACTCCACGCTAAGAGCAGCCGGAAGCCGTTCGCTGGCGCCAGCTGAGCACATGCGCAGAACCGTGCCCTGAAAGGCACCGTCCCCTGCAGACGGGAGGAGGTGCTCCCAGCACTGCTGCAGACGCTGCCGTTTCCCTTTCAAGGACTCAGCAGAGTGGGCAATCACCTAGGCGCGCCACCAGCGAGCCTGAGACTCTGCTACCAGCGTCCTTGACCGGACTCCCGCTCTCCACCCAGTTTAATTGGCTTGCTTTTGGCCTTGTAAGATTTCTCATCTGCGATGTGCGTATGCAACCACAGCAAGCCTCCCTCAGATGCATTCTGCTGTGGGTCACGTCACAGACACGGCGGTCCATACACACCCGGAAACTGTCGTGTTTGCGTGTGCGTGTATTCACTGTATGGTCCGGCTTAATGCTTTTGCTTATGGGAAGTTTCAAACGTGTACGAAAGAGGAAAGAACACGGAAGTGAGCGCCCCCATGGGCCACTCCCAGCTGCAGCGACCCCCAGCAGTGCTCGTGGGACTCCCCGTGCCACCGTGCCCGCGGCGGGGGGCTCCGAATCAGTCCCAGGCCTCGTATTGTTTCATCCATAAATATTTCAGAATTTTCTCTAAAAGATAAGGTCTCTTTTTAAACTGAACAGTAATAACACATCACATCTAAACTATTTAGCAGGTGCACTTTAAAATCATGTGGATATCCCAGTCAGCGCTTACATGTCTCCAGTGGGTTCATAAAATTTTTAAACTGTTTGAAACAGGAACCAGATCCAGACGCTGCGATGGATTGATATGTCCGTGTCTCTTTGTATCTATGGGTTCCCCCTCACCATTTTCTTGTTTTTTCCTTGCAATTTATTTGGCTACAGAGTTCCCTGGATTCGGCTGCGCAGATGCGTGGGGCGTCGAGGAAGGAGTTTTCAGTCCCGTGTTTCCGTAACTGGTAATGAGACTGAGAGCTGTCATCGGATTCAAGCTCAATGTTCTTAGCAAAACACTTCTCCTCTTTGCTGGTGTTGCTGGCCTGGCATTTAACGTGCCCTTAATGCAAGGAGGAAATGCAAGCGGAGTCGGGTCTGAGGGGAGTGAGCGCCAGTGCCTCCGCGCAGCTCCTGCTACATCGGTCGCCCTCTTTCCATCCTGGGAACCGCTCAGCGCTTTGAGGTACGCGCAAGTTAAAAATGCAATCACTACCATAAGGAACCCGGGCTTAGCGGGGGGCAAAGCGGCAAATGAGGGGTCAGCCCACAGGGAGCCCGTGCGGTCCTGCTGAGCCAGCAGGCGGGACGCGCTTAGAGACGGGGCTGCCCACCGACGGGAAGCGGAGGAGCAGCTTCCGTGACTCCCACGCCCCGTCTGGGGCCATGTTGGCGTCAAACGGCGACAAAATCATGACAGCTGTGACCCACTGGGTACAAAATAACTCACAAGTCTACACTGACATGAATGAATGAATGAATGAATGAATGAATGAATGAATGAGGAACGCTCATTCTTTCTGCGGAAAGAACTAATAAATGCATGGGGGGATGGAATTAGAAAATCGCGGCTGCTTCATGCGCGTGCCTGCTCTTACCAAGTCACCTCATGATGGCCAGCAAGCAGCTTCCTGAGGGAGGAGAGGAACGGGCTGCTTCTCATGGATCCAGGGAAACCAAAGCCTTGAAAAGAGAAACACCAAGGCCACCTCTGCCCTCAGCCTCGCGGGCCGCAGGTGAGTGAGCACACCTCCGCTCTAAGGCAAAGCCAAGTAACTACGCCTTCTGGTTGTCATTCATAAAATTTATTTTGGAAAAATATTTTAAAAAGGAATTTCTTCATTAACAAAACAGTAAAAAACTCAAATAACATTTGCACAATATTCCATAAATACATTTATATACAAAAAAATATAGTCACATAGACCCGAAGTGCCTTTGTACATATTTACCAAAATTTAAATTATAAAAAACGAACATCACAAAATACTCAAGCTTTACAGATATCATGAAAAATATTTTTACAAATCCAAAAAATAACACACATCTTTTCCATCTAGAAAAAGCACATCTTCGTATCAAAAAGGACAATAAAGGCAGTGTTTGTGTTTCTAATTCAAGAAAAGACTGGCTCATAAGAATCCAAAATATACACTCAGGCAGTGCATGCTTCTTATGCGTAATTCAGTTCACCCATTTAAATATATATTCTCTTAAGAGCAACTGTCCATAGTGCAACGGCGACGTCACGGAAGGCAGTGCCGCAGGCGGCCGGGCCGCGACAGGCTGTCGGCAGGCGTCGAGGACCTCAGGAGGAGAACCTGCTCGGTCTGAACTCGGTTTCTCAGCAGCAGTCCACGAGGCCTCCCTCCTCTTCAGCAGCATTCGTTGGGGCATATATCCTTGGAATTTTACTTATTTTAAGAGAAACGGGAGTCTTGCCATCTCACTTCCATTTTACACCTGGGGGGCCACAAGACAAATGGGAAGTTAGCCTGAGACCGATTCCCGTGCTCCAGCTTCAGGTGCTCCCATGCCGAGGAGGAGGGAGCGGCTGCTGCCTGCACTGACCTCAGTTGCTATGACGCACTCATCCTTCTCCTCGGATATGACGTACACCGACTGGTACTTGGTGTCTTTTGAAGTTGAACAGCCCGAGTCCGGCCTTTTTCTTTCAGATGCTTCTCCACTAAAAGGAAAATAGAGAAAATCCACAATGAATGCATGAGAACATTTGGGAAGAGAAACGGAGCAGTGGTTCCAGGAAGACACCCCCCAGGTACCCCCTCCTGATGCCCGGCCCGCAGCACGCACCCCCTGAGTGTGGTCGGGGTCCCCTTCTCCTCCCCTGAGGAGCCCTGGGGCTGGCACTTGGTGTCACGCTTGCTGTGCGCGTCCCTGACGGCGGTGTCGTCACCCTTGAGGTCCTGCACGAGGTTATAGTCCACCGCTGGGTAGCGGGCCTTGAAGCCATTCTTGTCGGCGCTGTGGTCCCCGTGGAAGTCCGCCTTCTTGTTGGTGTTCTTGATCTGCGTGGCCCCGATGATGCTGACTGAGATGTCCTTCTCACGCTGGCAGTTGGCCAGGTTGTTCATGGTCTCCGTCTCCCCCCGGCAGGGGTCGGCTGGGGGCCGGTGCTTCTGCAGCCTCAGCCGGACGCAGACCACCACAGCGGCACAGCCCAGCAGCAGCATGAGGACAAGGATGACCCCGGCGCACACGGCCACCCAGGGGAATGGCCCGCCCTGGCCCTCTAGCTTCTCAGTGAGGTCCACCACCGCTGGGCCCGGGGGCAGCTCGGGGAGCAGGAACTGGCAGTTGGGACCCCCGTAGCCTCGGGCACACTCGCACACATAGCGGTGGCCCCTCTCGTGGCAGGTGGCCCCATTGTGGCAGGGTGCGTGCTCGCACCTGCTGACGGGGGCACTGCAGTTCCTGCCCGTGTAGCCAGGCGGGCAGGTGCAGGAGAAGTCGTTCACGCCATCCCGGCAGGTGCCCCCGTTGGCGCACGGGGAGGAGGCGCAGTCGTCCACGTTGTCGTCACAGTGCCTCCCCGAGAAGCCGGCCTGGCAGCGGCACAGGTAGGCATCACCGAGGTCCACACACTTGGCACCTGGAACACAGGGACATGAACATCACGTGTCTCCTCGTAGGTTTGTTCACCAAAAAGTCACTCTGAAGCATCTATCTGTCTGACACTGTAGAAACCAGACAAACCAAAGACAGTCTGTGGCCTGAATGAGTCCACAGCGCAAGGTGACATGGTTTAGGACCTCAAATACGAGAGGTGTCCAGGTCTAGCTCTACAAGTCAGAAACCACACGGCCAGCATCTGGACAGGCGCTGTGCAGAACACTCTGGTGGCTGCATTAGTCGCCACAACAGCCGGGCAAGAGCATGTGCCACTCGACCCAGGTTTCAGATGGGGAAACTGAGGCTTAACGAGGGTGTCCTTGCCCACAGTTACACAGCAAGTGAGAGGAGCAGGCACTGACAACAGGGGAGGGAGGGAGGGGAAGGATGACCATTCCGGAATGCTCCGGCACATCTGGGGCCCAGCTCTCCTTGCTGTGTGTCTCCTTTGGGCAGCCAGCCCCTCGCTGCTAGCAGGAGGCTCTCTGTCCTCACTCAGGGACACCCCCAACTACTGTGCTGGGTGGCCACACAGCTGGGCCATCCTCCCAAGCTGGAGTGGCCGGCACCTGTGGGCATCACTTACTGAACCTCAGGCGGCCGCAGGTGCCCGAAGCACCTTGTGGCCCTGAGCAAGTCATTCACTGCTTGGTCTAGGTTTCCACAGAGAACTTCATAACAAATGCCCTGGCCTCTCTCATTCCCCAGGCCTTTCCAGACTCAAAGATAGAGTTTCCATCGAGAATTCCTGGCGGTCTGGATAAAAGTGATTCATAAACTCGAGGTCACTCACAAATGCTTGTTTTTAATGCCACCTCAGTATTGACCGCTCGCCCGAGTCTCTGAGCAATCACCAGCTGCCCCCTTACCATTAGAACAGGGTGAAGAGCTGCAGTAGTCAATTTTCTTCTCACAGTTGAAGCCGGAGTAGCCCACGGGGCAGCGGCAGCTGTACCCTCCATCGGGGCTGTCTGAGCACCGACCCCCGTTAAAGCAAGGGCCGTCCGCACAGGTCATGGCACTCAATTCACAGATTTTGCCGTAGAAGCCGGGTGGGCAGGTACAGGAGTAGCTGTTCTCGAGATCCTACACGATGGAGAGGTCAGAAAAGGCTTTCCAAAGTTGCTCCAAGGAGCCCACACACTCCATTCAACACCAGGGCACCCCAGCTTCCGGGTGAGATGCCATGGAGCCTCCGACTCACCGTGCAGCTCCCTCCGTTCTTACAAGGGCTGGGGTCACACTCGTCAATCCCCAGCTCGCAGGTGGCACCTGTGTACCCAGGCCGGCAAGAGCAAGTGTAGCTCCCCTGGCCCGTGTTGGTGCAGGTGGCTCCATTCTTGCAGGGCTTATGGTGTGTGCAGTAGTTCAGGTCTGTGAAGGGTGGGGACAGGAAAAGTAGGAGATAGGAAGCTCGACATCAAATGCAGGAAGACTTTATTTTTCCAGTGATCAAACAGCCAGGGAAGTCCAGGGCTGCTCTGGAGGGAGCAGGCTGCCTCAGGGAGAGAAGGCTTACCCTGGTTGCAGAAAAGGCCCCCCCAGCCTTCCTGGCAGTTGCACTGCCAGGGCTGCTGGCAGGTGCCATGGAGACAGCCTGGATAGCGGATACACTCGTCACAGTACCGGCCCTGCCAGCCCACTCTGCACCTTGGAGAAAAGCAGAAGACTCAGATGGACGTTGACTGTTGCTGGCTTTGCAGTGGACATTCTCACCCTAGAAACCATCTTCCCGCAGCACCAGTGAGCCTCTGGTTCTCCAGATTAGCAGAACACTGGGTCACCTTGGGAGCTGCAGCCTGGGCCTGGGCCCCACCAGAGGTTCTGGCTTCTTGGGTGTTAGGGCAGCACCAGTGTCAGCATCTCAAAAATCACTCCCTGAGTGATTCTAGGATGAGGCAACATTTGAGAACCATTGAACTATACTATCATTTCCTGTGCCAACTCTTTTTAAACTACTATCTGTAAATTCTCATAGCCGTTAAGGGGCTTAGACGAATGACAACTCCATGACCTTACATGCTGCCAAACATTGATTAAGTAGAAACATGAGAAAACGGCCCCCTGTTCAATCAATCTTACTGGAGTTTTTCGAATGATCACCTAGGGCTGTTTTTACAAATACACCAGCTGTGAAAAGATAACAAGAAAAGGCAACAAAACAAAACACCACCTTGTGCAGACTTACTTGCATTCCCCTGGTTTGTCACAAAATCCATGCTGCTCATCACATCCAGGCAGGCAGATCGCTACAAGCAAAGGAAAAACAGGGTCAAGCCCCACGCCAAGTACGTCCCAACAGGGCTGCCGCCCTTGGGGCCAGGACACAACTCGCCGGCTTCAGTCAGCAAATCCCAGCTGAGTTAATCTTCCCAGGTTGTGGAGGACTGACCCCCCTGCCTAGTAGCCTGGGACTTGACTCAGCCCTGGGGATGAGCATTCTTCTTAACACAGGGGCTCAAGGACAAAAGGGCTCTCGGAAGCCCCCACCCCCACCCTATCCCCTTTTCTTCTAAGAGAGGGTCAGAAGTCTTCCCCCTCCTCCTCCCCCACTTCCCAATTCTGTGCACAAAGCTCCACCTCTTAATATCCCAGAAAGTGTGTGTGCAGATAAGAGTGGACAGCTGGTATGCAGGGTGCCAGGGCAGGACAGCTGCTCCATTGTCTGTCCTCCACGGCAGCTGCCCCAGCGCAACAATGCCGGCCTCCCCCGCGCCCCCGGCCCCACCTCCTCACACACACCCCTCGCGTGTACACACACACACACACACACACACGCACACGCACCCCTTCCGCCAATGGGAGCCGGCGGGTGTCCCTGCGCCTATCCCCGGAGAGATCTAATCTATGGCACGCGCGAGCTGGGGGCGGGGAGAGACTTCAGTGTTTGAAGAAAAAAGTTTAAGTTTCTGGCTACCCTGTGGTGAAGAGAGGCAGGGAGGAAGGGTGGGAGGCAGCAGACTGGCCAGAGGCTCCCGCAGGGCAGGGAGTAGACAGTGGGCTTGAGGCTTGGAGCTGGCTCTTGCTGCCTGGTTATGAAACTCATTAACAAGCAGCTCCACAAGTTGTTTTTTGTTTTTTTGTTTTTCCCCAGAACCAGTTCAGGCCAAGGCAAAGCTTAGAAGGAGCTCAGTAAGTTCCGGAGGGAATTTGGGAAGCTAAGGAGCAAGGACATCAAGGCACTCAGTGAATGGGAAGACCCACCCTCAACCCCAGGCACTACCCAGCTCCTGCCAGAGGTTCTGGGCCTCCCAGAGCCCCTCTCCAAGGTTGTCCAGTTCCAAGGAAGGAGAATGACAGTTCCCTGGAGTTTCTGGGCAGCTCCAGGACCTACCCAATCCCCAGCTGTAGAGAAATCCGGTACCAATGGGCTGGGACGGCCAGGCGTGCAGGCGAGGCCTCAGTCAGCTGGAGAGAGGGCTCCTGAGGTCCCCATGAGCCAGAACCAGGAGCCAGCACGGCCCCAACCCTGCCCTAGTCACCTGCCTGCCATGACATTGACACATCAATACCTAATAAGAGGCAGGTAGAGCCTCTGTCACTATTGGGAAGACATTGCTTCTCCAGACAAGGTGCTGCCTGAGCATTCAAGCCAGACGGGGCTGTGCACCCCTCGCCCACACAGGCCTTGGAGACCTGGCCTCAGCAGCCCACAGGAGTGAAAGCCTGCTCTCTGGCCAGCATAGACAGTGCGTGTCACAGGGAGTATCCGGAAAGGCGTTTGCTCCAGAGAGGTCAAGCACACCAGCTCCAGAGAGAAAATGGAACGTTTCCCAGTGTGATGCTGTTCCAGCACTGGGAACTCGGGTTGAAATGGTGCCCCTGACACACAAGCTCTCTCTGTGTTCCTCCCTTCCTTCCTCCTCTCCCTCTCTAATACACACACCCTGGGGGTAGCACTGGCTTTACTTCCTGACCCCTGGCCCTGTCTCTAAAATCCTCCCTGATTAAGAAAGGCAGTTCCGATAGTGGATAAACACAGCCTGGGATGTTAAAATGTCTGCGTTGACCCCAACCCCCCCACTGACGAGCTGTGACTTATAGCAATCCACTTCTGTCCTCTGGGCCTCAGTTTCCCCACCAGAACATCTCTACAGTCCCAAGCCCCCCGTGGCTCAGGAAGCCCCGTCCCTGCGCGCGGTCCGTGTTCGTGGACGAGTGAGCCAGCGGTGCCTTCCCAGAGACTCACGCTCTGTGCAGTAGGGCCCTTTCCAGCCAGGGTTGCACACTTTCTCCCCACGCTCCCCACAGGTGAAGTGGCCGAAGGCATCGTCCCGGGGACGGCAGAAAACGGAGCAGCCCTCTCCGTAGTAGTGTTCGTCACACACGAAGCGGTAGGAGTACTTGAGGTCCGTGCGGCCGCTGCTGTGCAGGTCCTGGGACCACTCCTCGCCCACCGTCAGGTGCCTCTGGGTGGCCAGGCGGCTGATGAGTCTTTCTGGGTTTTCTACGGGGAGAAGATGCTCCTGGTTGGTTCTGAACGAGAACCCTGTGACTCGGGACAGAGCGGGGGTGGGCCGAGACATTCAGCACGGGAAGGAGGCCCAAGCTGCTCCACCCTGAACTTTCTGGGGCACGTGCAGAATGAAAGCTGTCCGGGTTTGGCTGGGGGATGGGTGGGCAAAGTCCAATGCTATTAACTGGGGAAAGCAGTTTTGGGGTTTGGGTTTTGTTTTTACCTGTTGCGAGGTCATCAGGAGAATCTGTGTGGAGAGCTTCAATAATCAGAGAGAAGGTGCCCTGGGAGAGAGGGGAGAAGACGTTAGACAACCCAGAAAGGTAACGAAAAGAAAACGGCAAAAAGCAGTCATTCCTAACAGCCAGGTCAGCAACAGAGGCCTGAAGGCTGCAGGTCTGGGGCAGCGTGTCTGGAGAGGGTCTCCACGCACCTCCTGCCTGCTCTCACCTTCCCTAAGGAAATGGAAGAACTTTTTAAAGAGTGGTTTCCTGACGTGTTTTTTCAGCCTGTACTACAGGATATTACGTTGTTTTTTTAATTAGAGAGAGAGAGAGAATGCAGGCAGGATGGGGTGGAAGAGGCCCGAGGGCCCTTGTCATTTTTCTTGGGGGATGGGCACGCTCCGGGTGGTAGCGGTCGCGCTGCGCGGGTAATCGCGCCACCAACGCGTCTAGGAGTCGGGAAACCAGAACCTTCCCACGTGAAGGGGCGCCTCTGACTGGAGACCTGGCACAGAGGCCGGATACGGAAATCTCCCGGGCGCGCTCGGCCTCTCCTCCTCGCCCCAGCGCGGTCCCCTCCTGCAGGCCGCGGGGCCCCGGGGCGAGGTGTCCGCGCTGCTGGGCTGGAGTCCTGGGGCCGCCGCTAGGCAGATCGCAGCGCCCACCTGCGCCTCGCGGGGTCCCCGAGGTCCCGCCACCGAGCGCCCAAGGCGGGATCCCAGCGCGTCCTGCAGCCCGCCCAGCTTCAGGGCCGGCCCGGCGCGCGCAGGTGCGGCACTCACCGGCCAGGTGAAGCCGAAGGGGAAGCGGATGGGGTTGCTGAACGCGGAGTCGGCGCCCCCGCCGTCGGGCAGACTGAAGGAGTCGACGCCCAGCACGGGGGTGACGGCGCTGCCGTAGGTGCAGGGCGGCTCGGGGGACACGCTGGCCTGGTAGTGCTTGAGGCACACGCGGAAGAAGGTCCGGCAGGCGCACGGCGGTGGCCCCGCGCCCCCGCGGCAGCAGTTGCGGTTCCCCAGCAGCCCCTTCTTGTTGACGAACTCCTGCAGCTTCAGTTCGAACACCCCAGAGCTCCAGACCTGCACGGGGGAGGGCGGGGGCGTGAGGACGCGGGTCCCGCCCGAGCTAGGGGGCGTGAGGCCTGGGTGGGGGGTGTGCGGAGAGCCTGGAAGGGCTCAGGGGCCGAGCGCGCTCGCTGCACGGCCGGCGCTGGGGTCGTCGCCCCCGGGATTCATCTTCCGGGCCGTGGCTGGCGCGGCCCGTGCCGCTGTCCGCCCCTCCCCGCGCGCTCCTGCCCCGCGCCCCGGCTACCCGTGAGACCCCGCGGGGCCGCGGCGCCCCCACCTGCCCGCCTACCTGACACAGCAAGGCCGAGAGCACCGCCAGGGCCAGCGCGCACCGACTGCCCATGCTGCTTCGCTCCACGCGCGAGCCTGGGGGGCCCCCACTTCTCTCCTTAGAACAGCGGCGGACGCGCGGGGGATCGATGGGCCACGGGGAGCGTGGGCAGAAAAGCGCCCTTGCCTCGCCCCAGACCGCAGGACCCAGGACTTCTTTCTTTAAAAGCCGGTCTCCGCCTCTTCCCAAGGCCGCGGTTCTTTATATCCGCCCTGCGAGGTCCCGCGGCAGCCCCAGGGATGCCCGAGGAAAGGCAGCTCTCGGGGGACAGCGCGGCGGCGGCGACTTTCGTTTTCCTCCTTCCTCCCAGCCCCCGAGGAGGTGAGGGTCGCCGGCTTCCTGGTTTTGTCTTGAGCTTCTTCGCAGGAGAGGGAGGGGGAGAAAGAGAAAGAGAGAGAGTCCAGAGATTGAGCTTAATTCCCAAGAGAGCTGCAGAGCTTCCTCCCGAGCCGATTAGAAAGCCGCGGTCTGGAAATCCCACGGGCAAGGCGATAATCCGGGGCCAGCGGCGCGCGCTGAGGGGACGGTCGGCGGCGGCGGGTGTGCGCGGCGGCCCCTGCGGATCGCGGCCCGGTGTCACTCGGCGGCGGCGGTCGTTCCGGGAGCACTCCGGGCTCCGATCTCCGGTGTCACAGCAAAGATCCGCGTCTTTCCGATGAATCCAGCCAATGCCATCCAGTACACACGCGCAGGACCGGAGGGGCCGGGCCGTGGGAGGAGGCTCTGCGCCGCGGCTGCCCGGGTTCCCCTGCGCTCTGCCCTCGGCCGGGTCGGGTCTCCGCGGGTGCGCGCAGAGGATCTGGCTCTCGCCGGCGCCTGCCGCCCTTATATTCAGCCGGCCGCCCGCATGGCTAATGAGATGCAAATCAGCAGCCCCCCAATCTGGCGAGAGCTGTCACAAAGGAGCCACTTTTCCAAACCCTCCTCTCAATGGATCGCCAAATGGTCAGTGAGCTGTAAAATGTGCAACCCTCCTCCCCGCCCCCACCCTTCCCCGCCCCCCCAGTCCTCCCCTGCCCCCGCCCCCAGCCCCCCCTTCCTCCCTCACCACACAAAACGCACTCATTTACATTCCTGCAAAATGTTCACCGCAAGAATCCCCCTGCTTCTGGAGCTGGTGCCGCCGCCCCGTCCCCTCCGCACGCCCTCCCGGGCCACAGACGCCCAGAGACCCTCGGCCACACGCGGGGGGCGGCGCTGCGGGCCCCACTTGAGCGGCGGGACGCGGCCTCCGAAACTCCGGGCCGCGGCGGCAGCCGAGGGGTCTCCTTGCGCCGACAGCGTCCCGGGGGCTTGGGGAGGGCGGCTGCGAGCAGGAGGACGAAGTTCGAGGCCCGAGCTCTTGGCGGGGCCGCCCCTTCTTCGGGGCAGGCGCTTCCTAAGGAGGAGTCTCTTGGGGGCGGAGGCGGGGGTGGCGATTCGGGGAGCATCGTAGGAAAGGGGCGGGCGGAGCGGTGGGCCGAGGGCTGCCAGAGCGAAGCGGCAGTTTCGGGAAGTTTGGGGAGGTCCGAGGCGGGGACACCTCCTGGCCCAGGACGGCGACTGAGCCTCGGGGAGTGCAGAGCCGACGCGCGGGCGGGGCCGGGACGCCCCCTGGGACACCCGCATCCCCGCGCCTTCGGTGTCCTCTCGTGGTCCGCGGCCACTGGGAGTAGGGGCCCGGGGGCCGGACAGCATATCCCCGGAGCCAGGAGAACCTGGCCTTCAACTCCCCCCACAGACACGCGCCCTCCCCCACAGGATCCTCGGCCGCCGCCACCTTCCCCGGGTCTCGGCCCCTCTCTCCCGGGTATCCCCCTCGGCCTCCCTCCGCCTGGTAAGAAGTGAGTTTGGTGTGTGTCGTTCGCGTGGCTGTCATTAAGGCAGCCTGTTATTGTGCGAGGCTGAATCAGTGGCTCTTTGTGCGCTCAGCTGTATGGTAATGCAGACAGCACCTGCTCCCCGCACAATGCGGAGAGAAAGAGCTCCCCTCCGCGCGCGCCGCGGCCTCTGCAACAATGTCCGGCGCATGTTCTAAAGCCCCTCCAGCCCCGGCCCCCAACCCACAACCTTTACACAACCGTCACCTTATTAGGTTTTTACACGTCCATCAGACACTAGAACTTTTGTTTTCATTTTTTAAAGGGAAATGAGTTTATTGGGAGGGCCGAGAACACACGTATGACACAATGAATTATCTAAATTGCCCTCCTAGGCACGATGGAGAAGTAAGTTGGGGCAGAGACTCCTACTCTGGCACCTAGCTTTGCACTTCTCCCTCTCTTTACCATCCCGCCCGTGGATCCCTGCCCACCCCCAACACCTCCGTAGCTTCATTAGGGTTCCAGGTGAGTGTTGGAGTGCCCCCTTTGATTGTAGCTCAGCCCCAAGGAAGCAGCCTGGCCACAGTGTCCTCACTGTAGGTGTGTTAGAGCTGCCTTATTGGTGAGAACAGGGCACCGTCAAGGTAGAACGAGACTTTCATCCCGGCAAATGTCTTGATCAAAGTGTCTAAGCAGAGGGAAAGTCTTCAAACACCAAGGACAACCACTGCAGCCAGAAATCTGAAGGTCACGTGGTGAAGTCGTCCAGGGCAGGCCCTCCGGCTGCTACGCAGCTGGAATTGCTACTCTGCGGCTCCTCTTCAAGTGACCCAGCCTGTGTCCTGCTACCTTGTTTCCCAAATACCTGTAAAGTTTTAGGATCAACAGAGATGTCCACTTTAGGTTTTCCACTGTTGCCTCATGGAATAGCGAAGAGTTAACCACAAGAAACAAGCATATGATGTTTAGTGCCAGGTGAGAAAGGCAGGCTGGGATCACCGTGAACCCCCTACTGTTTGGTTCAGAGCAAATGGAGGCTTCAGAAGATGCTGCCACCCCCATGATGGTGTCCTTTTTGGACTCTATAGGGACTTGCTGTCGCCACAGGGAGGGGCCAGCTCAAATCCTAATTTAATCTTGCCACCTAGTGTCAGGATCCTTTTTTCTCTAGGTTGATGTTTCCTCCAAAAGCTGACTTCGGAGCATTCTGCTTCCCTAAGGCACAGGAGCTGTTCCCTGTGCTGGGGGCTGGGGGTGGGGGTGAGGGTAGGTGAAAGGGTTTCAGGAGCAGAAGAAATGTAAAAAAAGAAGAGAATGCGAGGTCAGAATCCAGAATCCTCTGCCTGCAACACTGAGTGTAGATTTCAGTAAGAAATGAAATATCAGGAACCTTTTAATTAGAAAATGGAAGTGGAAAACAGGCTCATTTGAATGCCTGTTTAGAAAACTGGAAATAAAAAGTTCCACGCGCAAGGGCTTAAACCTTGGGGGGAAAAAGACTTGCCCCAAATCTCTAACAAACCCCCCTCAGTATCAAGTATTTGTTAAATTGACATGGCACAGATTTCTCGATTACGGCGGCAAAGCGGAACTGAAAGGCATCGTAAAATCCATCAGAATCCTGCCCAAAGCGTTCATTCTTTTCCAACTTAATTTATGCCACGCGATTCTGTATTGGGGAAATCAAGCAGAAAGCCCTTTTCTTCTTCTCCCTCTCCTTCCTCCTCCTCCTGTTCTCCTTTTTCTTTTCCTCCTCCTCCTCCTCTTTCTCCTACTCCACCTCCTTCCTCTTCTTCCTTCTCCTCCTTCTTCTCCTTCTTCCTCTCCCCCATTTCTCTCCCCCCACCCCCAAGTTGGTTCCTCTCTCCCTCTCTCTTTAAAAAGCTGTGCTAACGGGGAGACTGTTTAACTTCAGCGTTTCTATAGGAGCCTGTTGTAGTTTAACTCCTGCGCACCAGTAGCTGGGATGAACAAAGGAGAGACTCGAGGTCCAACTATTCATCCTTTCTTTGCACTTTAATTTTCATTGATTGGGAAGACAAGGGGAGCCCTTAGGGATTCGAGCTGGAGGGGACGACACGCCTTTAGACGCCATCAGCCCCCTAGCCAGCCATCTGCTCCGAACCAAATGGCGTTTTTTCACTCCCTAACTGCATGTCTCTATACTCCCACAACTAAGCACTCTGAACCCCACAAACGCAGGAGGGAGCTTAAGCCAGGGTATGTTAAATAGGCTTGCCTCAGTGTTGGCCCCGGCTGCCGGAGTCCCTCCTCCCCACACTATAAATCCTCACCTTGCTCATTAGGAAAAAACAGGAAACTTTCTTTTAAATACTTTTTTATGTCTCAGGAAATTTACTGTACAAAGTGAGGCTCATTAGGGCTTAGAAGGCACCCAATACATCAGACACAGAAGTGGAAGGAGGAATTTGCTGCCTGGTGGTGGTGTTTTTTGTTTTGTTTTGTTTTCTGGGCAGCACAACCCCACAGGCTGAGTAACCCCAGTGTCTAGGGTAAGCTCAGGCTGTATAATGATCAGAGCTGCAGCCACAGCAACCACATGTGGAGTTCTCTGTTTGCTGGAGACACTGAGTATCTCCCCACCATTTTATGAGGCCACCTGGGAATAAAAGCTTATGGCCATCATCTTATCAAATTCCAGTGCGGCCATCCTCAGCAGTGTGTGCATGACCTAATACCATGGTCACTCAATCCTATTCCAACCCCCCTTTCCAAAGAAAGGTTCTATTCTCCAGGTTCGTGTGTGGTGGTGACTGTGGTGGGGGCAGGAGGGCCTGGGCAGATTGCAATAAACAATGCCCAGAATAGGCTCAGACTCTAGGCCAGCCACAGGTTCAGTTTTCTGTGTAAACAAGTCTGGAGACTTGAGTGGGGTTTGTGTTTTCTCAGACCAACTGAATACTGTATACCCAACAGAGAGGTTCTCTTATTCGTAAGAAGAATTAGGGTCCTTGTTCAGAATAACAAGATAAAAAACTTCCAGGCAGCAAATCTGGTGTTGATCAAACATGCCAGCTTACTTGAAATAAAGAAGAAGAAGAAGGGGACGTAGACCATGCTTATTAATTAGTATTGGTATCACATCTGCACCAACCACCCTCTGCCCATTCTCCTTCCGTCAGTTTTGGAATCTGAAAGCAGTTAACGTAGCAGAGGAATGGACCTGCTGGCTGCCACACGGGAAGTTCTCAGAGGCGTCCGTGGCGAAGCCTCTGTGTCCTGGAGCTATCATGGTTACTTCCTTGCTGCTTACTTCTTAAAGCTGTCTTTGGACACGTGAACATAGACCTTACCCCCCAACACACACACTCACTGGGCCATGTCCCCTGCCCAGCCACGCCCACCCAAGTGGGTGCACAGATGTGTTCACACTCGGTTGCCGCGCGTGGACTTACAAGCCCACGAAGCCATCGTTCGTCACAGCCTGGAAAAGGGAGGGGGCATCGATCTGGTTTATGTTTGGACCTCGAGGCTCCACCAGCGCTGGCGCAGGCAGGAAGGAGGTGAGCGCCGCCCGCGTGCACACAAGGCGCGCGGCCCCCAGGCAGCCGCGCTTCCACAGCGGGCAGGAGCGCGACCCCCGGCGCGGGCAGCTCTGCGCGAAGGTGGGCGACGGTGGGGGCACAAGAACAGCAGCCGGGGGCGAAGGAATCAGCCCCGCAGCGGCTCCTAAGCCTCCCCGCTGGCCGCGGCTGCGCCGCTGGAGACCCGGCGAGTGACTTCCCCGGTGCGGCCGGGTCCCGGCGCCACACGCCCTTTTCCTTTCTCAGGATCCGCGGCCGTGCAGAGAACAGGAAGACGGGCTCCAACCCCACCTGGTTCGTGTCGGGGGGTCGTTTTGCGGTGGGGGGAGTCCGAACCGCGCCACGGGCCCGCGAGACGCCCACCTCTCGCGTGCGTGGAGCCCGGGGCCGAGGCCAGGCCCGCTGCGAGCAGCGGAGGCATGTGCTGATTTGCATGAGAACGGGCGGGTCGCGTGGCTCAGCTGGCGGCCCCGGCGCAGATGACGGCTCGGCAGCGGGCCCCCGCCCCCTCCTCTGCGCCGCGGCTCCTTCCCCTGGAACCCGCGGATCATCTGCTGGGGCTGTCCCGCGCCCCATCTCCATGACAAAGCGCGTGTTTACCTGCGGCCGGAGCACCGGCGGGCACGCCTTTGTCCCGGGATCAGATTACCGCAGCAGCTGCTGCGGGCCCGCCCCGTGCGAACCCCGGAGCTGCCCCTCCGAACTTTGTGCCGACTGAACGCGCCGGGACCCGGGGCTGGGGGGCCGGGTGTTGGGGGGTTAGAAGGAGGCCGCGTGTCCCAGGGAGGGGCTGTTTTCAGTGCGATGATTGCCGGACGCTGAGATCCGCGACGGGGAGTGAGCGCACCTGAGGGCTTCCTGGAGGTGGTGGCGGCGCCAGGCAGCATTACGAGGGGCACCAGTGCAAGGCCCAAAGCGCGAGGGCACAGGCGGCGCGGCCGTGCGGCGGGTCATCCCTGGGCCACTGCGAGGGCGGAGGGCGGCGCCAGGGCCCTCCCGGTGGACCCCAGTCGCCGTCGTGACGGCCCCACGCAGCCTCGCGCCCGGCCGCCGCCTCGTGCGGGACTCGTGCCCGCATTCCCACCTCACCGGGTGCAGCCGGCCCGGCCCCGGGCTGTGCGAGGCGACGGCGCACACCTCGGAGCCCTGGGGGCCGGGGTCGGCGGGCGGGGCCGGGGCGCGCCCTTTGTGCGCTCTTAGCGGAAACCGCGCGTTCCCAGAGGAGCGCGGCCCGCCGAGACCCCGGATCCCGACGCCAGGAGGTGCTGCAGGAGCCCGCGCGGGGTGGGGGTCTCCGGCCCAGGCCCCTCGGTACGGGCCCCCTGCGGCCGCCACCCTCCGCCTCCGCGCGGCGGCTCCTTTCCGGCTGCATCCGGGGGGTCGAGGCGTCGCACCTGGAAATCGCAGCCTGTGACTTTGTAAAAAAGTGAATGGGGAAGAAAAGGCGCTGAGAGGGGCGATGGGCGGACGGGCCGTGCCCACCACAGGGAGGTCGCGGCACCTGTCGCTCCTGGTTCCCAGGGCGGCCTGTCAATCACCCACGCTGGGCTCAGCTTGCCGGGAGCGGGGGCACGCGGGGGGCTTCAAGGCCCAGAGCTCAGAGGCTCGCAAACAATAAACTCAGAAACGTGGCGCGCACCCGCAGGGCCTGACACAGCCTCTGGAGTGGCCCCTGGGCCTGTCTGGCTGCAGGGTTGGTTGGCCGTGGGCGTGTGCGGCTCAGGGTTTCCTCCACGCCCTTTCACGAATGTCCCCACGGGACCCCGCGTCCCCCCAGGCTGCTCCAGAGGAGTCCCGGAGAGCGCGGCCGTGGAAGCTTTCGAACGCGCCGTGCTTCCCCGCCGCCCCCGCCTCCCTTTCTGTGAGCATCTGCCGGGGAGAACAGATGTGGGCACCTGCGGTGACCGGCTGCGTGCGTTCCATCCCATTCACAGGCATTCAGACGTGGCCACAATGAGCGGCCTTTGTGTGCACAGAGTCACTAAATATATTAATCTGTACTCCCCAGAGCACCGGGCTGTTTAATTTTTCACTAGCAATAACATCTGATCTAATCCTTAAATCGGCTCCCAAAGCCTTCCCTCCAGCCCACCCCGCCCCTCCCCCCGAAAAACGTGTGAAGTTATTCAACTTTCCACCTGTTGCCGGCTGCACTGGGCGTGGGTTATTGCAACCTCTAATGTTGGTTCAGGCTGGGTGGAGGTTGGGGGCCCGTGCTGGGGAGCTGTTGGCCCACATGGGCATAGGGAGGGTATGTTTATCAGACGGAAAATAAACACAAAGTGCGGAGTGTGGCTCCCCAAATGTTGTGCAAACAAAGAACAATAATTATTAAACAGCTTCCCAAGCAACCCAGCACACCCACCCCTTCTGTGTAAGGCCTTTAAAAATGTACATAAAGTTCCCATTTATCTTTTTGTTTATTAAACTCTAGCGGTTGTTATAAATACCGGTCAATAGGCCACACAGCCAAAAGGTAACATAAATCTCAGATGTAAGACTTAGATTTTTTAAGCAATTTTGTTGCATGACTCTTTTATCTTAGCATCCCTTATTTTATTTTGATTTGTTTTCGGCCACAATGAGTCCTTTAGTGCCATTGTGGACTCACAATGCACATGGACATCAGGCTGTGAATGAAGACAGAGGCAGTTTAAACAAACCAAGCTCTTTCTTTCCTTTCCTTCCATTGTAATATGAATGGGCCTTCTGCATTTGGCTGCTAGGAGACCGGCTTTGCAAAGCCCTGCTCCAATAAATGGGCTGGAGAGAAAGGGACCCCAATAAACAGCCCAAGTATCCAAGTATCAGAGGGGAAAAAAAAGAAGGAACAAAATTTAGGCAAGTATTTTCTCACTTTCAAATCAACATATTTCCTAATCTCAGAATGTTAGTTTCTATTGTTGCATTCCTTGCTTTCAACAGTTTCCTTCATTCTTGTCATTGTAATTCCTATTCCCTCTCTCCACCACTTCCAATGAGGAAACAGAACAGGGATAGTTCTGGATCACCATCAAGATTTGTTTTCAAGATGCAATATTTTCTTTTTTTTTTTTTTTTGTTCCTTTTAGTAAAATGGGAACTGGAGTGGCATATTTGTCGGTCATCATCACTAATAACTCATGATCATACAATGCCTTCAAAATTTATTCATTGGGGGATCAGTAGTAGCCTAGTTGGTGAGTCTGAATTTTTTTTAGGAACCATCACAAACTATGATTTGCTTTTCTACTATTGAGACTGTTCTTATTCCTGTTAATAAGCTGATTGAGGCAAGATGTGAGGCTGCTTGCAGGTTGCGAAGGTCCCAGGCACTGATTGTGTTAGAAAGTACCACCACCTGCCAGCTGTCACTCATTTCTCAGTGGCTAGAGCTCAGGCATCTGGGCACCAAGGAGCCAACCACTCTCCAGGCAGAGGGGAACCCACACTGACTTAGAGCTGGTGGGCTAGGGCAAGACATGCAGGAAGTAGAAGGCCACTTCATTTCCTCACTGGCTTGTTCACTCCTGACTCATCACAGGGGCTGAGGACCCAAAGTGGAACTGGACCTGTCTCTGCCACCAGGTGAATTATAAAATGAGTTGGGGAAGACTTTCTTGCTTTTCCATTTTCTGAAAGTTTGTGTAGGATTGCTATTTCCTCCTTAAAAGTTTGATAGAATTCACTAGTGAGGCTATTAGCACCTGGCCTTTTCTTTGTGGGAAGGTTTTTTTTATTGTTGTTGTTTTGTTTTGTTTACTTAATTCAACTTCTTCAATTAATATAGGCTTACTCATCATTTCTACTTCTTCTTTGTTCAGGTTTGGTGATTTGCATGGTTCAAGGAATTTCTTATCTAAAGTTGTTCAAATGTTCTTTTATTCCTTAACTGCAGGTGGTTTCTGTAGTGACACTGTCTTCCATTGCTGGGATGCGCAATGTGTGTCTTCTCTCTTCTTGAGAGATTATGATCAGAGTATTATAGGCTTATCAGTTGTATCAGTCTTATCAAAGAACCAGTCTTTTGTGTCATTGATTTTTCCCTGCTCTAGGCAGAGATGGGGCAGCCACTAGGCTCACCTCATTTGTTTTCCTCCTTTCAAGATTCTCCATCCTTTACTTCCTGTTGTCTGTTGTCTGAAAATAGTAATTTTGTATTTTTGTCCAGTTTTTTAGTTATTTAAAGTGGGAGGACCAGTTCTGTAGGAATTATTCCTTCTTGGATGGAAGCTAGAACAGGACACTTTTGGTTGTAACAGAACATCCTGATTCACTATCTGACTATGTATAAAGAAGATTCTCTCTCTTATAATCAGGAAAGAAGGTGGTTTGAGTGCTGGTTGATGTAGTGGCTCTGCCACGTCAAGGCCCAAGTGCTCTCCTTCTTTCTGCTCTGACATCCATGCCCTGTCAGTCACTCCATTTCCTGACTGCATGATGTCTGCAGCAGTACCAGACATCTTCACCATTACAATGATCATAAGAAGAGGAACATTGTCTTTCTACATGATACCTTTTATCAGCAATAAAACACTTCAGCAGCATTTAATGTGCATTCTCTATGTAGAAATCAGTATGTTTTCATGGTTTTGGCTTTTTGTCTTTCCTAATTTTTGGACGGTCAATTGTTACCTGTATTAGTCTGTTCTCATGCTGCTAATAAAGACATACTTGAGACTGGGTAATTTATAAAGGGAAGAGGTTTAATTGACTCACAGGTCAGCATGGCTGGGGAGGCCTCAGGAAACCTTACAATCATGGCAGAAGGGGAAGCAAACACATCCTTCTTCACATGGCAGCAGCAAAGAGAAGTGCAGAGCAAAGGACGGGAAAAGCCCCTTATAAAACCATCAGGTCTCATGAGAACTCACTCACTATCACCAAAACAGCATGAGGGTATCTGCCCCCATGATTCAATTAACCTCCCAGAAACTTCCTCCCACGACATGTGGGGATTATGGGAACTACAGTTCAAGATGAGATTTGGATGGGGATACAGCAAAACCATATAATTCCACTCCTGGTCCCTCCCAAATCTCATGTCCTCACATTTCAAAACACAATCATACCTGCCCAACGGTCCCCCAAAGTCTTAACTCATTCCAGCATTAGCTCAAAAGTCCAAGTCCAAAGTGTCTGAAACAAGACAAGTCTCTTCCACCTATAAGCCTGCAAAATCACAAGCAAGTTAGTTACTTCCTAGATACAACTGGGGCACAGGCATTGGGCAAATACACCCGTTCCAAATAGGAGACACTGGCCAAAACAAAGGGACCACAGGCCCCATGCAAGTCCAAAATCCAATAGGGCAGTCATTAAACCTTAAAGTTCTAAAATGATCCCCTTTGACTCCATGTTTCACATCCATGTCACACTGATGCGAGAGGTGGGCTCCCACAGCCTTGGGTAGCTCTACCTCTGTGGCATTGCAGGGTAAACCCCCCCCTCCTGGCTGCCTTCATGGGCTGGCATAGAGCGTCTGCAGCTTTTCCAGGTGCACTTTGCAAGCTGTTGGTGGATCTACCATTCTAGGGTCTGGACAATGGTGGCCCTTTTCTCACAGCTCCATTAGGTGGTGTGCCAGTGGGGATTCTGTGTGGGGGATATGACCCCACATTTCCTTTCTGCACTGCCCTAGCAGAGCTTCTCCATGAGGGCTTTGCCCCTGCAGCAGACCTCTGCCTGGACATCCAGGCATTTCCATACATCCTCTGAAATCTAGGTGGAGGTTCCCAAACCTCTGTTCTTGTCTTTGGCGCACCAGCAGGACCAATACCACATGGAATCTGCCAAGGCTTGGCACTTGCACCCTCTGAAGCCACAGCCTGATCTGTACATTGGCACATTTTAGCCATGTCTAGAGCAGCTGGGATGCAGGGCACCAAGTCCCTAGGCTGCACACAGAAAGGGGGGGCCTGGGCCTTGCCCAAGAAACCATTTTTCCCTCCTAGGCCTCTAGGCCTGTAATGGGAGGGGCTGCCATGAAGGTCTCTAACATACCCTGGAGACATTTTCCCCACTGTTTTAGTGATTAACATTCTTCTTCTCATTGCTTATGCAAATTTGTTGCCAACTTGAATTTCTCCCCCAGAAAATGGGTTTTTTTAATCTATTGCATTGCCAGCCTGCAAATTTTTCAAACTTTTATGCTCTGCTTCCTCTTGAATGCTTTGCTGTCTAGAAATTTCTTCCACCAGATACCCTAAATCATCTCTCTCAAGTGCAAAGTTCCACAGATCTCTAAGGCAAGGGCAAAATGTTGCCATTCTCTTTGCTAAAGCATAGCAAGAGTGACCTTTACTCCAGTTCCCAACAACTTCCTCATCTCCATCTAAGACCATCTCAGCCTGGACTTCATTGTCCATATCACTAACAGCATTTTGGTCAAAGCCATTCAACAAGTCTCTAAGAAGCTCTAAACTTTCCCACCTGTTCCTATCTTCTGAGCCCTCCAAGTCTCTAGGAGGTTTCAAACTTTCCCACATTTTCCTATCTTCTACTGAGCCCTCCCAACTGTTCCAACCTCTGCCTGTTACCCCATTCCAAAGTCACTTCCACATTTTTGGGTATCTTTACAACAGCACCTCACTACCTGGTACCAATTTGCTGTATTAGTCCATTCTCACACTGCTAATAAAGACATACCTGAGACTGGGTGATTTATAAAGGAAAGAGGTTTAATTGACTCACAGTTCAGCATGGTTAGGGAGGCCTCAGGAAACTTACAATCGTGTTGGAAGGGGAAGCAAACAAGTCCTTCTTCACCTGGCAGCAGCAAGGAGAAATGTGGAGTGACGCAGGGGAAAAGCCCCTTATAAAACCATCAGGTCTCATGAGAACTCAATCACTATCAAGAGAACAGCATGGAGGTAACCGCCCCCATGATTCAATTACCTCCCACCAGGTCCTTCCCATGACATGTGGAGATTATAGGAACTACAGTTCAAGATGAGATTTGGGTGGGGACACAGCCAAACCATATCATTGCCCAAATAAAATCTTGAGCTCATGTGGTTGTTATACTCAAAAGAAATTTCATTCAGCATCCAAATAAAAACTGCAAATACATCTTGCAGTCTATTTAAAGGGTCAACTTGTTACCAAGAGAAACCTGTCCCAGATGCCCCTGCCATTCATTTTCTGGGTTTCTCTCTCACAGCTGATGTGATGTCTCTCACTTTAGCTTTTTCCTCTGCATTAACCCCCAAATTCGCTCTACAGTTTCTTTTTTATTCCCCTTTCTTTTCCTATGTTTCTCTTTTATGTAAACCTCCATCCTATTTATAGATTTTTTCCCACACTGATAAACTGGCTGTGCACAGCAGAGCACAGGGAAGTGCTTGCCTGAGCTATGAAGCAGGAGGTGAAGCAGGATGTGGATAATCCTACGTAACTCTTCTTGCTCTTGTTACACTGATTTCTGCATGCAACTTTTCTTGTAGTCTCCCAGGAAAGAGACCTTGAAGTAATATTTGACTTTTCCTTCCCTTTGCTGTAGTGTACTGTAGTCATAACAATTTTTTAAAGCTTCAAGATTTAGACAGATTGGAATTTGAGTGACAGTCGTGCCACTTACTACCACTTGTATTAGTGAATAACTTTTTAAAACTTAAAAATTTTTCCTTATATCAAATATTTATAATCTTAAAATTCAAATGGTATTTCTAGATTTGTTAACAAAAATAGTAGTTGCCCACACCACACACTCCCACTCCCAATTCCTTCTCTTACATTTATCTCTTATATATTTCTTTTGTATATGAGAGAATTTACTCTACTTTCTTTTCCTTTTTTTGTGTGTGAGACAGCGTCCTACTCTGTCACCCAGGCTGGAGTGTGGTGGCACAATCCCAGCTCACTGCAGACTGAAACTCTGGGGCTCATATGATCCTCCCACCTCAGCCTCCTAAGTAGCTGGGACTACAGGTGCATGCCACCATGCCTGGCCAATTTTTAAAAATGTTTTGTAGAGATGAGGTCTCACTATGTTGCCCAGGCTGGTCTCCAACTCCTGGGCTCACAGAGTCCTCTTACCTTGGCCCCCCAAAGTGCTGGCATTACAGGCATGAGCCAATGTGCCCGGCCTTATGCTCATATTTTCTAAGAACACATATTTAATGTTCTGTCCTTACTTTTCAATTGTGCGTATAGTCTATGGACTTCCTAACTCTAGAAGACAAGGATTTAACTCTCCCACCCTCACTTCCTAGACACATGCACATTTATGTAAACACACGTAAGGTCACCTCCCTTTTTTCAAAAATAATTATAACACCCCTTTGGGTTAAACTCCCATTCAGCAATTATCTTGTTATAATTACATATTTATTCACAGCCAAGACATATGCTATATCCTTTTTTGCATATTGTTTTCACTAGATTCAATAATGGCCTCATTTATTTCCTTATTCACTTTCCTATCTAGCTATTACTTATCATCATCAAATTCTGAAGATCCCTTTTAAGATATTCATCCATAACAGGCATTCCATGTGATTCACTTCCTTCTGGAAACATCTCTCCTAGAGGCCTCTATCCCCTACTGTATAAGTCCTAGCTTCTGTCCTAGTACTTCCCTTCTCCTCTCTCCTAAGCTGGGACTTCCTGTTTTTTAGGTCCCAAATATTATCCTCTTTCTTGGCTAATTTCTTAATTTTGGAGAAGAATATCCTCCAGTAGCTTTCTGAGATAAGGATATCTGAAAATATCTACATCCTACCCACAAACAGCTAATATAGTGAGAGTTGAATTCTATGTTAGAATTATTTTCTTCAGAATTTTGAAGTTAATGCCCTATTGTATTCCAGCTTCCTGGGATTCTGTGGAGAATTTCCATGCCATTCTGATTTCCAGTCCTTTAAATGTGACCTTTTCATTTTTCCTTCAGGAAACTCTGAAGATCTTTTCTTTATCCTTGGTGTTCTGAATGCTGTGGCGATGTGCCTTGGTGTTGGTCTTCCTAGGTTTGTTGTGCTGGGCACCTGCTGGGCCCTTTCGATACGAGAATGTATCTTCTAGACCTGGGAAGATTTTCCTTCTCTTTTATCTTTCTCTTTCATTCCTATTTTTCACATGTCACATTTGTGTTTTCTCTTTTTCTTTTTTGTTCCATCATCTGAGCGATACCATCGAATCCATCTGGGAGGCCAATGAGCAGTCACCTGGTGGGGCTCCTTGCTCTGCCTGCCTTCAAGGCCTCCCCAGTCCAGCTCTGCTTCCTGCTCCCCTCAGCATGAACCTCCTGCGCATGAGAGTTTGGTCTCCTGAATTTTTCCCTCAGTCTCTTTCCTAGGTTTGCTCCTTCTGCTTGGAGTCCTTCCTCTTCTAACCCTTTGTCAGATCCTACTCCTCCTTCCAGGCTCAGTTCACAAACTTGCTCCTTGAAGCTTTTTCATCCCTGTCTTAGACTGTTCAGACTGCTACAGCAAAGTACCATAGACTGGGTTTAGAAATTCATTTCTCATAGCTCTGGAGGCGCTGAGGTCTCAGATCAGGCACCAGCATGGTTAGGTTCTGGTGAGGCCTCTCTTCTGGGTTGCAGGCCATCTTCTCACTGTATCCTCACACGGTGGAAAGTGGGCAAGAGAGCTCTCTGGCCTCGTTATGGCACTATTCCCATTCATGAGGCTCCACCCTCATGATTTATTCACTTCCCAAAGGCCCCACCTCCAAAGACCATCACGCTGGGATTAATTTCAACCTATGAACTTGGGGGGGGCGGGGGACAGAAACATTACAACCCTTACTCCTTACAATATGTTTCACTTGTTGCCTAGTATTTAAAGTATGTTAGTTTATGTCCCCAACCACGATGAGCACTCCTTAAGACTAGAGGTCATTTCACATACTGCTTGGTGTCACCCCACAGCACTAATCAGCAATAGGTGCTGAACACCATTTGTTGATTTTACTTAAAGAAAAGCCCATCAGGAAACGTAAGCCTTGTATGCTGAATCGAGATTCCTTCCCAAATCCTTTAATGCATACGTGGTGCCACTTCAATTTGGTAATGTTTTCTGAGTACCTGATCAAGTGCTTTGCTAGAGATTCTGAAGAAAATCAATAGAATGTTTTTCCTAGAACAATATTTGACCATTTTACTTTCCTGATGGAAGACTCATTAGCTCACCAGGGCTTATAGCTGCCTTGCTGAGACATACTGTGTGTAAGGATAGGTTTGGAGATACATCCTAAATAAGTTGATATTAAAAATTGACATTTGTCAATAACTTACTTTTCAGAAAAATAAATCAGATTGGTTTCAAGGTCGTCACTCACACGTGCCTGCCAAAATGTTTGCTTGGTTGTAGAGAAAAAGGCGGAACTGCAGCTAGAGGGGTGGACTTGCGCATCACCCGGAGCCCACCTGATCTCCTAGCCCAAGGGAGCATGTCCTGAAGGTGAGTTTCGCCATCTTAGAGCAGCTGCAGAAATAAGACTGAGATTGTGGACTGCAGAGTCCAAACTCCTGAATATGACGACAGGGACCTGCACGATCAGGTGGCACCTGTTCCCCTGTCCCCGCCACCATGTATCCACAGCAGCCACTGGAATTCCTCTGAAGCATCCTGCTCCCTCACTGCCATTGCCTCTGCCTTTCCTCTCTCTCCTTGGAATTCTCTCCCACCCAATTCCGGACTAGCAAACCTGCCTGAAACAACTTTCAGCTGAAGAGTAGTCCAGAGCAACAATGGTGACGGTCAGAACACCCGGCCGAGAAGTGCTCAGCGCTGACTGGGGCCGCGCCGTCCCGATACGGAGGCGAGGGTCGAACGCCAGGACGTCCCCGCTCCCTCCCCAAACGTGGCGGGGAAGCGCGCGGCGGGTCCCCTGTGCAGGAGCCCCCCGCTGTCCCCGTTTCCGGCCCAGGCGAGGCTCCCGGCCTCAGGGCCACCCGCCTGGGCCGCGCTCGCACAACTTCGGCCTGAGGCCCCGGGAGCCGCCAGTCCTCAGTGCCTCCGGCAGGACAAAGACCGGCATGCAGCGTCAAGACACCGTCCGGGCCGCAGGACAGTGTATGAACAAAGAGGTTCAAGGGCGGCACCCGCCCGACGCCAGCGGGCAGCTACCTGACTGCGCGACCCGAGGTCCGCCAGCACCAGAGCAGTTGCTGTGGCAACAGGCCGCGGCGTCCCACGCCGCCGGCGCCTGCGCGCCGCGTCCGCTGTCCGCGCCTGCGCGCCTCTCTCCCCGCCCAACCCACGACGCGGGCGCTCCTCACTCTCGCAACGGTCACGCAGACCCCGCCTCTGCGAACCCGGCCAAGTCCCGAGCGGAAGCGCCTTGAGCGGAAGCGGAAGTGAACGAGGCGGCTGTGGCGGTGGCTGAGGCGGCTGGGCCTAGGGTGCAGCGGGCGCGTCTGCGGCTGGTGTTGGCGCATCTCTAGGTAGGGCCGGGCCCGAGGGCACCCGCGGGTCTTCCGGGCCGCTCCCGGCCTGCGTGACCGTCCGTTACCCGCGTCCGACCCTCGCGCGCGTCAGCCCCTCGGCTTCTGCCCGGTCCCGATGCCTTCCTGGCCGTGCCTCTGTCCTTGTCACCGCGGCTGCGACATCATGGGATCCTCGCGTCCCCGCTGCCGAGCCCGTCGTCATCCCTGTCCCTGCGCAGAACCCTCCTGCCGAGCCCTGGTCCGCGTCATTGCGTGCTCCCCGACCTCGCGACCGTCGCCTTGCCTGCCCCATCTTGAGGTCACCTCTGACCCCTACTCCCTCCCTTAAGATGTGTGTTTGGCTCCTATATGTCATTTTTGGGTCAGAGCTGTTATCCTTCGTAGCTGCACGACTTTTCTGGTCGTCTCTAGAAGAGAGAGGCATCCTCTGATCTCTTCACTTTTCTCCCATCATCTGTGGGCTATCCCTGAATCAGGGCCCCAGCTCTTGGGGGAAAGACAGACAGAAAGACAGGGTTCCCTGCCAGCAAGGAGTTTGCAGACCCGTGGGATAACACTGAGCGTCAAGCAGATCCCACAATGTAGAAAGAAAAGGGTCCCTCGAGGGTGATTTGCCCAGGAGGGTCCAGGAAATTTCCATAAAGGTTGGATTTGAGCAGAGTTTTAAGTAGGAGTTGGGAGATGAACGAGAGTTGAGAGCCTATTCCTGGCAGTAAGAACATAAATGTTTAAGACATGAAGGTTTCAGAGTCTTGACATATTTGGGGAACTAGGAGTTGAGCATTTGTGAGACAAGAAATGTTGGTTAGGGATGGGGAATGGCAGGAAGGAAGCTAAAGAGAATGTGGGGCAAGGAAGTGATGTGATCAGATCTTAGCGTTAAAGAGATTCAGTCTGGCAGATATAGGGGTGGGGATGAGGGTGACTGCAGACAGACAAAAAGGCTTTTGTCGTCGTTCAGGGACTGGAAACCCCGAAATGGTAGTGGAGAGAACCTGGAGGTAAAGAAGTGAGAGGGTAGTCTTTCTGATGGCTTGAGCCCTTGAATAGAGAAGTGCCGAGAGGGAAAAGCCCAGAATGGGGACCATATCTGGAGCAGCAGGGTCCTAACCACCATCTCCTGAGTATGTGAGAGCATCTTATCCGCAGCTGTACTCCCAAGTTCCTCCGTGTCTAGTGTCATGCTTTTGTTTTTGACCTTTCTCTGGCCTCCCCTTCACATAGGCTCTTTGACCTGCCCATCTTTGGACTTTGCTGTTAGGAGCCACCCTCTGCCACCACTACAGCCTTCACACTCTGTGTTCTGATACCTTCTTCATCCCATTTCTGCCATCTCCCAGCTCCATCATTAGTGAGTGTTTCCCCTGACTTTGCCATTCCTTTTGTTTTGGAACTCTAATTGAGCCTTCTTACCAGTTGTATTCTTGAAAAGCACCAACACCATAGCTGGGTCGGGGTCTTCACTGCTCATCTTCATACACACGCACACCCCCACACACACCCCATTTTGTGACTACCTTGACCTTCCAGTTTTTTTGTTTGGTTTCTAACCACCTAATCTTCCAGACATACTGAAATCTCTGATCACCTGTGGCCCACTGAGAAAACTACAGTAGGTGACATCTGGGGTAACGTAGTTTTTAGCATTCTGAGATTTTACCCCATCCTGGAACCTGAATCTGGATACCATTTATGGGGCAGATTTACTGTAAAGCTAATGAAGTTCAGGTTTCTAGGTCTGTCACTTGCATGGGCCCTTACCTAGGCTCTGGGACCTCAGAGATCTTGTGTTTATAATTTGTATTCTTTTTTGAAAAGAGGGTTTCCAAATGGTATGTTTCAAGTCTTTCACAGCTTAGATCCCTGCAAAACTGGCTATTTGTCATATCCAGCCTTGAGATTTGCATTTTTGTCCTTCAGACACCTTCCCTTCCCTACCTCCTACTTCTTCCTCTTCTGGTGTGTGCTTTTTATTTAGGCCTGGAGAAACAAAATGTGAATGAATGGAACTGATCAAGTTCCTGCCATAACCTGACTTTATTTAGCTCTAGTGTCAGGAGGGAGATGTCAGAGCTTAGTAACTCAGCATGTTGGACAGGATCTTTGTAACTTCTTTGTTGCAAGCTTAAATGCCTGTATTGTTAGATTTATTTCACTGCTGAGTTGCCACTCCCTTTAAGAAAAGGTTGATGTTAAGAAGGATAGTCCGCTTAATGGAAATCATAAAAGCAACTCTTAACTCCATGGAAACTAGGGTTATACACTGTGTAAATTCACACAGGAATTTATTGTGACTTTTGATTTATTACTTTGAAAATGCCACCAGTTATTTTTATAGAACTTGATAATGAGTATAAATAATTGTAATTTGTGTTCTGTTGGAAAATCTTCAGATTTAAAACATGTTTAAAGTTTAAATTATTTATGCAAAGATAGGTATTTCTAAGGAATTTTTTAGTAGTAGTTTTAAATTTCCCTAATATGAGAAGTAAATAATTATCTTATTTTTGCAAATAAGGACATCAGTGATGTACAAAGAGGTTAAATGATTTGTCTTCAGCTGTACAGTAAATCAGGGCCTCCCTTAGCCAAAAAAGCCAGCTCCTGAGTACTGTTTTGCTTATAAACAAATATTAATAAAGAGGAATCTATTTTATCAGTTCTTATTATAGAACATTTAATATAAGATGGACCAAATTATATCTTTTGGTGTTTCCATATATTAATACCTATCTGTGCACATCCGTATATATCTACACACTAGGTTCTATAAAAGTGGGCAGTGTTAATACTGTTCCTATTAGGACTTTAGTCCAAAGAATTAATTTAATTTGGATTTGTGCAAATTATTATAAAGTCATTTACAGTAAAACCATGGCTAACTATGATAAGAGCATATTAACTTTCTGAATAGCAGAGGAGTTTTCTGGCTAGATTAGGTTTTTGCCCATTAAGCACCAAAATATCCCATTTAGGTTGGGAATCTTCCTAAAGTATATTATTTCTTGTGTTCTTAAATAGAATGTGCTGAATGTGATGTAAACTTTCCTCAATGCTCTCAAGTGACCATTTAGATATAATGTTATGTTGTGATGTGAATAGTAATGTTAGGCTTATTGAGGCATATACAGCTATTTCCTTTGGGGGTTTTTGCATCTTTCCAGTTTTTAAAGTTTTCTGTCCTATTGTTTCCTTGGGTCAGCTGTTAGCACTTCTAACTGCTGTCAGTTTTCCTGCCCAAAGTTTCTATATTTTTCTCTACTATGGGTTTAGGAGCTAATTGTTAGAACTGATTAGAAAGGTAGTCCGTAGATGATAATAAAAGCCTAAATAAGTGTCTTGTGAGTAAGTTGTTTATGCTGCATCAGCCTCTAAGGGGTTTTGTAGAGCACAGTGTGGGTAGGAAAGGCCAAGGGCACCAGAGTTCTGGGTTGCTGGGAAAAGCCAGAGAGTCTCTTTTATTCCTGATCCTCCTCTCAGAGCCCACCGATAGGCTGGTGACTGGGAATAATGTAGGAAGGAGAGATCTTGGGTAAGGAAACATCCCACAGGGTGGCTCTGTGGTGAGGCCCTTGCCCCACTGGCAGCACACAGCAATGACCAGATCACTAATCTACAGCAGTGCTAAGTGAGGGTTGTGGCCTAGTGAAAGGCAGCTGGGATCTGGAGTCAGATGGATTCAAATCCTGCCCTCCTTGTTAATTACTGCTTGTGGCTTCAGGCAGGTGATTTCACCTGACACAAAGTTTGCTGCCTCCCCAAAGTGACTCCTGCCTTCTTCTTTGCTGCTAGAATGTGTCTTTGACTTAAGAGGCTGCACAAAACTGATAATGTGCTCTAATCTGGGCCAGTGGGACTAGAGGGGCTGCCATGGGACTTTTGGAGTAGACTGCACACACTTAGACAATTGAGTACATTTTGATATATGTGTTACAGCCCCCAACCAAAGCTCTCTGCTTCTCAGAGGACTCCGAGTCTTTGTTTGCCTCCTTCCTCAGGGTTCATGGTCTTAGCTGGGGATCTTGTCTTATTCATTGCTGTATCCACAGCTCCTAACATAGGCCTTGGAGCACAGTAAATCCTGAATGAGTATTTATGAGTGAATGTGGGAATTTGGTTGAGTTTAGATCTCATGTTCTTAGTGTATTTCTGGGGGGATAGAAGAGGGTCTCTCTGCCCTTCTTTTTCTTCTGTGATAGGAAGTGGCCCTGCATCCCTCTAGCCTTGGGATTCTCCCAGAATAGGGAGGGAGAGTGGATGCTGAACAGCCATAGCACCTGGTTCACGATGGACCATCTGACTCCAGTCTTGTCTGCCTCCACCCATCCCCAGAACATACGCAGAGCAGTGTTTCTGAAATGCACTTGCTTGAGTCCTTAGTGACATCTTGTTTCCCTTTGGGTGAAGCGTAGACATTTTAGCATGGTTTGCCAGGCCTTTCATTCATCTGGCCCCAACTCCTCCAGCAGTATCTCATCTCTTCATCTTCCCTTAAAATAGGTTCTAGACATACTGAAGGTGAGTTTTTTTTCCCCATTTCTACACTTGATGAACAAATTTATAAATACAATTGCAAGTTAGATTAAACTACTTAATAGAGCAGATGTTTTGAGCACCTAATAATTTGAAAAAAGATACCTTGCAGACCTTTAAAAGATTTCCTCCGTGTTGCTCATGCCTTCCTCTGGCCACACCTGCCTGTCTTCAGGCCTTGCCTTGAGTACCCTCTCCTCAGGGTTTGTCTTAGAGCCCTAAACTAGGTTGGCTTTCCCTGCTGAAAATTCCCCAGCACTCTTACCTTCTCTGTCCTACACTCGTGTCCAAGAGACTGTTGTCTGCTGGAGGGCAGGGATCTCATCTGTCTTGTTCATAGCTCAGTGACTACTCCAATGTCTAACATAAAGGTGCTTGCTGAATGAGTAAGCCAAATTTATTTTCAAATAAAATTACCTGGTATTGTTGAAGAGAGCTGAATATTCATGAGTTACAAGTGGGTCTGTTCTTGATGCAATGCTTTTGGAGAAAAACTACCAATATGTGCCTATGCCGTGACTCAGCAGCTTCCTAACATACTAAGGAAATGATCAGAGGTCTAAGACTTATATACAAGGATGCGTTTCATATTCTTAGTTATGGCGTGCAATATCAGAAATAATCCAGGTGTTCTCCAGCAGAGTTAAAGAACTTACGTCCACGTTGTACATCTGTTATACATGACACTGTAGGAGAACAGTGACATCATGAGTTGGGAATATATTTATAACAAATTAGACACAAACAGATTATAAAAGTATAATCTCAATTTTTAGAAGCAGTGAATAGTAGAAAAAGGCTGAAATATGTAAAATGTTTAAAAATTTTTTCTTGTGTTTTCTCTGAATTTTCTGCAAATGGTTCGTTTTTTGATCAGATTTTTTTACAAATTAATATATTTCCCAATATTAAAAAGTAATCTAGCTTATAAAAATTATAAATACAATAAAACCTCCCTAAAATTTATGTCTTTGTTTTAAAATTTGTGATAATTTAAGAATTTTGACATATTGGGCTGATTTTACTAAACTTTAGGCAATTGATAAACATGTTTGATGAACAAATTTATAATACAATTATAAATAAAATTGTACCACAATTTCACTGTTACTAAGTGGCAGTTAGAATCTGGACTGTTGCATTTTATTCTGGAACTTTTCGTTTTATCAACAAAACTCTACCCATTATTCTCCCACTTCCCCTGTGACATCAGCTGGCACCAGTGGTTGTGGCCCGACTGTTCTGAGGTATCCTCCAGGGCACCCTGAGTCTAGACATCTATTCCTAGAAATTCTAAAGTGCATAATAGCTATAGGCTTTCTTTGAGGTGCCGATGTTAAAATTCTAACATTTGTTCAAACAGTAGGAAGATTTTACTCAAGACTATTGCAGTGAAGGAGAGAGATCTGGCTTAGCTCTGAATACAGTGAAGACAGCTGGGGATTTACAACCAAGGAGCAGAGTGAAGGGGTGAGGGGATGGGAAATTTCTAAGGGAAGACATCAGGGATAGGGAAATTCTTGCTGAAAGCAGGCCAAGGTAGCCAGATATCAAAGGTGGGTTCTCTTTAAACTGACTTAACAGGATTCTTGCTACAAGCCCCAGATTGAGGCCTGGTAGAGAGGAGGGCTCAAGGCCCTAGCAAAAGTGTGGTCAAGATGAGAGTCTTTATCGGTGATTGGGAATTCTTGCAAAGCTCAGCAGTTTAATGACCCCTGTATGGAGATCATCTGAAGCATCAAGACCAACTTAACTGGCACCCACCCTTATTTATTCACCTGGTTGTTTGTGCATTCATAAATAATAAACCTTCAGCAGATACTATCCTGTGTGCTGGCAAGGGATAAATATTAATCTCTTGGGATTTTCGGTCCCTGTTCTCACCCAACTGGTGTTTAAGAGGTCCCTATGAGTTTCACTTTTTAGGCGGGGGAGGAGAGGAGAGAAGAAAAAATAGACCTCAGATACTCCACAACAAGCCATGGGGGAACATCACTGGGAGAGCCTGGGCCCAGGCCCAGCCAGAAGTTACCATTGAAAGAAAAATTACTTTGTACTTGGAAATAAAACAAGAAAAAGGAAGACTTTGTGTTTTGTATTGTCATACTGGGCTGTTGTTTCAGACTCACCCAAGATTATTTAATTTTCTAACAGACTTACCTCTGTTTGGCTTTGCTGCTTACTCTCCATTAGAGTACAAACATTGTGATGTTATATGCTAGTTTGTAGATTCGAGATGCGAATTATTTCTGTGCAAAGATTATGGTTTTATTGTCTCCAGCTTACCTTGCTTATTCCAATGTGCCTTTGCTAATGGACTGTGTGAGCTTGAGCTCCTCTAGTGCTCTGATCCAGCTTCCCTGTCTCTTACGTGCCATTGCTTATTACTACTTGCCTGAGTTATGTCTTTTAGCTTTAGACAGTTATGCTTTGACATGGCTTAGATGCTGGGGGTCTGTTAAGGTGGTTACAGCAGCCAAGTATTGGTTGTCCCGCAGAGGCTGCTGTCCGTGTGGGGAGTTGCCCTTGGGCTGTCTGTAAGTCCCTCATCCCTGTGTCCAGAGTGACGCCAGATGAGTCTTCCTCACTGTGTGTGCGTCCATCAACATCAGGCAGCTTTGTTTATGCTGAGCGCATTGCTCTTAACCTCAAGGTTTGTAAGTTGAAAGATTATAGTAAAGGAGCTTCTGAACTTCTCTTTGCTCTTTCCATTTCCCTATTTACTGGTAACTCAATACCCTGGGACTGGTCTGACTGTCAGGAGAATGAGCCAGCCCTAGGAACAAGGCAGCCTCCAGCTGTACCTTATGCCTGCTGCAGCTCCTTACTGGGATTTCCTGCTGGTGCTTTGTTTCCCAAACCCTTTGTAAGCTGCTTGAGGGCAGTGATTCTACTTTGCACTGCTTCTTTGGCCATAATTGAAGTCTGTAACTTACTGATTCCTGATTTCTCTTTATATACTGTCCTTGGATTAATTCATTTATTTATTCAAATACTGGGCCTGTCCCATGCAGATGTTGTGCTAGGTGCTGGAATAAGACAGGATGGTGAGCCCCACCTCAAAGGGAGTGATCCCCAAAGGGTCCCAGGCCATATTTGGGGCAATTAGACTCCTCCCTAATGAGAAATAACTTCTGTTTTCTTTCTAAACAACTATTACCTAGATAATGAAAATTTCTTATATAATTTGCAGGTAGAATGACTTTTATATACACATATTATTTTCCCCAGTCATCCCATAATAACCACCTTTAGAGAATGAAAAGCCTGCATATATGCTCTTAGCAATGAAAGGCTTAAAAAAGAAAAAATTTAAAGCGATATCCATGGAATTTTCTATATCTTTTTATACATTTTATTCCCTACCTCACTAATTGCATTGATGAATAGATGTTGTGAGTATTTAGCACTTTGAAGATACTGAAATACTGGAAGGCATCCTCTAATATCACAAGTTCCCAAAACCTTTGCTATCCCAATTTTTCTTGGTAAGTAGTATAGAAGAGCACATTGTAATGTCACACTCTAACTCATGATTCAAACTGTGAGAAATTGGTCCTGTGTGTCTTGAGCAGTCCAACCAGCAACTCTGGGAACTGCCTGGCCTGAGAGCCCCACTGGCTGCTGACCACAGTGGGCGTGCGGTGAACCCTAGGGCCTGGCTTGCAGTCAGGTTCAGTCCTCTGCTTCGACTGTATTCAAATGCTGTTCCTTGTTTTTTCCTTTCTGCTGTCCAGGGGCTCTCCTGGGCCTGCAGCAGCCAGCACAGAGCTTGGTGAGAGAAGTGGGGCCTTCCCTCACAGCGTAGAAATCAAGTCACACTCCAGATTTGTGAGGCTTATCTTTGGCCAGCTCATCATCAGCAAACCATGCAAGGCCTGTTTAAATTAAAGCCAGGCATAGAGCAGTCGTCTAGAGCTGGTGAAATCTAAGCCTTCTTTTAAAAGCCATTTTGACCAACCTTTTTTGTATTCTTGTATTTCCTTTCCAACACCTGTCCCCTGCCTACTCTGTTGGAATAACAAATGAAAAAGAATACCCTTTTTCAGAAATAAGAGTGTAACCTTCCTGGACATAGGTTCCATGCCATAGAACCACCTTACAGTTGACGTAATCACACTATGAAGCCCAGTTTCCACTTCAAAAACTCAAATACCTTGGCTATGTTTCCAAGATAAACTCTTTACAAGTCACAATACTGTAGTGATTTGGTGTAGATGTGTGAATGTATCCCATTATATTTAATAACTTTATGAGCAAGCCTTCTCTAAATGTCATCATAAAATGTGTGCTATTTATGTTCACCCAATTTTTGCATATTTTCATTATGCAATTAATGAAAATCCCATTAATGTGGCTATTAAAAGCATACCCTCAAATTCTACTGTTAGGGGCTAGAGCCCATTAAAAATCAGTAAATTCTGTTTGGGCACAGTGGCTCATGTCTAATCCCAGCACTTTGGGAGGCTGAGGCGAGAGGATCGCTTGAGTTCGAGAGTTTGAGACCAGCCTGGACAACACAACATAGTGAGATCTTGTCTCCACTGGAAAAAAAAAAAAAGGCCAGGTGTGGTGGCAGCTAAGACAAGAGGATCGCTTGAACCTGGTAGGTTGAGGCTGCAGTGAACTGTGATCACCCCTCTGCACTCCAGACGAGGCAACAGAGTGAGACCCGGTCTCAAAAAAAAAAAAAAAAAAAAAAAATCAGTATATTCTTAAAAGATAGTCCTGTGAGGATGCCTTTTCTCAACCTAACAATTTATAGTTTCTTCATTTGTAAAATAAAGCTGATAATATTTACGTGTCAGGGTCGTCCTAAAGATTAGAATGTAGATGTTAAATGCCTACCACTGTCTGGCAGCTGGGAAATACCCTCAACATGAGAGATACCCATGTGCTTAGTCACCTCATGACTGCTGCCTTCAGCCTGTCTAGGAGAGGCGTCATTTGTTTTGTGCTGCTGTTTGTATATTAAGAATTTTTTGTTGTGTTTTATCAAAGGACATAAAGCCTGCATGACTCTTAAAGAAAACTATAGTGGAAAAAGCATAGATCATAAAAATGTCAGCACGGAGTTTTTCTGACCATTCACGCACATCATTGCCTACTTGAAGAACGCCTTTTATAATGTCATATACAATATTGTGCTCATACCTTTTCCAGATTCCAAATTCTAACTGTAAACTACTTTGTATCTGTCTTTAAATTTTCAAATGGGCAGTTTCTCTGCAAAGTCAGTCAATCACTATCTCAGATACTACAACATTTGGCATAGTGAATTTTATGTGGCCTTCTTAACACCTTTATTCAGGTGTATGTGACACATGTTTACAGTATACAGTTTGGTAAGTTTTAACATATGCATACACTTGTAAAACCATGACCACTAAGTGGTTAATGTATCTGTCACCCCCAAAAGTTTCTCCTTGGTAATCCTTCCCGCCACTGTCTGTCCCCATCCCAGACAACCACTGATCTGTTTTCTGTCACTACGGATTAGCATAACTCTTCCTGTACTAGAATTTTATATAAGTTGAATCATAGTGTGTACTTTTTTTGTCTGACTTCTTTTACTCAGAAAAATTATATTGAGAATCATCCATGTGGTGTTTCAATTTATGTTTTAGATTTTTAACAATAACTTCTGTTTGAGTTCCTAGATGAGAAATACTACTACTTTGAAAACTTAACCTCTTTTTGAATTTTATCAAGAAATACCTTGAATGATAATCTTAGTGAAAACATTAAAAGACTGCTATACTCTCTTGTCCTTGTGAAAGTCCAACTCAAGTAATTAACTTATACTTAGGTAAAGTTCCTCATATGTTTGAATTGAGAACTCTTAAGGCTCCTAACCAGCATATCATGTTACCTTGGAGACAAGAGTGTTTTTGGAAACAGTGTGAATATTAACTACTGTGTTTGCTTTGAAAGGTGCCATATATCTAATGATAATGCCATAATTACTGATTAATTTATCTTTCTTTCCAGATCCTTTCCCGGAGTTCAGTTATGGGTGTGAGAGGTTTGCAAGGATTTGTGGGAAGTACCTGCCCACATATATGTACAGTAGTAAATTTCAAAGAACTGGCAGAGCACCACCGAAGCAAGTATCCTGGATGTACCCCTACCATTGTGGTTGATGCCATGTGTTGTCTCAGATATTGGTATACTCCAGAATCTTGGATCTGCGGTGGCCAGTGGCGAGAATACTTTTCTGCTTTGCGAGATTTTGTTAAAACTTTTACGGCAGCTGGGATCAAGTTGATATTCTTCTTTGATGGCATGGTGGAGCAGGATAAGAGAGATGAATGGGTGAAACGAAGGCTCAAGAACAACAGGGAGATATCCAGGATTTTTCATTACATCAAGTCACACAAGGAGCAGCCAGGCAGAAATATGTTCTTCATCCCCTCAGGGCTAGCTGTGTTTACACGATTTGCTCTAAAGACACTGGGCCAGGAAACTTTGTGTTCTTTGCAGGAAGCAGATTATGAGGTAGCTTCCTATGGCCTCCAGCATAACTGTCTTGGGATTCTGGGGGAAGACACTGATTACCTAATCTATGACACTTGTCCCTACTTTTCAATTAGCGAGCTCTGCCTAGAGAGCCTGGACACCGTCATGCTCTGCAGAGAGAAGCTCTGTGAGAGTCTGGGCCTCTGTGTGGCCGACCTTCCTCTTCTGGCCTGCCTCCTTGGCAACGACATAATCCCAGAGGGCATGTTTGAAAGCTTTAGGTACAAATGCTTATCGTCCTACACCTCTGTAAAAGAGAACTTTGACAAAAAAGGTAACATCATATTAGCTGTGTCAGACCATATATCGAAAGTTCTTTACTTGTATCAAGGTGAGAAAAAATTAGAAGAGATATTACCTCTGGGACCAAACAAAGCTCTTTTTTATAAAGGAATGGCATCATATCTTTTACCAGGACAAAAATCTCCATGGTTTTTCCAAAAACCCAAAGGTGTAATAACTTTGGACAAACAAGTAATATCCACGAGTTCAGACGCCGAATCCAGGGAAGAAGTTCCCATGTGTTCAGATGCTGAATCCAGGCAAGAAGTTCCCATGTGTACAGGCCCTGAATCCAGGCGAGAAGTTCCCGTGTATACAGATTCTGAACCCAGGCAAGAAGTTCCCATGTGTTCAGACCCTGAACCCAGGCAAGAAGTTCCCACGTGTACAGGCCCTGAATCCAGGCGAGAAGTTCCCATGTGTTCAGACCCTGAACCCAGGCAAGAAGTTCCCATGTGTACAGGCCCTGAAGCCAGGCAAGAAGTTCCCATGTATACAGACTCTGAACCCAGGCAAGAAGTTCCCATGTATACAGACTCTGAACCCAGGCAAGAAGTTCCCATGTATACAGGCTCTGAACCCAGGCAAGAAGTTCCCATGTATACAGGCCCTGAATCCAGGCAAGAAGTTCCCATGTATACAGGCCCTGAATCCAGGCAAGAAGTTTTAATACGGACAGACCCTGAATCTAGGCAAGAAATTATGTGTACAGGCCATGAATCCAAACAGGAAGTTCCCATATGTACAGATCCTATATCCAAGCAAGAAGACTCCATGTGTACACACGCTGAAATCAATCAAAAATTACCTGTAGCAACAGATTTTGAATTTAAGCTAGAAGCTCTCATGTGTACAAACCCTGAAATTAAACAAGAAGACCCCACAAATGTGGGGCCTGAAGTAAAGCAACAAGTAACCATGGTTTCAGACACTGAAATCTTAAAGGTATGTGTATCTGCCCAGCCAATATGCCATGATTGAAAATATATCCGCTGATGGATTTGTTAGTGAAGATCCATTACTGCCTCAGTGTTTGGCCACTGAGAGGATGCACAACAGGAGTCTCTAAGTCTCGTTAGGAAGTGTGACGTTATATGTGTGGAAACTCACAACCAATGTTGGATACTGTCACATGAATATTATAGAAAAGTGCTATAAGAATACAAGAGAGAAAGAGAACATTGTGGGTTAAAGTACAGGGAGAAGGCCGGGCGTGGTGGCTCATGCCTGTAATCCCAGCACTTTGGGAGGCCCAAAGCAGGTGGGTCACCTGAGGTCAGGAGTTCAAGACCAGCCTGACCCACATGGTGAAACCCTGTCTCTACTAAAAATACAGAAATCAGCTGGGCATGGTGGCGCACACATGTGATCCCAGCTACTCGGGAGGCTGAGACAGGAGACTTACTTGAACCTGGGAGGCGGAGGTTGCAGTGAGCTGAGATTCTCCAGCCTGGGCAATAAGAGCAAAACTGTCTCAAAAAATAAAAATAAATAAAGTACAGGGAGAAGTTCCCCAAAGAGGTAGAACTGGAGCCAGACCTTAATGGGGCAGCCAAAATATGCATTGAATAAGCAAAGACTTGGGAGTTGTGGAAGTACTAAAGGTGTAGCGTTTTGAATCTGCATCACGCGGGGGCGCAGGGAGAAAGTCCAGGCTAGAGCGTGGGGTTTGGAGAAAAAAATGGGAAAAGGTGGACAATCATAGCCAAATTGGGAAGGTTATTAAATGCCACATGAGGAATTTGGACTTAATTCTGAAAGTATTACAGCGCCTTTGAAGATTTTTGATGGGGGGCCACTACGTGTGAGGTTCTGTGCTAGGTGCATTAGGTAACTTTTCTCATTAGATCTTCTCAACAGCCCTGTGAGATAGACTTATCCTTGTTTTACAGAAGAGGTCTGTGTCCACATGAATGTCTCAAAGGTACCTCAGCAAGTTCTAAACCAAACTTAACTATCTTAACCACACACCTTTCCTTGTTCCCAGCACTATGAGCACCACCATCTTTCATCTAGTTACAACTACATAGATCTGTAAGGAAGCTCCTGCTCCTAGTCTGATGCAAAACTCAGGCCCGGACAGCAGCTGAGCAGCTGTGTGGTGATACCTGGAGGGCAGCCATGTGAACCTGCCAGCCAACCAGCATTCGATTTTTTTTAAGCAGGTATATCGATATGATCAGATTTTTGGTTTTTGAAACATTACAGTGCAGTGAGTGGATTTAAAGTGGCCATTGTAGTAACTCAGGTAAAATACAAAAGAGCTAGAATTAGGAAAATGGCAGTGGAAATAGGAAGAAACAAATTCAAGAAATGTTTCAGAAGTGAAACTAATAAATAAGTCTTGCTGTGGAGGTGAAGTTCCTCCTTGAGTACCGGCGATGGTAGATGGTGTTAATCTAAAGAAGAAGGAGGAAAGGTTTTACAGGGAGAAGAAGATTAAGTGGGTTATATTTTAATTGAGTAGATGGCACCTCTAACACATGTTCTCGTAGTGAAATATGGACCTAAAGTTCTATTACTGGCAAGAGACAGACATCTGGGAGTTATCCTATTTTATGTGTAAAGTAAAAGATGATGTGGGATGGAGACTTAAGGAACAGTCCACTGAGAGATCAGGAGTGAGCAGAGGAGGAAGGAGAATAAGGAGGGGATAATCCCCACAAAAGTCCAAGGGGGCAAGTTTCAAGAATGAGAAAAGAAACGGTCAGGAGTATCACATGCTACAGAGGTAAAGAGGTAGAATAGGACTAGACATAGGGACTTGGGTCAGTAATTAGGAGGTCCTGATGGCATCAGAGAGTTACTGCAGCACAGGGTTGGGAGTGGAGGCAAAGCCGACAGGGAGTTTGGCAGTGGAAGAGACTTTGTTGGGGAAGGCAGGGTCAAGGAGAGTCCTCACAGGAAGGGAGTGCCTGGGCAAAGTGGTGGGTCGAGAGTTGTTCACATGGATTGAACTTAATTGTATCTTTGAAAACAATTTTGAAGTTTCTTACATTGCCCTTACATTTTCTCTATAAAATTTTTTTGCAATGTCATCTTCAAACCCTAACAGGCAACTAAAATTCAAACGTGTATTTTAACCATACATAGTCACCCTGGAAAAATGCTCAGGTAGAAAGGCTGTGGGCACAACAGTTACATTGGATACACGCATAACCACAGCCTTATATCTGTGTCTTCTCTATGTCAGCATTTTGGAAGATCAGTTGAGTTACTGTTTGTTTCTTTGAGTCAGGGTCTCACTGTCACCCAGGTTGCAGTGCAGTGGCACTATATCCTCTGCCTCCCAGGTTCAAGCAATTCTCCTGCCTCAGCCTCCTGAGTAGCTGGGACTACAGGTGCACTCCACCACGCCCAGCTAATTTTTGTATTTTTTAGTAAAGATGGGGTTTCGCCATGTTGCCCAGGCTGGCCTTGAACTCCTGACCTCAAGTGATCCACCTCGACCTCCCAAAGTGCTGGGATTACAGGCATGAGCCACCGTTCCTGGCCGGATAGTCTTATAATCTTATAGAACATGCATTGGCAGTGAGCTGCAAGCCACACCTCAGGACAAGTGCTTTTCTTATATTGACTCATTTAATCCTCACAGTAGTCCTGGGAGCCGGGCACGTTTTTATTCAACCCATTTTCTATAGGAAGAAGGTAAGGAACAGAGAGATTAAGACTGAAGCCTATGAATAATGAATCAACATAACTAGGACTATTTAAATACATATAAATGAGACACTCTTAGGATTCAGAGTTTTTGGTATCCAGGTTATTCTAGCATCACATTTTAATGCCTTTAGTAGTAGACTGGATTTAAATTTTGAATAGTAATCTAGATGAACTTATTCTCACAGTAATAAGAATGTTCTTCACTGGAAGGTAAAACCTATATATTCAGGCTATGATAGCCCTTCTGATTTTAACTACTTACTTAATGAGAAAGTGGAATTAATTTAAATCATGTATCTCATCACCTACCATGAGCCAGCACTGTCTTGACATTACAGAGGAGAAGCACCTGTGCCTGGCACATGGTTTTTCACTCAGTAAACAATTTCTCAACAAATGAGTGAATGAATATAGTACGGCTTCTAACACTAAGCAGCTTACAGTTTAATAAGGGAGGCAGACCAGACAGCTGCGTTACAGGGAAAATAGGATATGAGCTCCATAAGGCAAGCTGGATGTTGGTCCTGTCTAAGGGAGGAGGAGAGGGTGACATCAGCAAACCTTAAAGGGAAAAGAGGATTGTAAAGTGGGAGGCTGGGAAAGACTGGAAGAGAAAGATTCTGGGTAGGGTAAGTTCTTATGGGGCACAAGTAAAGGTAGAAGAGGATTGAGTACTCTTGAGGAGCAATGAAGATGTTCTGTTGAGACTGAATTATGGCTATTTCTATGAGGGTGAAATGGTGTGCAAGGCTAGAAAAAGGAGATTGAGGCTTTATAGAGGGGCCTCAAATGTTATGGTGAAGGATTTGTGGTAGCCATTCAAATGTTTTGAATAGGGTAGCAAAGTTTTCAAAGACAGTATGGCAATGGTGTGAAGGATGGGTTGGAAAGGGGAGAAACTGGTCTAGGGGATTAAGACCCTTTCATAGCAATACTGGTGAGAAGTAGTGAGCACCTGGTTACTGGGAGGTTATCAAGGAGACAGAACAGTGAGATACTGCAGAAGATAAGACTGGTAGACGTTTGGAGAGAGGAGGAGGAGGGGGAATAGAAAGTTTGAAATTGGTAGTCCAAAGGAAAGAGAACATGGCAACTTGATGTCATGAATTTCAGGGTCAGTTACATTTCTGAGGGCCTTAAAAAACTGGCATATGATGAAAGGCATTGACTTTTTCTATTTGAAGGTTACTATCCTGTTTTTAAGGAGAAATTCAGTTGTATTTAAATTTCAAACAGGTTGCTAGAACACATCACGTCCAAGCAGAAAGCTACCTGGTGTACAACATCATGAGCAGTGGAGAGATTGAATGCAGCAACACCCTAGAAGATGAGCTTGACCAGGCCTTACCCAGCCAGGCCTTCATTTACCGTCCCATTCGACAGCGGGTCTACTCACTCTTACTGGAGGACTGTCAAGGTGAGAATTGGTTGGTCCCTCTTAGTAAAGGTTCTATTTGGAGTTGAGTTCTGAGAAACTGGCCAGATGAAATAGAGTGCATTCTTTCAAGACATGGAGACAATTAAATGGGTTTTATATCCCTGTCAAATCTATAATTGAGAATACCACTGACATCTGTAAAAAATTAAGCGTAAGTGCCATTGGACGTCTATATCTAATGAACAGTAAGTTGATGAGTGTGCATTAAAAGAAGAATGCATGATTTCTATAAAATGTCATATTTTTATGCCTTAAAAGGATTTTTGCTTTTTTAAAAAATGTGAGAATTCTTTCCTCCTGTAGGGGAGAGTAGAGTATGCCTATTATTAGAAGAAAACAATGTCTACTTAGTCTTCCCTCAAAATGTGATTTTTATAAAATAATTTTACAAAATCTAGTGATCATGTTTTTAAATACAAACAATTTTCCTTTGGTGTTTTTGTAATTTGTGTTTTTTCTCATCTATATTTCCATTATGTGCTTAGCAACAAGAGTAGAGAGCGGACCATCAAGGACCCAAATAGTGAAAATGAGGAATTTTAACCCCAAGGAGAAAGTTAGTGAAGGTCCCATAACTCACCATTTGGAATAGTTTTGGGGGGAATGAGGAGTGTGGAAGAACACTTCATATCAGAAACCAGAGATGTTGAATGCATTTAGTGCCCTTCTATTTCAGTAAGGCCTTGTTCATTTTAGACAGAGACCTTAGGTACTTTATGGTCTGATTTGAGAATGTGTTGATAAGAAACATGGTCTACACACTATTACCAGGATAAGAGAGAGAAGGAGTAGGATACTGGTGCAGGTGGTCCATTTGCCTAAACATCATTATTTCCAGACATGTCAATATTAACCGTACTCTGTTGTTCCAGAAAGTGAACATTTACATAATCTAAAAGTGGTGATAGAATCATCAGATGGAAAAGTCATCATTATTATTTTTGGATGATGGGGCTCAGGGGTAGTGGGGTTATTTAAATCCAGTTTTTGTTAGATTCCTGTAGCACCACCCAGCATGCACTGCTTTCTCCCATACATACTGCAAGAGTTCACCTCTGTGACCTAAGGAAGCAGACATGAGAAAGATGTTTAAGCTGATTTAAAAACAGAAATAAAGAACCTGTGTAATAAACTCTGGAGCCAAACGATATTTAAATCATTTTTTAAAATTTCTGTTTCTTATGTGCTCTCTACCCGCATTCTTTCTTAACATGGATGTTTGCACATTGACTCTAATGATGGAAAAAAGAGATCTTCCTCATGAAAACATTTTTACATTAAATAATAATATTGGAATTATTTTCAGACTATTTCATTAAACTATATAAATTTCACTAACCTAAATTTCATACTTTGTTAATGTAATATATTTATGACCAAGTGGATAACTTTATTAGATAACCACATAAAAAAACCATTCACATTGAATTTGTCTTCATGGTTGATCTTTAGTTTCTTTCTTTCTCCCTCAACTTTTTGGCTTTCTACATGAAGTTTACATTATTAAGATATGAAAATAAAATGCTGTTTTTGCTGATTTATATATGATGATAATAATGAAGTGTATCCTATGTTATTTGTTTGACTTAGTTTATGATCCCATTTGTAGTTGAAAATGTTGTGTATTTTACAGTTGTTGAGTAGAGTGTTCTGTAAATGTCAGCAGTGTTAATAAGGCTATTCCAAGTCTTTTACTGATTTTCTGTCTACTTGTTCTTAGTTCCCAGGAGAAAACGGTTAAAAATTCCAGCTCTTACTGTGGATTTGTCTATTTATTCCTTCAGTTCTGTCAGTTTTTGCTTTAGGTATTTTGAAACTCTGTTGTTAGGTGCATATACGTTGAGGACTGTTGTGATTCTTAATGAATCGACCCTTTTAACAGGAGAGTTCACTTTTAAAAACATGGTAATACTCCTTGTCCTAAAGTTGTCTTTGTTTTATTGTAATATAGTCACTCCAGTATTCTTACTGTTAATGTTTGCATGGTATGGTATTTTTTCTATCCTTTTAAACTATTTCTTAACATCTAAAGTGCATCTCTTTTAAAAACAGCATGTCCAGTGTCACAGTCTCTCTTTTAATTGGAATGTTCAGACTGAACGTAACTCTTGGCATAATTAGGGCTCACTCTTCCGTTTTGCCTTTTGTTCTTTTTTCCCCACCTTATTTTCTCATTTTCATACTTCTTTTGGATTAGTTTAATAATTTTTAGTATTGTGTTTTATGCACTCATTTGGATTATTAGATTTACCTTTAAAAAAAAAAAAAAAAAGTAGTTGGCCGGGCACGGTAGCTCACGCCTGTAATCCCAGCACTTTGGGAGGCCGAGGCAGGCGGATCACCTGAGGTCAGGAGTTTGAGACCAGCCTGGCCAACATGGTGAAACCCTGTCTCTACTAAAAATACAGATATTAGCTGGGCATGATGGCAGGTGCCTGTAATCCCAGCTACTTGAGAGGCTGAGGCAGGAGAATTGCTTGAGCCCAGGAGACAGAGGTTGCAGTGAGCCAAGGTCACACCATTGCACTCCAGCCTGGGGACAAGATGGGGACAAGAGCGAGACTTCATCTCAAAAAAAAAAAAAAAAAGTGGTTGATCTGGGGGTCTGTTAGATTGGTGCAAAAATAATTGCGGTTTTTGCAATTACTTTTAATATCTTTAACATCACCATTTACTATCAAATAATATACTATGTTACTAGCAATGTAAAAACCTTGTAACTGTGTATTTTCATTCTCCCCAACATTTTTGCTATTGTCGTTTTATGTCTTGTACATATATATATATTTTAAATTTGAAATAATTACGGATTCACAGGAAGTTGCAAGAATAGTACATAGTTTCCCATGTACCCTTCACTCAGATTCCTTCAAAGATGACATCTTATATAACTGTGGTGTAATATCAAAGCCAGAAAGTTAACATCAGGTACAATGCTAACTAAACTGCAGACCTTATTCAGTTGTGCCATTTTTTACATGCATGCATTTATGTGTGTGGGTGTGTAGGTCTGTGCAAAGATCCTGCAGCTACCACCACAGCCAAGATACAGAGCTGGTTTGTTAGCACTCCCTCCATGTGCCCCTGTGTCCTGGCAATCTTTCTTCCCCCCATTCCTGTCCTCTGGCAACTGCGAATCTGTTTTTCATCTCTATGTTCTTGTTCATTTCAGAATGTTACATAAATGGCAGCATACAATATGTAACCTTTGGAGATTATGCATATGTTGTAAACCCTATAATACATGAGGGGTTGGCACACTTTTTCTGTGAAGGGTCAGATAATAATAAATATTGTAGGTTTTGAGGGCTCCTTCCACAGTCCCCGTCACAACTACCCAATCCTGCTGTTGTAGTGCAAGAGCAGCCATAGACAACATGTACATGAATGAATGTGGCTGTGTGCCAGGAAGCCTTTATTCAATTTTCCCATGTGACAGAACTTGAATTTTATTTTATTGATTTATTTATTTTTTAGAGACAGAGTCTCACTCTGTTGCCCAGGCTGGAGTGCAGTGGCACCATCACAGCTCACTGCAGCCTTCAACTCCAAGGCTGAAGGGATCCTCCTACCTCAGCCTCTTGAGTAACTGAGATGACAGGCATGCGCCACCACACCCGGCTAATTTTTAAATATTCTTTTTTTGAAGAGATAGGATCTCGCTATGTTACCTAGGCTGGTCTCAAACTCCTGACCTCAAGATATCCCCCACGTCAGCCTCCCAAAGTGTTGGGATTACAGATGTGAGTTACCGCACCAGGCCAAAACTTGAATTTTTTTTTTTGAGATGGAGTCTTGCTCTGTCGCCCAGGCTGGAGGGCAGTAGCACAATCTTGGCTCACTGCAAGCTCCGCCTCCCGGGTTCACACCATTCTCCTGCCTCAGCCTCCCAAGTACCTGGGACTACAGGCACCCGCCACCATGCCCGGCTAATTTTTTGTATTTTTAGGAGAGACGGGGTTTCACTGTGTTAGCCAGGATGATCTCGATCTCCTGACCTTGTGATCCGCCCACCTCGGCCTCCCAAAGTGCTGGGATTACAGGCGTGAGCCACCGCGCCCGGCCAACTTGAATTTTATAGAGTATAATTTTCAGGAGTCACAAAATATTCTTAAAAACATTTTTTTCCAACCATTAAAAAAATATGAAAACATTATTAGTTTTCAGACTGTAAAAAAGCAGGCAGATTTGACCCATGAGCTGGTAGTTTGCCAATTTCCACTTTAAATTATAGGCTTTATACACACTGCACACGGAGGCTGCTCCGGTGAGTCCATGAGTGAGTGGGGAGTGAGTGGGAAGACCAGGATATGACCATGCTGCTGTAGGCTTTATACACACTGCACACGCAGGCTGCTCCGGTGAGTCCATGAGTGAGTGGAGAGTGAGTGGGAAGGCCAGGACATGACCATACACCGCTGTAGGCTTTATACACACTGCACATGCAGGCTGCTCCGGTGAGTCCATGAGTGAATGAAGAGTCAGTGGGAAGGCCAGGACACGACCGTATACTGCTGTAGGCTTTATACACACTGCACACGCAGGCTGCTCCGGTGAGTCCATGAGTGAGTGAAGAGTCAGTGGGAAGGCCAGGACATGACCGTGTTGCTGTAGGCTTTACACACACTGCACACGCAGGCTGCTCTGGTGACTCCGGTGAGCGAGTGGGAAGTGAATGGGAAGGCCAGGACATGACCATACACTGCTGTAGGTTTTATACATACTGCACATTTAGGGCTATAATACATTCAAAAAATATTTCTTTCCTCAACAATAAATTAACCTTAACTTACTGTAACTTTTTTACTTTATAAACTTTTAAATTTATTTAACTTTTTGACTCTTGTAATTAACACCTAACTTAAAATACAAACACATTATACAACTGGACAAAAAATTCTTTCTTTATATCATTCTATAAGCCTTTTTCTATTAGAAAAATTTTTAACTCTACTTCCTGAATTCATACTTTAGAAACTTTTAATTTTTTTAAACTTCTTTGTTAAAAGCTCAGACACAAGCACGCACATTAGTCTAGGACTCCACGGGGTCAGGATCATCAAGGCTTCACCAGAAATGTGTGTGCAGTCCATCACTAACCAAATCATGGTTTATGCAGTACAGGACTGTATTTCATCTTTCTTTGGGGGGGTATAGTTTTGCTGCATATAGAATTTTAGGTCGTTCTGTATTTTCTCCTGGCATGTGTAGTTTCTGATGAGACAGCAAGGCTCATCTTTATCGTTGTTCCCCATGTGTTACGTGGCTTTTCTCCTCTAGCTGTCTTTGCAATTCCTCTCCTGTTTGCTGGATTTTGAGTAAGGTTCACTCCTGCCCCCTTCATGGGATTCTTGAGCTTCCTAAATCTATGGGTTTATATTTCCTATCAAATTTGGAAGAAATGAGCGTTTTTTTAAATAAGATTTTGTCTTTCTCAATCTCTTTTGCCTCTTCCTCTGGGCCATTTGTTGACTTCCTCCTACAGGGTCCACATAGTTTTGCTTATTCTCATGTCTAGCGTTTTTTGATTATATGCCAGAACATTTTGGATACTAAAAAGAGTGTAGAGTTTAGTTCTGTCAGACAGTTACTCTACCTGCTCCTTCCGAGACTTGCCTTTAAACTTCATTAGGCTGTGTCCATTGTGGCTTTTACTTTACAGCTAGCACAGCCCTACTCCTAAGGCAGGGCCTTCCAGGCTATCACCAGAGTGCCCAAGGTGTAGGACGAGGTCTCTTCATGTTTGCTGGTGGTGGAAGCTCCACTGTCTTCAAGCCCAGTGCAAGCTCCATTGGTTGGCCAGCCCCAGGACCTTGCCTGGCTTCTCTGAGTCTTACCCTATATCCTGATAGCTCTCTCTTCAGCCAGAGTCTAAAGGGCACTTGCCATCTGCACACTGCCCTGCTCTCTGGTGCTGTGTCCTGCAGATGGTGGCCTCAATAGTCTTGATCTCCAGTCTCTGTCTCCTCATCTGAGGAACTACCTCCCTCACTAGGATACAGTCTGGACAGTGCCTGTGGGCACAAAATTGGCGTGATAGAGAGTTGTTTCCCTTCTGTCTGGGATAACAATCTGGCACTGCCCATTGTCCGTCACATGAATGCAGTTGCTAGAACCATTTCTTCAGTTCTAGTGTTGATGGTAGGAAGGCTGGTCAGTGGCTCTGCCCTTTCACAAACGACCACCCCCACTGTCCCCTGCTCAGTGGCTCTGCTCGATCACAGTCACCCCCGCGGTCCTGTGGCATCACAGGTGCTGATAATGCCAGCTGCAAAGTCGAGTGCTGGAGTGATTCATGTTCCTTTTTTACCGACTTTTTTTTTTTTCTTAGAAGGTTTTGAGGTGTTCTCTTTATCCTGTGATTAGCGAATCTCTGTTGTCTCAGTTCTCTCCTGGAAGTGCTGTGAAATGCAGGTGGGGCTTCCTGGACTGATACTCTCTTTCTTCATCTTTTGATTCCTGTTTTTGTGTTTTTGTGCTACATTAAGGGGACATCTCTCCACTTCATTTCTCAGCTCTTTTATAGAAGTGTCCACTCTTCTTCTCTTCATCAAGGCCTGCTTCCCCCAGCCCTGGACCAAGCCCACTGCCTCTTTCTGCCCCGCATCGAAGCCCTCTGCCCAACTTGAGCAGCTGTCTGACTGATGATCACCTTTGTGCTGGGATATCTGGCATCTAGGGACACCACCTCTTCTTCCCTTCCCCCTTAAGCACCTGTTCTCTGCTGACCTCCTCCCTTCAGAGTTCCTCAGTTACACCCACTGTCTTCTTTACCTGGTCTTGCTTTAAAAAACTGTATCCATGTTGACTGTCCAATTCCAGCAGTTTTCTTTAAGTGTTTTCTGGAACAGTGTGAGGGAGGTAGGGAGGAAAGACATCGTAGGAGTCATTAACATGGTAAACTCTCTCTCCCATATTATTGTTTACTTACCCAGATTATCCTGAGGATTTTGTCGGTTCCACAGGGTATGGTTCTTGATGGAATGAACAGATTACCCTCAGATTGGAGGATAAGAAATTAATTGTTGGATAACTTAAGGTTACTCAGTCACCTTGGATTTGAGAGCTCACCTTTGAATTGGCCACCTGGGCAGAGCTGGGTCTGTGACACTGTGAGCCTGGCGATGCATGCCCTCATGCATCTACTGACCCAACTCTTTTTCTTCAGATGTCACCAGCACCTGCCTAGCTGTCAAGGAGTGGTTTGTGTATCCTGGGAACCCACTGAGGCACCCGGACCTCGTCAGGCCGCTGCAGATGACCATTCCAGGTACAGGCAGCCTTTCTTTAAATGAACCACAGATCTTTCCATTCTATGATAAAAGTCTAAGAATGCATCAGTTATGGAAAGCATCTTTTACCAGAATTGCACAAATACTAGTTTTTATTTAAACCCTTGGCTCATGATTAATGTATCCATCTAACAAAGTCCCAAAATAATGGAAGGATGATGCTGTGGCAGGTTTACCCTGGACCATCTGCGGCGGTGCTCTGCCTCTTTCTCCATCCACCCTGGTCCAGGTCCACAGCAGTGGAGAGAGAAAAGAGACAGAAGGATGGCCGTGGTCAGCGCATGTTGCTGCCGCAGCCCCAGTGCCTGATGTCTAGTTGTTGCTTGGTAGACGTCCAGAGTTTAACAGGATAGATTCTTGATATTCTGCTTGAATCAACAATCTTACCTTCTCCCCACCACTGAAAGCATATTTTGATGAGTTCTGGCACCAGAAAGAGAAGATAAAGGAGGGTTATTTCCACTGGAAAAAAGGTTATATTTTCATGAGCAATATCTTAAAGCTTAATGAGAGGTAAGGAAAAACAAAGTTCACCTGCAGATTAGCTGAAGTATATCCAAAGAGCAGCCTTTCTTTCTGTGAGTTCGTAGTATCTGAAACAGGTCAGGAATGTACAAGTGTCAGGGTAGGGTTCTACACACAAACAGTTAAGGAAGAGGAGGCTAAGCTTCAGAGTTTATTTTTAGTGGCTCATGTCATTGTTTCACCGAACAAATATTTTCCTACAGTTTTGCTATTCCATTTTCATATGCATTAAATTCTCTGGTTTCGCTACTATTTTCCATGACATGAACGTGTAATTTACCAAGTACAGATCTGAGCACTATAATTGGTTTTTAAATAAATGGAATTGTATTGAGAGAGAAGTTGAGAAAAGCTATTGTAGGGAGTGTTTCCTTATTCTGTTAATCATACACTAAAACCTTAAAAGTACTTACCAGAGAAACATAATTAGAATGCATTGACATTTGTTTTTGCAGTAAGGAGCATTTTTTTAAAGGATAGCCAAAATAATTTTCCAAAAATGTTTTATTATATATGTATTTTCATCTTATAGTATCTTTCCAAATATAATATGGAAAATGACTATTACATCTCTTTTCATTGTTTGAATTAAAGAGAACATTTGACTGTTCGTCATTGTGTCAAGAGTTAATTTTAAAGGCCACTCTATATAATGTTTTAATAAATTCCAGAAATTGTATAAGTATTAGAGAGACTACTTCAGAGCTTGTGAAAACATCCTCTGTTGCACTCCTAGAGTGGGAAAGCGTGTGTATAGCACCTTGGACCACACATTGGGTTCTCTTCTGGAAGGAGCTCCGGAAGCCTGTGCCCTACATGGAGGGCCACGTCTCAAACACACTCATTTTCACAGCTATTATTCTAGACATAGGATTTGAACTTTTATACGGAGGGCCACGTCTCAGACACATTCATTTCCACAGCTATTGCTCTAGAAATTGGATTTGAATTTTTATATGGAGGGCCACGTCTTAAACACACTCATTTCCACAGCTATTACTCCAGACATAGGATTTGAACTTTTACACGGAGGGCCACATCTCAAACACACTCATTTCCACAGCTGTTACTCTAGAAATTGGATTTGAATTTTTTATTCCAGATTATTTCAATGGGTGACTCCTTATTTACACTTGCACTAATGCAATATCATCAATAATGATGATAATTCAAAAGACAAGATTTTAAATTTTAAGTGCTTTTCCGTATCTATGAGGAATATTGCCAAATGATTTTAGACAAAAATGGAAAACAGAACATCCAATTGCCTGTCAAGTATTCACATGAATACAACATACGATTAAAAACAGATCAGCTGGGTGGGGTTGGGGGGCTCACGCCTGTAATCCCAGCACTTTGGGAGGCCGTGGCAGATGGGTCACCTGAGATCAGGAGTTTGACACCCGCCTGGCTAACATGGTGAAACCTTGTCTCTACTAAAAATACAAAAATTAGCTGGGTGTGGTGGCAGACACCTGTAGTCTCAGCTACTCAGGAGGCTGAGGCAGGAGAATTGCTGGAACCCTGGAGGCGGAGGTTGCAGTGAGCCGAGATCACGCCATTGCACTCCAGCCTGGGCGACAACAGCAAGACTCCATCTCAAAAAAAAAAAGTGAGATCCTGCCGATGGGCCCTTCCTGTCCACCTGTCAGGAAAACCTGCAAAAGGTTCTTGTCGCACCATTAGAGCCAGTTTTTCCCAAATGACACCCATACCTGATTTTCCTTGTTCTTCTAAGACAGTTTTAATTAGGATAATCTCATAAGTGCTACATTTTCAGTGAATTTTTCAATATAGTGGCCCATGTTCTTTCTTTTTTTTTAAAGTCTTTTTCCTCTGGTAGCACATGTGATTTAATGCTTGCTTTCCTGAATTGTAGAAATAAAAGGAAATCACAAGTATTTTCCAACAAAGTGGAACTGAGGCCGAAGGGTGCAGAAAAAAACTATAGAAATTAGTTAAAAATTAGGAAGGGGAAATAATCAAAATTAACGAGCCAGGGAGCAGAAAAAGAAATCTCATTCCTGGGTGCTATGGTTTGAATGTTTGTACCCCCACCCCACCGCCCCCCCGCCCCCCGCAATTCCTGTATTGAAAACCTAATCACTAATGTGATGGTATTGGGAGGTGGGGCCTTTGGGAGGGAAAGAGGTGATTAGATGGGATTCCTGCCCTTATAAAAGAGGCCCCTTCTTCCGTGTGAAGGTGCCAATGTGCCATCTGTGAACCAGGAAGCGGGGCCTCACCAGAAGCCAACCATGCTGGCACCTTGATCTTGGGCTTCCAGCCTCCAGAAATTTTCTGCTGTTAAAAGCTACCTAATTTATGGTGTTTTGCCATAGCATCTCAGATGGACCAAGACACTGGTTTGTTTTATTCAGGGAGCTTATTTACATGCATATATTTCTGTGAGCCTCATCTTTTTTTTTTTTTTTTTTGAGACAGAGTCTCACTCTGTCGCCCAGGCTGGAATGCAGTGGCACAATCTTAGCTCACTGCAACCTCCGCCTCCTGAGTAGCTGGGACTACAGGCACATGCCACCACACCCAACTAATTTTTGTATTTTTAGTAGAGTCTGGGTTTCGCCTTGTTGGCCAGGCTGGTCTCAAACTCCTGGCCGCAAATGATCCTTCCGCTTCTGCCTCCCAAAGTGCTGGGATTACAGGCGTCAGCCACTGCCCAGCGTATGGGCCCCATCTTTACGTGTGTGCATGTGGGAGCATGTATATAGGATATATATACTACATTTCATTTCTTTTACAATATATCATGGAAGATGATGTTTCTGATAACACAGTTTAGCTTCCATTTCCCAAACCCAGCTCGTAAAGGTCCTTGATGTGTGCATGTGTGTCTACCCTTTCCCAGCACACTGCCTGCTCTCACTCCCTTACTAACTTTCCTGACGTTCTCCATTCTGTGGCTGGGAGTCTTGGCCCACACCAAAGGCAAGCATTTGAAATTGCCTTTTCAGTCTCCAGAATTGGAGATTTGTCAATTCTTCATTTTCAAAGTGCTGGTGGCTTTTTTTCTCTTCTAAGTGTTGTTTTTTTAAGTTACTTTAAGCATATCCTTATTTTAGAAACCTAGGAAAACTAATGCACACATCTCATTGGTAATTTGTCTATCTTGAAGAACCTTTTTAAAGTGGTGTTCAACAATCAGAAAGCTTAGTATTTCTTGGCTATACACATTTGATTTACCAAAATTGCAGAATATCTTAGAAGACTATTTTACAAAACGAAATGAGGGTAAGTCATACATTTCATGAAAAAAGGACCATGTATTTGATTCAATCTGTCATTTGCTATCAAACAGTTGTAGTGGCTTTCTTGTTCACCTCCTCTTACATACACTGTTGAAGGTTTTCATCTGATCCTTGTTGCAAGGTCAGTCAAGAAAGTGCTCAACAAGTCTTGGAGGTTTCTGTGAGTGGTAAAAGGAAGCTGGTGTGTGTGTGTGTGTGTGTGTGTGTGCACATGCCCTTAAGGAAGCTGGGTGTGTGTGTGCCTGCCCTTGGTGAGGCTCTGCTCATGTGGCTGCCAGTGTCTGAAACTGCCCCGACCATTGCAGATCAACATAAATTGGTTAAAATCTCAAAAGCAGTTTTTCACCAACTTGTAAAAAATAGTGTGAAGCTTTGTCAAATGTGTTAACAAATTCACATTAGAGTCACAAGGGTTAAATTTTGCATTACTACTTTTTATAGCCACTTTCACTGTTGAATGCATTAGATGGGAGTGGTGTAATGATGTAATTTTTGCAAGCATGAAATTAGAAAACTTATCCATGTAAGTATAGAGTTTGATGTATTGAGATGTAAATGTATTCTGTTTTGTTTATATATGAATGAATTTTTTTGCTTATTATAAATAGGCTTTTGAATTTTGTTCATCTAAAGATTCACTTTGCATGTGCGTAGTCAGGGTTTTTTGAGTTTTTTTTTTGTTTTTTTTTTTAATGTAAGTTCTGGGATACATGTGCAGAACTTGCAGGATTGTTACAGAGGTATACATGTGCCATTGTGGTTTGTTGCACCTATCAACCCGTCATCTAGGTTTTAAGCCCCACATGCATTAGGTATTTGTCCTAATGCTGCCCCTCCCCTTGCCCCCAACCCCCCAACAGGACCCAGTGTGTGATGTTCCCCTCCCTGTGTCCGTGTGCTCTCATTGTTCAACTCCCACTTATGAGTGAGAACATGCGGTGTTTGGTTTTCTATTCTTGTGTTAGTTTGCTGAGAATTATGGTTTCCAGCTTCATCCATGTCCCTGCAAAGGACATGAACTCATTCTTTTTTATGGCTGCATAGTATTCCATGGTGTGTGTATGCCACATTTTCTTTATGCAGTCTATCATTGATGGGCATTTGGATTGGTTCCAAGCCTTGCTATTGTAAATAGTACTGCAGTAAACATACGTGTGCATGTGTCTTTATAGTAGAAAGATTTATACCTTTGGGTATATACCTAGTAATGGGATTGCTGGGTCAGATGGTATTTCTGGTTCTAGACCCTTGAGGAATTGCTACACTGTCTTCCACAATGGTTGAACTAATTTACAGTCCCATCAGCAGTGTAAAAGCATTCCTATTTCACCACATCCTCGCCAGCATAGTTGTTTCCTGACTTTTTAATGATCACCATTCTGACTGGCATGAAATGGTATCTCATTGTGGTTTTAATTTGCATTTCTCTAATGACCAGTGATGATGAGCTTTTTTCTTCATATGTTTGTTGGCTGCATAAATGTCTTCTTTTGAGAAGTGTCTGTTCATATCCTTCATCCACTTTTTGATGGGGTTGTTTTTTTCTTGAAATTTAAGTTCCTTGTAGATTCTGGATATTAGCCCTTTGTCAGAAGGATAGATTGCAAAAATTTTCCCCCATTCTGTAGGTTGCCTGTTCACTCTGATGATAGTTTCTTTTGCAGTGCAGAAGCTCTTCAGTTTAATTAGATCCCATTTGTCAATTTTGGCTTTTGTCACAATTGCTTTTGGTGTTTTAGTCATGAAGTCTTTGCCCATGCCTATGTCCTGAATGGTATTGTCTAGGTTTTCTTCTAGGGTTTTTATGGTTTTAGGTTTTACGTTTAAGTATTTAATCCATCTTGAGTTAATTTTTGTATAAGGTATAAGGAAGGGGTCCAGCTTCTGTTTTCTGCTTATGGCTAGCCAGTTTTCACAGCACCATTTATTAAACAGGGAATCTTTTCCCTGTTGCTTGTTTTTGTCAGGTTTGTCAAAGATCAGATGGTTGTAGATGTGTGGTGTTATTTCTGAGGCCTTTGGTCTATATATCTGTTTTGGTACCAGTACCACGCTGTTTTGGTTACTGTAGCCTTGTAGTATAGTTTGAAGTCAGGTAGCGTGATGGCTCCAGCTTTGTTCTTTTTGCTTACGGTTGTCTTGGCTATACGGGCTTTTTGGTTCCATATGAAATTTAAAGTAGTTTTTTCTAATTCTATGAAGAAAGTCAATGTTAGCTTGGTGGGAATAGCATTGAATCTATAAATTACTTTGGGCAGTATGGCCATTTTCATGATATTAATTCTTCCTATCCATGAGCATGGAATGTTTTTCCATTTGTTTGTGTCCTCTCTTATTTCCTTGAGCAGTGGTTTGTAGTTCTCCTTGAAGAGGTCCTTCACGTCATTTGTAAGTTGTATTCCTAGGTATTTTATTCTCTGTGTAGCAATTGTGAATGGGAGTTCACTCATGATTTGGCTGTCTGCTTGTCTATTATTGGTGTATAGGAATGCTTGTGATTTTTGCACATTGATTTTTGTATGCTGAGACTTTGCTGAAGTTGCTTATCACCTTAAGGAGTTTTTGGGCTGAGACAATGGGGTTTTCTAAATATACAATCACGTCATCTGCAAACAGAGACAATTTGATTTTCTCTCTTCCTATTTGAATACTTTTTATTTCTTTTTCTTGCCTGATTGCCCTGGACAGAACTTCCAATACTGTGTTGAATAGGAGTGGTGAGAGAGGGCATCCTTGTCTTGTGCCGGTTTTCAAAGGGAATGTTTCCAGCTTTTGCCCATTCTGTATGATATTGGCTTTGGGTTTGTCATAAATAGCTCTTGTTATTTTGAGATATCTTCCGTCAATACCTAGTTACTGGGAGTTTTTAGCATGAAGGGCTGTTGAATTTTATCGAAGGCCTTTTCTGCATCTATTGAGATAAACGTGATTTTTGTCATTGGTTCATTTATGTGATTGATTACGCTTATTAATTTGCATATATTGAACCAGGCTTGGCATCCCAGGGATGAAGCCGACCTGATCGTGGTGGATAAATTTTTTGATGTGCTGCTGGATTTGGTTTGCCATTATTTTATTGAGGATTTTCGCATCGATGTTCATCAGAGATATTAGCCTGAAATTTTCTTTTTTTGTTGTGTCTCTGCCAGTTTTGGTATCAGGATGATGCTGACCTCATAAAATGAGTTAGGGAAAAGTCCCTTGTTTTCTATTGTTTGGAATAGTTTCAGAAGGAATGGTACCAACTCCTCTTTGTACCTCTGGTAGAATTCGACTGTGAATCCGTCTGGTCCTGGGCTTTTTTTTGGTTGCTAGGCTATTAATTATTGTGTCAATTTCAGAACCTATTATTGGTCCGTTCAGGGATTCAGCTTCTTCCTGGTTTAGTCTTGGAAGGTGTATGTGTCCAGGAATTTATCCATTTCTTCTAGATTTTCTAGTTTATTTGGGTAGAGGTGTTTATAGTATTCTCTGATGGTAGTTTGTGTTTCTGTGCGATCAGTGGTGATATCCCCTTTATCATTTTTATTGTGTCTGTTTGATTATTCTCTGTTTTCTTATTAGTCTGACTAGCAGTCTATCTATTTTGTTAATCTTTTCAAAAAAAAACCCAGCTCCTGGATTCATTGATTTTTTTGAAGGGTTTTTCATGTCTCTATCTCCTTCAGTTCTGCTCTGATCTTAGTTATTTCTTGTCTTCTGCTAGCTTTTGAATTTGTTTGCTCTTGCTTCTCTAGTTCTTTTAATTGTGATGTTAGGGTGTCAATTTCATATCTTTCCTGCTTTCTGATGTGGGCATTTAGTGCTAGAAATTTCCATCTTAACACTGCTTTAGCTGTGTCCTAGAGATTCTGGTACGTTGTCTCTTTGTTCTCATTGGTTTCAAATAACTTCTTCATTTCTGCCTTAATTTTGTTATTTACCCAGTAGTCATTCAGGAGCAGGCTGCTCGGTTTCCATGTAGTTGTGCAGTTTTAAGTGAGTTTCTTAATCCTGAGCTCTAATTTGATTGCACTGTGGTCTGAGAGACTGTTTGTTATGATTTCTGTTCTTTTGCATTTGCTGAGGTGCGTTTTACTTCCATTTATGTGGTTGATTTTAGAATAAGTGCTGTCTGGTGCTGAGAAGAATGTATATTCTGTTGATTTGGGTTGGAGAGTTCTGTAGATGTCTCTTAGGTCTACTTGGTCCAGAGTTGAGTTCAGAATATCCTTGTTAATTTTTGTCTCGTTGATCTAATATTGACAATGGGGTGTTAAAGTCTCCCACTATTACTGTGTGGGAGTCTAAGTCTCTTTGTAGGTCTGTAAGAGCTTGTTTTATGAATCTGGGTGATCCTGTATTGGGTGCATATATATTTAGGATAGCTACCTCTTCTTGTTGCATTGATCCCTTTACCATTATGTAATACCGCTTTGTCTTTTTTGATCTTTGTTGGATTAAAGTGTGTAGTATTAGAGACTAGCATTGCAACCTGCTTTTTTTTTTTTTTTTTTTTGCTTTCCATTTGGTAAATATTCCGCCATCCCTTTATTTTAAGCCTATGTGTGTCTTTGCACATGAAATGGGTCTCCTGAATACAGCACACCAATAGGTCTTGACTCGTTATCCAAATTGCCAGTCTGTGTCTTTTAATTGGGGCATTTTGCCCATTTACATTTAAGGTTAATATTGTTATGTGTCATCATGATGCTAGCTGGTTATTTTGCACATTAGTTGATGCAGTTTCTTCATAGTGTCAATGGTCTTTATTTTTTGGTGTGTTTTTGCAGTGGCTGGTACCAGTTTTTTCTTTCCTTATTTAGTGCTTCCTTCAGGAGCTCTTGTAAGGCAGGCCTGGTGGTAACAAAATCCCTCAGCATTTGCTTGTCTGTAAAGGATTTTATTTCTCCTTTACTTGTGAAACTTATTTGGCTGGATATGAAATTCTGAGTTGATTTGCAGAAGAATTTTCTTTATAAAATTGAAGTTTTAAGGGATGTCAGTGTTTTTGCCATTTTTCCAGTTCCAAAATGATTCCATTCCATTCTAGAAATTTGAAGTATGTAACTTGAAATCCTTAATAAAATTTGGATTCAATTTAAAAAAAAAAGAGGGAAAGAAATTCTGAGTTGAAAATTCTTTTCTTTAAGAATGTCGGGGCCAGGCGGGGTGGCTCATGCCTGTAATCCCAGCACTTTGGGAGGCCGGATCATGAAGTTGGGAGATTGAGACCATCCTGGCTAATATGGTGAAACCTTGTCTCTACTAAAAATACAAAAAAGTAGCCAGGCATTGTGGCACGCACCTGTAATCCCAGCTACTTGGGAGGCTGAGGCAGGAGAATCACTTGAGCCTGGGAGGCAGAGGTTGCAGTGAGCTGAGATCATGCCACTGCACTCCAGCCTGGATGACAGAGCGAGACTCCATCTCAAAAAAAAAAAAAAAAAAAGAATGTTGGACATTGGCCCCCCACTCTTTTGCGGCTTGTAGGGTTTCTGCAGAGAGATCTGCTGTTAGTCTGATGGGCTTCCCTTTGTAGGTAACCTGACCTTTCTCTCTGGCTGCCCTTAACATTTTTTCCTTCATTTCAACCTTGGAGAATCTGACAATTAGGTGTCTTAGGGTTGCTCTTCTCAAGGAGTATCTTATTGGTATTCTCTGTATTTACTGAATTTGAATGTTGGTCTATCTTGTTAGGTTGGGGAAGTTCTCCTGGATAATATCCTAAAGTGTGTTTTCCAACCTGGTTCCATTCTCCCCATCTCTTTCCGGTACACCAGTCCATCGTAGGTTTGGTCTTTTCACATAGTCCCATATTTCTTGGAGGCTTTGTTCGTTCCTTTTCATTCTTTTTTCTCTAATCTTGTCGTCATGCCTTATTTCAATATGTTGATCTTCAATCTGTGATATCCTTTCTAACACTTGATTGATTTGGCTATTGATACTTGTGTGTGCTTCACGAAGTTCTCGTGCTGTGTTTTTCAGCTCCATCGGGTTATTTATGTTCTTCTCTGAACTGGTTATTCCAGTTAGCAGTTCCTGTAAGTGTTTATCAAGGTTCTTAGCTTCCTTGCATTGGGTTAGAACATGCTCCTTTAGCTCAGAGGAGTTTGTTATTACCCATCTTCTGAAGCCTAGTTCTGTCAGTTCATGAAACTCATTCTCTCTGTCCAGTTTTGTGCCCTTGCTGGAGAGGAGTTGCGATCATTTAGAGAAGAGGCATTCTGGTTTTTGTAATTTTCAGCATTTTTGCGCTGGTTTTTCCTCATCTTCGTGGATTCATCTATCTTTGATCTATAAGGCTGATGACCTTTGGATGGGGTTTTTGTGTAGGTGTCCTTTTTGTTAATGTTGATGCTGTTACTTTGTTTGTTAGTTTTTCTTCCAACTGGCCTCTCTTCTGCAGGTCTGCTGCAGTTTGCTGGAGGTCCACTCTATACCCTGTTTGCCTGGTATCACCAGCGGAGGCTGCAGAACAGCAAATATTGCTGCCTGCTCCTTCCTGTGGAAGCTTCCTCCTAAAGGGGCACTGACCAGATGCCAGCCAGAGCTCTCCTGTATGAGGTGTCTGTCAACCCCTGCTGGGAGGTCTCTCCCAGTCAGGAGGCACGGGGATGAGGGACCCATTGAGGAAGCAGTCTGTCCCTCAGCAGAGCTGGAGTGCTGTGCTGGGAGAAACCTCCTTGCCAGGATCCGCTGCTGCTCTCTGCAGAGCCGTCAGGCAGGAACGTTTAAGTCCACTGAAGCTGCACCCACAGCAGCCCCCTTCCCCCAGGTGCTCTGTCCCAGGGAGATGGGAGTTTTATCTATAAGCCCCTGACTGGGGCTGCTGCCTTTCAGAGATGCCCTACCCAGTGAGGAGGAATCTAGAGAGGTAGTCTGGCCACAACCACTTTGCCGCACTGTGGTGAGTTCCGCCCAGTCCAAACTTCCTGGCCTCCCAGCACTGTTGGGAAAACCGCCTACCAATCCTCAGTAATGGCAGACGCCCCTCCCCCCACCAAGCTCGATCGTCCCAGGTCGACTTCAGACTGCTGTGCTGGCAGTGAGAATTTCAAGCCAGTGGTCCTTAGCTTGCTGGGCTCCATGAGAATGGGACCCGCTGAGTGAGACCACTTGGCTCCCTGGCTTCAGCCCCCTTTCCAGGGGAGTGACAGTTCTGTCTCGCAGGGATTCCAGGCACTACTGGGGTACAAAAAAAAACTCCTGCAGCTAGCTCGGTGTCTGCCCAAACAGCTGCCCAGTTTTGTGCTTGAAACCCAGGGCCCTGGTGGTGTAGACACACAAGGGAATCTTCTGATCTGCGGATTGCAAAAACTGTGGGAAAAGCATAGTATCTGGGCTGGATAGCACCATCCCTCATGGCTTCCCTTGGCTGGGGGAGAGCAGTCCCCAGCTCCTTGCACTTCCTGGGTGAGGCAACACCCCACCCTGCTTCTGGTCACCCTCCATGGGCTGAACCAATGCCTAACCAGTCCCATTGAGATGAACCAGGTACCTCAGTTGGAAATGCAGAAATCACCAGCCTTCTGCGTTGGAATTGCTGGGAGCTGCAGACCAGAGCTGTTCTTACTTGGCCATCTTGCCAGATCTCCAGTATTTTCAGTTCATGGATTGATTACGATCATAGCCATGACATGATCACAAGGTCCCACAATAGGCCGTCTGCAGGCTGAGGAGCAAGGAGAGCCAGTCCAAGTCCCAAAACTGAAGACCTTGGAGTCCAGTGTTTGAGGGCAGGAAGCATCCAGCATGGGAGAAGGATGTAGGCTGGGAGGCCAAGCCCGTGTCTCCAGTTTTCTGAGTTTTTTTGGTTTGGTTGTTTTTTGTTTTTTGTTTTTTTTCCTTTTGGCCAGGAATGATCTACCAACAGATAATGCTAAATAAATACTCACTTAAATTGAACTTGTGAATTTAAGCTTTCACAAATGATCTGAGCTAAAAGATATATGCAAGTTAATTCTAGGAGTTTCACTTCTTACATCCTGAGAATAGACACAAGCCAGGCAGTTTTACGTTTTTATTAACCCTAGGAATATGTAAGGAAAATAACCTTAAAATAACTCAAAAACCTACCTATTAAAAAACTTATTTCCATGTAAAAAGCACATGTAAGTGCCATGGCTTAGCGTCCAGCATGCCTTTCACTCTTCTGTGTTTGTAGCTGTGGAAACAGCAATGGGGCACTCAGGAGGTGCGTTCACAACTCTCCCCCAGGGGCCAAGTCCTCCAGACACCTCTCAGGACAGCCTTCAGAGCTTCCCACCATAGAACTGCCTCCTTTGCCTGCGCTTCTGCATGGCCCCCTGGGGCTCGGTCCCTCCTGAAAAGACCCTGAGGCTGTCCTGTCCATCTGTTCACACAAAACCTTTTACCAAATTGTGTACCGGGGTTTTTGAAGCTGATGCGTTTTAGAAGTGATGCTGGTGGGTGACCTGGGGACCAGATTGCTTGTTTTGTCTCTAAGTTCTTGTTGGAAACATCTCAGCTGCCCATGAGGCTCTGGGTGAAACATGAGGGCCACCTTCGATCTTTATTGGCAAAGTCTTATCTTTATTCAAGACCTAGATGACTGGATGGGTGTGGATGGAGTCCTCTTACACACCAGATAAAGTTTGAGTTGCCCTCCCCTGAGTTGGTCTGCCTTCCAATTCTGATGCAAGTACATTTCCTTTAAACTGAAATTACTTATTAACAATTCTCTTGCATCGCAACCCTCCTGAGTTATCACACCTGAGTTAGCCATTCTTTTTAGAGAGTGTACCACTAGAAGAGAAGTGATCTAAATGATCCTCCAAAAACATCCACACCCTCCCCTGGATAAGATGATTCCTGGAAACCTGTCAGCTAAGAAATAAACCTGTGTATGGCTAGGAGGAGCTAACATTTTACCGCATTTATGAAAAGAAGTAACTTTGTAATTAAAGCCTTTTTGTAGAGTGGTCAGAGGACTTCCACATATTCTGAGGATGTTCCGTTGTGGTAGTAGCATTAAAAGACAAAAACCTTGGAGTATATTATCTTCCATTAAATACCTGCAAGTTCTGGAGAGAGCTATGGAGGTATCTTATCTCCTAAATTAGTATTCACATAGGCATTCAATAAATATTTCTTGGCAAAATATTGATTGAATTTAGGATGAAAATTTTTTATATTAAAAAGATTTATCAGGACATTTTTCCTACTCTGGTGATTTTCTATAATCTATTATATCATTAGAACTCCTCAAGAGCCAATTCCTTTATTGTTGGTGAGTTACTTGTTTTCTGTGTGTAAATGATTTTGTAGCCTTTTTGTTGAAACTCAGCAGCTGAATCACCTGGCTGGTGTGTTAAAACACAAATTGCTGGGCCCTACCCCTAGAATTTCTAATTGAGTAAGTCTAGGGTGGGACTGAAGAATTTGCATTTCTGAGTTCCCAGATGATACTAAGGCTGTTGGTCTAATAAAAGATGTGGGAGAGAGAAAAATAAAACCTGTTGATTCCATAAGTTGTTTACCAGCTTTGTTCACTAGTATGTCACTTACGTGTCACGGCCTCTGAAGACTGAGAACCGATGAAATCGTTCAGTCCATTTGCTGGCACTGTTGCCTGCGGTGCTAGCCTCTCTCTGGTTCCTGAGCAGCCCCACCTTGGAAGAACGGATGAAATCGTTCAGTCCATTCACCTGCACCGTTGCCTGCGGTGCTAGCCTCTCACTGGTTCCTGAGCAGCCCCACCTTGGAAGAACGGATGAAATCGTTCAGTCCATTCACCTGCACCGTTGCCTGCGGTGCTAGCCTCTCACTCGTTCCTGAGCAGCCCCACCTTGGAAGAACGGATGAAATCGTTCAGTCCATTCACCTGCACCGTTGCCTGCGGTGCTAGCCTCTCTCTGGTTCCTGAGCAGCCCCACCTTGGAAGAACGGATGAAATCGTTCAGTCCATTCACCTGCACCGTTGCCTGCGGTGCTAGCCTCTCACTGGTTCCTGAGTAGACCCACCTTGGAAGAACGGATGAAATCGTTCAGTCCATTCACCTGCACCGTTGCCTGCGGTGCTAGCCTCTCTCTGGTTCCTGAGCAGCCCCACCTTGGAAGAACGGATGAAATCGTTCAGTCCATTCACCTGCACCGTTGCCTGCGGTGCTAGCCTCTCACTGGTTCCTGAGCAGCCCCACCTTGGAAGAACGGATGAAATCGTTCAGTCCATTCACCTGCACCGTTGCCTGCGGTGCTAGCCTCTCTCTGGTTCCTGAGCAGCCCCACCTTGGAATCCCACTGTCTATTGCAGTGGATGTCCCCGCCACCACCTGGGCAAGTCCGTAGATCTGGAGTCCCAGTCACCTCAGCATGCTTCCCCTAATCGTTGCGTGGATCCATTCCCTCACCTCTTTGCCTGCCTCTTGTTTTTCCCTTTACATTCCCCCAGTCAGCTTCCCACTGCTGCCAGAGTCCTCCTGCATAGCAGACTTGATGCTGGTCTTCCTTAGGGCTTCCCTCCAGTGTGCTCCTATTGCACTTGGGACATTTCCCTTCCCTGAACTTCCCCTTTTCTTCTCTCGTCTTTGTTCATTTCTACCCCCTCTTCAAATCTCAGCTCAAGTCTCTTCCTCACAATGTCTCTGCCCTGCAGCAGCAGTCCTCTGCCCTACGCTTTGTAGTTGGACACGAGTGTATTTGGTTAGTTTCAGTGTGCTCCACTGATTGTAAATGTTCCCCGGGGGCAGACAGTGAGTCATTTCCCTGTGTCAGCACCTCCTGTGGTGCCTGGCATGTGATTGGTTGGATGCTTGGGTAGAGGTCAGGAAGGCTGGAAGGCTTTTATCACTGTCCATTGTTGCCTCCTTTCAATCCCAGAATAAGTTTTGTTTATAAGTGTCCTTTATCCAGCAAAGTCCAGCCCAATGTTCCCACCAGTCTCTTCCATGAAAATTTATTAATGCCCTGCCCCAATTTGTTTGTTACTCTCTTTGACCTTCAGAACTCTAACAGGCTGGGCACGGTGACTCATGCCTATAATCCCAGCTCTTTGGGAGGCCTAGGTGGGAGGACCACTTGAGGCCAGGTGTTCAAGACCAGCCTGGGCAACATAGCAAGACACTGTCTCCAAAAAAAGGGAAAGAACTCCTGTCATAAAACCTTCGCACTCTTGTAATATTTGCACAGCCTTCTCCTGCAAGCTCTTCCAAGGTAGCTAGCAGCTGTTCATCTTTCATGTGGGGCCACTCAGGTGCAGAGCACCTAGAATTGTATGTATCAGTGCATATGAATGGAGCTTCAGTTCTCAGCCTTCATAGAAACTTTTGTGACAGTATGGTAGGAAAAATGTTGGTAAACAATTGATGGATCTTGTGTTTCTTCCTTCCTGTCTTGTTTATTAGACAGATACCTGGAAATCTCTTCCTTGGATGTCTAAGCCCATCTCATGGAGTCTGAACCTGTAGGGAGTGAGTAAGAGATCACAAGTTCCTAGTTATGTATTCAGGAAGTCTCTCATTGATCATTTCCACTAGACAGCCCTGCATTGCTTAACCACAGTGATCAGTTCTGAGAAATGCGCAGCTAGGTGATTCTCTCATGAGAACATCATAGAATGTACTTGCACAAACCTAAATTGTGTGGCCTGTGTCTCCCAGGCTGCAAACCTGTGAAGCGTGTGGCTGCCGAATACTGTAGGCAGCTGTAACAGTGGCAAGCATTTGTGTATGTAAACATTCCTAAACATAGAAAAGGTAGAGTAAAAATATGGTATTGTGATCTTACGGGACCACCATTATATGTGAGATCTATCGATGACCAAAATGTTGTTATGTGGCGCATGGCTGTACTGGGTTCTACTAAATATATGTAATGAATCTTTTTTTTTTTGTATTAAATTTTCATGTGTAAGCAATGAAACACAGGTAAAATCTTTCCACTGTCCATCTCCCTGCACGCTGATGGGGACATGACCTTTCAGCCATGTTCATAAATGTCTTATTCACATTAAAAAAGGACTGGAAACTTGTATTTCAGAATATGGTTATATCTGGGTGGTAGAATTGTACATTGTTTTTATTTTCTTCTTTATACTTTCCTGTCTGAATTGTAGTCAAAAAATGATTTTCAAAATCGTTAGTATATTTGAAATAACTGTGATAATAGAAGATTCATTACTTACCTTAGATCCGAGACTAGTAAACTTATTCTGTGAAGGGTAATGTAGAAAATATTTCAGGCTTTGCAGGCCACATGGTCTCTGTTACTTAGGTTGGTCATTAAAGCCTGGAAGGAACCGTGGACGATACCCACGTGTGTATACATGGTCCAGTAAAGCCCAGCCTCAGTTGCTGTAATTGGAATTTTGTGTGGTTTTCCTGCATCATGAAATATCATTTTTACTTTGGTTTTTTTTTTTCAACCACTTAAAAATATGAAAGCCCTTCTTAGTTCATGGGGTGCATAAAAACAGGCAGGAGCTGGGTTTGTCCCGAGACTGCACACGTTGCCTGAGTTGGTTATTTTCCTGAAAGTATGTTTCTAAGAAGTAATTACTGACACTTGTGGTTGTCTTGGACTCATCTCTATCTTAAGTACTACTGCCATAGGGTTGTTTTGTTTTTGCTAATTATCCTTAGCATTTTCTTAAGAGAAAAATATGTTTTTTCTCTCTCCAAAATAAATAATGAAAAAGCTTTTCAGGTGGAGGGAATACTTCAGCCATTTTGGAAATGTAAGTGAGTTTTGTTGAGTTGTTTCACTTCTGATGGCGGGAAATATACCACTGAGAGTAGTCAGTGCTATCGTGGGAAACATAAGAAAAGAAAGAGAAGAATTTCCTTTTTTGGGTCATTTGGACTCTGAGGCCGTTTGGTTAGTAGGTTCTGTTTCCTTAGTAAACAAAAGGGACATTTAGATCCCAGCCAGCCTTGAGCTTTTGGCATGTATTTTATAGCCAAGTGGTCCTCACAGAAAATCACAGCTGTGGATAGCAAGGGAGGACATCTCAGCAGTCACAGATTAACAAGTCTGACCTTAGAAACAGCACCTTTCTGTTTGTCAGAGTGTGGAAGCAGAGCTGCACCTGCATCTGCAACTCAGTGTGAGTCGTCATCATTTGTCGTGGTTTCAGTCAATGAGTAAGGGTGTTTTTCTTTTGATTTTAATAGTTTAAACATCTATATAAAATATAGAAGTGAAACACTAAAAATTACATTTTAGGAATTTCTGTGTATTTAATAGTTTTAGGAAAGTGCTTTCCAAAGCCTGGGGTCCACAGATTGCCTGCATCCAAGTCTTCTGAGTTGTTAAAATGCAGACTTCCAGGCACCCATACCTGTCTAATCAAATCAGAGTTTCTGCATATAGATCCCAGGAAAATGCATTTTTTTTTACAATCTCTGCAGTTGATTCTTTTGCACATGAAAGGTTGAAAACCATTAATTTAAGAGAGTAAGAGAGCAAACTAAGGGGTAGATGGATGGTGTTTTATCCAAGTGCTCCATCAGCTGTGATACTGCAGGGCGGCAGTGCCTTGTTATATCCTTGAGACAGCGCATTTGAAAGATGTTCTGAAAGCATTCTTAATGGTCGAAAGTGCAGTATCCCTCAAAATTTAGCCATTAAAAAAAGAAGGAATGTTTTCATTGAAACGTACGTATGCCAGCCCTTTAGGTTTGGGCTTTTTAAAGAAAATCACTAATCTGATCATGTTTACTTTCTAGTTCCTTTTACATCAGGAAGGGAAGAGATTTGTTTCCTTTTACTGTATTTCTACAAGGAGCATATTATAACTCTGTGCTGCAAAGAACAATAGTTAATGGACTTTTTTTCTTAACTAGGGGGAACGCCTAGTTTGAAAATATTATGGCTGAACCAAGAGCCAGAAATACAGGTTCGGCGCTTGGACACACTCCTAGCCTGTTTCAATCTTTCCTCCTCAAGAGAAGAGCTGCAGGCTGTCGAAAGCCCATTTCAAGCTTTGTGCTGCCTCTTGATCTACCTCTTTGTCCAGGTAATGTCCAGCTGCCCGTTCTAGTCACTGCAGCCTGCGCTTACTTTATGAGAGGGAGCATGTGGGATATTGCCATGGCTGGTGTCCCGGATTGTCTTTTTCCAATGTCTGTTCCATGGAACATTATTAGTCCTTTGAAGTGCTCTAAAAATAAAAAGAAGATTGTATGGCAAAATACGTACAAGAAACTCTGTCACTACCTCAGCTTTAGAGATTGTATTAGAGACTTAGGAAATCTTGCAGGTGGTGGAAGCTGCTCTGGCCTTGACTAAACTTTCTCAAACTTTGTGGACCATAGTGTACCTCCTCTGTCCTCGTGGCATTGTTTAGGTGGTGGTTCTTGTTTCTGGGTTTTAGTGTAAAGGTGAGAAAGGACCTGGCTAGAGACCTAGCTTCTCGTAGCTCTTTGCCTCTGGACAGACTACTTCAGCTTTTTCCTATGTCAGTTTCATTCCATCATCCAGCAAATGTTTATTGATTATATGCCTTCATTTTCTAATCTGAAAATGAAATAATCTTAGTAGCTGCCTCCTAGGGCTGTTGGGGCGATTTCAGGTGTCATAACCTTCATTATTTAGGTCCTCCCATCCTGCTGAGCTAGAGATTGTAGTGGTAGATCCTTCATTTAGGCTCACTCGACAAGGTGGACTGTTTCTTTTGCATTAGCTTTATATGTAGTTTATATGTGAAAATCATAAAAATCAGTTAAAAGATTCACCTTTTTAATAGTTTTCTACATGCACAATAGTGCTTGGACACCTTTAGTAAAAGAAAGGCTGAGAATGCTCCCATCTCCCAGCCCCTCTTTCTCTGCTTTGCTCCTCCCCACCTCCCTCCCTGGCTCTGTGATTTAAGATGATTTTTGTCCCACTGTTGACAAAGTGTCTACTTCTTCAGGCTGTTGAGATGTCTCATAAGCTTTCTTCACTCCTTCAAGCCATCGTCTCAGCTTCTCTGACCTCCCTATATGGTGGGTCTCCATTGGCATAGCCTTTCAGTGTTCACTTACCTGGAATAGACAATTATATAATTATTTTTTCAAACCTGAATTTACTTTACAAATTATTGATTGTCTTTAAGAAATGTACTCTTATTGTAGAAATACATCTCAAGGGAATCTTGGACTGATTTTTTCTTTCTAAATGTCCTCTTGGGTCTGCCCATTCTATAGCTTGCTCTACCTTTTGCATTTTGTAAGATGTGATATGGTTAAGTAGTGCTTAGAGGATTTATTGCTTCATTATTGGTTTCACATGCACCAATGTAAACCTTGGTTTTTGCATTACCATTTTGAGTAGATTACTTCTTTATTTGCTCAAGACGTAGCAGATTATAAATTAATGTAGGATGGCAGGAACTATTTAAAATGTAGATGTAAAAAGAGAGGAGATGAATCCAAGAGGCTGATTAGAAGCAGCTGCGGTCCGTGGCACTCACAGAGAGGAATGAAAAGGGGCAAGTGAATTCAGCACCTTCAACTGAAATACTCAGATTTTCACATTGGGACTGAGTAGGCAAACAACACAACCCACAGAGAACAAAGTAAACTAGGGGTGGAGGGCAGTGCCCCACCTGGGAACAGTATGGAGCCAAAGGAACCCCCACCCCCAGCCAGGGGAAGCCGTGAGTGATTGTGTGACCCTGCCTGGGAAACCATGCTTCTCCCATGGATCTTTGCAACCCATGTATCAGATCCCTTCATGAGCCCATACCACCACAGCCTTGAGTCTGATACACAGAGCTGTTTGGAGTCTCAGCAGAGCAGCTGCTCAGGCATACACAGAGACCCAAGAGTTTTACATACTCCGGCTCTGGGATCCCTGGCAAGACAAGAAATCTGTCTGTACATATCCCTAGGAAAGGGGCTGAATCCAAGGAGCCAAACGGCATCATTCTGCAGGCTGCACTTCCATGGCACCTCACAATTTAAGACCCTCTGGCTTGGAATCCCAGCCGGCCAATGGCAGTGAATTAGAGTCCTCCTTAGAAGGGTCCAAGTTCCCAGGAAGAGGGACGGCCACAGTTCAGTCAACTTACCTGCTTCAGCCTGCCAGCTTTGGAGAACACAGGCAGTCCGGATGAGGGAGGGTCCCCCATCTCCAGTGCAGCACATTGGCTCTACCAAAAAGCAGCCAGATCCCTGATCCTGTTCCTCCTGACTGGGTGAGTCCTCCCAGTAGGGGTCTCCAGCCACCTCCTACAGGTGGGTGTGGGCCAGCAACAGGTCAGTAACCACTAGGACAGAGCTTCCAGAGGAAGGAGCTGGCTGCCATCTTTGCTGTTTCACAGTATTCACTGGTAGTACCTCTAGGTATGGGAGAAACTGAGGCAACTGGCATCTGGAGTAGACCGCCAGCAAATGGCAACAGCCCTACAGTAGAATGGCCTGTTAAAAGAAAAACAGAAAACAACAACATCAACAAAAAAGACCCCACCAAAACCTCATTCAAAGGTTATGGATAGGGTTAGAGATCTCAAAGATCAAAGATAGATAAGCCTACAAACATGAGAAAGAATCAATGCAAACATGCTGAAAACTGAAAAAGCCAGAGCGCCTTTTCTCCTCCACGACTGCAACACCTCTCCAGCAAGGACACAGAACTGGGCTGAGGCTAAAATGCCTAAATCGACAGAAGTAGGCTTCAGAAGGTGGGTAATAATGAACTTCGCGGAGCTAAAGGAGCATGTTGTAATTCAATGCAAAGAAGCTAAGAAATATGTTAAAACTACAGCAGCTGATAGCCATAATAGTCAGTTTAAAGAGCAACATAACCAACTTGATGGAGCTGAAAAACACAGCATAAGAAATTCACAGAACTTCACAGTGCAATTACAAGTGTCAATAGCAGAATAGACCAAACGGAGGAATCTCAGAGCTCGAAGACTATCTTTCTGAATTAAGATAGGCAGACAAGAATAGAGACAAAAGAATTAAAAGGAATGAACAAAACCTCCAAGAAGTATGAGATTATGTGAAGAGACCAAACTTATGACTGATTGGGGTACCTGAAAGAGATGGGGAGAACGGAACCAAGTTGGAAAACATACTTTAGGATATCATTCAGGAGAACTTCCTCAACCTAGCAAGATAGGCCAACATTCCAATTCAGGAAATACAAAGAACCCCAGTAAGATAGTGTATGAGAAGATCAACCCCAAGACACATAATCATCAGATTCTCCAGGTTGAAATGAAAGAAAAAATGTTAAGGGCAGCCAGAGAGAAAGGCCAGGTCACCTACAAAGGGAAACCCATCAGACTAACAGCAGACCTCTCAGCAGAAACCCTACAAGCCAGAAGAGATTGAGTGCCAATACTCAACATTCTTAAGAATTTCCAACCCAGAATTTTATATCCAACCAAACTAACTTCATAAGCAAAGGAGAAATAAGATCCTTTTCAGACAAGCAAATGCTTAGGGAATTTGTCACCAACAGGCTTGCCTTGCAAGAGCTCTTGAAGGAAGCATTAAATATGGAAAGCCAAAACTATTACCAGCCACTACAAAAACACACTGAAGTACACAGACCAGTGATACTGTGAAGCAACCACATAAACAAGCCTGCAAAATAACCAACTAGCATCATGATGACAGGATCAAATTCACACAGAACAATAGTAACCCTAAACGTAAATGGGCTAAATGCCCCAGTTAAAAGGCACAAAATGGCAAGCTGGATAAAGAGCCATGACCCATCCATATGCTGTCTTCAAGAGACCCATCTCATGTGCAGAGACACACATGGGCTCAAAATAAAGGGTTGGAAGAAAATTTACCAAGCAAATGGAAAACAGAAAAAAGCAGAGGTTGCAATCCTAGTTTCTGACAAAACAGACTTTAAACCAACAAAGATTTAAAAAAGACAAGAGTATTACATAATGGTAGAGGATTCAATTTAACAAGAAGAGCTAACTATCCTATGTATGTATGCACCCAGTACAGGAGCACCCAGACTCGCAAAGCAAGTTCTTAGAGACCCACAAAGAGACTCCCACACAATAATAGTGGGAGACTTTAACACCCAACTGACAAATATTAGATCATCAAGACAGAAAATTAATAAAGACATTCATGACCTGAACTCAGCTCTGGATCACTTGGACCTGATAGATAGCCACAGAATTCTCCACCCAAATTCAACATAATATACATTCTTCTCATTGCTGCTCGGCACTTACTCTAAAATGGATCACATAATCGGAAGTAAAACACATCTCAGCAAATGCAGAAGAGCTGAAATCATAACAAACAGTCTCTTAGACCACAGAGCAGTCATATTTGAACTCAAGATTAAGAAATTCACTCAAAACCACACAACTACATGGAAATTGAACAACCTGCCCCTGAATGACTCTTGGTTAAATAATGAAATTAATGAGAACAAAGAGACTACTTACCAGAATCTCTGGGCTGCAGCTAAAGCAATGTTAAGAGGGAAATTTATAGCACTAAATGCTGGAAAGATCTCAAGTTAACAACCTGACATCTCTACTAAAAGAACTAGAGAACCAAGAGCAAAAGAAAACCCCAAAGCTAGCAGAGCACAAGAAATAACCAAGATCAGAGCTGAACTGAAGGAGATAGAGACACAAAAAACCTTTTAAAAAAAAATCAATGAATCCAGGAGCTGTTTTTTTTTAAATTAATAGACCACTAGCTACACTAATAAAGAAGAGAGAAGAATCAAATAAATACAATCAGAAATGATAAGGGGGTTATCACCACTCACCTCACAGAAATATAAGCAACCATCAGAGAATACTGTAAACACCTCTGTGCACATAAACTAGAAAATCTAGATGACATTGATAAATTCCTGCACACATATGCCTTCTTGAGACTGAACCAGGAAGAAATTGAATCCCTGAATAGACCAATTGAATCCCTGAGTAGACCAATAATGAGTTCTGAAATTAAGGCAATAATAAATAGCTTACCAAACAAACAAAAAAAAATCCAGAACCAGATGGATTCACAGCTGAATTCTACCAGAGGTACAAAGAAGAGCTGGCACCATTTCTACTGAAACTGTTCCAAAATATTGAAAAGGAAGGACTCCTTTCTAACTTGTTCTATGAGTCCAGCATCATCCTGATACCAAAACCTGGTAGACATAGAACAAAGAAAGAAAACTTCAGGCCAATATCCTTGATGAACATTGATGCAAAAATCCTCACTAAAATACTGGCAAACCAAATCCAGCAGCAGATCAAAAAGCTTATCCACCATGATCTAGTTGACTTTATCCGTGGGAACTAACTTCAGCAAAGTCTCGGGATATAAAATCGCCAGTATTCCTATACACCAACAACAGGAAAGCAAATCACAAATAAACTCCCATTCACAATTGCTACAAAAAGAATAAAATACCTAGTAATACAGCTAACAAGGGAAGTGAAGGACCTCTTCAAGGAGAACTAAAAACTACTGCTCAAAGAAATCAGAGAGGACACAAACAAATGGAGAACCATTCCATGCTCATGGATAGGAAGAATCGACATTGTGAAAATGGCCATATGGCCCAAAGTAATTTATAGATTCAATGCTATTCCCATTAAACTACCATTGACATTCCTCACAGAATTAGAAAAAACTATTTTAAAATGCATACAGAACCAAAAAAGAGCCTGAATAGCCAAGACAATCCTAAGCAAAAAGGGCAAAGCTGGAGGCATCATGCTACCCAACTTCAAACTATTCTACAAGGCTACCATAACCAAAACAGCATGGTACCCATACAAGAACAGAAACATAGAACAATGGAACAGAATAGAGAACTCAGAAATAAGACCACACATCTACAACCATCTGATCTTTGACAAACTTGACAAAAATAAGCAATAGGGAAAGACTCCCTCTTTAATTAATGGTGCTGGGATAACTGGCTGAGCCATATACAGAAAATTGAAACTGGATCCCTTCATTACACTATATACAAAAATTAACTCAAGATGGATTAAAGACTTAAATGTAAACCCAAAAATATAAAAACCCTAGAAGAAAATCTAGGCAATACCATTCAGAACATAGGCATGGGTAAAGACTTCATGATGAAAACACCAAAAGCAATTGCAACAAAAGCAAAAATTGACAAATGGGATCTAATTAAAGAGCTTCTGCACAACAAAATAAACTATCATCAGAGTAAACAACCTACAGAATGGGAGAAAATTTTTACTATGTATTCATCTGACAGAGGTCTAATATCCAGAGTCTACAAAGAACTTAAACAGATTTACAAGAAAAAAAGCAAAAAAACAATCCCATTAAAAAGTGGGCAAAAGACATGAACAGACACTTCTCAAAAGAGGACATATAGCCGGGCGCGGTGGCTGATGCCTGTAATCCCAGCACTTTGGGAGGCTGAGGCAGGCAGATCACGATGTCAGGAGATCAAGACCATCCTGGCTAACACGGTGAAACCCCGTCTCTACAAAAAAAAAGAAAAAAAAAAATTAGCCAGGAGTGATGGCAGGCACCTGTAATCCCAGCTACTTGGGAGGCTGAGGCAGGAGAATGGTGTGAACCCGGGAGGTGGAGCTTGCAGTGAGCCGAGATCGTGCCACTGCACTCCAGCCTGGGCAATAGAGTGAGACTCTATCTCAAAAAAACAAAAAGGACATATATGCAGCCAACAAACATATGAAGAAAAGTTCAACATCATTGATCACTAGAGAAATGCAAATCAAAACCACCATGAGATACTATCTCATGCCAATCAGAATGGCTATTATTAAAAAGTCAACAAATGGTGGCGAGGTTGCAGAGAAACAGGAACACTTTTACACTGTTGGTTGGAGTGTAAATTAGTTCAACAATTGTGGAAGACAGTGTTGTGATTCCTCAGAGACCTAGAGGAGAAATACTATTTGACCCAGCAATCCCATTATTGAATCTACCCAAAGGAATAGAAATCATTCTATTGTAAAGATACATGCATGAGTATGTTCACTGCAGCACTATTCACAATAGCAAAGACATTGAATCAACCTAAATGCATATCAGTGATAGACTGAGTAAAGAAAATGTGGTACATATACACCATGGAATACTATGCAGCCATAAAAAGGAACTACATCATGTCCTTTGCAGGGACATGGATGGAGTTGGAGGTCATTATCCTCAGCAAACAAACACAGGAACAGAAAACCAAATATTGCATGTTCTCACTTATAAGGGGGAGCTGAATGATGAGAACACAGGGTCACATAGCAGGGAACAACACACACTGGGGACTGTGAGGGGGTCGGGGAGGGGGAAGGAGAGCATCAGGAAGAATCGCTAATGGATGCTGGGCTTGATACCTAGGTGATGAGATGATCTGTGCAGTAACCCATCATGGCACGTGTTTACCTATGTAACAAGCCTGCACATCCTGCATATGTACCCCCAAACTTAAACTTTGGAGGAAAAAAATGTAAAAAGATATTTCTTTTGATATTATATGTTAAATATGCATGTATGCACTATTGGTTAATATTTTCTATTTTCTAATAATCTACAGGTGTCTGTAGTTAACGTTGAGTCATAGTGGGACTTGAGAAGTGGTGCATAGCCAGTAAGCTGACTTTTCCCACCCATAAAAATACATGTGTTTTGTTCTTGATACTATGTGTGTGCACAACAATGGGAAGGCCATTGTCAGCCCCCCAGGAGGGACACACCGCCTGCTGTTCCATATGAACGATGCTTGCTGATCCTGTGTGTGGTCACGCAGCGCAGTTCTACCTTCCCATCCCTGTGCAGGTGACTGTCAGTTCTTTAAATTCACTTCAAGCAGAAAAAGCCCAGGACCCCAGAACAGTAACATCACATCCCTGTTTATATAAGCCTGAAGCAAGACAAGCGTCAGGAAGAAAATTTCCACTTTACCTTTTTTCTATTAATAAAGACCTTTTAAGTAAAATCTCTGTAGTGCAAGTTGGCATGAGCAGACTTGGTAACTTGTCTTTAAAGGAGAGGTTTAAATTGGAACTTTTAAAAACTAGAAAACAACAGATTGATAAATCAATTTTGTATTCGCTAGATGAAGAAGGTGCTGTATTATTCCCAGGGATAATAACTCTCAGAATTAATCAGGCTAAAAAGATACATTTATAAAAATATTACAGTTTTATATATTAAGCCTAAATTCGATGTTTTGATGTGTAATATGGGATAAAATAACATACTGTTCAGTGCATGAAAATGACAGAGAAACTAAATACAGTTGTGTCTTGGTATATGTGAGGGATTGGTCCCAGGACCCCCAAGGATGCCAAAATCCATGCATCCTCAAGTCCTGCGGTCAGCCTGTGGAGCCCACAGATTTGAAAAGCTGGCCCTTTATATTCGGGTTTTACATCCCATGAACATTGTATTTTTCCATCTGCATTTGGTTGAAAAAAAATCCACATATAAGTGAACCCATGCAATTCAAACCTGTATTGTCAGGGGTCAACTGTACTCTCATTTGGTCTGACCTCCCAGTTAACAACAGCCACAAATGATTTTATTAGAGACTCATCTGAGAATATCCTCTGGAAAGGTAAGTTTACATCATAGAAATGCATATATTTTATATTCCTTTTATTCCAAAGTAATACCTACTTGGAATAAAAGTGGACTAGGATAGTGACATGGTGAGTAAGAGCATTGGCAGGTCCAAGCAGCAGTCAGCACCCCCACCCTGGTGGAAGCAAATGCCGCCATCCTCCAGGGGAGCACAGGAGTCTTTCTGATTTATGGTGGGGTTGTTTTTATTGCAAATAGGCATGTTAGCCATTTTTAATATCCAAGAAGAATCAGTGAAGTTGTTATTCATGGGTCTGCTGTTGGCTTTCTGTTTCTTTTTCCGCGAGCCTTTACTTGCCGCAGAAGGTGCTCTTCTGAGAGAAGCAGCTCTTGCGGCCTTAGGATGCTGTGGAGTCGTTCAGTCAGCGGGCACGTCCTGCCTTTATCTGGGTAGCTGAACGCGGTGGCTGGGAGAGGAATGTCTCTACCTCCTCACAGTGTGGGGCAGGGGAAGGGGTGGCACCGTCTGCTCTTGATGGGGTCTGGACCGTCCGTGTCTTCCCCGCTCTTCACGCCCTCTCCTTATCTCCATCATCTACTCCACACCAAGCAGTGTTCAGTCTGTCCTTTGCTGTCTCTTGTTCCTCTGTCCCTCCTTCCTTTTCTCACTTTTGCTGCATCTTGATTCCACAGAGGATTAGTAGGGTCTCATATTGTGGGTTCTGATTTACTCTCAACTAGGATTCGAGGACACAGGTTTCCTCTAGGTTGCCAAAAGTGGATGATGACCCCAGCTCAGCCCAGCTGTGGATATTCGCTCTCTGAAAACCCCTGAACTGTTTGCTCTGTGCAATTTGTCCCAAACGTGATCAACTGTCTGGCTCTAAGACCTGGTCTTGGTTGGCACCTCATGATTATTCCCAGATGTTCTGCGGAGTTTTGCCTTGTTAGAGTCTAACCTGACTAGAAATTCAGGCTCCCCTTCCAGCTGGGCTGTGAGTTGTGTGCACAACTGGGGACACCATAGAGAGAGCTTCACAGCCAGGAGCCAAGGATGGTGTGAAGAGGCTGTGCTCTTTCCACCTGCATACTGTCTGCTGCCTGAGGTCTGATGCACCATGTGTGTGCCTGTGCATGTGCCTGTTTGTGCACCTGTGCGTGTGCCTGTGTGTACACCTGTGTGTGTACATGTGTGCCCATGTGTGTGTGCATGCCTGTGCGTGTACCCATGTGTGTGCACCTCTGTGTGCTTGTGTGCACATGTGGGTGCCTGTGCGTGTGCCTGTACGTGCCTGTGTGTGCATGTTTGCGCCTATACACACACTCATAGTTAATAACTGAGATCAATTTGTAAGAAATGTTTAATTTTTCCTGTAGCCTAACACTGGCCTTTCTCTGTCCTTTTCAGGTGGACACGCTTTGCCTGGAGGATTTGCATGCGTTTATTGCGCAGGCCTTGTGCCTCCAAGGAAAATCCACCTCGCAGCTTGTAAATCTACAGGTACAGACGTGACCAGTTAGTTGTCACTGCCCGGAAGACAGCTGTGCAGTCCAGCCTTCTCTTTCCCATTATAGTTGAAGTTTCACAGAAAAGATCAGGAAGGTATTTTAGTCAGGATCTTTTCGTGATGCAGTAGTTTGTCTTCGTCTCTTTAATGGCTCTGGGATGAGCAGCCAGATGAGGTACTAATAGGTGCTGCCTCAGTTCCAGTTTTGTGAAACTTGTAGTTCTCAATACTGCCTTTATAGGCTAGTGATTTGAAGAGAATAGGTTATGTGGTTCTCTATAAACCTTATTAATTTCTGGTGTTAGCAGTTTTGGCCCTCCCTTGGCCTGCCTCCCAGATGGCTGCTGGCTGAAGGGTGGGGCCGCCTGGCACCTTCCTGGATCCCTCCTGGCGCGTTGGCTGTGGCAAGCGTTCAGTAAAGAACTTCATATGAGGGAGAGGGTACACCTCAGCTGGGAGATCCGCAGCCTCTATTGTTTGTATTCAGACATGCCCTCCGGGAGTGCTTATTTCTTTAATTTCACAAAATGGCCCAATCACAGCTAAGTTCCACAGCTCTCCTCTGTGGCTGCACACTTGTGGACCTGGGTACTGGGTGTTGTTTCCTGTTAGAATATCCCAAGGTCAAGTCACCTGTGGATGGAATCTTAAAATTCTGCTTTATCAATGCCATCTGATCGTGGTTATTGGTTTATCCATAGCTGTAGTTTAGTTGCATTCGTTTTACTTGTTTTTCTAATGGAAAAAACTAAGTTTCATTTATAAATGGCTTTTACTCAAACCTCACAACTTAGGCCGGGTGCAGTGGCTCACGCCTGTCATCCCACCACTTTGGGAAGCCGAGGCGGGTGGATCACCTGAGGTCAGGAGTTCCAGACCAGCCTGGCCAACATGGTGAACCCTCATCTCTACTAAAAATACAAAAATTAGCCAGGTGTGTGCCTGTAATCCTAGCTACTTGCAAGGCTGAGGCAATAGAATCGCTTGAAACTGGGAGGCAGAGGTTGATGTGAGCTGAGATCGTGCCATTGCACTCCAACCTGGGCAACAAGAGCGAAACTCTGTCTCAAAAAAAAAAAAAAATCACCTCACAACTTATTTTTTTTTTGGTGTTAAGACTCACTCTGTTGCCCAGGCTGGAATGCAATGGCTCAGTCCCTGCTCACTGCAACCTCTGCCCCATAGGCCCAAGTGAGCCTCCCACCTCAGCCTCCTGGGTAGCTGGGACCACAGGCATGCACCACCCTGGCTAATTTATATGTGTGTGTGTACATGTGCGTGTACATGTGTGTGTGTGGAGACGACATCTCATTATGTTGCCCAGGCTGGTCTCAGACTCCTGGGCTCAAGCCATCCTCCCGCCTGGGCCTCCCAAAGTGCTGGGATTATAGGTGTGAGCCACCACACCCGGCCACAACTTTCAATACTAGGTTTCATTCATAAACTAATTCTCATAGCATAGCAGTCCAACTAATGAACAATGCCAGATTTTTTTTTGTATTAGAAATTTCATAGCATCAGTATCCAAAAAGTGGCCTTTTTTTCCTCCATTAAGCAAAAACAGAATTTTAAAATGTTAATTTTAAGTTATCAGTAGGTTAATGTGCATTCTTCACGCCGAGCGGCAGCCCTGGCCTCCCTCCTGGGCCCTGGTTGTGGCTGCCATTGGCTGTGGGTGTTTGTAGCAGCTGCTGAGCCATTTCCATTATAGTCTGGGGGCCTCACCTGCTCCCCTCTTCCCTGTCAGAAGAATTAAACAACAAGACAGAAGTATTACAGAAAGGAACCCTGGGTCCTGTTCTCTGGTCCTAGGCCATGTGGGCAACATAGCACTGGAGTCTGAGAGTCACACAGATGAGGGAGCTGGGTCTACCCTTCACCAGCTATGGGGTCTTGAGCAGGTTCTTAAGGACATACGGCAAGTAACCAAACTTCTGTGTGCCTCAGTGTCCTCTCATTTGTAAAATGAAGAAACCAAGATTTAAATGCAGCAGAAGGTGTACTGTTCTTCGTAGGCATTTAGTGCATTCGATCTTCGTTTCCACACCCCGTGGATGTGCACACCCTTGCCATGTTGTAATTGGCAAGGCTAAAGTAGAGCCAGGCTTTTGACACCCTGTCCGGGGTTCTGGCCATGCTGCCACTTTCCATGAGAAAGACATGATTAAATAAAGATGCTGTAGAAAAAGGTTGGTTTTAAAAGCACTCCCATAAGTACGCAGCCATCACACAGAGGCCACTTCCCCTCAGCCATCCACTCAGCAGCACTGGCGTATACAAACGTAGCAGAGACTTGTCCCATGCTTCTAGTTCTGTTCTGTTAGAAGTGGGACCTGTGCCAATTATTATTAATCATTGGTTCCTTCTGAGAATTGTGACTGGGCAGCTTGTGATCCCTGAGGTCACTTAGGAAAATGCTTCCACAAGGAGGGCGTTTTTTCTAACAAACCATGGCACTAAGAACAGAAAGTGAGTTTCGTTCATCTCCCCACCAGCCAAGGACTGGCTTGAAATCCTAGGTAGGGCAGAGTCACCACTCAGCAGCCCTGCTGGCTCCCTCCTGTGAAAGGTGGAGATGTGGTTTGGGGAAGGAGTTGGGTCCAGGTGCAGCCTCCCCACAGCCTGACTCTGTTCTGACTGCTTCACGTTGCAGTCGTATTGCATTGGGAGTTCGCAGTGGCTTTCTCAATAATGAGCTAATTGAGCCACAGAGGTGTGTGCCCTGGTGTCACCAGCCACTGTTGGGTAGGTGGCTCTTCTGGCAGTGGGTAAGTCACTGTTGCTCATAGTGAATTTTAAAACACCCTATTAGTTCTTTGCCCAACATTACTTTCCTACTCAAATATAGCCTTAAAACTATATATATATACGTGTATATATATATATATATATATATATATATATATATATACACGTATATATATATATACGTGTATATATATAGTTACATACATATTAAAAATTTAGGTGACTGGATTATATGTGTAAAGGTGCATAGTACATATTTATGTATATACACATTCATTTACCTACATAGAAATACATAAGAATACAAGAACCCTTAACCTGCAATAATGTTATAAGTAAAGGAAAGAAGAAAGAAGGAAAGCAGTATTACTTACAGTTTAAGAAAACCAAAACATGACTTTTAAAAGTAAAGGACAAAGGATAGTTGTGCACGTGACGGGAGGCTGCTGTTTTCTGGATACCAAGGACAGGCCTGTGAGCAGAAATGATGGCAGTTGTTTTCCCTTTGTAGTTAGGTCTCTGAGTGCCAGTTATGTGTTTGCCAGTTTTCCTATTCATGTCTGTAACTTTCAGTGTGAGCTTCTAGTGTATGGTTCTAGAGAACATACCTGCTCGACTGAACTTTGAATAGGACATGTGATCCTTCATACATAGTGTGTACAACCCTTGTGATCATACATACACATACGTATAGATGTATGTAGGATTTAAGTTAGAATCTTTCTTTTTTAATTTTTTGAGACAGAGCCTCGCTCTGTTGCCCAGGCTGGAGTGCAGTGACGTGATCTCAGCTCACTGCAACCTCCACCTCCTGGGTTCAACTGATTCTCATGCCTCAGCCTTCTGAGTAGTTGGGATTCCAGGCACACACCACCACACCCGGCTAATTTTTGTATTTTTGGTAGAGACAGGGTTTCACCATGTTGGCCAGGCTGGTCTTGAACTCCTGACCTCAAGTGATCTACTCACCTCAGCCTCTGAAAGTGCTAGGATTATAGGTGTGAGCCACCACATCTGACCAGAATCTCTTTATAGTACAGAAGTAAAGTAAATTAAGCAATAGGCTGAATTATATTATGGACCAGTAAATTGTGAGGTCTCCCTCTTCAAACAACTTGAAGGGGGGAGGTAGAGACAGGGCAGAAGAGGACATGAACTCTGGCACCCTCAGTACCCTGCTTATTGATGTGACAGGAGGAATGTTTCTGTGGACATTCAAGGTTATGGATCACTCTCCTGTTGCCATCCAGCTCTCCACAGCTGGTGCCCTTGTGGGCCTGGAGTCCAGCATCCTGGTTCAGGCTTCTGTCTGCAGTCAGTGGGCATACCATGTACTGTCTAGGAATGTGGAAAGAGGTATAATTGTCTACCTGCCACTCTCCCAGTGTTCTGTAAGAATCTGATACAGGCCCAGATCATTTTGTAAAGTCCTCTGTAGAACACGATGCCATGGTTGCCGTTATTCTCTCATTGAGCAGAGTGGAGTGTGTACTACGTATACTGCCGTGGGTCCAGGCCCAGTGTGTGCACTCACATGGTGTGTGCTCAGAAGTCATTTTGCTCTCATCCCAGGGTGCAATAATAATAATAATTTGTTTTCTTTCTTTTTTCTTTTTTTTTTTTTTTGAGACAAGGTCTGGCTCTGTTGCCCAGACTGGAGTACAGTGGTACAATCTTGTCTCACTGCAATCTCTGCCTCCCAGGCTCAAGCCATCCTCCCACCTCAGCCTTCCTAGTAGTTGGGACTACAGGCGCACACCACCATGCCTAGGTAATTTTTGTATTTTTTTTTTGAGAGATGGGGTGTTGCTATGTTGCCCAGGATGGTCTCGAACTCCTGAGCTCAAGCAATCCTCCTGCCTCAGCCTCCCAAAGTTCTGGGATTACAGGCAGGAGCCACCACCGTGGCAATGATGATTTTATAAATGAGCTCTTGCTCTCTTTTTGGAGAAAAAGCCGAGAAATTCCTCTGCCTTTCTTTGCCCCATCAGTTTATCTTTGCCGTGTCAGGGCTCTGAAAGCCACAAAACCATCACCCCTCCTCCTGCTGGCTTTGTCTCCAGCCCGCTCTCCAGGTGGAGGCTCTGACTGTTAGGGAATTCTGGCTCCGTCTCTTACACACTGAGAACTCCATGAGCTGGTACCTTAGCCACTTTTTCTAGTGCCTCATAGCTAATCATTGGGAAGTTCTTGGTCATTTTTTGGTTGGAAAATTAAAAGGAAAAGATGTGAGTTGATGAAAGATAAAATTTTACTATAAAATTCAAGCCATCTTCTTAAGATTCCCCTGCATGTGGCTGCCTCGTACCCACCGCTGTCCCTGGTGTGCATGGCGAGTGCAGCAAGTCACACCTGTGTCAGCAGCATCGTCCTCTGCCTTGTACAGCACAGCTTGGCCTGGGGCCTGCTGGGGCGCTCAGAAAACAGCAAGCTGTGTGTGCTGTGTTTGTTAACATAGAGTGTGATGACTGATCATTGTCTATGCCAGTAGCAGCTTTTAGTGAAAATACAGGTCCCAGGCAAGGCCTGAAGCCCCAGTTTTTACTTTATTTTGATTACAGGATCATAACAATAAAGTAATTCTGGATCTCCATTTCCTTGGTAATCACTGTGCTGTGATAGTGTGTGCACCAGCGAAACATGGCATTCCTACAGTGAGATTATATCAAGAAAGCACTTATTAAACATCATGTTTTATTTTGTTTTTTTTAGACAGAGTCTCACCCTGTCACCCAGGCTAGAGTGCAGTGGCGCGAACTCAGCTCACTGCAACCTCAGCCTCCCGAGTAGCTGGGATTACGGGCATGCACCACCACACCCAGCTAATTTTTGTATTTTCAATAGAGATGGGGTTTTACCATGTTGGCCAGACTGGTCTGGAACTCCTGACCTTCAGTGATGGGCCTGCATCAGCCTCCCACAGTGCTGGGATTACAGTCATGAGCAGCCACGCCCAGCCAAAACATAATTTTTTAAAAATGTGTTTTGTTTTTTTGGGATGTGGCTATGTGCTGGTGATTTGTGCTGCATTTCCCCTTGTTCAGTCACTGAGAGAGATGCCTGCCCCTTCCATTGCATGAAGTCACTGAAGCAAAGGCTGAAAAATGCCCAACTTCCATATCCAGGGGCCCTGAGTCTCCTCCACCTTCTCCGACCTCTTCTCCTTTGAGCCTGCGATGTCCCTTTTATTTATCTTTGTTCAGCAGCACCTTTCACACTGTGGGCCTTGTTCTGAATCCACATGCCAAGTCACTATCCCAGAGTCCTGGCTAGGTTGGTCTGGTGTGTGTTCTGAGGGGGACTCGTGGGTGAGAAGCCAGAGTGTCCCACTTAGGGTTTTCAGTTTCCCTTCTCTCCTAGACTAATGCCCCTTTGAGGAAAGGGACAGTGTTCTTGCTCCTCTTTATTTTCCAGCACCCAGCATCCTGCCAACATTGATTAACTTCATTAAATGGATACCTGCAATTTAAAAGTATACATGAGCATTTGCTGAGACAGGCAGAGTCTGTCTGGTTCAGCAAAGTGTTTGTGCAAATACAAAGCAGGTGTCTAGACAAAGCCCCATCTTTGCAGAGCTCCCTCTGACACCTCTCTCTGGGGTTCTCTACAATTCTAGTCTCAAGAGCTGATGGGGGCACTTGGGACAGGGATGCCTGGGGGCCCTTCAGAGGCTGGTGCTGCTGAAACACAGATGCTGGCATGCCTTTCTTTCCTCCCCAAGATCATCCTCTTCAGATAACTGTGGTGGCGTTTTCATTTCTCACCCCTCTGTTACCTGGAAATGCTATGAGCTTGTAGATTGCAGTGGTGAGTGAGACCTACAGTTGGTGAAGCTAAAAGCCCTTTCGTACATGTTCATATAGATGACCATGGGATGATTTTCTGATTCACTGGATTGACTTCTGGGTTGAAAAGCAAAGCTAGGGCTCTGGAGTTTACAACATCAGAATGAGAGGAGGAGAGGATGGGGCAGAGTGCAGAAAAGGGCGTGGTGTGCCTGGGGCACGTACTCCTGCCGAAACCCCCAGTCAGGCTGAGCCCTAGGCCATCTCCTGTCTCCTACAGCTCCCTCCTGGCACTTTACCCACATGGAATTGAATACGTATTTGTGTGTGTGTGAAGGTGGTCAGACTTTGAGCCCACTTGGATTTTCTGAGACCAAAATGTCATAAACCAAGGCTAATGAGAGGCTTATGTCTGAACATGGAGGACGAGGATTCATGCTGGCTGTGGGGATTTCTCAAGACGGTGGCAGAAAAGAGTCTAGGTTCATCTGCTGCTTGGTCTGCAGGGTTCCTTCTCGCCTTACTAGGGATGACAGCTGTGGTCTATGTCATGCATTCTTGGCTGTTTGAAACTAAAGTTGTGTCTTGGACTTCACCCTTTGGTTTTGCCCCTTGTTCTCAAATAATGTCCACCTGAAGAAAGAGGTTGCAGACAGTGCTTTTGATGATAGCAGATGCTGAAGCATGAACCCATGGAGGAAAGAATTGCCCAGGAAAAAAGCCCAGATGTTTTCTGTTCGTGAACTAGATGTGTCCTCCTGAGGGAATTCAAATCAAAGAGTTGGCAAAACTGGGTGGTGGCAGTGGTAGAGAGGCATGAGCACGGGCCTCCTGACACACACACACACCCCTCCCTCCCCCCCCTCCCCCCTGCCAGGCTGCCTGGAGCAGGGCTCGGCCCCTGACACCCCGCCTCCCCCACAGGCTGCCTGGAGCAGGGCTCTGCTGGAATCACGGAAGGAACACACACCCTTTTTGAGACTATCAGAATTGCAAAGCCTGGCCAGTTGGTGCAAGTGTTTATCCGCCTGCCATCACCATCGGGTGGGGTGGTCTGTGACAGGCTCAGCAGGTGTTGGTAAAAGGACCCTTGGCCAGAAATGCAAAGGGGACAGAGCAGGAACTCCTCACAATCATAACAGCAGTGAGCTGTTTCTTGTTCTCTGTGGGAAAATGCTTGGAGCCTAAGTCTTGTACGAAAAAATAGATAAATAAGCAAAATGTAGACTCAGTGGCATTCTGTCATTCAGTGGCATGTTGCACATCCAGACTCTCAAGATATAATACAAGTTTCTCTGCAGCTGTTGGGAGGTGGCACTAAATCGTTGTTCTTGGGAGTTAGATTCTGCTGCCTGAAAGCTGAAAGGGAAGCAAAGGCCTCCCCAGTTATCCTGGTGAGACGAGAGCTTGGTGTGTGGGGAGCTGAGAGCTGGGACTCATGGGTGGGGGAAGCGGTTAGGTTCTGGCCAGTTGCCTTGGCAGAGCCTTGCTGGCTCCTAGGAAAGAGTAGGAGTCTCTCCATTGCATCTGGGAAGTGGGGGTGGCCGGGAAGGGGAATGGCAAGTGGGGAGGGGCAGGCAGCTGAGTCTATTTGGCTGGACCTGTGCTCTGAGGGGCAGGTGCCAGGGCATGAGGGAGAGTGGCGTGTGAGCGCACCTGAGTGGGGTTCCCCTGGTGGCCTACACCCGTCAGGGGCCCATGTCACCCACAGGAGGGGAAGCTTCACTTGGGAGGTGAGGGGTGGAGTGGAGAGAGCTCAGGGCCAGCATGGTCTCTGGTGTGGGGTGAATGGGGGTTGAGAGGAGCCAGCGAAGGCTTAGAGGGTGAAAGACTAGGTGAGGCGTAGCCAGGGACAGCAGGCTGTTGAGAAGAACATTGTGACATTATCCAACAAATGAGTACTTTGTCGGCATGAGTACACAAAGTGAACAGTGTTCTGGGCCTTGATCTTCCCCTAGTCCTGTTGATTATGGCCTCAGGTCAGGACACACACACTCACCGCCCTGCCCAGCCTCGGATAAGCTCATGTTATTTTTTAGATTTTTTTTTTCTCTTTCTTGTTGCCATATTCATATTCAGGACTTTGATGAGAGAAGAATGAGGTAGAACATGCTCATTGCATCTGAGCCCACACTGCTTTGATCCTTTTCTTCTCACCAGAAACAGTTCATTAACCTAGAATAAGTCACTTTTAAGCTTGTTTTAAATTGTGACAATTCTGATTTAAACAAATTTTTCTTTTTAGGTTAGCTATAAAACTCACCAGTAGAAGTTGAAAATAAAAATAATTCTATGCCATTGAATCTCCAAATGATATTTTTATTTTGCTACAAATTAATGAAACTTTAAATGATAATGATACTCTCACTTTGTCAAAAGCTTCAACCAGGGGTTACCAGACTATCGCCCATAGGCCACATTCCGCCACCAGCATGTAGTGAAGCCTGTGAGCTAAGAATGGTGTTTGTTTCTAAATGGTTAGGGAAAAAGTCAAAAGAATAATATTCCATGATGTGAAAATTACATGAAACGCAAATTTCTATGTCCGAAATGGTTTTCTTGGCACATAGCCATGCTCAGTCATTTGCAGCTGCCTTTGCCCTGCAACAGCAGAGTTGAACGGCTGCGAGAGACATCATATGGCCCACAAAGCCAAAAGTGTTTCCATCTGGCTCTTTCCAGAAGAGCGTGCTGACCCTTGGCTGGAGCCAGCAGGTAAGTCCGCGGGGAGACGGCAGGATGGGGAGCCCCATGCTTTTGTCTCTGTGCCCCTCCTGCAGCCAGGTCTGCACGCACACACAGTGACAGTAATAACCCCATGCGTGAATGTAGCAAGTTTTAAAGACATTAGAGGGCTTTGGTAGTTAGTTTTCATGTCATTCCTTTGAGGTAATTAAGTCCTATCTTATTCTTAGAAAAATGAAGATATAATTATGTGTCTTGGCATTGGTCCTTATAAAGGAGCTGAAGTGAGGATATAAATTCCCTGACTCTTGGTTCCACTTCCACCTAATTCTCCTACACAAAGACCCTCGCCATGATAAAACCTGGATTTGGGAGTCTGTAGGGGTAGGGCTGTGGCTGACTCACATGGATCTCCTCACACCTATTAGGGGGCCTTACAAGCATCAAGTGCCTTTTTAAGATGAAGTCATGTTTCCAGTTGACATAATAATTGTGCATATTTATGGGGTACAGTGAAATGTTTCAATATGCATGTATGTTGTGTGATTTAATATTGAAGTGTAATGTTGCCTGTTGGTTCAGAGCACAGTGGTACCTTAGAGACAGTTCAGTCAAGCACTTTTGTCTTATAGACCAGGGTTTTAGGCTCAGATTAGTGGAACGGTTTGCACCAGGTCAAGGTATAGTGCATGTCTGAGCTGATCAAAAGGCCAAGGTTCCGAGTTCCACCATGCACTCCCTTTACTTCCTGTCTTCTCACCAGACAGTGAGACACCTCTAAAGTGATAAGCAGGTATGCCATGTGTCAAAAGCAGATTTAGAAACCTTCTCATAAAAGATCTTTACTCAGTGCTGCTCTTGGTGAATTCTCACTTTACAAATTGAATATTTTTCTGTAGGCAGAATCAAAATGCTTTGAAGACATAATGAGATCAAGCCGTTAAGATGGCGCTTTACCGATTAAATCCCTAAGACAACCATGAAAATACAGGATTGTGTAATATGTTTTCAAGGAGATATTTACAAAAATGTTTTTACTTCCCTACACAAGTTCACAGAAGAAATACAATTTTTAAAGAAGGAAAAATGCTTTCATTATTGGGCACTCAATAAAAATTTGGTGAATGAATGAATAGTAGATGTACTGGTCAGTTTGGGCTGCCATAACAAAACACCACGGACTGGGTGGCCTAAAACCACAGACATTCCCTTCTCAGTGTTTTGGAAACTTGATGTCCAAGATCCATGTGCCAGCAGCTCTGCTGTCTGCCGGGGCTGGGGGGGGGGCTCCCTCCTGGCTTGCAGGCAGCCAGTTTCTCACTATGTCCTCATAGGTTGGAGAGCAGAGAGCAGTCTCCTGAGGGCACTCACCTGCTTTGGTAGGGTGCCCCCCACCCCCCCACCATGAGCCAATCAGCTCTCATAGGCCCCCACCTCCAATTACCATCCCATTGGGGATTTAGCCTTCAGCATAAGAAATTTTGGAAGGACGTATTTGCCCGTAGCAGTAGAAATAGAAATCTTGAATGTTTTACTGGGCTTCTGTAAACACAGAAGATGACTGATGAGTCCCTCAGCAGCTTAAATGAGATAAGATAGAAATGAACAAAGCAAAAGAAAGCAAATGAACAAAGCAAAAGAAATTAGTATTCATATTTTTCCTCACTTTTATTCTCTCTTGTGCACATAGACTTTCCAGTATTTATCCAGAATTTTCACAGGCCAAGAGAGAAGAGAGGTTTGTGGCTGCGTTTGAACCTAGGAAAGGACTTTGAGAACTCAGGATGCCTGGAACCAGCTGTGCAGTGCGTCTGCCTCCTGGACTTGGCAGCAGGGCCCCACTTTCACTGACTTTGCCCATAGTCCTCATAATTGTAGTAGGTGTCTCCTGCTACAGATCTTGATACGTGTTTGAGAAAATGTGATCTCTATGAGGAAGCAAGAAAAGGTAAGAAGGACTATAGCAGAAAGCAGAGAATTCCGAGTCCAGTTTGGAGAGAGTGAGGAAGTCAACTGGAAAGGTCTCTCATGATAAAGGTTCCAGGTGTTGCCAGCAGTGCTGGGGCAGGCCCCGGGGCTGAACCCGCCACTGGATGTAGCCTGTGGCACTCCTCGGGTGACCTTTGCCTCAGCAAACTTAGGGTAGTTTTTTTTTTTTTTTTTTTCCTGCTCCCATACCTGACTCCTAGATAGGAGGTTTCTCTTGTCCTGGAGAATCTTAAGAGAAGTATGTCTATGTTCTTGGAATCAGGAGAGCTCAGTTACTTGGGGGTGGAAACTGAGTCTTTTATAATTTCCATGGAACCTTTGCACCTTGTAGGTACTCAATAATTAATTGTCAGTTTGCTGAATATGTCCATAAATCTTATACTTAAGAGTTTATGCTATAATGCTGGTAGATGGATTTTATCTTCGTGAATAAGAATCTTTCACATGTAACTTATTTTTCTACAGCAGAAGCAAATTTCAGGATGTAATTTCAATTTTACAAAAAATGTACCTTTTTTGAATATAGCAATCTAATTTCTCTTTTAAACCCATTCTGTGAGTCGGCAGAAATTTATCGCAGAGACATTGCAGAGGTGAGACGGAGACTCTCAGTTGCCCTTGAGCTTTCCTGGCCCTGCTCTCTGCACCTCACAGACTTCCCCAGCGGGGCGGCCCCCAGGCCTTGTGTCCTCCTGCTCCCACATGTGCTAAGTGGCACCTTAGGGGGCCCTTGCTGCCCAGACAGTCCATGCAGACCTTTCTTTTCTGAGACGCAGCTACGTCCCCGAGCTCTTTGTGGAAGACAGGGAAAGTGATGGTCTGCTCTAAGATGCCCCAGCCACCTGAGGGTCCATCACCCTTCCTCTGGGGGGTGAGGCAGAGGACCCTGTTTCTGTAGGGCTCCCAGTTTCTCTGTGCCCCTGGCTTCCTCTCGCCTTTCCTGGTTCCAGGAGCTGCTGTCCAGTCGTGCTCTGGAAGATCTGAGTTCTTTGAAGTTCTTCTGGGGGTTAAACCTAAACTCAGAAGCCAGAACTCGGTAATATTACCCTCTGATCCTGTACCTGTCATTGTGGGATGTCCTAAATGACTAAAGAGGGCGGGGCAAGGCAGTAAAGGGGAAGAACAGCAGAACTGCAGTCAGCAGTTCAGATATTACCTCACCGCATTTCTTATAAAGATTCGCCTTCTAACACCTTTAAGGACTTGTTTTCCTTAACATTCTTTTAAACTTGGTTTCTTCCTGTAGCTTTACATGTATAAATACAATTATTCCTATTCTTCATTATGCTGAGGTCTCAGGATGGTTGTGCGTCTCTAACAGACGGGAGATACTGCAGTAGAATTTGCAGCACTTGGCCCTGTGTGCAGGCGGGAGTCAACACTGAGCCACCACCCCACCAAGCAAGAAATGGTGTATATATATCTCAATACGGATGGATGGATAGACAGACATTATTTAGACAAAGTCACATGAACTATACAGTTCACCCATTTAAGGTGTACAATTTAATGGCTCTGAACACAGAGTTGTTGTTCAGCCACAATCAATTTTAGAACCTTTTTGTCACCTCAAAAAGAAACCTCTACCTCTTATGCAGTCTCCCTCCCCCCAGCCCCAGCCCCACACTCCTCAGCCCCTGTCTACCACTCATCCATTTTCTGCCTCTGTAGATTTCTTTGTTCTGAACATTTCATAAACATGACATCGCACAGTTTGTGGCCTTTCGTGTCTGGCATCATTCACTGAGCACTGTGTTTCCCAGGTTCTCAGTGGCTGAGGGTTGTGTGGATGGACGATGTTTTGTTTGTCTGTCATCAGCTGAGAGACACTTGGTAGTTTCACTTTTTGGCCCTGTGAATAATGCTGCTATGAACCTTTCTTTACAAGTGTTTGTGTGGACCTGCTTAGCAATTTCCTTAAATATGTGGAATGACATCCCCCTCGGATGTTAGTAACTAAAGCTTTTCTGTTTTTTTGATATGTACCTTTTGCCATGATAAGAAGCTGTCATTGAATTCAGGAGTTTCAAGAATTGTGTGTAAAAAACATTTGGAATAAAAACCTCCACCTTAAGATGCAAAAGGGTAAAAAAGAAATTCTCCAGAAAGATTAATTGAAGAAAAAAGCAAAAAACATCTCACAGTCAGCACTTGTCAAATGAGGCCTGGTGGTCAGAGCCCCCTCTGTGCTCCTAGCACGTGAGTCTTCAGGAGTCAGGCCTTGAAGAGTGTCTGCCATTCGTTCCGAGACAGGAAGTAAGAGATGATTGGCCAGGAGGCTGCAGCTGCAAGTCCCAAGAGCAGCGCCTGGCGCCAGCTGCCACCCTCAGGCTTGGAGCAGAGAAGAGATGGAAACCAAATAACCGAGGGCCTGGCTCAGGACCTTCACGCAGTTTTCAAGAAATTCATCTTTTCTTGCCGTTTTCCCTGTGTTAAGTGAGTCAGGAAATTGAAAAACAGAAAAAATAAGCGTGAAAGTAGGTAGTTGACTCTCATATTTATTCAGTTATTTTTAAAGAGTTTATCCTACTGATATGAGTAAAATAAAATTTTCGTTAGGAATAATAAGAGCTTATTTTCTATCTAGACATACAGTGTCTTGTTTTGCCATTTGATAAGAACATGGTTCATGCGGTCTGAGTAATTTGTTTACTCTCAGTTTTAATTAAAATTTTTTTTAAGAATGATTTTTTATACTTGATTTAGTCCTAAAAGCTAAGAAAGCCTCAATTCAGGTACTGCTTACATACACTATTTTAATTATATTAATGTTAAAAGAGTGATTAAATCTATTAGGAATCACTGAGATTAGTATTTCAGAGACATCTAATGAAAGCGGTTTGACTAACGTAAATTATTCCAAGATGATGGTAGTATCTACAGGGGCGGGGGGGTGGGATTTAAATTCAGCCTTGCCTGGCTGTGCTCCTGTCTCATCCGGCTCTGTGATTCTTTGAATGTGAGCGCGTTCTTAGAAGATAGTCTAATTTTATGAACTGACAGTTGTAACTCAGAGCCATGCTGTTTCCTTAGGTAAATACTGTGTGGGCTTTTAGACAGCTGTCAGATACAGCATGGGAATCTCAGATGAGTGCAGGTGTTAACTGCAGTGCTGCTGGGTTGGTGGGTTCTGCCCTCATGGAGCATCTTTACCAACATGGGAGGTTTTGGCTCCTCCTGCCCCTGCTAAAGGAGGCTGAGGAGTAGCTGGACATGAGTAGAAGCTGCACTGGCGCTCGCTTACGTTCTGTAAGACTGTGCCCAACTACAATCGGAAGACTTCTAGTGAAGAGAAAGAATTTTAGTTATAAAATCAAACTAGGCCTTTTGGACCAAAGAAAATCAGTTTATTTTTGCTGTTTTGTTTACTAATAAATAACAATGTATTCATAATGTTTTCCCTCTGTTTAGATTTCCGCCAACTTGTAGGACAAGCACCCTGATGAAGCAATATCTGAAACTTAAAATAGCAGTTTTGTTCATACAAGTATCATTTTACATAACTGCCAATAAACCCTAGTAAATGAACCTTCCTTAGCATATAAACACAAAAACAGTTGAGCTGTTTACTGTTCAATATTTACTGTCAGGTTTTAGGAACTTTAAGAACTGGTTTTTCCAGTTTCCTGGTTCCCATCAGATGCCCTGGGACCCTGGACTCTATGGCCTCAGCAGGAAGAGCTCAGCTTTCCTTGTCTTTTATTCCAGAGCACCTTAAACCCTATTTCCAAAATACAGGCTACTTTTATTTACGAATTTTATTCATTGGGTTGGACAAGCCAAAGGCCATACCTTTCAATCATATTGAAGTGGTGATGTGAGCCTTAGACCTGGGGCCAACCCTCTGTCACGCTGACTTGGGCTCCCAGAATGTTCCCTAAATTCCAGAGTTCCTTAGGGAAGGAGAGTCACCAGGTGACTTTCTCTGTTGCTGAAAAGATAACCTCAGATCCTCAGATTTTACTCCTGCAGGCTGTGAAAATGTTCTGTCTCCCAATGTAACTCCAGTTAGCTTAAATTAGTTGTTTTTTCTGTTTGATTAGTAATTTGAAAATTGGTCTTTGTTACCAAGCTTTTCACAAGTCCCAAGGTTACCGCACAGTGTTTTTGGTATGGACCTCCTAACAGAAATTTGCCGAGAAGAGGTGTAATTTACTTTATAAAGCTTACGTTATAATTAGAAAAGTAAAAGCACAAGGCAAACAGGCCTGAGAAGCACTTTTACAGTATATTATCTGGGAAATAAGAATTTTGCAATGAACACACTTTTAAAATAGTATCTTCTGTCTCCCAGACCTCCAGAAGCACAGGAAAAGAGCATAGGTGTTCTTGTTGATGCCGGATATAAATGCCCAGGTACCAAATCACAGAATATGCAAACCCAGCATCCCAGAGCCCCCAGCACCAACATGGTGCTGCTGGCATGCCAGATCATTCCTCAGTTCTACCTGGATTGTTTACACGGTGCTGCTGGCATGCCAGATCATTCCTCAGTTCTACCTGGATTTTTTACCCTCACTTCTGCTTAGAGTAGCAGCAAAAGAAAGCCTTGTTGAGGAAACTGAATGTCTATAAAAAGCATCTTGGGTTAAACTTCCCCTCTGGTCCTGACACCACTCCGCGCAGTAAGTTCTCTGACTTGGCAAGAGCACGTCTCAGGTTGTGTCCTACTGGCTCCTCGCCCCTCAAATCCTCCATTGGTTGTTTTGCCCATTTTGGATTTGATCATATGTGTAATTCTTTGAGGTAGAGAAATAAAAGAGGTAAATTATACGTAAATTGTGAAATGGGAGCATGGAAAGTTTGGTTGACTTTTAGCTTGAATGAACCTGACAGAAGTCGGTGTATTTAGGAAGAACAGGGTGAACTGGTGTGGACCCAGCAAGTTCCATTTCAGCCATTTACTCTGCCCGAGACGAGATCTCATTGCTTCTTGATGCTCTTGCACCAGGAGTTTGCAAGTTCCTGCTTGGAACAGAATTGTTTAATGTTTATTATTGACTCGTTGAGGCTTTCTTTCACTGAAAAACTTACCCACACGTAACACTCGTTCAGAGCACACCCTGACTTCTAAGAATGAACACGTCTTGTCATTTAGGCCAGGTTATTTTCAAGAGCAAACTTTTCAGTTTTCAGTATGGGAAATAATCACCTTTCTTCTTCCCTTCACTCAGTGTTAGTGCCATGAATAGGGCATTGTTGGTCGGGTGTCTGACCCAGGATGGCATCTGTTAGATGAACGGGTGATGTCACTTTACATTCCTAAGGAGTATTCACCTGTCCTTGTTGCAGCATGTCATAGCAGCTTTACCCGTGAAGGGCCGTCAGAGCACATCAGTAGATGATAGTTTGGTGCCATCTGTCTTTATTTCCATTATACTTTAATTTCTTGAGGATAGGACTTCCACATTTGCACTTGGTTCAGTAGTTGTCAGCTGTTGGTGACTGAGCTGAACCAAATCCAGTTCTTCATTGCACAGATGAGATCACCACAACCCACAGAAGTGGCATCACCTGCTTTCAGCCCCTTGGCCAGGTGGTGAGAGAGCTGGGGCTTCCAGTTCAGGGCTCCCTCTGCTGTAACTCAGGGATGGTCCCTAAGCTGGTGGTTAAAGTGTTCATATGAAGTAGGTCCAATCTGTGGTTGTTGCTGTAATCAGTGTGTCAGCACAGAGTTCCGCAATTTCAGTATCTTTCTAAATAACCGACTGTGGAATGTTTGTAATCACACAGCACATAGGCAACAGGGCCTCACAAAGCAAAGGCCTTGTGAAGTCCATTCCTTCAGGGTGGAAACTGACTGTTGGCAAAACACAGTTCTCAGGTTATCTGTTGTTCTTAACAACAAGCGTCTCAGGTCAGGGTAGGCTTATTGTGGTTTGCTTTTGCCTACAAAGGACGTATGTTGAGTAAGAATCTTGGCCTATTACACAGTAAGTTAATAATTGTGTCCTTGCAAATAAGCATTGTGTTCTAAAATGGAATCAGCATATTTCCCTATAAAGACACTTCCACTCATTCATTAATTGAGCAGCCCCAGTTGATAAAGAATCAGTATATCATGTTCTGATATTTAATCAGCAAACTCATTTATTCAGTAGAAATTTGAATTCCTGTGATGTGCCAGACTTGTGAGGAGGGGTACAGAGAAGATATGGCAAGGAGGTCCTTCAGAGAGCTCAGAGTCCTAAGAAAGTAAGTACAGCGGGCGAGAACTGCATAGGAGACGCACAGGGCACGGCGGGATGCAGGGACGAGGGATGGTCCCCGTCTGGGCATAGAAGATGTCTCAGAGACTCCAAGGAGGAAGTGACTTCTGGACTAGATCGATAAAGGGTGGGTAGGATTTAATGAGTCAGAGGTAAGAACAAGGGAAGGAGCGGGACTGTTTGTGAAGAGAGAGCATAGAAATTCCCTGGGGTGTTTGGGAGCCACAGATGGGTGGCCCTAAAAAGGCCAGAGAATTCAGTGAGGAGCCTTGCCCAGATACACGGGGAGCTGTAATGAATTACCTGGGACAGCAGAACTGGAGGTGGAGATGAAGAGAGAGATGGCAGGTCATGTTCAGGAAGTGAAATTGCTAGGCCCTCATCATTATTACAGCATGAGATACAAGGAGGAGGCCCTAGTGTGGTTACTATTTCTCTAGTTCGGGTCTCTAAGGTAGGTTAACAGACAAGGGGAGGAGGTGATGAAGTCAGCTTTGTGAGGACTGTGTATGAGATCTGTTTCCAGACAGATCTGGAAGTGTGAAGCTTGTAAGAGAGTTTGGCATTGAAGATTTGGGAAGCATAAGACATATGTCTTTGTAAATAGATAAGAATGAGGTTCAGTTGAGAGATACACATATAGTGTGATAAGGACAGTAAGCCAAGGGGAATAACACCTTCATTGAAGGACCAGCAGAAAGACAGTGAACACAGAGATCATAGTGTCGAGGAACACGGGGGTGGGGGGGAGGCGGGCAGCGGGGCGTTAGAGGAATGGTAGAGCAGAGAGCGCTGGCATGCGGGGATGACCACGTGCAGCAGAGCGGTATGCAAGAAAAGACCGGTAAGTACCCACTGGGCCTGAACCTTGGTCACTGCTCACCTTGTTGAGAACAATTCCAGGAGATTGGAGGAGCGGAGGCTGATTGGAGTGGTTTGGTTACGGATGAGTGGTGAGGCAGGAGAGACAGTGAGATCATCTTTTGAGGCGTTCGAATGTGAACCGAAAATCTGGACTAGCCAGATGGGAACATGGAGAGGAAGGAGGAGCGCCTGCTTGGTAAGAAATAGAAGTCTGAGTGCTTGGCACAGGGGTTTCGGTAACCCCCTAGAGAAGAGGAGGAAGTGCCTGTTTCCGTGTAGAGCAAGCGGGGAATGCCACTTTGTGCTTTGCACACGCGTCCCTAAACCCAGACGCCTGGGAGAGCACGAGCTCAGGGCTGCTCTGTGCTGTGCACACGCGTCCCTAAACCCAGACGCCTGGGAGAACACAGGCTCACGCTGCTCGGTGCTGTGCACACGCGTCCCTAAACCCAGACGCCTGGGAGAACACAGGCTCACGCTGCTCGGTGCTGTGCACACGCGTCCCTAATCCCAGATGCCTGGGAGAACACAGGCTCACGCTGCTCGGTGCTGTGCACACGCGTCCCTAAACCCAGATGCCTGGGAGAACACGAGCTCACGCTGCTCGGTGCTGTGCACACGCGTCCCTAATCCCAGATGCCTGGGAGAACGCAGGCTCACGCTGCTCGGTGCTGTGCACACGCGTCCCTAATCCCAGATGCCCGGGAGAACACAGGCTCACGCTGCTCGGTGCTGTGCACACGCGTCCCTAAACCCAGACGCCTGGGAGAACACAGGCTCACGCTGCTCGGTGCTGTGCACACGCGTCCCTAAACCCAGACGCCTGGGAGAACACAGGCTCACGCTGCTCGGTGCTGTGCACACGCGTCCCTAATCCCAGATGCCTGGGAGAGCACAGGCTCACGCTGCTCGGTGCTGTGCACACGCGTCCCTAAACCCAGACGCCTGGGAGAACACAGGCTCACGCTGCTCGGTGCTGTGCACACGCGTCCCTAATCCCAGATGCCTGGGAGAGCACAGGCTCACGCTGCTCGGTGCTGTGCACACGCGTCCCTAAACCCAGACGCCTGGGAGAACACAGGCTCACGCTGCTCGGTGCTGTGCACACGCGTCCCTAATCCCAGACGCCTGGGAGAACACAGGCTCACGCTGCTCTGTGCTGTGCACACGCGTCCCTAATCCCAGATGCCTGGGAGAACACAGGCTCACGCTGCTCGGTGCTGTGCACACGCGTCCCTAATCCCAGATGCCTGGGAGAGCACCGGCTCACGCTGCTCGGTGCTGTGCACACGCGTCCCTAAACCCAGACGCCTGGGAGAGCACCATTCATTCTGGATGGCAGAGAAACCCTTAGAACAGAGCAGTTAACTGAAGAAGTTGAAACCAAAAGGGAAATGTTTATGTTTTGAGTCAGTCAGCCCTTTCAAGCTATGACCTTTTTACCAGCTTAATGTTTGTTTCTTGGTTTAGAGTTTATATTTAATACCTGATAGAGTTGCCATAAAATGCTCATTTCTGTCTGTGGAATTTTCCTTGGTTCACACACTGCAGACTTCCATCAGAGATCACAGCCCAGGTGTTGAAAGAACGCTCTTGCCATTTATTTATTTATTTATTAATCTTTAGCATACCCAGAATAGCTGTAGCACATCTGATCTAAGTTTTCTTTCTATAAGGATTCTTTAACCCCGAGCAGTTTCTAAGAGGAGCTTGAGACTTGAGAGCCCAAGGCTTTTGATTTGGGCTTGACCTGTGGACACCTGGCACACACCCTGCCACCCGCTAGAAGGATGTGTAACTCAGAGTCCTCTTCACCATCACCCCTCCCTGAGGACTTGTTTCCGTTCATGTCCCACAGTAAAGTTTCTTGTCAGTTCATTCCGTTTGTTGAAAACAGTAAAAAAATACGTTGAGCGCCTATTCTATGCCAGACTCTGTGAAGAGAATGGGTATCAGTGAGAGACGCCAACCCTTGTCGGATCTGCAGCCTAGAGGGGGAAGAGACAGGAGGCAGGAAGCAGAACCACATTCTAGCAGGGGAAATGGACAGGAAGCAGGAAGCAGAACCAGGAAGCGGTGGCGTAGACGGGCCTGCAAAGGGGCAGCCAGTGCCCTAGAAAGCAGAGAAGCAGGGCTGAGCCCTGAGCTCCTGGTTGTGGGCGGGGTGGGCTGCACCTGAGCCCCGAGCTTCCGGTTGTGGGCAGGGTGGGCTGCACCTTTATTTGGCCACATTAAAAAGGGGCTATTTGAGCTAAGACTTGAAAAAATAAGAGAATTAACTATTCAGCTTTCTGTGAGAAGAGCGTGCTAAGTAGATGGCCAGTGCCAAGGGTGGGGGTGTGCCTGTGTCAGGCAAATCAGGAGGAGCAAGGGACGGGGCCGGAGCCATGGGCCCAGGCAGCCTTGGTGAGGGGTTTCTCTGGCGTTTATGCTGAGGGAAATGGGAACCTTGCTCAAGACATGGAACGAAGGAATGACATGACCCAACTCACCTTTTGGAAGGATCAGCCTGCTGGCTCTGTTAAAACTAGGCTATAGTGCAGGGGTCCTTTAGTGGGGATCTGTGGTCTGAGACAGGAAAAAATATACCTGTGTTTTCACTAACTTCTAACTGAAGTTTATCATTTCCTTTATGATATAGTCAATAAAACAGTAATAATACAGCACCTGTGATTTTGTTACCAATAGAAATCAGATATTTTCATTACAGTTGGAGAAGTCCTCATATATTGTTTACTCTTATCATTTTCTCAAAACTGTGATTATTAGACCCATTGCTAGGTCTTAGGTACAGTTTTTACAGGTTGAGTATGTCTTAGCCAAAGTGCTTGGGACCAGAAGTGTTTCAGATTTCTGAATATTTCATTATACTTACCAGTTGAGCATCTCTAATCCAAAAACCTGAAATCCGAAAAGCTCCAGTGAGTATTTTGTTTCAGCGTCATGTCAGTGTTCAAAAAGTTTTGGATTTGGGAGTATTTCAGATTCTGTATTTTTAGAATGGGGTGTTCAACCTATATAAAAAGGGGGTTAAATTACTGTATCTTACATTTGATTTTTATATTATTTTGAAAACTGTCTCATAATTAATTTCTTTATAAATCCGTGTATTTTATTATACACATTAACTGTTGTTCTAAGAAAGTGTTCGTAGGCTTCCTCAGGCTGCCATAAAGATTGATAATACAAAAGAGATTTTGTTTGTTTGTTTTTCCAAATTAACCTATCCATCACCTTTTGTGTATGTGTGTGTGGTAAAAGCACCTAAAGTCTACCCTCTAGGCAGATTTTCGGTATACAGTAGAGTGTTATTAACTCTAGTCCTCGTGCCATGCATTAGATCTCTCCAGACCCATTCATCCCACATAACTGCAACTCTGTCCTTGGACTCACTTCTTCCCATTTCCTCCCTCACCCAGTAACTCCCGTTCTGCCGTCTGTTTATATGTATTTGGCGTTTTCAAGATTCCACATGCAGGTGAGATTGTGCAGTATTTGTCTGACTTTGCCTGACTTATTTCACTTAACATAGTGTTCTGCACTTCCATCCGTGTTGTTACAACATGACAGGATTTTTTTTCTTTTTTTTTTAGTAGCTGAACAGTATTCCATTTCGAATATGTACTGTTTTCTTTATCCATTCATCAGTTGATAGATGCTTAGGTTGGTTCTGTGCTTTGGCTGTTGTATAGAGTGCTGCAGGAAACATGGGTGCAGGTATCTCATCAACATACTGATTTCAGTTGCTTTGGGTCTATAACTACAAGTGAGATTGCTGGGTCATATGGTAGCTCTATTTTTAGGCTTTTGAGGAACCTCCATACTGTTTTCTATAATGGCTGTGCCAATTTACATGCCCACCAACAGTGTACAAGGGTTCCCCTTTCTCCACATCCTCACCAGCACTTATCTCTTGTCTTTTTAGACGATAGTCATCCTAGGACATGGTGAGGTGATTTCACACCGTGGGTTTGATTTGCTTCTCCCTGGTGATTAGTGTCGGACACCTTGCGTATGCCTGCTGACCATTTGTGTACTGTCTTTAGAGAAATGTCTATTCGTGTCCTTTGCCCATGTTTTAATTGGGTTATTTGTTTTTTGCTGTCGAGTTGTGTGAGTTCCTTACATATTTTGGATGTTAGCCCCTTATTAGATGCATGGTTTGCAAATATTTTCTCCCAGTCCATAGACTGCCTTTTCATTTACTTCATTGGTCACTTTGCTGTTCAGCTAAGCTTTGCTATGTGAGGTAGTCCCACTTGTTTATTTTTGCTTTTCTTGCCTGAGCCTTGGGGGGTCACACTCCAAAATTGAGCTATAGAGAGAAACAATTTTGGAGCTGCCTCCAGGAATAGAAGACTGAGATAATTTGGACTCACTTTCTGGTTGAAGACAAATAGAAAAGCTAGCAAAACATTTTTTAAATAAAGCTATTTGAAGGTATCAGTGAACTGAAAAGGTAATAAAGAAGTCCCATGTCAATATCCTGTAGAAGACAGAGATCAAGGGAGGTCAGCTTGGCATTAGGAACCACTTATGCTCTGATGTGTTTGCCTGTCAAGAAGTAAGAAAACACAAATTAGTACTACTAGGGATAAGGCAGGGGATATTACTATAGACCCTTCTAAGAAGAAAGGGAAGCACCATAAACAACTCTACACACATGCATTCAACAACTTAGATGTAGGGGCCAAATCTCAGAAAAGCACAGGTGACCACAACCCCCCAATACCAAACAGGTTCTTTAAAGAACTTCATAACTGTTAAAGAAATTGAATCCGTAGTTTGCAAACTCCCCTCAAAAGAGGTCTCTAGCCCAGAGGTGTCACTCGGTAATTTACCATATGTTTAAAGAAGAATTAATGCTAGTTCTACATTCTCTTCCAGAAAATACAAGAAGATAGACCATTCCCCAGTGAGGCCAGTATTACCCTGACACCCAAACCAGACAAAAAAAAAATAGTGCAAAATAGAAAACTACAGGCCATTATCCCTTTTGAATGTAGGTACAAAAATCTTGAACAAAATATGAGTGAATCAAATCCAGCAATTAATTATACACTATGACCAAGTGGCTGGTTTAGTACTTAAAAATCAGTCAGTGAAACCCTCCATATTAATAGATTAAGGAAGAAAAGTCACATGATCATATGAATCATTCAGAAAAAGGATTTGACAAAATTCAGTGCCCATTCATGGTTAAAAAAAAAAAAAACTTTCAGAAAAATGATAATGGAGGAGATCTTTCTCAACTTGATAAAGAACATCTACAAAAGCCCCTACAGCCAATGTAACACATAATAGTAAAAGACTAATTGCTTTTCTCCAATATCAGGGATATTAGGGACAGAGATGTCTGTCCTCACCACTCTTATTCAACATAGTGCTGGAAGTTCTGTCTAGTGCAGTGAGGAAAGAAAAGGAAATAAAAAGCATGCAGACAAAAAGAAGGAAACAAAACTGTCTCTATTTGCAAATGACATGATTCTCTAAATAAAAAATCCCAAGGAATCTACAAAAAAAACTAGAGCTAGGTGGGGTGTGGTGGCTCATGCCTGTAATCCCAGCACTTTGGGAGGCTGAATTAAGAGGATTACCTAAACCAAGAAGTTCAAGACCAGCCTGCGCAACATAGTAAGACCCCCATCTCTACAAAAAATTGAAAAATTAGCTGGATGTATTAGCTACTCAGGGAGCTGAGCTGGGAGGGATTGTTTGAGCCAGAGAGGTCAGGGCTCTGGTGATCCATGATCACATCACCATACTCCAGCCTGGGCAACCGAGTGAGACCCTGTCCTTAAAAAACAAACAAAAACAAACTAGATCTAGTGAGAGTTCAGCAAGGCCTCAAGCTACAAGACCTATATACCAAAAATCACTTGCATTTCTATATACTATTAATGAACATATGGAAACCTAAATTTAAAAGATAGTACCACTTAACAATTGTTTCACAAAAATGAATTACCTGGGCATAAATTAAATAAACATATACAGGATCTGTATGCTAAAAATTGCAAAATACTGATAAAAGAAATCAAAGCAAACCCAAAGAAGTGGAGACACATACCGTGTTCATGTACTGGAAGGCTCAGCAGAGACGTGGGTTCCCTCCAGACTGATGTACAGGTTTGATGTACTTGCTAGCAAAAATCCCAGCAAGGTATTTTTTTGTAGATGCGCAAGATTATTCTAAAATTTGTATGGAAGGGCAGTGAAACTAAAAGTCACGAAAATAATCTTGAAAAAGAAAAAGAAAATGGGCAGAATCACTGTATTTGATAACATACCTTGCTATATAACTGCAGTAATCAAGACAGTATAGTGTTGGTGAAGGGACAGACACAAGGTCAATGAAACAGAATAGAGAACCCAGACATAGACCCACACAAGTACCACCAGTGGATTTGGACAAGGTGCAAAAGCAACTCATTGGAGGAAGGCAGCCTATTTAGCCAATGTGACTGGAGCACTGGATACCCATAAGCCAAAAAAAGAAAAAAAAAAAAAAAGGACCTTGTCTTTGGCCTCACACTTTTGTAAAATTAACTCAAATGGAAAATGAAATTAACTGTAAAACATAAAACTATTACACTTTTGGGAAAAAAATAGAAGATCTTTGGTATCTAGGGTCAGGCAAAGAGTTCTTAGACTTCATACCAAAAGCATAATCTATAAAAGGAAAAGTTGATAAATTGGAAACATTTTTAATTCAACATTTTAAATTCAAAATTAAAAATGTCGCTCTATTAGGATAAGGAAAAGACAACCTACTGCCAGGGAGAAAATACTTGCAAACCTCCTGTCTGACAGAGATCTTATACCTAGAAAATATAAAGAATCTCAGAACTCAACATTAAAAACAATCCAGTTAGAAAGTAGGCCAAAGATAGACATTTTACCAAAGACATTCAGATGGTAAATAAGTACATGAAAAGTTGTTCAACATAATTAACCATTAGGGAAATGCAAATTAAAACCACAGTGAGATAGCACTACACACGGATTAGAGCAGCTAAAATTAAAAATAAAATAGTGACACCACCAAATTCTGGCGAGGATGCAGTCCTTATACACTAGCCTCTTACATGGCTGGTGTCGGTCACTCTGGAAAACAGTTTGGCCGTTTCTTAAAAAACTAATAATGCACTTACCATCTGAACTAGCAATCACATGCCTGGGCATGAAAACTTAGGTTCATTCAAAAACCTGTGCATGAATATTCATAGCAGCTGTATTTGTAGTAGCACAGGTTGGAAGCAACCCAGATGTCTTTAAATGGACGAATGTTTAACAGGCTGGTGCATCCATGCCATGAAGCACAACTCGGCAATAAAGAGGAATGAGTGGCTGGCGCTTGGTGAGTGGCTGACGCTTGGAACCACCTGAATGGATCTCAAGGGAATTATACTGAGTAAAAAAGCCAATCCCAAAAGGTCACATATTACATGATTCTATTTATGTTACATTCTGAAAATGACAGGATAAAGAGATGGATAACAGATTAAGTTGCCAGGGATTTGGGACAGCACAAGGGAGGTCTTATGTGGAGAGACAGTTTTGTTTCTTGATGGTAGTGGCAGGGGCTACACAAACCCACCAGGTTTTGAAATTGCCTAGAACCTGAATAAGGATTGTGGATGGCACTGATGCCAGCTTCCTGGTTTGGATATTGCCCTGTAGTATGTCAGATGTTACCCTTGGTGAAGGATACATGGGGCCCTCTATCCTATCTTTGTCAACTCCTGTGAATCTATAGTCGTTTCAAAATAAAAATTAAAAAATAAATCACCAACCAAACAGATACCTAAGGTCTCAGGGACACTGGGAAATTAAAAGTTTTAGGACAGAAAAAGCTGTTCCGTGCAGCTGCTAACCCAAAGAAACCAGTGCGCCTGCATCAGAAGTGGACTTCAGGTAGAAATGGCCATGAGAGGAAGAAGGGACATTTGAGAAGAAAGGTCAGCGCCCCAGGATTATTTCCGGATTCTCTAGATCTGTAAGTTAGTATGCACAGTTTCCAGATGCATCAGATGAAAACTGACACAACTGAAAAACGAAGCAGACATATCTGTAATCACAGTGGGACGTGTGAGCACAGGGGTCCACAAACTGTAGCCAGTAGGCCAAGTCTGGCCTTTGGCCTGCTTTTGTGTGGGTCTGTGAGCTAAGAATGCTTTTTGGAGTTTTTAAAGGGTTGGTTTAAAAAAGAATATCTAACAGAAACTGTAGGGGGCCAGTGAAGCCTAAACTCTTCACTGTCTGGCCCCTGCAGAGGAAGTCTATGGAGCTTTAACAAAGCCTCTCTCAAGAGCTGATAGGACAAACAGACAGAAGGTTAGTATGGATTCGAATTGTTGAACACATTTTGAACACAGTGAACACACTCATCCTAACGGACATATAGAATCCTGCACCCAAAAGCTATAGAGTAAACACTTCTCCAGTGCATATGGGAAATCTACCAGAATTGACTAGATGACAGCTCATAAAGCAAGCTTCAGCAAATTTCAAACAATTGAAAGCATCCCTCTTTTTTCTGTCCACAGTAAGCTAGAAATCAGTAATAACAATAAGTAAAAATTCTGTTATTTGAAATTAAAATAGTACACTTCTAAATAATTCACAGGGAAAAAGCAGAAACCACAGTGGGCATTATAAAATATTTTGAATGACAGTGAAAATATTGTCCATAAAAAATGTGTGGGATGAAGCTGAAAGCTGTTCTGAGAAGGAAATTTGTAGAATTAAATGAATATACTTTAAAAAAAAGGCTGAAAATCAATGATCTAAGTATACATCTCTATAAATTAATAAAAAATCAAACTCAGGGAGTGTGGTAGGTAGGAAGGAAATAGTAAAAGCAGGAACTAGTGAAATAGGAAACAAATGGAGAATAGAGAAAGGTTTTTTTTATGTCATTCGCAGGAGTTCTCCCTCCTTGCTGGTGGGAATTCAAAGTGGTGAAGCCACTCTGGATGGCCATGAGGTGGTTTCTTAACAAAGCTAAACAGGTCTTAACACACAGTCCAGTAGCTGCGCCCCTTGCTGCAGCCACACCACAACCTGTACATAGAAGTTTCGGCAACCCTATTCATAACTACCAAAACTTGGAAGCAGCCAAGATGTCCTTCAGTGGGTGATTAGATGAACGAACTGTGGTCCATCCAGACAGTGGAATGTTATTCAGTACTAAAAATACGTCTATCAAGCTATGAAAAGACATGGAGGAAACTTAAATGCATGTTACTAAGTGACAGAAGCCAATCTGAAAAAGCTGCCTACTGTCTGATTCCAGCTATAGGAAGACTGGAAAAGGGAGAACTATGGAAACAGTAGAAAGATGAGTGATTGCCAGGGGCTCAGGGGAGGGAGGCTGAGCAGGCAGGCGGGAGGGCTTTAGGGCAGTGTGCCTGCTCCAGATGATGCTCTCATGGTGGCTCCAGGTCATTACACATTTGTCCAAACTCGCAGAATGTACACCACCAAGAGTGAACCCTCGTGTCAACTGTGGACTTGAGGGACATGTCAGTGTGGGTTTGCCGATTGTAACAAATGTGTCCTCCAGGGATTGGCGGGTGGAGGCACTGATCTGTAGAGAAGCAGAGGGTATGTGGGAAATCTCTGTACCTTCCTCTCAATTTTGCTGTGAACCTAAAACTGTTCTAAAAACATAAAGTCCTTTTTTTTAAGTTAATTTGAAAAGATGAATAAAACTGATAAACCTGTTACTAAATTGATGAAGAAAAGCAGAAAGCACAAATTGCCAGTATACAGCATGAAAAAGGGACATCTGTATACATAGATAATGCAGACTAAAGAGATGAGGGAATATTTATACCAATACATTTGAAACTTCAAGTAAAATGCGTGCCATGAAAATTTCAGGTAAAATGAACACATTCCTTGAAAAATACAACCTAATAAGACTGAAGTATGAAGAAATAGAAAACTAGAAACCTTGAATGGTTCCATGTCTACTGAAGACATTGAATCTGAAATGAAAACTCTGCCCACAAGGAAACCTCAGGATCAGAGGGCTTCCCTGTGAGTTTTTCCAGACACCGAAGGAGGAACCAGCAGCTGTGCTACGCCCTTTCTTCCAGAGAGCAGAAGAAGAAGGAAGGCTTTCCAACTGTTTCTCTAAGTCCAGCAAAATCCTGATGCAAAAATCTAACAAAGACATCACAAGAAATAGAAATTTAGGCCATTCTGTTTCATGAAAATAAAGCTTCCAAACAAAATACTAACAAATCAAATCCAGCAATATGTAAAACCAATAATACATGATGACCAAGTTGGGTTTATTTTTGGAATGCAATATTGATTTAACATTTGAAAACCATTGTAAATAACAATGAATAAGAAAAAGGATATAATGGATGCTAAAAAAATACTTGATTAAATTCAGTACCTGTTCATGGCAGTCACCTTCAGGCTTCTGTAGGAAATACACTTCTCACTAACACGTCCTGTTAGCATCTGCTCAGCCCTGTGTACGTGTGTAATGGTTGCTCTTTTTAAAAACGAGTGTTGTTTTGGATAATTTTGTAGAATAAAAAGTGTCGCACAGCACTATTTTAGGGTATAGTAGTGCTGTGCAACAAAAATCATTTTGATTAAACCTAGATTAACTCTCGGATAATCTCAGTTCATGATACGTTTCTTACAGTGGTGAGCAAGGTTCTTCTATTTTAGTAAGTGAAGCCTTAACTTCTAAAGGAGCTAAAATATCTGTTACTTTTTTCCTAATTTATTTTAGTTTTATTTAAAATAACTCTTGGTTAATTTGAGCTACATAGATAAGCCAGACAATGACGGATTCAGTTTCACTTACCTCATTTACGGACTCATGTGGACACTCGCTAGATATCGGTATCACTTTCCATGGGGCCAGTGTCAGCCAGGAGGTAGAGAGTATCTCATGCAGCATCCTCGCTAAATGCAGGAACCCTCTGCAGCATCTTAGGATAGCTTCCCCGTTTGAGAACAGAATGTTGGACATCAAGGTAAATTTGACAGTGAAAAGAAATATTTCATATTGGTATGGTCTTAATTTGCAAAGATTATCAGCCTATCAACCTAGTGAGATACATAAGCCATTTTATTCTTAAATGATAAGTGTTCATTTAAAGTTAGATCTTTCATAACAAATACTCATAATTACAACAATTATGATTTTTAAATACAATAAACTTAATAGTGTCTAAAATGATACTCTTTTGGCTTCCCTGTCTGTCCCTTTGCCTTTGAAGAAAGTTGTTCAGGAAAGAATGCACCCAGAAGTGAATGATCATGTGAGCTTTTTCCTAGTGGACCACAGTTTTCACCATTTCTGTTCTCGGCCTAGAGGTTCCTGGGAGGCAAGAGACACTGTGCTCACTGCCTCTGTATGTGGAGCAGGCCTGAGTAAGTGTCTGAGGTTTGAATGGATGGGTGGATGGATGAAGACACACTCTGACTGTAGAGGCACCCTCATTTCTGTCAGCTGAGGTTGTTTCCAAGGCCTCTGTAATCAGTAGAGCTGGTGAAGCTCAGCTTTGAGGATGCAGCTATGGTGATGCTGTCCAGTTACTGAGTGAGCATCCGTTCTGAGCAGAGTAACTTTGCAGAGCTGAGATCTGTTTCCTGCATGTGTGACTCCTGTCTTACATTTTTGGTGTGTGTTCTGGTCTCCACAGCCTGATTACATCAACCCCAGAGCCGTGCAGCTGGGCTCCCTTCTCGTCCGCGGCCTCACCACTCTGGTTTTAGTCAACAGCGCATGTGGCTTCCCCTGGAAGACGAGTGATTTCATGCCCTGGAATGTATTTGACGGGAAGCTTTTTCATCAGAAGTACTTGCAATCTGAAAAGGGTTATGCTGTGGAGGTTCTTTTAGAACAAAATGTGAGTTCACAGACACCTACCTTTCACCAGAAACATCCCTGTAGCTCCAGGCTGCACAAAAAACATGAAGTCGGCTGTTGCATTTTTCAAATTAATGCTTTCCAAATAAAGGATTCCGTTAAACCAGGAACACATGATTTGAAGCATTAGGCTTCTGCATCAACATAACTAATACAGGCTGAATATCCCTTATCTGAAATACTTAGGACCAGAAGTGTTTTGGATTTTGAATGTTTTTGGAATTTTGGAATGTTTGCATATACAGTTGATCCTTGAACAATGCAAGGGTTAAGGGCTCCAAATCCTTCTGCAGTGGAAAACCTGTATATAATTTTTGACTCCCCCAAAACGTTACTACAAAGAGCCTACTGTTGACCAGAAGCCTTAACCAATAACATAAGCCGTCAATTAACACATCATTTGTATTATATATGTATTATATACTGTATTCTTACAATAAAGTAAGTGAGCTAGAGAAAAGAAAATGTGATTAAGAAAATCATAAGAGAGAACTATATTTACTGTCCATTAAATGGAGGTGATCATCCTCACATTGAGTGGGCTGAGAAGGAGGAAGAGGGGTGGGTCTTGCTGCCTCAGGCGTGGCAGAGGCAGAAGAAGATTCGAGTGTAAGTGATCTATGCAGTTCAAACCCATGTTGTTCAAGGGTCAGCTGTACATACATAATGAGATATCTTGGGGCTGAGACCCAAATCTAAACACAAAGTTCATGTATGTCTCATATACTCCTTATACAATAGCCCGAAAGTAATTTTATACAGTATTATTAATGACGTGCATGGAACAGTGTTTTCACTGCATCCATCACATGAGACCAGGTGTGGAATTTTCCACTTATAGCAGTTTTAGATTTTGGATTTTCAGATTAGGAGTGCTCAACCTGTAGCTTCTTCCAGAATTCTTAAATAGGATTCAGGACTCCCAAACTTATGGTTAGGTAGGGCGAGCAGTATCACACCCAGTCTGACACATTTTTAATTTTTGAAGTGCTTTTCACTCCTCTCCCCATTTCTCACACACACACACGCACACATATATGTAATACACATACTTTTTTTTTTTGAAACAGGGTCTTGCTCTGTTGCCCAGCCTGGAATGCAGTGGTGCAATCTCCACTAACTGCAAACTTCCACCTCCTGGGCTCAAGTGATCCTCCCTCCTCAGCCTTCTGAGTAGCCAGGACTGCAGGCGCGCATCACCATGCCCAGCTAATTTTTGTATTTTCTGTAGAGGTGAGGTTTTTCCACGTTGCCCAGGCTGGTCTTGAACTCCTGGGCTCAAAGTGATCCGTCTGCCTCAGCCTCCCAAAGTGCTGGGATTACAGGTGTGAGCCACCGCGACCAGCCCCTCTCCCTATTTTTTAATGAGGAACTAATACTCCCTGCAAAAGTGCCCCACAGATATCAGACTAATCTGATAGGTGTAGTTATGATTTATTACTTGAAAATACTCCCCAAAGGCTGCCAATTTAGTTGGGGACGCTGGCTGCTGTCCAGCTTAATAAATACAATCGCTACATGACTCCTGGAAGATTTCCAAGTAAGGCCTCAAGCCAAGCTCATTTGGAATGTGTTTTAATACCCGCAGGGATGAGAAAAGCGGTGTGATCCGTGAGAGAGCATACCGGTCTGTCACGATAAAGCACTCCAAGCTTTCATAGCGGAGAGAACACATTTGGTAATGTGTTGCCATCACTGTTCCTCACATACACACACACAGATTCCAGAGTGGCATAGGACTGCAAGTATTTAGAACTTAGAAGCAGCCTGAATTTTATAGAGAGCAAAAGCAGAACAAGAGGAGAAATGTGCTTCTAATAAGCCAATAAGTATTGGAAAGTAGACTGTAGAAATGAAAGGTAAAGTAGCCTTAGTGTAGCCTGTAAGTCATTCCATCAAGGATCTTTTCCTTTCTTTATCCAATCTCTTGACCAAGTTCCAAGTGATTATACGTTCTAGTTTGGGAAAAAAAAAAAGTATAGGATAGAATATTCAACAATAAAACAGGAAGCTTGAAGGAAAGGTTGAATGTTCCATGTTCCATTTCTTGATCTGCTGATGTTGTTTTGTTTTTTGTTTTTTGTTTTTTTTCTGACGTTGGCATTTCTGCTGAATGTTCTTATAATTAAGAATCGAAAGATTAAGATATATTAAATCCAAACACTTTTTAAGGTAAGATTGTGTGGTAATCACCTAAATTGTCGTAATAGGACTTGAAGATTCTTTTTTAGAAATGATTGTTTAACCTACAGAAGCTGCTTGGTGTTCTTTTTCTGGGGGATTTAGGAGAATATGTTCTCGAAGAACCTCTTGGGATGTGGTCATGCTGAAGGAGAACTGTGCTGCGGTTCATGTCTGGGAGGAGGGTGCAGCCACCATTGCTGCCTCGCCTTGGGAACAGTGTGGAAGGGTGTCCCCTAAGCTTCCTTCCAGCCACATCTGGCCCTACTTTGCCACATCTGGCCCCTCACATCTCATTTGCATCTGGTCTGTTTGCAGAGATCTCGGCTCACCAAATTCCACAACCTGAAGGCAGTCGTCTGCAAGGCCTGCATGAAGGAGAACAGACGCATCACTGGCCGAGCCCACTGGGGCTCACACCACGCAGGTGGGAAAGGGCCAGGTGCCTCTAGAAGCCCCACAAGCGTAGACCCTAACTGCTTCCTGAGTTTTGTTGATAAATGAATTCTAAGAAGAGGCTGATATAATTGGATGAACAGAATAGAATTTAAATGATAGGGCCGGGTGCGGTGGCTCACGCCTGTAATCTCAGCACTTTGGGAGGCCGAGGCAGGCAGATCACTTGAGGTCAGGAATTCAAGACCAGCCTGGCCCACATGGTGAAACCCCGTCTCTACTAAAAATACAAAAATGAACCGGGCGTGTTGGCGGGCGCCTGTAATCCCAGCTACTTGGGAGGCTGAGGAAGGAGGATCACTTGAACCTGGGAGGTGGAGGTTGCAGTGAGCCAAGATCACGTCACTGCACTCCAGTCTAGGTGACAGATCGAGACTCCATCTCAAAAAAAAAAAAGTATTAAAATCTCTACCCAGTGGTTTAAATTCTGGTCCCAGCAGGAAAATTTCTCAGAAAGGATTCGCTCATTAATTAAATAATGAAGAACTCTTTCTCTGCATGTGTAACCTCCTTTCTAGGGTTCCCCAAAGTGGAACAGCTGCTTAGGTAATGTTTGTTTATTTGACAAGAGTTTAGGTTTATTTTTTCTTATGATAAAAGTATATTATAAAAAATGAGTATAAAGAAAGTAATTAAAAAGGAAATATACATGGCCTTTAATTCTATCACATAAAGACAACGAGCTTCTGCCAAGGTTTTCTGTGTTTGCATCTCATTGTGAGTACACTCCATGCAGTTTGCATCCTGCTTTCCCACTTAGCACTTAACTTAGGGCGTTAACACCGTTCTTCTTAAACAACGGCCACAGAATCTTCCACTACTACATAGCTTGTTCCCCTGTTTGGAGCTCTGAGGGTATTTCCATTTTTTTCTCATTACTCCTAATGCTTGTATGTGTATTATTATTATTTTCTTCAAACAGAATATCATTGTCTGTGGAATCATAGATTGAAATATAATCAATTTTAGGTAAATGATCACTGAATACCTTCTCCAGCAGTGAGCAAGAGTTTCCGTTTCAGGGTACCCTTGACACTTCTAAAAGTCTGGGGGTTTTTTGCTTTTTGTTTTTTTGAGATGGAGTTTCACTCTTGTTGCCCAGGCTGGAGTGCAGTGGCTCGATCTCGGCTCACTGCAACCTCCGCCTCCCGAGTTCAAGCGATTCTCTTGCCTCAGCCTCCCGAGCAGCTGGGACTACAGGCTTGTGCCACCACGCCCGGCTAATTTTTGTATTTTTAGTACAGAAGGGGTTTCACCATGTTGGCCAGGATTGTCTCAATCTCTTGACCTCGTGATCCGCTGGTTTTCAAAAACCAATTTGGTAGATGAAAAATCTATCTCATTGATTGAATGCTGCTTTGTCTGTCAGTGAAGTTAGATATCTTATTAGTTTATTTTGTTAATGAGACTTTTTAATTATTCTTTCATGCCCTCCTTCAGTTCATGTTTACACCTGTAACTACTGCAGTCCCATTATTTTTCTTGATGGAATAGGAGAACTCAGCCCAGATTCTTATCCACCCAGACTATCTCTAGGAGAACTACTTGGTGTCAGCCTTGCAAATACCATTCTCAGAGGTTTCGTGTCATGGGGGGAGTAGCCGCCTCAGATGCACCCAGATCCCACCAGGTGTCGTGCGTAGCACCCCATGAAGGGAGAGCAGCCAGGGTGTGTGGAGCCATGTCCAACCATGAGAGGGAAGGCTGCTTTTTCTACTGTTCCCAATCCTTTTCTCCATCTTTTGACTTTCTGCCACCAACTATAGATAGACAGAGATTGAGACCCCCAAAACAAAGTTGATTTATTGCAAAATAAATGTGTGATACTCTCTCACATTGCCTGTTTCCTTACCTGGTTGGCAGTAGGTCCTCAGAAGTTTGCGCCGTGGCTGGGCACACACCTGTAATCTGAGCACTTTGGCAGGCTGAGGTGGGAGAATCACTTAAGGCCAGGAGTTTGACACTGGCCTGAGAAACATAGCGAGACCCTGTCTTTACAAAAAAAAAAAAAAAAAAGTCTGCACTGCATACACAGTCCTGCAGGGTTCCCTCTCCTCTCCAGACTGAGGTTGTCAGCGAAGCCATGACAAGCGGCTGAGAGACCTGCAGATGCTGGACGCTGCTGCTTAGGTGGCAGTAGGCGTGGCGGTTGTCAGGCCAAACTCCTCTTTCATTTCAGAGGCCATGAGGTCCTGCAGGACAAGTTTATTTTGAGCACTAAAGATGACCTGTTAGTCTAATGCAGTGTGGTACAGTGGTACTTACAATTTTTATAGAAACTAAATTTTGACTATTTTCTAATGAAGTCTGCATACAAATGGGCAGAAATCAGTGTCCTGTCATATTATTCCAAGTTAATGAGGCAAACTACATTTTCCTTTTGTATTATTCCATTAATGAGGCGAACTACATTTTAAGAGCTATGATAGATTAGTAAGATCATTTCGTGATTTGGAAACTGTTCCCTTTTTTGTTCTCAAAGTAATTTTCTTCACAAATCCAACTTAAGGTTCTATGGTTCAGTCCCTCATTTTGCTGAAGAACCTTATGCCCCACATGGCTCACCCAAAACCAAGCTGATTCTTCGTTGCAGAACTTAGACTGAAGCCTCCACCGCTTGGCCCCAGCCCCATGTTCTTGGGTAATGCTGAGCTTGCACCTCCTGTGTTGGGGAAGGGCTGTAGGGACGTGGTAGGGCCCTGCAGTCCTGACTGCCGTTGTCTGCTTCCACGGGCCGCACAGCCAGGCCACTGCAACACCAAGCTACTCGGTGTGTTGGCCTCTGGACCCAAGCTGACAGCTGTGAGCTCACAACTGCTCCAAGCTTGGAGTCACCTGTTATTCTCAGTGTGTGGTCACAAGTGCTCATGCTGGAGGTGAGCTGGAGACCACGTGTGTAAGATGAGCACACACGGGCTGACCCTGGCCAGATGTGAGGAGCATGTCACCAGTCCTGCAGACCAGTAGCTCAGAGACAAGGGCAGCAGTCACAAAGGGATGACATCACGGCAGGAAGGTGGGTCTTGGGGGACTTTCAGTAGCTAGACTGGGGTAAAACACCACAATGGGAGGACACTGGGGAAGGTGAGTCAGCCTTAGAGACCACAGAGGCTGCTGAATGCCAGGCAAGTCGTGGCTTTTCTACCCACCTCATACTGGGGAGGTTTTGAAGTTTTTTGAGGTGATGTGATGAGAAATCTGTTAGTTCAGGACCTGTATCTGGGCCCCAGACAAGGGGGTTGGTCCTGAGGGCAGCCCAGGAGCATGTGCCAGCACAAGGCCACGCCTCCGTGGACACCGCAGCATGCCAGCACAAGGCCACGCCTCCGTGGACACCGCAGCATGCCAGCACAAGGCCACGCCTCCGTGGACACCGCAGCATGCCAGCACAAGGCCACGCCTCCGTGGACACCGCAGCATGCCAGCACAAGGCCACGCCTCCGTGGACACCGCAGCATGCCAGCACGAGGCCACGCCTCCGTGGACACCGCAGCATGCCAGCACGAGGCCACGCCTCCGTGGACACCGCAGCATGTCAGCACAAGGCCATGCCTCCGTGGACACCGCAGCATGTCCAGGGAGGACCAGCCTGGTGGAGGCACACCCTGCAAGGCCACTCTTCCCTCATAGCTAAAGCCCCAGGTGGCCTGCACACTGCATGTGTGGTCACGCACTGGGAGTCCTGGTCACAGTGTGGCCCACCTCGCGGATGCTTCCAGTGCACCTGTGGAGCAGGGACAGTACCCATGGCAGGGCTGGACGGCCTGGGCCTTCTTTGTGGAGCACCATGGACTATCACGATACCTTTAAAAAATCACATGAGTTTGTATGTAATCAGGCCTTCTAGTAGAGACAAACAGGACAAGGTGTCATGGACTGGGAAGTTATGGAAATTTTAAAGCACGAAAAGTGTGTGTGAGTGAAGTTTGTGGAGAATGGGGAGAAGCTCACAAGTCCCAGAAGTGCTGCTCCATGCCTCAACCAGGGCCCTAGAGGGATGGGCTTGGTCATGGGCGCCATGGCCTGCATGGGTCCAGGGGGCCCCAGGGAAGAGGAGTGGTTGGGCTGCTCAAGTCTTTGTTTGCAGAGTCCGACCTCTCACCACCAATACCAGATTCTCCTGGGGTAGGGTTTAACACGCAGATCTGTGACTCCACTCCTGAGCCGGGTTCTCTGGGGATGCAACCCTTAAATTTGCGTTTTTTCATGACCCTCCCTCTGATTTAAGTACGGGGATACTGCTGACCTGGTGCTGCCTTGCCACCCTTTACATGCTGTGTCATTTGGGTTAAGACATTTGACAACTTACTAATCTTCTGACTATGTGTTCCCACAGGGAGGTGGGGAAGACAGGGCTCCAGCTACCACAGGACGGGCTCTGGGTATAGCCGTTCCAGTCAGGGACAGCCGTGGAGAGACCAGGGACCAGGTAAGAAGGCCAGTGGTCACTCTGCTGGGCCACCTGCATGGCACTGCCTCTCACCTTGTGCTTTTGCTGATAACTGCCTTCCTCTGTTTCAGAAAGGTTGTATAGTTCCAGTAAATAAACAGATAAATATACCAATGCATCTAATTTTTATCATTTAGTGAAATAAAGACAAATAATTTCCATGGTTGATGCTAGCCCTGTCTGCATCTGGCCACTTTATTCATTTTCTATCAGTTCATTCTGCTCAAGATCCAGTTTTTGTAATTTACTTGCTAGAAGGTACTTGTAAAGTTTACATGTGGAAGATCCATTGTTCTCATGAAAAAAGGACAGGTTATAGTGTTTCACCAATAGCTGCATTCAGGTAATAGGATTCTGATATTTTCCGTGACTTGGATTACAGTGTGAGGTAGGAAATAGCCCCAACCCTTTGTTTTTTACATATGTTGTACAGATGCTGTTTTAATGCATGTATCGTGCTGAATTTAAATACATCGAGAACTTCACATCAGTATTTGAGCTCAAATTCCGTATAGTTTTGAGAGCCAAACTTTATAAACTTTGAAATTACCTAATATTTATCATTTAATCCCTTAAAATCCAAATCAGCCTTTGATTTATGATATCTGTGACTTTCACAACGTCTAAAATGTGTAGAGACTTCGCAAGCTGCTCAAATTATTCCCTAAAACACAGCAAGTCTTCAGTGTGAATCCAGTTGACCTTTGGGGTCTGTCTCGGGTGGAGTCTGCATGGAGGCTGCGGGGCCGCACATCTGTTGAGTACCGTGTCCTTTCCTCTTGGGTCTGTACAGTCAGCAAACATTGCGAGTCCACTGTATTGCTGACTGTAGATGAGAATTGATGGTGAATGTTTTTGAAATGCCCATCCTTGAGAGAGAGCTCCATGAATTTAATGCCCATCTTTGAGAGAGCTCCAGGAATTTAGATTTACATTTGCTTGAGATGTTTCCTTGAATGAGCTTAACCTGCAGAAACTCAACCCCACCGAGTCGTGCAGTCACTGTCATGTGGAGCTTCCAGATGGCCCCACTGAACACGTGCAGTCCATCCTTTCATGGTCTCTACTACAGTGTAAACATAAGGGTCACTTCCACTTCGTCACTAACTAAATCATCCGAGTATTTATACCAGTGCAGGGCAACTGAGATCTGGGCAAAAGACCTTCCATTTGTGCAAGGATATTTGAGATTGCTTTTAACTTAGAAGGTGCTGCAGTTGATTGGAGTAAACCACAAACAGGGAACCCAAAAACAATGGGAGGGGTTTTGTAAACTTACGTAGACTCAGACTGAAGCCTGGTGCTTTGGGCCATTGCCGCTGCCCTAGGCGACTCTGGCCTTGGGGTGCAGTCCTGTGTGATGCATGTGCTGTGGCTTTCCAGTTAGCTTCTCCACCCTGGTTAAGAGTCTGCTTTCAGGTCAGAGACTGCAGCCCTGAGGTCGTGTGTGTGTAGAGAGCTCAATGCCTGTCCTGGGGGCTCCCCGTGGGCTGGGGGCCTACAGCCCTGACTTGGCGGATCTGTCTGCAGCTGGCCGTGCACATTAGGGCTGCTTGGGAAGAGTGCAGGGTCTGGGCTTCTGAGTCTTTGGGATGAGAGGCCTTCCTCACATGAGCCATGGTGAGGGTGCTCCCAAGAGGAAGGTGAGCGTGTGCAGAGCACTTAGGTCCAAATGGGTGGGTAGAGCTTATGTTCCCCCTCCATCCCTCCCTCACTCTCTCTGCTGCTTGAAATAGCAAATCTGAGATCTCCTTGACAAGGTGATATTTAAGCAAAGGCCTGATGAGAGGGTGGGAGCTGATGCCAGATGCCTGTGGGCCAGATTTGGGGGCAGAGGGGCCAGTCGGAGCTGTCACGAGGTCAGGTGGGCTAGACTTGGAGGGCCCTGCAGCTCTGTGTGAATCTGGAGTCCACCCCGACCGAGAAGCTTGACCCAGGTGATTGCAGCAGGTGGTGAGACCTCATTGACCACATCCCGCAGAAATGCTCAAGGTCTGCAGACCGACCACATCCAGCTGATGATGGCACACAGCTTGGTCTAGATCTAGGGTTTAGTAATGTCGGAAATATTGGTGTTGACTGATGTGGAGTAAAGCTACTGGGTGAAGCGGGCATCCCAGCCTCATCCATCCACACCTTCCCACCCTGGAGATCCGTGACCAGCCTGGCCGTAAATGCCAGGCCAACCTTGATGACATGAAAGCTGTTGGCCCCTCTAGGTGAGGATTCAGCAGAACCCACCTGACCCAGTAAGGCAGGCTGGCAGGGGAGGGAAGAGCCACAGCCTCTCTTTCGGGCAGACTGACTGGGCAGGGCGTGCTGTCATGTCCCCTACTCCTAGCCTCGTGGTAAGAAAGGAGACCTTCTGCTTACCCTCTTTGGCTTGGGGTTGCCCCCTTTCTTCCCCCTGGGCCTCAGGAAGGTGGAGAGGGGATAGTCAAGAGAGTCCACAGTCCAGATGGGAGGATGGGAAAGAGGCTACGGGTTCTGCAGACAGGTGTGCCTGCCTGTCACAGAGGAAACTGTAAAGAGTGTGCCATCAGGCCTCCCACTGATGGGACTCATCGCCACAGGCAACGCACTGAAACCTTTCCATCAGGCATCTGGCCTGGATAACCTTGAGTGTCCTTTCTAGCTCTGGAATTCTGTGACTTTCTATTCTATTTATTGAATGGTGGGTGAGACATTAGTAAAGTGTAACTCTTAGGAGTCAATAAGGAAGGTAGAACTATGTCATAACTCTTAGGAGTGAGTGGGAAAGGTAGAACTATGTCATAACTCTTAGGAGTGAGTGGGGAAGGTAGAACTATGTCATAACTCTTAGGAGTGAGTGAGAAAGGTAGAACTATGTCATAAGCCTTAGGAGTGAGTGGGGAAGGTAGAACTATGTCATAACTCTTAGGAGTGAGTGGGGAAGGTAGAACTATGTCATAACTCTTAGGAGTGAGTGAGAAAGGTAGAACTATGTCATAAGCCTTAGGAGTGAGTGGGGAAGGTAGAACTATGTCTTAACTCTTCGGAGTGAGTGGGAAAGGTAGAACTATGTCATAACTCTTAGGAGTGAGTGGGGAAGGTAGAACTATGTCATAACTCTTAGGAGTGAGTGGGGAAGGTAGAACTATGTCATAACTCTTAGGAGTGAGTGAGAAAGGTAGAACTACGTCATAAGCCTTAGGAGTGAGTGGGGAAGGTAGAACTATGTCATAACTCTTAGGAGTGAGTGGGGAAGGTAGAACTATGTCATAACTCTTAGAAGTGAGTGGGAAAGGTAGAACTATGTCATAACTTAGGAGTGAGTGGGAAAGGTAGAACTATGTCATAACCCTTAGGAGTGAGTGAGAAAGGTAGAACTATGTCATAACTCTTAGGAGTGAGTGGGAAAGGTAGAACTATGTCATAACTCTTAGGAGTGAGTGGGAAAGGTAGAACTATGTCATAACTCTTAGGAGTGAGTGGGGAAGGTAGAACTATGTCATAACTCTTAGGAGTGAGTGGGGAAGGTAGAACTATGTCATAACTCTTAGGAGTGAGTGAGAAAGGTAGAACTATGTCATAACTTAGGAGTGAGTGGGGAAGGTAGAACTATGTCATAACTCTTAGAAGTGAGTGGGAAAGGTAGAACTATGTCATAACTCTTAGGAGTGAGTGAGAAAGGTAGAACTATGTCATAACTCTTAGTAGTGAGTGGGGAAGGTAGAACTATGTCATAACTCTTAGGAGTGAGTGAGAAAGGTAGAACTATGTCATAACCCTTAGGAGTGAGTGGGGAAGGTAGAACTATGTCATAACTCTTAGGAGTGAGTGAGAAAGGTAGAACTATGTCATAACTCTTAGGAGTGAGTGGGGAAGGTAGAACTATGTCATAACTCTTAGGAGTGAGTGAGAAAGGTAGAACTATGTCATAACTCTTAGGAGTGAGTGGGGAAGGTAGAACTATGTCATAACCCTTAGGAGTGAGTGAGAAAGGTAGAACTATGTCATAACCCTTAGGAGTGAGTGAGGAAGGTAGAACTATGTCATAAGCCTTAGGAGTGAGTGGGGAAGGTAGAACTATGTCATAACTTAGGAGTGAGTGGGGAAGGTAGAACTATGTCATAACTCTTAGAAGTGAGTGGGAAAGGTAGAACTATGTCATAACTCTTAGGAGTGAGTGAGGAAGGTAGAACTATGTCATAACCCTTAGGAGTGAGTGAGGAAGGTAGAACTATGTCATAAGCCTTAGGAGTGAGTGGGGAAGGTAGAACTATGTCATAACTTAGGAGTGAGTGGGGAAGGTAGAACTATGTCATAACTCTTAGAAGTGAGTGGGAAAGGTAGAACTATGTCATAACTCTTAGGAGTGAGTGGGGAAGGTAGAACTATGTCATAACTCTTAGGAGTGAGTGAGGAAGGTAGAACTATGTCATAACTCTTAGGAGTGAGTGGGGAAGGTAGAACTATGTCATAACTCTTAGGAGTGAGTGGGGAAGGTAGAACTATGTCATAAGCCTTAGGAGTGAGTGAGAAAGGTAGAACTATGTCATAACCCTTAGGAGTGAGTGGGGAAGGTAGAACTATGTCATAACCCTTAGGAGTGAGTGAGGAAGGTAGAACTATGTCATAACCCTTAGGAGTGAGTGGGGAAGGTAGAACTATGTCATAACTCTTAGGAGTGAGTGGGGAAGGTAGAACTATGTCATAAGCCTTAGGAGTGAGTGGGGAAGGTAGAACTATGTCATTTACAGATGTATCATCAAGAACATGCCCCATCCTGCCCTGATCTCAGAAGGCAGGTGGAGTGGGACCTGTTTGGTACTGACTCCTCTGGGAATGATAAGAGTCACAGGCTTTTCTTTATTTCTTTCATTTTCTTCCAGAGGCGGCCTGCTGTGGTAGCTTCAGACAGGCTGACTTTGTCTCAAGCGCTGGTTCTGCCCCTTCCCAGTGGCCTGCCCTTAGGGGATCCCTGGACCACTGGGCTGCTCCCTGGCTTCTGATCAGTGTGGCCTGACCGGCTGCAGGGACGGCACCTCCACAGCACCAGCATCCAGGCAGAGGGGATCGTGGCCACTTCTTCCAAAACCAAGTTTTTCCTTTCCTGGCATTAATTCTAACATTTCTCTTAATATTTATGTCAAACTATTTTGTTAAAGAGTTTTTTCTGTTAAAAATAAAGCAATGTCCGTCCTACCTCAGTATCGCTGTTCTTGCAGAATGAAGTGAAGCAGGAACATCACCAAAGCCTGCAGGTGTGGCCTGGCGGGAGCAGAGCCATCTGCTTCTCCCAGGGCTCCCCCAGAGCATGGCCCCCAGGTCAAGTGCCAGGAAGGATGCCATGCACATTGGCTTCTTTCTTTCATGTGACGACAGAGACTACAGGAGCATCTTTAAACTAGACCAAAAGAACCCCCTTCCTTGGATTGACAGGAAGCAGCTTTCTTCCGATTCTGTTAGCAGAGAACAGTGTCCAGAAATTTCTCATCCTCATGCAAATTAAAACAGCATAATGACTTTCCATAGGCGGAATTGTAGCTAGTCATCCTCAGCCCTGGGTCCCTGCCAGGGGAAAGTCTCACTCTTGGAACCCTGTGTGCCTCTGCAGCAGATCCCTCGGCCATCCAGTAACAGGAACCCCCCAGTCGCCCCGGTCTTGCCAGAAGTCCAGAGGCCACCATGGTTTCCTCGTCCTGCCTGATGGCAGCTCCTTGGGGCAGGCTGAGCTAAGCCTGAGGGGTCTCCAAGTGGCATTCAGCAGCTGGTGTGTGGGTGAGGAGAGAGCCCTCAGATGGACACAGGTTTGGGGGTGACAGGACATGGGGGGCTGGCAGGAGACAGACAGAGGCAGTGTCCCATCAGGACTGAGCTGGAGAAGGAGGCCGTCCAGAAGCTGGCAGAGAAGAGAGGCTCTGAGGATAGAAGCTGACAGAAAGGGCCAGGGAGCAGGGAGGGAGGGAGCAAAGGCCGCTGTCCCCTGCAGGAGCCAGGACAGGCACCGCCAGTATCTCCAGGAGTGCTTATTTCTTACTTCTTTCTGCCTGTAATAGTATAAGCTACTGATAGGAAGCAGAAAATTTATACAGGCTGAGTATCCCAAGTCTGAGATCCAGAATGCTCCACAGTCCAGAATTTTTGCCCACCAACAGGACACTCAAAGGAAATGCTCCTTGAAGCATTTTGGAATTTCGGATATTCAGATTAGGGTTGCTGAACCCCGGTAAGTATAATGCAGATATTCCAAAATCTGAAAAAAATCTGAAACCTGAACTACTTCTGGTTCCAAGCATTTCAGAAAGGGGTTACTCAGCCTGTAGTAAACAACCCAGGGCTGCCTCCGCAGCCTGCATCTGTGTGGCTTTGGATGCATGAGTGGCCACAGGCCTCCCCAAGAGGCACTCTCTCTTCCCCGAACATGCCATCCTCCCTCAGGACTCCCTGCGCCCTGGGCTCTGTGGGCCCTGCACCCTGCGTGTCCCACGCTTCAGTCCCTCATCATCTTTGCTGTGTTCCCACTGCTGAGGGTGCTGTGCACGTCCCAGGATGGACCTAAGGAGGCAGGCTCAGCAGACGAAGGCCCCTGTTTGTGCGCCCTCTTAAATATTAAATATTAAATCTAGTCTTGCTTTAATATTTGCTTCCTGTAGATTCCCGAATCCCTGAGCTGGTCCGCAAGGCTGTGGGGGTGGCAGAGGTCCTCCCTAGACTCTGCATTTTGCCAAGCTTTCCATAGCATGCCCAGTAATTTGCTTTTAAATCTAGTACGCACACCTGTAAGTACCACTTTAGCACAAGCTTCATTTCTGACATACATTTCTTTAGGATGTCATTGACAAATATAAATAAAAAGCCAAGTAACCAAAGTGAGTTAGTAGCTCTTCCTGACCCAGAAAGGAGCACGGAGGAGATGTGAGCAGTGGGCACAGGAGCAGTGCGGGCACGCTGGCCCTGCTGAGTGAAGCACGCGTGACCAGGAGAGCAGCTCCACACCTGTCTCTGTCGCCTCGTTCCTAAGTCACTATTAAGTGAAGTGGGCTCTCCCGGGCTCTGCGGAGCCCACAGCCCTCCAGAAAAAGGAGGAGACAGTTGGGCTACATGGCGTGAACTCCAGGTGTAGGGTTCCCTTCTCACCACCTACAGGACCACTTTGAATTTCAGGAATGATTTGGAACTCGAAGGAATGTTTGTCAGTCTGGGTGCAAGGCCTAAGGGAGCATGTTTTACCACTTCTGTTCTGGTCACTTAGAAACAATAAAACTGTAATGACCTCAGCAGCTGGAGCCTAACACCACTTCAAGGCTGTGCCCTAGTTTCATAAATAGGTCTTTGAAGAAGATCCCTGCTTTATTGGAGTAGATCATAACAGTAACACAGAAATCAAAGAGTGGTGATGCGTGTGGGTTTGGGGCCAGAAAGTAGCTCTGGGAGACTCTTAGGTTAAAGGCAAAATTGAGATGTTAAATGCTGAGTTTGTGTCAGATTTAAGAGTTTAGGAATGAGAGTGGGAGAAATTAAGCCGTTCTTGCAAGACAGAAGCAAGGATGCTATATTTCATTTGCATTCTGCCTTCCATGCGGAAGTAGTTACAAAAGTGATATTAGTGGTGCCTGTGTGTATTCTAATTTCAGAGATTCCAGTATAAAGTGTATGTTATACACACATGCACACACACTGCTCTCATCAGGACTGGAATCTGCTTTTCAGACCAAGTAATCCACCTTTTCAGTTGTAATTACTGTGAGGGAGTTTGGGGCAGCACATTTCTCCTGGGTTTTGCCTACCTTCAACTCCTCTTTTGGTATTTCTTGAAGATATTAAAGTAGTTCAAGTAGAAAGTTGTCACTATTTCCAGGGCAATTGATAGGTAAAATTTCTTGTGTTAGTAAAAAAACTAAAAATGCCTCTTCATGAAAGTATTCAGTCACTGCCAAAAGTTGTCAAGTTTCTGGAGCCTGAGTGTGTGGACAGGTAGGGGGTCCTGGGGAGCCTGGCCTGAACTCTCTGGTCCACTTCAAAGGCCTCAGAGCTCAGTGCAGGCAGCTGCCCCGAGAACAAAGGCTGCTCAAGTGAGAAGGCTTTAACCTCTTCCTTGCTGTTGCTCAGCCCCGCTGGAAAGAGATGACGTGTTAAATTCCACAGTCCATAGCTACAATTTGCCTGTGATTTTCCAGATTGTCACTTCTCTGTGGTGATTCTGTAGGAGGCCTGCCATAAAACTGCTGTGATCATCTGTGGTAACAAGGGTGGGGGCAGAGTAACAAGGGTCTGGAAACCTCACTTTGGCTGTAGCCCTCTCCTTTCACACCTTCTGCCGGAGCCCACACTTTTGGGGGAGGGGAGAGACCCAGGCTGCCCACGGCAGGAGTGGGTCAGAGGAGAGGCATGGAGACCATCCCCAGTCACGGCAAGTGAAGGCTCTTGCCGTCATACACCAGAAGATAACTCAGAGCAGGGAACTCTGGAAGAAAAGTGTTATTTTTAAAATGTGAAAAACTGTCACCGTTTTTGCTACTAGTAGGGAGGTTCTGCCCCGAGTCTCTTCCCAACGTTCCCTGTCTATCAGAAAGGCAGACAGTAGCCACCCAGGCTGGGCCAGCCGCAGAAAGAGCTGCACGTGGGCTTTTCTGTGTTGGCAGAACGTCCATGGTGAGCCATCTGCATGTGAATTTCCATTTCCAAAAGTCGTCAGCAATAGTAAATGCCTAGAAATCACGCAGATGGATGGAGCTGGTGTGAAGAGGAACAACTTTGACATTGTTTCCTTCCACGAACCTCTTAATTAATTGCTTCCACTTTAATGGAATAATTATGGAACACAGTTTTAATGGCATGTGGCCACAACTGTAAAGAGGATAAAGCTGTGTCCTCCAAATACAGCTCAGCATCTTTGTTCATACTTAGAAATGTGCAGCATTCTTGTTTGTGTATTGAGAGAGATTTAATTCTTACTTTGGTTTTCATGTCTGTTTACTGCAGGAAGCAGACAGTATGAGCATGACCAGTGGAGAAGGTACTAGTCAACCTCCAGGTAAGTTCATCACCTGCATCTCCAGAAGAAATCAGTCACATGTCTGTCTTAATAACATAAATCTTCCATATCAAGTACCAAAGTAAACAGAACTCAGATATTGAATCCTGCTGACCTGGTGCCGAGTTAACTTGGTTTCAAAACACTCTTGCTTCCTCCAGAAAGAGTATGGAGAGAAAAAGAGGCACACCTGGACGCAGAGCCCTGCCAGCGCCCTCCTCTGCTGTTGCAGCTGCAAGGAGACCATGCCTGTGGGAGCCAGGCCTCGCTTGCATGAAGAAGGAACGATGCCTTTTTCAATGGTGTCTCCCTCCCATTGTGCAGAAGAGCTTTTGTTGGCTTCTCTCCCGAGCTTGTGCCTGATTCTGTGGCCCAAAACAATCATTGTTAACATCTTCATGTGTTTCATTCTGATCTTTCATTCATATATATGATGCCTAGCTAATTTCATTTTAAAATAAATGGGAATCTGTTGTATTCTGATTTTTTATTAGCAACACTAGATTATGAGGGGTTATCTCCTGTTATTAAAAAGTCAGAAAACACTATACAGTAGTCCTCCCTTATCTGCGGGGGAGACATCCCAAGACCCTCAGTGGATGCCTGAGACTGGATAGTATGGAATCCTACATATCTATACCTTGGCTTTTTCCTCTACGTACATACCATGATAAAGCTTAACAAAGAACAGTGAGAGATTAACAGCAACCAATAACTAATAAAAGCTATGTGAATGTGGTCTCTGTCAAAATATCGTGCTGTAATCACCCTTCTTGCTATCTGAAAACCAAGAAGACCACTAAGTGACTAATGGTCAGAGAAGCTGGATGAGGGGCTGATTCATGTCCTGGGCATGACAGAGCGGGAGGCACAAGGTTTCATCACACTATTCACAATGGCGAGCAAGTTAAAACGGATTTCCCATTTAATTTAATTTTCAGACTTCAGTTGACCATGAGTAACCGAAACCACAGAAAGTGAAGCTGGGGATATTTCAGAAATTCTTTTCTAATCAGAAATTCTAATCAAACATAAGTTTCCAACTATGTGTTCTCTTGGTCCTCAGAAGTGTTTGAATAGAAAAGTAACAACTAACTTCCCATCTTTCTGGTGGAAGAGTTAATTCTGCCTGGAGGGTTCTGCCTGGGAGACATGACAGCATGTGTGTGACTCCTGTGTCTGTTTCTGTGGGGTCATCCCTTTCGTTTCATTTTGCCAGGGCCTGGCTCAGGATTTTTTATGGCAGTGCCTGTGAAGACAAGCCTGGCCCTCCATCCAGTCACACAGGAAATCCACAGAGAGCATGCTGAGAGCAGCCAGCGGCTGGGCTGCCATCAGGCCTGGTTTATGATGCCACAAGTGAATGGCACGTTTGTTCCTCTTTATCTCTGAGCATTGAAGGACTTTTGGTTAAAAAAAAAAATTAAGTTCAGAGTAATCCTTTTCATGGAAGAATCTTCAGGTCACCAAAGAATTGAAATTTTAAGCCCCAGATTGTACTGAGCTGTACCTGTGGGAAAAGGAATGGCCAGGGTATTGATGATGGAAAAGATTCAAATGAGGAGTTAGAAGGCAAGCCCTCTGTGGGCAGCCGTCTTCCAGAAACCTCGAACTTATGTCTGTCTCCACCTGAGAAAGGAGAAGAAAAGCTGGTGGTGACCCCTGCTCCTGCTGGGCCATGCCATGGCTCTGAAGATGCCCCGTGTTCTTAGGAGGTGCTCACCCCTGGCACCTAAAGACATTTCCTTCTGGTTGTTGCTCTTTAAAAACAAAATAAGCCCCTGAACGTGCTTGCAGGCCAGTTTGTGTGCCTGCACTTGACGAATTACCTTGACCAACGGGCCAAAGGCACAGAGCTCCAAGGCATCATCTTTCCTTAAAATCCTGAGTGTTTATTAAAAAGGGACATGGTCTCTAGGTATCTTATTACATTTGTATTTCTTACATTTGAAATATCCTAACCGCTCCCTTCGGTTTCTTCTTAAGAACATTTACATCTAATTATTTTTCGTGCAAGTCTTGTAGGACCCACATGTTTTCCTAGCTTTGGAAATCGATTTTTTTCATTCCTCTTATGAGGATTTCCCTATGTCAGTAAACATTAACTTTCTATTTCTTCCATTTTTGCTCATTTGAAACCCCTGCTGCTTCTAGATCTATTTCTTTGCACTTGTATAACTTTGAAATAAATTCCTCATCCCTTAGACTAAGAGAGTGGGTGTCTGTGAAAATTGTTTTCTCCTTCATAATACCTAAATTCTAGTTTGTCAGTAAAATATTTGTGTTTGGTTAACAAGCTCTTATTTAAGCCATTGAGTTAGTATAATCTTTATTACCTTTGAAAAACCAGAGAGCTGAATTTTTTGTCATTCTAAGTTGTAAGTAACACTGCAGTCAAGTCTTCTGATGAAATTTCCATATATCAAATTGAAAATAAAGCAAAATATATTTATTACTCATAACTAATATACTTTCACATTTCTCTGATTATTTGTAAGACATTTCAGCATGTGGATGTGGGGAAGGGTGAGCCTGCCCCAGAAACATCTCCCTGCTGCCACCATGGCCACGGCTCGGCAGTCTCCCTTCACTGACTCCTGAAACTCCACGTAAATCTACCATCACCCACCCCTTCTTTGACCGTTCCCTGCACCTTCTTGCTCACAGAAAGCTGGTGTTTCCCCCATTCCTCGGTGCATAGAGCCGACACCCCTCACATTCTTGGCCTGTTTCCAGGCTGTTGTAGTTGCTTCAGCACGTGGTGGTGCACAACACCCATTCGATCGTGCTCATAGATTCTGGGCGTTGAGTCCAGGCAAGGCATGGCAGGCACCACCTGTCCCGGCTCCCACGTCTGGGCTTGGCTGGAAGACCTGGAGTCAGACGAGTCTTCGTTCTCGCCTGTATCTGGCTCATGCTGGCTCTTAGATGGGGCTTGTGTCTCTCCATGTGAGCCTCTCATTGGTCCTGAAGACTAGTTAACTGATAACTGGATGGTAACTGGATTCTGAACACAAGCTTTCCAAAGGCTAAAGAGCCAGGTAGAAGCCATGTTACTCTTTATAGCCCAGCCTCCGAAGTCACAGCATCCAGCATCTCTTCTGCCATATCCTGTTCATCAAGGCAAACAAAAAAAAAAAAAAAAAACCAGTCCAAATTCAGAGATGAAGTAGCTGCTTCCTCTTGGCCAAGCAGGACAGAGTCCCAGGAAATCATGTGAGACCAGAAGTATTACTATGGCCATTTTTGGAAAATATGGTCTGCTGCACACACCATTTCCCCTTCTCCATAAAAGCCACAAACTTGGAATCTCATCATCCAACCTTGCCACCCACCAGTCCTCCCTGTTGGCCTTTGGGTTCCTGGCTGTCACTCTTCCCAGTATGACTCTTGTAATAATTTCTGGCAGCCTTAGTATCCTGCAGCTAATCCTTCTGGTGCCCTGCTCTCAGTTCCTTGATGTCCCCTCCCAGTGATCTTGTTCTCCACCTTTGGCCTTGTAATTACCAGTTACTCAACTCCTTCGCAATCTCAGTCCCCAATACTCACTCTCCAGCCACACAGGTCATTACCTCTGGCACATGGTGATTCCTCCGTCAGACAGGAGCTGGTGCATTGACCCAGCACACTGCAGCCGAGTGCCTGTCATCATTCCTGGTCCCTTCCTCACCTGTTCTACCCTATCTGCTGACTTCCGTGGTCAATGGAAGTGACTTTCTTATATACACTACATTGCCTCTCTCATTTTACTGTATCTATGTGGTAAAACCACACACCTAGGTTAAATCCAACTCTGCTTTTAGAATGTGGCTAGAGAAAATCCCACAGTCATCCTTACTGGTCCCACCTTAAATCCAGTGAGCCCTGGGTACTGCCCGGTGGCCATTCCCCACTTCCCCCTGCGCTCTTCAGATACTTGGTTCGTGTCCTCTGCTCAGCCTTCCAGCACTACTCCTGTCCTCAGTCACAGGTGACAACTTTGCTTTCTGTAAGTTCTCACAGCCCTGTTTGCTAGCCTTCAAGCATCTGCATCATCAAGTCAGAATTCATAAACAGAATACCAGTAGAAACAGACAAATCCACAACAGAGGGAGTATCTACTTTTTAACCTACCACATGGATGAGCTGACTCTGCCCCTACCTAAGGCCGTCTCTCCAGCTGTGAACCCAGGGTCCCTCAGCTGCTCAGACAGCCCCAGACAGCCCCTTGCCCCTGAGTCATCAGCGGTGTCCTCTCCATGCTGTCCCCCCCATCTTACAGAAAACCTCTGCAACCTGCTTCTCACTCCAGCAGCCACATCATGTTTCTTTACCTTTATAGAAAAATAATGCTGAGCCCAGAATCCTAAGGTCAGCCAAATTAGCATTCTACACTAAGGAAAAATTAACACATTTTCAGGAATCAGAAATTCTTTGACCCATAGAGCCTTTCCAAGAGAAAGTGGATAGCAAAATGAGCACATCTAACGGGAATACATGGACAATGAGAAACAATGTTGAGTAAAGAAATTAGTAAAATTTCAGTCATTGCTAAACAACTATTAACCCAAAGTGAAGAAGCCAAACAATTGGAGACTAAATTTCCATATTATTTCAAGGAAAGAGATGAATGAGGGCAATGAGGTAAAAAGAAAAATAAAAGCATACTAAATTTCTTACCTTGCTTAGAAAGGATACAAATTTTTATTAAATCTGGATGTTTTTGGAAAAATGTAAGTTTATGTATGTATGCTAAAATGTTAAGCATGCACATTAAAAGAAGAAAAGTAAATAATAAAAGGAAGGTCTTTATCATAACGTTCATGCATCTGGCATAATAAATGAAAATTACAAGCAAAATACAAGGAGAAATAGACCCAGTAATAGGACACTTAACATGCATTTCACTCTCAGAAATCAAAAGATTTTGTAAACCAAAAGAAATGACATACATTTGAGTAAGTCAGTAAACAAGCTTATTCTAATAGAAATATACAGAACAAATAGATGCCTTTTTATTAATATTCTCAAACACAAATGGACAGTTCACAAAATTTAACCATGTAGTAGACCCCAAAGTAAACCTCAATCAAAATACTGAAAAGCCAATTTACTGAAATCACACAAGCCTATTTTCTGCCCTTAAGACAATAGAGGCCAGGAGCGGTGGCTCACGTCTGTAATCCCAGCACTTTGGGAGGCCGAGGTGGGTGGATCACCTGAGGTCAGGAGTTTGAGACCAGCCTGGCCAACATGGAGAAAGCCTGTCTCTACTAAAAATACAAAAATTAGCTGGACGTGGTGGCAGGCGCCTGTTGTCCCAGCTACTCGGAAGGCTGAGGCAGGAGAATTGCTTGAACACGGGAGGCGGAGGTTGTAGTCAGCCAAGATTGCGCTACTGCACTCCAGCCTGGGTGACAGAGCAAGACTCTGTTTCAAAAAAAAAAAAAATACAATGATAAATCAACAACAAAAGGATAAAAAGCAAACATTTTTCCACTTAGAAATTGACTCACCATTTAAAAATATTTACTGAGGAAATCTAAACCAAAATTACTTTTAGAAATAGAAGTGTTACCTTAAGAAATTCATGGGAGGGGAATGATATCAGAGAAGATGGCAGAGCAGGAAGCACCAGAGATCCATATCCCCACCTAGACAAAAATGGCACAAAATGGCAGAAACTATCCAAAGTAACTATTTTGGAACTCGGGAGTCTACTTGACAACTTGCAGCTTCTAAGGGGAAGCTTGCCTGGTAAGTTATGGTTAGTTTCCATCAGTTTTGGATGCCTGGTTCCCAAGTGCATGGTAGACAGCCATGCACGCATTCCTGGTGCAGTTTGCTGGAGCCAGGATGAGCACTAAGGACCTTGTTCTCCAAATACCAGGGCTCCGTGTTGTGATTGCTGCTTTGGATCACTGAGTTCGAACAGAGACTGGGCACCATTGGTTCTGCCCACACTGGCTAAAGCACCTTCCATGGGATCTAAAGGAGTAATACCTGTGGGTTTCTGTGGATTTGTTTTCGCTTTTTTGGGAGTCAGGCATTTAAGGATTAGGACATTCAAGAGCAACCATATATAAGGGAAAATTTAGAAAGCCACAGCACATGGCCAGGGCAGTGACAGGCTCAGAAAAGACCTAAGAGAACTGAGAAGTTTTTCCCTCAGGCTGGTCTTCACCACAGAGGCACCCTTTAACAATCAAAAAGCAAACCCAAGGGGAGAAGGATTATCTGATTTCCAGAGGTACAACGTTATAAGATTCAAATGTCTGTTTTTCAACAATAAAATCACATGGCTACAAGAAACAGGAAAGTATGGCCCATTCAAACAAAGAAAAATAAATGGCAGAAAGTATTTCTGAAGAAGCCTAGACATCAGGCTTACTAGACAAGACTTTAAAACAGCTGTCTTAAAGATGCTCAAAGAAAACATGGACAAAGTCCATTGAAAATGTATGAACAAAATGAGAATAACTCAATAAAGAGATAGAAATTACAAATAGGATCCAAAAAGAAATTCTGGATCTGAAAAGAACAGTAACTGAAATGAAAATTCACCAGAGGAATTCAAAAGCAGAACAATAAAGTATTGAGCAGGCAATAAAGAATGAACAAACTTGAAAATAGGAAAATTATTGAGCCTGAGAAATGGAATGAAGAATGAAGAAACGTGAACAGAGCTTAAGGAACCTGGGGAACAGCAAGTGGACCAACACACATTTCAGGGGTCTCAGAAGGGAAAGAGAGAGAGAAATAGAATAAATAATTCTGAAAACTTCTCATATTTTATAAAAGACATATAAATCTTCAAATCCAAGAAACTCAACAAACTCCAACTAGGATAAACTTAGAAAGAGACTCATACCAAGACACATTATAGCCAAACCATTGAGGACCAAAGGCAATCCTGAGAGTGAGAAGTTACTCCTCAGAGAGATTACAAGGGACCTTCAATAGAATTATTGCCAGTTTATCAGCAACCTTGGAGGACAGAGAGCAATAGGTAGATACATTTAAAATGCCAAAAGAAAAAAAACACTGTCAACTGAGAATCATCTATCTGACAAGACTATCCTTCAAAAATGAAGGAGACACTCCCAAATAAACATAAGCTGAGGGAGTTCATTACCACTAGACTTGCTGTGCAAGAAATGCCAAAGGGAAATCGCTCAGGTTGAAATGAAAGGGCCCTAGACAGTAACTTGAAGCCACATGAAGCAGTAAAAAATCTCCAGTAGAGATAAATATATGGGCAATTATAAAAGCTAGCATTATTATAATTTTGGTTTGTAACTGCACTTTTTATTTTCTACATGATTTGAAAGACAAATGCATAAGAAACAACTGACTAATCTACATTATTGGGTTCACAGTGTATAAAGATGTCATCTGTTTCAACATTGTCTCCTACAAGAATTCATTAGCTTGATTTCCCAGCCTACTTACTCTTTTTTAATTTGAGGTTTAATTTTTTCAAAGTAAAACATTCACATAGTTTAGAGAGTCAAATAGTTCTATAGGCTGTTTTTAAAACACATCAGTCCCTTTCTGTGTTTCCCAGAAACACCTACTTATACTTTCAGCTTTTCAGATGATTGTTTCCTAATAATCTGTGTATTTCTAAATAATATTCCTATTGCTATGTCTTTATTTTCTGTTTTAGGAATTACCTCTAGTGCTCACTATAGACATCAAAGGATTTCCTCTCTTGCCTCTCATCTCACTGCGTTTCCCAGTTCTCCCGAATGGTTTTAATTTTACTTAGTTTATAGTACTATTTCCATGAAATCACTGTTCACAGCTAAACTAAATAATTATAATTACTTTTACTTTTTCACTTATCATTTGTTTTTCCCGAGATTCTTGTTTTTTTTTCTGTGGGTTTATTTAGTTTTCTATACATTTATCATAATTTCAGTTCTCAGTTATAGAAATCTCATTTCAGTATACCTATACATTAGGTATCCTGTCAATTTCATCTTCTCGACATATCTTCTGCTCACTGGCCCAACCCTGCCTTGTGAGCTGTGGCTGTTATCCCTCTCTCTGGAGTTGGGGCCCTGAGTCCCATACAATCCTCTTTCTTGATTTATTTCCTTCTCCTGAGAAAAGAGGAGAATAGGGAATATGTTTTTGAGGCCTTGCAGGTCTGAAAATGTCTTTATTACACTTTCATATTTAATTGAAAGTTTACCTGGTTGTAGAATTCTAGGTTGGAAATAATTTCTTAGAATTTTGAAGGCATTGCCTCATTGTCTCCCTGCTTCCACTGTTACAGGCAGGCATCTGATGCTTTTCAGGTTGTCGATGCTTTTCTGTACCAATATTTTCTCCCTGGATGTTTATAAGGTCCTCTGTTTGTCCCTATTTGTGTGAAATTTTGTGATGAGAGGCCTTAGTGTGGGTTTGTTTCTACCTACCATGCTGGGCACTCTGTAGAATTTTCAGTTTGGCCCCTCAGTCCTTCCATCACAGAACACATATCCTAGCAACTTAAATTGGCCTGACCAGATGGCGGTGTGATTGCCTCAGTTCATCTTTGACTGTTAGCCTCATTATTGTAGAGAGTGTCCAATCAAACCGTCCTACCTGAGCAGAAAGTGCAAGTGGTGTCTTCGCCACAGTTTCTGTCCCATCCTTAGCATCCTTGGGAGGAGGAAAATGGGTGGGAGGGTGTCTGACTTCTTCCCAGGTGGCCTTGTTATAATTTTCTGGAAACTTCTTCCAGAATCCTTCTGTCTTGCCTCTTTCTGCTAAGCCTCCCTTCACAGTAGAAGCTGGTTTTGGTGTGCTGCCTCTATGTCAGTGAGCTTCCTACCCCTGTCATCCAATTCTCCACTTAAAAGACACAGCTCTTTCCATCTTTTCCCAATATTGGAAGCTTCCGCTTCAGAACCAATGTTCAAGATTTTGCATTACTGAGATTTCACTGCATTTACTTCAACTTTCCATGTCTTTTATTTGCCAACTCATCTCTGTCATTTCCCCTCTACAGGCTTGAGTATGTGACTCTGACCTGTGGTGAGGAAAGTGTTCTCCCCCACTCTTAAGGAGGTTGGGGTGGGTGAGCTTCCTTTTGAAAGGACCCAAGTGTGGCTGCCCTGTGGTCCTGGGGCACCTGGCAGTCCAGCCTCTTGGTGCTTCCAGTAGAGGATCCCATGGGAGAGGCCCAGCCCCTAGAGCCCTCAAGCCCCACCTCCCATTGCCAGTGCTCCTGTCTGCAAAGGTAGCAGTGACATAAAGCTAATTTATTTCTTTCAGATCTGGAAAAGTTTTCTTGAATGATTTCTTTGATGATTTTCTGCCCTCCATTTTATCTGTTCTGTTCCCCTTCTCAGAGGTCAGACACTATATCATAGTTCTGTAATGATCTTATATTTTCTCTCTTAATATCTGTCATTTTGCCCTACTTTCTGGGAAGGTTTCTCAACTTTATCGTTCATCCCTTCTATTAATTCTTTAATTTTACTGTTTCTAAATTGTGAAAGCCCAGACTCTTCCTTTTTTGTTGGAAAGTCTTTGTTTCATGGCCGCAGCACTTTGTCTTCTATCTCTGAGGAAATTGTGTCAGTAGTTTTATTTTGTTATTTCATAGTGTCCTTTGTAGATACTATTTTTACCAAGTTTCTTTTTCTGTTTATTTGGTTGTTTCGGTCTGTTTTCATTTTCAGTTTTTTCCTCCAATGCCTGGTGATTCTTGAATGTCTTGTGTTGTGTAGGAGCTGGGCTTTAAAAAGGTGGCCAAAAACCTGCCTGCCTGGTTGGGCCTTCAGCTGTCTTGTCAGTCATGGGGTCCTTGGGGAAGTCCTGATCCTAGAATTCTTAGCTCTTTCATGGTGGGCTGTCAGTTTCCTTAGATAAGAGTCCTCTGGTCTGTTCTTGGAGACACAAAGAGAATGATACAGTTTAGAAATTCTAGAGAAGCTCTGAGCCTTTGAAACTAGGGGAGGATAGGAGGTGACAGAGGAGGGCCTTGGGACGATCTCTAGGCTTCTGACTTGAGTTGGGCTCAGATTCCGCTCCCCCCCCCCACCCTCCCGCATGACCTTAGGAAACGCAGGGGAGGAGGACACAAGCAGAGGAGAAAGACACAGCTTTGAGGACCCCTATGGCTGGGCAGCTGGTGTAGGGCCAGAGGTCTTGGCTCAGTGTCTGCCGCCTGTTAGCACAGGGCGTGGGCAGGACAGCCACCTTGAATCTGCACGTGTGTCTGAGAGGATAACACCTCCCCCAGGATTAAACAAGAGAATGTGTATCCATAAAGCATCTAGCCTTACACAGCACGGTGAGCAAACACCACCGTATTCGCAGTGGCACAGCTTCTTTCCAACACTAGAGGCGCGCAGGCCCGTCAGGCTGGACACAGGCATGGCAGGGACTGGCACCACTCAGGAATCTTGTAGAGACCCAAGAATAGAACCTGGGAACACCAGCACTCATGGGTCTATTGGAAAGGGTGAGTCTACAAAGAGGGGCAGGGAGAAAACTGATCACACAGCACCACAGGCCATTAGAAAGGGCACATCCCAAGGAAAGACATGCGGTGTCCCTGAGATGCCAGTGATCCATAATTAGTCATAGGTTAAAATGGCTGAAAATGTGATCTTTGGTTTCAGCAATTAGGAGATCCATAGTGATGGCTTCGATCTTCCTTTCAGGAAGGGAGGGAGCAGGTCTGAAGGGCATTCTAGAATTAGGTCAGATATGTACATAAAAAATAGAACAGTTTTCCCAACCAATCTTAACATTTCTTACAAATCCACAGATTGGTCACTTTGCCACATTTACACACACCTGGAGTTCAGCCAGTGTACTCAGAAAGGGAACTACAAGTGACAGATCCACAAGTCCACAGTCGACAGATGCTCAGCCTCAGCCACTTGCCTTTCCTGGGGCTGCGTCCCACGCCCCAGACCCTCCTGTTGCAGCCTCACTCTCTACAGGATGAGGGAGAGGTTGATTCTGTCACCCATCCCAGGAGTCAGCTTGGACTATCACATGATTGCTGGTGTTTTAGGTGGCCCAGCTGATACCTACTTGCCGGAATAGGACAGAACCCTTTCAGGGCTGAAGAAAGCATTGTTTAAAAACTTGGACATTGAACATAAAGTCAATACATCTTGCTTATTCTACAATCAAGGCATATGATGAAATTCACCGTGCATTTTACACAGATGCCCAGTACAGATGTGTTGCGTGGCATCACGTGGACGTGGCTTAAGCTGCTCTGCTGTGCTGTGCATCCTACATGCAGCAGTTAGAGTGGGGCTGACTCTTAGAACAACAAGGAGTTGAAGCAGAGTGGAGACACAGCTCAGGGGGCTTCAAAGGACCTTCTGGCAGACACTTCATCAAAAACAACCTGCTGGCCACATAACAGTCTCACTGATCTTCACCCTTAAATACAATGATTGTGTTTAACTTAAATATTTGTAAATTTTTACATAAACATGGTGAATGTGTTTTCAGAAAAGAATAAAGAAAGGAAGAACCATCTTCCTGTGGTCAGCAGAGGTTTGTGCTCTACTAAGTAGCTGAGAGCAGCCTCTGTGAGCTCTCTCCTTTGGAAAGGTGGAAAACAGCAGGAACACCTCTCCTCCATTCCACATGTGCCCTGGCCACATTTGCAGCACCAGCTCAGCATGCGGTGTCCTCTGACAGCTGCCCTCAAACCCGTCACCCTTGGGTTAGGATGCGATTTCATGCAAGTCATTGTCACACTGGCTGGCTTGATACATACGTGTCTGGTGCAAGTTTATGGAGATGTGCACATCAGTGCATATGCTGTGACTTCTTGTTTAAGTTTGTCTTCTTAGAAATGCCCTTGTCATTAGCTCATGAGCTCTCTATTGGAGAGAGGAAGTGACTGGCCTGACTCGGGGCTCATAGAAGATGACCTGGTGGCACACACAGGGGTGGGCAGGAGTGTGCCCGAGGCCCCTCCTCCATTCCAGCATTTCATCTGCCAGCGCCTCGGACGAGGCCACCACACAGAGGAAGCACTACAGCCTCACAGACTGAGGGCTTGGCGGCTCTCCTGGGTGTGTGGCAATGTCCAATAATGCAGCCTTGTGACTTCTTCTTCTACAAATGGTCTGCTATTACTCGCAAGAAAACATAACTGTTTGCTTTTGGTTTTCATCAAGACCTGTTACTAAAGTTCGAGAGTTGGTAAGGCTGTAGGGCTTCTAAGACAGCCCTCCCAGGTGACAAGCGGAGTCCAGTGAGGTTTGCATGGGGTATTGTGACAGCGTCATCACCTGGCTCAGCTCTGCACTCGGCCACCCTTGGTTTTTGACTCCCTAAGACAGTGTCATCATCCTCAGGGAAGTGGGTTTGCTGCAGTTCAGGATTTCTCCAATTCAACTCATGTGTACATTCCCTTGGAAAGAAGAAAAAGTGTGGAGTCCTGTGTTGATTTGTGATTGCTAACCTAATGTTATTTAAATATGTGCAAACATAAATTAGATTCCTTATGCTTAGGGTTCTTTCTTAATACAACTTTCAATCTAAGGCATCACAGAAGTGAAATGAAAACAAAATTATAAACACACACTGTTGTTGCCACAACCCCCAGTAGCTCTCCGGGCCAGCCAGTGGCTTCTGAGGCCAACCCATGAGCTTCACCCAGGAAGAGGGCTTCACACCCCATGATGGTTGACTGGAACCTCCTTCTGGGGGCTGCAGGGCAGGGGACAGCAGAGCAGAGAGGCCCAGGGAGGGGCCAGGTGTCAGGAGCTGCAGAAGCTTAAGACTGTGCCCAGGGCACCCACCATACCACCGTCTGGGCCCTGTTCCTTCCTACCCCTCCTTCCCCACGTACCTGCGATGTGAGCCTCACCTGAGCCAGAGCACCCCCCGACGTGCCACCCAGCTGCACGCCAAGTGTTGACTAAGGTCGGTGGTACCGGGGACAGGATTGCGAGGGGGACCCTGCTTCATCTACATTGTTTAAATGTCTGCAGCAAGAATGACTTCATGCATCATGTGATTGAAGATACAGAAAAAGAGGATGGCCAGCAACCGTTTGTAAGCCTCAGATAAAGTGTCAATTTTTAAAGTACTCATTGCTTGGATTTAATTAATCGGACTTTTTTTTCTTTAAGTTTCAGCACCCTAGGGACGTGTATGTTAACTTTTTTCATCCATTGAACTTTTTGTTTAAACTTTCAAGCTCTCAGAAAGAAAACTAAGTAGGCCCTGGCATTTCCTGACTGCCACACAAATGCCTACCTTCTGTGTGTGGTGGGTCCATCTCTGCTCCCATGGTATGGAAGTAAGACCTGTGACCGTGAGCTGGCTGCACACACATGTGGCATGTGGTGTAGCTTTCACTTACTTCCATCTTCTCAGAAAGAGCTGCACTGTGGCCCCAGCTTTCCACCGTGCCAAGGCTCCTTACACGCATCCTCATTTTTGGCTTCAGGAGGAGAAGGCGCATGGCTGGGTCACGTGCTCACTCAGCAGAGGAGGCACTGGCCACTTCTGTGTCCTCCGGATGCCCCTGCTATAGGGAGAGGCAGCAGCACATGCGGGTCATCTTCCCAGAAGTCGGCGGCTCTTGGGGTTCTGGAGCATTGAACTTCCTCCTGTTTGATGCTACATTGAACCCCCAGGGTACAGCCTCGTTCTCACCATCTGCTTCCTGTCACACAAGCAAGAGCTGCTGGGTGCCTTTTCCATCTTGGTTCCCATTTTCCAAATGGTCCCAGAGGGACTTAGTAAAGCATTAGAAGAGCCCAGAGGCTGGAAGCAAACACAAAATTGACCATGAAATTTAGTCAAACGGTGATGAAATTTAGTCAAATGTTGATGAGATTTAGTCAGTGATGAGATTTAGTCAAACGGTGATGAAATTTAGTCAAACTGTCTTGAAACCAGCCAGTCATTGGAAATGCCCTGATTTCTTCCTTTTCCCTCACGTTGAGCCAAGTGCACGAGCTGGTCCTGGCTGCCTGGAAGGCTGCTGGCCATGTGCCTCTGCAGCCTCCCGTGCCGTCCTCGGGCCCCGTGGCCTGTGCTCCTGCTCCAGCCCCCATTTCCCTGACGGCCCTTGCTGCCTGCATGGCTGATTTTGCTCCTGCCATTGCTGCAGTAACGAAGCGCAGTGGGAAAGCCCCTCAGCCTGTAGAAACAGCCCTCGGCGGCCGGGCGCGGTAGCTCACGCCTGTAATCCCAGCACTTTGGGAGGCCGAGGCTGGCGGATCACGAGGTCAGGAGATGGAGACCATCCTGGCTAACACGGTGAAACCCCGTCTCTACTAAAAATAAAAAAAATTACATGGGCGTGGTGGCGGGCACCTGTAGTCCCAGCTACTCAGGAGGCTGAGGCGGGAGAATGGCGTGAATCCAGGAGGTGGAGCCTGCAGTGAGCCAAGATGCACCACTGCACCCCAGCCTGGGCGACGGAGCGAGACTCCGTCTGAAAAAAAAAAAAAGAAAGAAAAGAAAAGAAACAGCCCTTGGCTTGCAAGCTGTTCATTTTTCTGAAGGAGGAAATTGAAGGGTGAAATCAGCCTTTCTAAGAATCTGATTCATCTCATTATTGCCAGCATTATTAGATGTTAGATAAAAAACAGTTAATTTCAACCTTTTCTACCTGGCACGTTATCTGAACTAAAAAGAAAGAGAAGCAGCAGCCCTTCAAAAATAGATTTATCTTTATTTCTTTATGGCTTCCCAAAAAGTCTCTTTTATCTGTGGAAGCTGGAGTAAGAATAAACCCCATAAGACACATTATGAGAGACTGAGGTGATTTCTGTTGGCAGCACCCACACCCTGGGTTGGGGTCCCTCAGGCCTCACCCTAACCAGGAGACAACCTGAGAACCCAGGGCACTGCGTCCACGTGTGACCGTGGACATCAGGAGAGCACCGGCTCTTCACTGATTACAGCTTTGCGTTTCCCCACGGGGGCCACTGAACTTTAATCACGTTTTCAATAAAACCAGATAAAGTAGTCAGGAAGGTCATGCGGGTCATATGTTTCCCCACTGGCTCTCTCTACGATTTCACTGTCTTCTGATCCCATCTTATATGAGACACATTTAATACCAAGAGTGAAAGGGGCCCTGGGTGTGTTTCTCGGTGTCCACTCAGCCCTCTGCCCCTTTGTGAGCATCAGGTTTATACGTTTTTATGAAATGGTGGGAGACAGGCTCTCCCTTGATGCAGTCCCTGTAGCTATAAAAATATGGACAATGCAGATAATTCTGTTAAATTAAGATACCAATTCGTCTATTAAATCAATTGCTTCCAGCCACAGCCCTTGTTATTCAAATCAAGACAAAAAAAAGTCTGTGGAGTGTGAGGAGGCAGCTGAACCTGTCTCTTCCAGAAGCTCCTCTGGGGATGAGAGATGGGCAGGAAGCAGCGTGTGTTTGTGACGGAGAAACGTGAATTCCATGTGAAAGGGAGTATGTTTTCTAACTTGGGGTTGGAGTTGGCTGTCGGGAAGCTGGTTCTGAGATGGTGGTGTCGGTGCTGGAGGTGCCACCCCTCGGGAGGCTGTCTGGGTTCTAAGGTGGCAGCACAAATTTACAGTTCTAGAACTGTATTTCTATCTGAAAGGGTTTAACAGTCAGATGCTCTTTTTTTCCTCAGAAATCCTCCTCTATCTTTGCTACTTTACAATATTCTGGGGTTTTGTACATTTCCTGGCAACAATTTGACCCTTCCATCTCAAAGCTGGTTTAAAGGAGCGTTCACCATCGGTTGGCATGAAGTGAGACCGAGCTGTCAGCTTTTCATAAAAGTTCTCCCAGCACAGAATCGGCTGACTCCTAAACTAAATATTTCTGCGTTTATATATTGCTTTCCTGTTATGTTTGGATACTGGAAGACTTTTTTCTCTTACGAAAAAGCAGCAGGCACTCATTGAGCCATGAGGGTTGCCAGGGTGCTGTGGGTAAGTGACCAAAGACAGAAATCAGACGGTCACAGACAACACAGCTTCTGTCCAACCCAGTTACCCTCCAGCAGCAGGTCTCATTCTCCTTGGTCTCAGACCCCTTTACACTTAAAAGTTATTGCAGATTACAGGTCTACCAGAAAAATTTTAAAATATGTATTTATTCATTTCAAAATATCAGTACAGCAACTACATGTTAATGTTGTTTTTGCAAAAAGACTCTATGTTTTCCAAAAAAAAAATTAAAAGAGCAGCATTCTTTTACACTTTTGCAAATCTGCATAATATCTGAATCCCATGAAAGAGGGCTGGGCCACATGCAGACTCCTGCAGTCAGGCCACGGCAATGTGTTGTTCTGCTGTTGAAGTCAAAAAGAAAAGTCAGGGAGGTCCTTGTTAGTCGCCTTTTCAGGCAACTGCGGACTCTTCCTTGATACCACATCAAAACTCAACAAGCCGTCATCCTCTAAAGACCACGGTGTAGAATCTGAAGCCGGTCGGTGACCGCGTGCCTGCTGCTGTATCACAACACGTTGGTCTGTCCTGCACTTTGAATGAATCTTTTTCCTGTGAACATCATGTTTGGGTCATGTGGAAAATACTGGTTCACTGAGTTACGGAGATTTTCCAAATGCTGACACAGTTCAACAGATGGTATTTTTAAAATCACGTGTACAACGTACAGGGCCTCGTACGTTGCAGACCGGTTGTGTCCACAAGCGTGCTGCCTGTGCCGGATGCCAGGGCCCAAAGATGAGTCTACCTGGGCCTGCCCACCAGAAGCTCATTCTTGGGCAGGGCAGACAGTAAGACGGGCGACCCATGTGGGCGAGGTGACAGCACGGACTCAGGTAACCGGAAAAAAGAAGACGGTGGCGTGCGCTGTGAGCCGGGTGGGCGGGATCCGCGCGTGCGCTGTGAGCCGGGTGGGCGGGATCCGCGCGTGCGCTGTGAGCCGGGTGGGCGGGATCCGCACGTGCGCTGTGAGCCGGGTGGGCGGGATCCGCGCGTGCGCTGTGAACCGGGTGGGCGGGATCCGCGCGTGCGCTGTGAGCAGGGTGGGCAGGATCCGCACGTGCGTGTGCTATTGAGGACCTGCGTCCAGTGTGCGGGAGGCGGAGATGAACCCACAGAGCAGGGCGCCTGCCCTTGAGGACCTGCGTCCAGTGTGCGGGAGGCGGAGGTGAACCCACAGAGCAGGGCGCCTGCCCTTGAGGACCTGCGTCCAGTGTGCGGGAGGCGGAGGTGAACCCACAGAGCAGGGCGCCTGCCCTTGAGGACCTGCGTCCAGTGTGCGGGAGGCGGAGATGAACCCACAGAGCAGGGCGCCTGCCCTTGAGGACCTGTGTCCAGTGTGCGGGAGACAGAGATGAACCCACACAGGAGGGCGCCCGCCCTGGGCAGCAGCAAGCCTTCCCCACCCACCAAACAGAACCTGGCCCACGAGTGTTTCACCACCAGGTCTGATCTGATTTAGGAGGGCTGTGGGGTTGTCCTGATAAGTCAAATTTTGTTAAAAACGTGTTCTTAGAGCCGTGGCATTGGCCACACTCTGGGTGTGAGACTGCAGGGTGCTCAAAGGGTGTGGCCCTTCCCGGTCACCTTCCTCAGTCCAGACGTGCCTCTGCCACTCAGAGTGCGTGCCAGGCCCAACCAGCCGTGGCCCTCGGTTCCCTGGGGTGACAGGAAGGGAGAGAAAAGCACATCAGGTAGGCAGGAGCAGGGGAGAAGGCAGCTCCACGTGAACTGTAATGAGACAAAGAGGGCAGGAATCTCGTTTTAAAAGTCACAGAAACAAATGAATTTTAACCTTTTTCTCACAAGATAACCCTCCTGCAACATTTCCTTTTCTTCGTTTTCTTTGCTTTCATGGTTATGCTGGGTTGGAACATGCCCTGGCTACAAATCATAGTAGGCCTTTGATAGACTTTAAAAATGGCCAAATGAAATACAGAGAATATAAAGGATTCAGAAGTAATTAATTCAAAACTACAACCTACTTTGAAACATTTATGCAGAGAAATTCGTTGTTACAAAAGAGGGTCAGGGCCGGGCGCGGTGGCTCACGCCTGTAATCCCAGCACTTTGGGAGGCCGAGGCGGGCACATCACGAGGTCGGGAGATCGAAACCATCCTGGCTAACACGGTGAAACCCCGTCTCTACTAAAAAATACAAAAAAAAAAATTAGCTGGTCGTGGTGGCGGGATCCTGTAGTCCCAGCTACTTGGGAGGCTGAGGCAGGAGAATGGCGTGAACCCGGGAGGCGGAGCTTGCAGTGAGCCGAGATCGCGCCACCGCACTCCAGCCTGGGCGACAGAGCGAGACTCCGTCTCAAAAAATAAAATAAAATAAAAGAGGGTCGGTGCATTCACGATCTGACCCTTTAATCCCATTGCTGTTTTCTGCACCGTTGGTCTATCCCCTTCTTTTTTTTTTTTGGAACACTCACACGCAATCACCCGGCTGAAAGATGGTTAGAAAAAGAAATTATGAAGAGCCTGGAAAATCCACAAACCAGACAGTCAGCCCCTGAGGCGTGGAGACGCCTTCCCTTCCTGGGTTTCTGGCGCGGGCGCAGACCCTTCCCCAGCCTGGAGGGCGCTGCCGGTGTCAGAAGCGGAGGTTTCGGAGGCGGCTGCAGCCTCGGAATAGCCGGTCACAGCCACTGCGCTGCTGTCGGTGAAAGGCAGCCCGGGACCTGAGGCCAAACGCAAGCTCAGGCCGCAGCTACCAAGGGAACCTGCCTAAGCGGGCGGCACAGAAGGGAGCGCCGGGGACGCTCTGGTTTTCAGATCCCCTTTCGGAAGGTGAGATTGTTTTTCATAACAGGCAAAGGAAGATAAGCCCCGCGCCCGGCGAAACCCTGGCCCTCCCTCGCTGCTGCCTCTGGCCCTGTGTGCAGCTGAACGCAGCTCTTATTTAAATCATGTTGAGGAATTAATACTGGTGCACTGACAGGTTTTTTCTAATACAAAGTTTAATAACCGCTTAAAACAAGCCAATAAAGAAGAATGAGATGTTTTTAAAATCAAGAATTTGACCTGGCTCAGTATCTCACACCTATAATCCCAGCACTTTGGGACACTGAGGTGGGGGGATCACTTGAGGCCAGGAGTTCGAGACCAGCCTGGCCAACATGGCAAAACCCAGTCTCTACTAAAAATACAAAAATTAGCCGAGCATGGTGGCGGGCGCCTGTAATCCCAGCTACTCCGGAGGCTGAGGCAGGAGAGTCGCTTGAACTCAGGAGGAGGACGGAGGCTGCAGTGAGCCGAAATGAATCCACTGTACACCAGCCTGGGTGACAAAGTGAGACTCTGTCTCTAAAAAATAACAAATAAATAAAATCAAGAATTTACTAAGCATAACGTAGTTTAATGTTATCCTCATCCCTTTGAGATGTGTTACAAAAACATGTCTGATGGGAGCTCGAGAGCCACGAGTCCCTTGTCCTGTTTTCAGTGAGTGTTTTCTCCACACCCCTCCCCGGCCCGGGAGCACAAACAGGCCTGGCCTTGACCTAAAGTCTCTCTGTTTTTTTTCCTACTGCACTCAGGCCCCCAATGGCTGCTCTTCTCTTCCTCTTTTGCCTACTAGCTGGAACAGGAATTTAAATCCAAGAAGCCTACCTCCTGCACAGGACACAGGTGGATGTGAGGGAATGGTCTGGGTGGAGCTGCCCTGGCTGAATGTCTGCAGCTGTGCCAGCTGCCTAGGCACGTGAGGAGGGCGGCCAGGCTGCCTCACAATCTCTGGCTGGTCGTCAGTGGGCTGGATGGGTGCAATGGCGGTGTGAGGACACAGGACAGTGGAGGCCGTAATCCACGTCCCCTGAGCAACCTTTCACGCAGCCACTCTACACTCCCGTGTACCAGAGAGCTCTGCCCCACCCAGAGCAGGACCTGTGTCCTGAGAAACCACCCAGCAGCTGTGGCTTCTCCCAAAGGCCTCCGTCCCAAGCCGCCGGTTGTGTGGTTGCATGGCTGCTGTGGTGGCATTCTTAAGGCCTGAGGAAATATGCGTTGAAATGCACACAGGCCTGGGCTGGGGGAGCCCAGGAAAGTGCTCCAGCTCCTGCATATTCCTGGATGAGTTTCGCCCCCCCGTGGTTCCTGGCTGCTCCAGTTCAGCATCCTCTTGTGCCCAGCTGGCTTAGAGTTAGCCTAGAAAAACACAGTTGAGGAAGTAAATCTTCCACTGAGTAAGGGTATACATTCCAAAGTCAAATAAAGGGTGATGGATTAGAAGCTGTCCCCTCCAGTGTGGCTGCCTCCCAGAAATCACACATTCTGAACCATGGAGGTGTCGAGCACAGACCGCACCTCCACCCGCAGGTTGCCCTCTTCAGACACCAGCTCAGGCTAGAGGGCAGGCAGCGACAATGTACCTGGCCCCTGAGCACTTAGACCTACCGGCTCAGGTCTGTACTGCCCTGCTTGGCACAGATTCCCCAAGGGCAGGGTTCTGTCCTGTGCACGGCTGAGTCTCCGCTGCCTTGTGGAGCTTCTGGCACATTCTTAGTCATTTGAAAAGCTATTGAATGAAGGAGCCCATGAGGTATGTGGATTCACCTTGGAAGGAGCAGGAGCTGTGGGTCACCACAGATGGCCATTCTAAGACTGCCCTTGCCTGGAAGCACAGAACAACTCAGTGGGCAGTGTCCCCAGGCACACAGGGACCCCCCGCCCCCAGCCCAGATGCTCCCAAACATCTAGAAACACGGTGATCCCAGCTGCTCTGTGTTTCAACAGGAAGGATAGAGGCTCATGAGAGCCGGGTCTGTGTCTCAGCAGGAAGGACAGAGGCTCATGAGAGCTGGGTCTGTGTTTCAGCAGGAAGGACAGAGGCCCATGAGAGCCGGGGTCATGGGGGAAGCTGGGGCAAGGAATCCACAAGGGGTGTGTCAGCTCCTCAGGGAGACGTGGTTCTGTTTTTCTTTTCATGTGGTTTCATGGAAAATACCTTGATGAAAACTATCAGCAAAAGTCAAAGAACTTTTTACAGGAAAGAAAATAAATGCACCAACTCATCTACCTGCATATCAGACGTGATCCCATCAAACGAGGAGGGCCACAACAAACAGAAACCCCCCATAAAGAATGTCTACTTTCCATAAGTGAATAAAGTCACAAAACATATCACCTGATGATCGCCATTTTCATTTCAACGTCATCCTTCATTAAGTTGTCTACACAAGTTTTATTCCGTTCTCTTAACCTGAAGCTTGCTTTTAAAAACAAAATCCACGAACCCATCGCACATGCTAAGCAGTTACACTCCTGGATGGCCAGGAGCTTGTTCAGGTGTTTATTCACTCATTCATGGTTTTTGGAGCAATTACTGTGCCCAGTGCTGGGGCAACAAAGGCAAGAGACAGTTCTCACCTTCAAGTTGCTCCCAGGCTGGCTCTGCTACCCAAGAGCTACAAACAGAGATCTTCCTGAACTCGCCTTTTGGCCTCAGGATGATGTGGTATAGAAAAAATTCATTAGCAAACAGTCACCTAGAAATTTAGAGCTGTAACATTTGTTAAGGAACACACAGAAAAAGAGCACACATTGATGCTTTGAAACAAAATAAAAACTCATTGCATTATATTTGGTCTTAAGGTGTGAATTATGTGCAAGGACATCTGCTCCGTCAGTATTTCTTGAGTATCTAACGAAGGCAGGACACTTCATTCACTCCACATCTAAATTCATAACAGTGTTGACTTCATTGTTACTGAAAATACTGGAAAGAAACGAAAAACTATCAGATAAAAGTGTTCTCAGTTCTGAGCAGCAAAGAGACTATTAAATAATTAACATTTAGAACATTGATGGAAAATATTTGGTGTTTTCTCCCTTTTCCAAGTTAATCTAAAACAAGCCATAGTAAATGCCTCAAAACATGTTTCCTATGCCCTCCATGGAAGAGAAGCTGCAACTTGAACAGGTCCTCAGGGCCTCCTGTCACACTAGCCCCCTGCCTGCAGCATCAATTTCAGGAGTGGGGAGAGAGCCATGATGTCCATCCACATTGTTGTCCAAATGTCCAGAGTGAGTGCAACTGGGGTTGGGGTAATAGGCTGTCAACAGAAATAAACAGAGGGAGGCTCTAAGAGAAAATGACATTGATTTGGGAAATAGGACATTGCAATGAGAATACACGTGCCATTGTAGATTATGTGCACATTCAGGGAAGCAAAGAAGACAAAGGTTTTTAAGGGAAGAGTGAGGAGGAACCCAGGATTGTTTTGAGATAAGTATCCTTGGCTACAAAGATGAATAACAAGGGAGATTGCAGTTCAGTGCTGGACAGGCACTTGCTGGACAGATGTAGAAGAATTTTTTGTGTAAGGTTGCAATGGCGTTTGTGCAGGGTCATGATTTTTTTCAGTCTTTTGTGATTGTTCTTGTGCAGTGGCGCATGACCACCCTCCCTTTATGGTCTTTCCCAGCTCTATTTGTCAGAGCATTTCTTAACACAAGTGACTCCATTTTGATTTTGAATCTGACAACTTCCACATTTTCCGCTTTTGATCAAGGTCTTTCTCCAAAAGTATCACAAATCAATCCCGCCGTAGTGAGGTCTGATGTCCCCTGATGCCAAGATGGACCTGTCCTGGGCTGCTGGTCTGGTTCCACACTAGGGGTAGTGATTGGTGAGTAGGAGTCATTGTCAAAACCCTTTAGCCACATTTGAGCAACAAGGGAGGTTTGAAGGGAGTGGCTGTCAGGCTAAGTCTACCTGGAGTCTAGTATTACATTCAATTTTGTCTTTTTCCATAGTCTTCTGTTATCATCTCAAAGTGCTGGGCCAGCATTATTCTGTTAGGAGTTGTACTTCTACAAAAATTTAACAAGTAACAAATACAAAGTTTTAAAAGGGGAGATTCAAAGTAAAATTATTAGTAATGTGACTATCCTAGTCTGCATAATGGTTTTGAGCCATGAACCTTAAAGGCAGCCAACTGGATAAATCAATTGACCATGATCCCGTCAAGTGAAATAGGTGAGCTTTAAGAGGGTTAAAAGTCTTATTATGATACAGAGTTCTGTTCTAATGTCGGAAAAATCTGTCTACAGCATGGAACCATCCACTTCTCAGCCTGGTTTGCAGTTTGAATGTCTCTGGTTGTGGTACTGGGTGTTCCTCAAACATCAGACATATGACTTGTTCCTTAAAATTTATATAATTTCAGCTTACAGGGCTTCAGGAAGAGAGCAGTATTCAATTTTAGTAACTCTGGAAGAAAGTTGGATTGGAGGAATTAGGATAATTCAAGTCTAGTCTGTAGGTAGATAACAAGAGCTGGAAAACAATGCATAGAGCTACAATCTAATAAGAGGTGTATTACAGCTTTTCTTCAGAAACATTTTCTCCCTACATTTGTCGCACAGGATTCTCAGATTTAAAAACTTCTGGGGGCTAGGAAGCCAAACCAAAGCAGACTTTAGATTTTACTTATAGTCTTAAAGTTCCTGGGCCTGCCGGGAAGTGACCATTTTTACCTACTCACTGTAAATCCAGGAACCCTTGAAACCAGGCACTCTGTGCACATTCACGAGTATGACATAAGCAGTGTTTTAAATTATGTTCTGTTGTAAAGAGAGAGCTGATTTTTATTGAACTTAGCAAATCACTTTATTGCCATAAAAATACTCATGAATGATTTTCAAATTTTGGAGAAATCAGGAAGGGAGAAAAAAAACAAATGCTTCCATTACAAAAGTATGCTTTGCCAAATTGCTGTAAATTACAGATAGTTTAAGAGAGAAAATGTCATTACAGCTGGAAAGCAAGACATTTAAGTAAAGAACTAATAATGTTTTAAATAAAAATAACAAAAACATTATCAATTATTTAATCTCATGTGATTAATCTTTGTTCTGCTTGACCTGGAGCAGTTTCATGAGCCCACCAGTTTCTTCATTAGAGTTTTTTAAATATTGTATTTATTCCATTGATGTTAAAGTTATAAGAATCTATATGTAAGAGCACTTGTTGAAATCTTTTCCATGAGTCTGATTGCAGATGCTTTTAGGGGAGAATGTAAAACAATAACTGTAGATGACACTTAGAATAGCCATGGTTAAAACTCTGATGGAAGTTTATTATAATCAGTAAGTAACAAGGAAATAGAGTTATTTTTATAGCACATGACATAATATCCAGAATTAGGACTGATGACATATTAGAGTTCTATGAATTTATATAATTTTTGAAACATTCACATCCATAACATTCCCATAAATGTAACTGAATGATCTAGTGTCACTTATCATTTCACGATGCTTTCCATATAATTTATCGAATAAGCCTAATTATTTAATATCTCTACAAGATGAGAGATAACATTGTGTGAGGCTCTCCAGGGGCCCAACTAGAAAATTTCAAAGTTAATTCTAGACCAAAAAGACTTAATTTAGAATTTCAATCCTGGGGAAGCCTGCCAAGGATACAAAAAGGTTCAAAACACTCGACCAAAACAGAACCACAGGTCACAGTGAAATAACTTCATTTAACCAGAATAAAGTCATTTAACCAGAGTAGTAATCAAAAGACTTCAAAGCAATACAGAAAAGTACATGGATGTTAAAACCTTAACCCTTTTCAAGCTGTTTTCCTAAGTAACCAAAAACGTAATAGAGACAACACAGGAAATTGTCTTGGTAAAAGGTAAATCCACTGGGCTTTTTAAAGGGCCAGTTACCAAGAAGGTGGAGAAACCCTCCTGCACTGCGATTGCTCTTCCTTCTGGGAAGCCCATTTAGATATCTTGGAAATTGAATCTGATGAAAGGTACTTGAATTTAATTAAACACAGAAAAAAAAAATGTGTGTCCAAACTTATGAATGTGTCCCATATTGTAAAGGAGTATAAATAAGAAAACCAGTACCTTCAGCAAGTCAGAGTGCACGGCTCTTAGTGTCAGTATATGAGATTTCCTGGTTACATGGAACAATTCAGACTCATCAAGGAAAGCCAAGAGTACAGACTCAAGTTATACGGGGGAAAGCATTGCTTTTCCAGGCCTCCAAGGTAAACATTTCTGCTTCAGGCCCTCACAACAGAATTAGAGCTGGAGAAAAACTTTACAGGAGCTGATGAAGTTGGAGAGAGTTGTCATCCCAGGCCTCCTCGCGGGGAGGAAAGGAAGAGCAGAGGTTGATGATGCCTGGCCGGCAAGTCACGTGCAGTGAGATCCAGCAAAAGAGCCTGTGAGATACGAACCTGAGAGGCTTCAAGAGGAAAACGCTGCCTTGAGAAATGAAACTACTGTTCTGAATGAAAAAAGCAGGTCTAATCTGAAACTAGGGAAACAATGGAGACTGTAAAACAGAAAAGAGAGAAGCTGCTGTTAAGACCAGATCAAAATTTCAAAAAAACCTTGTTCTAACATAGAGTACCAAGTTTTTAGTTTTGTATTAGTGTATTTTTAATATTGAAGCTCAATCTTCAGAAAGACTTATAAATAATTTCCTTCTAATTATAGCCAACTTAATTCCTTTTATAAATTCATCCTTCACAAACCTCATCACAACTTATTCCAACGTTTGACAACATACTTAGAATTTCTGCTTTGTCCCCTATTTACTGTTTCTTAAATAACCAGCTGTTTTAAGACAAAAATTTCTACTCAAGATTTTTTCTTACATAAAATTATTCTTTTCTTTTTAATAGCCTTCCTCACCAAGAATGCATCTTCAAACCCATAACATTCCTCGTATCTCTCTCTCCTACTTACTGTCTTGCCTCTGTTTCCTACTTTCTGTCTTGCCTCTGTTTCCTTCCTAAATCCATATTTGGAAACAACCTTTAAATAACCTGGCAATTAGACAGAATTATTCTTTCTCTCAATAAAGAACCCATTTTATGCCTTTATCATTTTTCTAATCAAAAACATTTTCCTTTTTTGTATATTTTATATGCAGAATTATATATATATTAATTAGAATTTTAACTCTTAGTAACCTTAATTTCTGGCAAGCAATTTTGAACTATTTGTCACATATTGGTATTTTATAGATGAGAACAATTTTATAATTCTTAAAAATATGTTTCTCCATACAACATAATATTTTATGTATATTAATAAACCCAAATATATTTAGTCTTTCTATAAAATGTAAGAAGACAAGAACAAATGTATATTTATGTTTAGCAATTGATGTTTCAGGTTTTTAAATCTTATTTAGAAATGACCTAGACATTTAATGAATATCTGTTGTTTAACTTAACATAATATGAAGATTTCAAATTACAAGAAAAGCTTATTTATAAGCATTTATTCCATTTACATTTACCTAGTTTGTTTTTAACAATTTACCTAGATTAGTTATGAAAACTGAGATACTAGACAAAGCTTGTCATCATTTCAAGTTATTTCCTGTTAACCATTTTTATAGCCTGTGAATATCAGGCATTCATCTAAGTAAGAACCTTAAAGTTAAATATATGGGTATTTTGTCAATAACCTTGAAGATACAGCTGTCTTATTAAACCACAATATTAAATTAGTCTTATTTATCAAAGAATTGCACAAAGATCACTCTGTTTCAGGCTAGCAGAGACAAATATAAAACTATTGCACCAGTCAACCCAGGCAAAAATGTGTACTCACAATTTTGAAGATATTACTAGTTTTATTTTACCAATGATTTTTAAACCAGCTTATTTATCAAAGATCTACTTAGGTCACATGAAATAGAAGACATTTAGGTTAATAGCTGTGTACTTTATATGAGCACTTGTTTAAGCAAATCTGAATAGAATTTCTTAGGGATTTCTGGCCCACTATGCCAGACTACCACGTAGATACAACGTACAACATAATACATGTACATGTGCATAAACACACCTAAAGGTATATACATACACAAAGCTCTTATAGCTTTCATTTTAGAATTTTAGTCATGAGACAGTAAAATATACAAACTCACTAGTTTATAAAATATAGTTGGCTCCAAATTACATTTCTGACAAAATGGGAACTGTTCACATGGCAAAAACTATTTGCCCTGATAGTCTAATGAAAGCTGTGGACCAAAATGTTGGGTTAAGCAGTTTGGTTTTAAAAGACATTTTTGTTTGTTTGTTCCAAATGAGTTTAATGTTAAATTTTTAATGTTTATGTTTTAGCTTGAACTGGCTGAATTATACAAGAAAAAAAAATCCAAGTAGCCTTGCATTAGTAAAAAATCTGTCTTGTGTTTGCAGTCTGGTTCCCTTGCACCTGACTGGTCAATGCAGGTGGGGAAACATTTTAGCAGGTTTTGGGGGGCTTTTTTCCCTTGGCTCCTGCATGACAGAAAAAGCAATGTTTATGCCAGAGATATAAAAAATTATATTACTGCTCTGAGCTCAAGATTTTGACCTGTTTGATCTCAGATCCTAATTTTTATAAACATTTATCTAGGTCTTTCCTTTTAGACTATCAGTCTTTCAATTAACTGTTCCATCACCCTAAGCAACTGTTAGGCAAATCTAAATTTACATTTTCAAAAAGTGTCTATGTTGTTGGCTACCATGGAGCTGTTATAATTTGTAAAACCAGTAATTTGAAAGCCCTTTAAGACTTTTTTAAAAGAACCTTGGCTGGAATATCATAAGCAGTGAGTTTTATCTCAATACCAGCAGAAGGGTCAGCAGATTGGACATAAGCAGAAAAAAAATAGAGGACTTAGAATGCTAACTCTATAGTTGTAGATTTGTTTTAGAAAGTTCAGATAATGACCACTCAGCTCTGAATTTTCCTTGGTGTAATTTGCCCATCAGTTTAAAAATGTAATGAGAACGGGCCATAATACAGCCAGCTGGAGTCCCAGAATACCTGGCACATCCTCATGTTTGAGAATCCCATTCCGTTTCTTATTAATCTCTTGAGAGCAAAGAAAATCCTATAAATCCTCTCAAGAGAATGTTGGGAGTCTGGACCAGCATTTTAGAGAGACTGTCGGGAGTCTGGACCAGCGTTTTAGAGAGACTGTCGGGAGTCTGGACCAGCGTTTTAGAGAGACTGTCGGGAGTCTGGACCAGCGTTTTAGAGAGACTGTCGGGAGTCTGGACCAGCGTTTTAGATAGTGGCAACCACTCTAGTGGCTTTTAATGAGCCATCCTGGGTCCAGCATTTAGAATGCTTGTTTTTGCTCTTAGAAGATTTCCAGAAATAAGCAAGAGAAAAGAGCCACATCAAACAAAATATTAAATTAGGTGCACAGAAAGAATCAAAAGCAAATTCACTAGAAAAGACATGCCTCAGAGACGGAATGGAGATTCTGCACTTTATACCAGAAAGGACTTGCTGGAAAAGACAAAAGGTCTTTTATCACCCCAGCAGGGATGTAAGGTCCGTTATTAAAGGTGGCCTTATCACCAAAACAAACTCCTATGAAATCAAAAAGACTACCAAAAAGCAGTGAGGCTCTGCCTGAGAGAAGACTCACCAGGGTAGAAAAGCAAGTGGCAGATGCAGAGAGCTCAGAGGGCTCAAGTGAGAACTACACACCAGCTCTAAGAATCACCAGTTCCTTCCAATCACAATCTTTCTTCAGGTTCTGTTCTAGACACCACTTATGTAAACCTAAACCACAAACAGAGACAGGCTCTCTAACAGAAACTGATATTTATTTGGAAGTAGGCATTGCAATGGGAATACATGTGCCATAGTAAACTATGTGCATATATATGCAACAATGGGGAGCCAGTTAATAAGTTACTATCCGTGCCGAGGGGACAACAGCAGGATAAAATAATTCACAGTGGCTCGGGCCAGGTGTGCGGAGGCACTGGCCGCGTGGGATATCCAGGCCTTCTCTCCACTCACTCAGCACTCAGTCTTCTCAGACACTCGCAAACTGCAGAGGAATTAGCCCTCCAAGGCCCCGTGAGGCTGATTGCTGTTGACAGGTGAAAGCCTCTTCCCTCCCTGTCCCACTCACTGAGCAGCAGGAAGGCTCTGACAAGGAGCCGGCAAAGGGAAGAGAAGAGGCACCGGGGTGTGGTCCCAGTACCTTGCTACTTGCTGTCCATGGTGTCATCCCCATTGTCTTTGCCACTGGTCGCCAAGCTCTGCCTGCCTCAACGCTACACACAGCTCAGAGCATGGAGCATGGCAAGCTCATGGGGCAGCCGGTGGGGCACATGGGGCAAGTGGTGGGCCCTGGTGCTGTCCCCACCAGACTGGGGACTGCAAAGGGACCCTGCAAGTGTGATTAAATTGAGGATCGGATGGTCCTGAGTTATCCAGCTGGGCCCTGATGCATCTCAAGGGTTCTCATAACAGGGAGGCAGGAGGGCCAGACAGAAACAGAGGTTGGAGTGATGCAGCCATGAGCCAAGGAAGGCCGGCTGCCTCTAGAAGCTGGAAAAGACAGGAACAGTTCTCCTCTGGACACTCCAGAAGGAACCAGCCCTGCCGACACCTTGATTTTAGCCCAGTGAGACCCATTTTGGACTCCTGACCTCCTGAACTGTATGGTAATAAACTTGTGTTGCTTTAAGCCACGAGGTATGTAGTAATGTATTACAGCAGCCATAGCAAAAATACTGTCCAATAGGGTCCAGAAATCACAGGTGGCTGCAGAGACCAGACAAGTGGCCCCTCTGCAGGTAAATAAGGCACCTCTCTGCAAACACTCCCCTTGTCTTAGTTCCGGTCGCAGACCCTGAGTGTGGAATTGGGCTCCCGTTTCTTAGCCACTCAGCCTGACATGCTGGTCCCGGCCTGGACCTCAGCTGATGGGGAGCTCAGGTTACAGCAGGGAGGAGATGAGTGTGCTCTGTCCTTGCAGGCTCAGGTCTGGGGAAACACAGACAAGGGTGGCTGGACTGGAAGTCCATGTCGATCGGTGCCGTGCAGAGCTGGCACCCCAGCCGTCTGTGAGGTCTGTGGGTGCAGCAGGTCTTCCCGCAGCTTCCCCTCCCCCAACACCCTCCATGTCCCGACTTTGTCCATGCAACCGTTGGTCACTGCTGCCCTCCATCCTGTGGCTGAGGATTCACGGATGCCTGGACCACATGCTCTGGAGTCATGATCTACTGGCAATACTTGTCGATCTTTGCTTTGGAATTCGGGATTGAGACGGGAAGGGCTAAATTTAGCATCTGCATTCCCACATAGCAACCTCATCAGGTTCCCAGAGCCTCTAGAAGCTCCAGGTTGAGCCTCCAGGAAGGCAGCACAGCTTGGGGGACAGTACCTGGGGCCACGTCAATGAGGGAAGGCTGGGGTTTGCTTCAGACAGCACTTTGCAGGGGGTGGGGCAGGCCGCAGTGACTCGCAGCACCATGACCTTGACCACCCTATTTGGCTGTGCGCGTGTCTGAAAGAAGTGCTTACCCTGGGGAACCAGGAGGACTTCAGAGTCCTCTGGAGAAACCCACGGGCTCACAGCAGCCCTGCATTCCCTCCACCTGAAGCGGATCTTTGCGGTGAAGACAGGGGCAGGTCCCGAGAACCAGACTCCGGTCGTCATTCCTGCAGCTTGGAACCCACCGCAGCGGGCACGCAGGACAGCCAGCCCTGTGGGCAGAGCGCAGGTTTCACGGTGGGCAAAAGTCGACGCCCCCAGCCGCCTCTGGGTGGACGAGGGCTGCCTGGCATCAGCACAGCTGAGCATCTACTGAGGTGAACTTCCCAGGGGCGGAGAAACTGCGAACAACACAAGCCTGATTAGGAAGAAAAAACTAACTTGAAACGAGCCTTAGTACTTTTGGACGTTGAGTTGAAAGCTGGGTAGATATCTTTAGATTTTTTTCCCTGCCCACTAAAGGCCTCAGCGTGAAGCGGCCTTTCCCCAGGAACATCCCCAGGTCTCCCCCACGCGAGGCTCAGGCCCGGCTGTCAGCACGGGAGATTGACAGGTGATGCCGCCTTTCCCCAGGAACATCCCCAGGTCTCCCCCACGCGAGGCTCAGGCCCGGCTGTCAGCACGGGAGATTGACAGGTGATGCCGCCTTTCCCCAGGAACATCCCCAGGTCTCCCCCACGCCAGGCTCAGGCCCGGCTGTCAGCACGGGAGATTCACAGCCTTGGCTGGGCTGTTGTGAGACCCTGAGGGCAGGGGATTGCCTTGCTCATTTTCGTGTCCCCCACAAGGCTTGAGACAGTGACTTCCACACAGTGGGTATCCAACAAATATTTGATTGGGTTTTGTAAAATTCCAGTTCCCAAAATGCATCATTCTGAGAGAGTTTTTAAATCTTTCTTTTTTCCTTTTACAGATTTGGCCCAACTGAAATAATTATGTGTATGGCTCTATTTGCCTAAACAAAGGCAAAAATATGTGTCTGGTCATGAGAGATCCCAGAGCCTAGTGGACCCCAAAGGGCACCTCAGTCATTCATCTGACAACCTCCATTTCCTCCTAAGTGTGGCTACTTCCTGAGGAAAGCACAAGTGACTCCAAGGCCCACTCAGAGCACCTGATCCCGACAGCACAGGGACACCCATCTCCTTCAGAGGCCTGTGCAGCCCCAGAGCCAACCCTGTCAATATCATGGCTTCCCAGGCTGGAGCTGGTGGGAGCCACATACCAGAGGCTTGGAGGGTGAGGGCTGGCACCAAGGAAAAGTGTGGGTTGACCCCAGGGAGAGGATGGGCCCAGCTGCCCCCTGCTATGGGCATTCACTGTGACAGAAGCAACCAGCACTCACCTCCCAAGGGCCTCCACAGTGTGTGGAAATAGAACGAAGTGTAATGAATGTCTGAATTTATAGCAGAGGAACATGAAAAATTGTCTCTGTTTAAGAAGGCAGGAAAACCTTTTTACTGTTGATATCAAGTTCATTGAAGTATAACATACATCCAACAAAATTTTGCATCTTTAACAAATGGAAATACCATGGAAATACTCGTGTAACTATCACAATTGATACACAGGTTTCTGTCCAAAAAGCTCTCTTTAGTCTGAGCTGGGGCCCAGACAACGACCATCTGCTGCTGATTCTCTTGATGCCTGTAGGGTCTGTTATGATGACCCTCCTCCATTCCTGGTCTTGCTAACATGTGCTCTCTCTCTTCTTGATCAGTCTAGGTTGGAGTTTATCAAGTTTGCCAGTCCCTTCAAAGAACCAACTTTTGGTTTTGCTAAATTTCTCTGTCATCTGCTCTTTATTTCATTGATTTCTGTTCTTTATTTTTTGTTAACACTTACTTTGTGTTACTTTTGCTCTTCTTTTTCTAGCATTTTAAGGTGGAACTTCAGGTCGTTGATTTTAAGCATTTCTTCTTTTGAGGATGGGCATTTAGAGCTATAAATTTCCCACTAACCAAGTAGTGTTCTAAATGCTTAATTGGAATGATTAAAATTTTATAAATTTTGTAAAAGTTTTAATCTGTAAAATTTATTCAGATTCACACATTTCCTTGAAGATGCCCCTGAAGCTTCCTTCGCATAGCACTGGGGTGATGTGGCATGTTTAGGGCTGCCCTGGCCTTGTCCCGCTGGCTGTTTCTCTTGGTTTTGGGGAGCTGTGACCCAGGGATTGGTGACCGTGGGCTCACTCAGTGATGACGACAGGAAGACGGATGTTTTTCACACAAGTGCCTGAAGAGAAAATGCACATTAATTTTTTTTTCTCTTGGATGTACAGCGTTGGTAAACCAAGTCAAGCAGAAAGGAGGTGGAAGGAAATTCCTGGCTTTCCTGGCAGCTTGTCTGTCTGGGCACTTCATGGTAGTTTGTTCACTGGCACCAGCGGACCTAGCAGGTCCCATTCATGCAAACGTTGTCTCTGCCCCCAGGCTCTCTGCAAAGCACACCAGGGTGTTTGTTTCTATACAAACTGGATTTATCCCTCTGGTCAGTCAAGCCTACTCCTTCAGATTTTAACCTGATTTGTTATGGAAAGGAGAACTGTCGAGCGGCTGCCCCTGCTGGCCTCTTCCCAATAACTTCTGAGCTTGCAGGTGGATTTCCACCGCATTTGACCTAGAGGCGGAATATTGAAGGCCTCTCCACAGGGCAGGGTCCTGCTCAGGACTGGAACGCATCCAGCCCAAGCAGAAATCTGCTGTGGACATTCCTGGGATGGGATAGGATCCAATTGAAGATTGTTACAGGACCCCAGAGGGTTAGCTCTGTGCTGGTATTGGGTACCAGTGAGCAGTGAATTTGTGAGGCCTGGTGAACCAGGCAGACTCGTGTAGAGCACAGACAAGCCTGAGAATACAGACCAGAGATATAATGGGAGCTGGGAAGTTGTGCCCACTCTGGACAGAGCTGCACCCAGGACCAGCAGACACTGAAGAAAGGAGCCCAGGGCTTCTCTGAAGCTGACAAGACTGTCCCCAAGAGAAAGGGTGCCTGGCTTCTCCTGGCCACAACATAGCCCCAGTGCAGACACAGCCAGGCCTGCCCTGTGGCTTGTGACCACAAGACGGCCTTCCTGGAGCCCAGCTGGGCCTGGAACTCAGAGCCAGGCTAGACACCTCCTCCACCCTTGCTGGCTGGCAGAGATGGGATCCTAGAGGTGTATCCAGGGTCTGGGCATAGTAGATGTTCAGTGAAAGGCAGTTGCTGCAATCATGCTGGCAATCAACGATGTAATCACCAATATCCTTTCTCCCTGAGCTATCCTCATGCTGGTGATGGTGGAGAGATTGGGGACCTCATTCTGAGGGGCCAAACCAAATGCAGGGAATACAAGGTCTGAGAGACGAACCACATGTCACGGTAGCCAGTGGCCAGTGCACGCGAACCTGTGTATATTGACTTTGATCGGCTTTGAGGCCGAACCTTCTGGGATCCCACCTCCATGGCCGAAAGGCATCTAATTCTCCTTTGATCCTGTAAAGGGCAGTTTGATTTCTCCTGTAAACATCCACAGAAACCGGAGGCCTGAGATAGTGACACTGGAAGGTGGGCAGGCTGCTAATGAGGATTCCTGGCTGCGATTCAGCCTCAGCACGCAGCTCTGTGTGCCTGGCTGTTGTTAACTGTGCAGTGCTCTGGTTAAGCGAGGCTGGGAGTGGCACTGGCGTGTTAGTAATCCGCACTCACCAGCACCACGCGGGCTCCCCGGCCTCTGTGCCTCTCGGCAATGCCGCACCCATGGGAAGGGAGGAGAAGCTCCCGCCCACCCTCCATCTGTGCCCGTGTCAGGGCTTACGGGAACATATGCTGCCTGTTACTCACTGACCATCTGTTCACAGAGCTGATGAAGTGTCCCGGTTACCCTGGCAACGAAGCCCTTGATTGGCGGCGGCTCCACAAACATTTGCTGCTCAGGTTTCACTTTTATCTGTGCTCTGGAATGGGGCTGGGTGGGGGATGCTGAGGCCTGGGGGCTGGGGATCAGCAGGCTGGGGGGTGGGCTGGAGGCTGGGGAAGCAGGCTGGGGTGGTGGGCTGAGGCTGGGAGGTCAGAAGGCTGGGGGATGGGCTGGGTACTGGGGGTCAGCAGGCTGGGGGGTGGTCTGGGGCTGGAGGAGCAGGCTGGGGGTGGTCTGAGGGCCTAGGGGTCAGCAGGCTAGGGGGTGGTCTGGGGCTGGGGGAGCAGGCTGGGAATGATCTGGGGGCTGGGGGGTCAGCAGGCTGGGAGGTGGTCTAAGGACCTGGGGGGACAGAAGGCTGAGGGATGGTCTGGGGCTGGGGGAGCAGGCTGTGGGGAGCAGGCTGGGCCTGGGGGTTCTGCAGCTGGGAGGCCAGGCTCCCCTTCTCCATTTTCCTTTCTCACCTCTCTCCCACCTCCTTTCCCTCAGCACTCACCCACCTCCAGTCCAGCCCTTCTCCCCAAAGTTCAGAGCAGGTAGAGCTGGGAATATGGCTGACCAGTCTGAGAGCTGGGTGGGGGCTTGTTCTTGTTCACCTGGTGCCACGTTCTTGTTCACCTGGTGCCACTACCTTTTTCCCAAATTGCAGGCTGGAGTCTAAGGGCTGAGGATTCTCAGCCTCCCAGTCCAGGGCAGCAGCTGCCCAGAAGCCACCTCACGGCAGTGGACATCTGTGCCCCCGTTTTGGAGACCTGGTGTGATGAGGACACATGGGCTGCAATTAGCTGTTAGCAGGGCCGTCCATGGACCACAGTCCCAGGAAGACGTTCTGCTCAGTTGCTCCGGAAGGGACCTAGGGTGCACTGCAATTGCGGAGGGGTGGTTGCTGCTGATCCCAGACCCCAGAGGGAGTTCCTGAGTTTTTAGCTTGAGTTGAGGAGCTGATAATGGAAGCTGCAGCAGCCCGTTCATGGCAGTCCCAAAAGGAGGCAAACCACCTCCTCTCCGCTAAGGACATCGGCCAAGTGCTGAGGCCAAAGGCCTGCAGATGAACCCTAGTGTGAGATGGACAGGCTGAGGCACAACACTAGTGCCAAACTGAGCCTTCGTTCTTTTCTTTAGCGAGACCTGGGATTGAGCGTCACAAAGTCTAGATTCTATTTATTCCACCGTCTCACAGTCTGGTAGCACATGTCTGTGGGGAGCCCTCCTCACTCCTGTCTGAGCTTGGAATCCTGGGACTAAGAATAGCAGCGTGGCCCTGCTCTGCACAGGACTGGTGTGAGTGCCAGAATGCTGAGTCTCAGGGCATGTGGATTGCACATTCATGGCATGTGGAGGCCACGTGGGGTCTCAGACAGCACAGGTGAGGGAGCTCTGTGTCCACAGGGACCACGACATTTTATCACAAGGGGCACAGCACGCCAGCGTCCTCTCTCCCAGGAAGAGAGGCCCCAGGCTGTCTGCTGTTGGCTGAGATGATTGAGTCACTGGCCCTGCCGCACAGCTGGGGTCAGACACGGAGGCCAGGCTCTGCTCCAGGCTCTCTGGGGCCTTCTTGTCACCGGATGCTGAGCAGAAGTGGGGTGACACAGAATGCCCACACCCCACAAACTCCCTGGGAAGTCAGTGTCTCTGAAAGATTCCATCTGGGACAAACAGAAGCCATCACTTGGTTAGAGTCCGCCCATCACGGCTCTGCCTGGAATGGAGACGGCCTGGACCCAGGTGTCATCACTCTCTCTGCTCATGGCCCCCAGAATTTTGCAAAATCTGTTTTAAAAGTTTCCTTGTAAAAGTGACCCGTCCTCCGTCAGGAGCCTGGGTCTCACTGGCCATTTTAGGAGTGCAGCCTTCCCGAGCTCAGCAGAATCCCTCCGTCACAGTGAGCACGGGTGGCACTGTCCTTCCCCTTCCTGGGTCCTCCCAGGCTGGCGACCCCTCGTGGCCTTGATTCTACCCTTTCAAAAGTCCAGCTCCCACCGGCCCCTGCAAGGCGCGCTGCGGGGTCACCACAGGTCTGTCCAGGGCACGGTCAGGCCCATGAGACCCCTTGTTCTATAGGACGCTACTCTCCTTAAAAACAGGGACTTTGTCCCTCACTGAATTGTAGTTTTCTGTATCATTCGTCATTGCAGCTTTGAAGCATCAAGAGTGTTTCCTAAATATGATTAAAATCTGGCCTTCAGACAGCTTTTGAATTAACTGACAAATGTATGTTGGGCACGAAACGGATTTAGGGACGTCTGCCCTGGGCTTTTACCAAACTCCAGCTCTTACACTTTATTATCTCACCTGAAATAAAATTGAAATTTCTTCATAATGTCTGATATATATTTTAATTTCTGGCAGAGATACATTAAAAGACCTGTTTCAAGGTTACTTGGCTAAAGAATGGAAAATGTCAGTTTTCAGCTGTACCATTTCCCATCTAGTCCAACAGTATTTAAGCTTCTCCAAACAAAAATAGAAGGAAAGCTTCCACATTTTTTTGTCAGGCCAGCATGACATTGCCACCAAAGAGACCAGCTTAAAAAAAAAAAAAAAAAAAAAACAACTACCAACCAACCTAATGTGTCAATAACAATATAAAGAGGCCCAATAAAATATGAGCAAATGAAACGCAGCGGCATGTTGAGAATTACACACCACGACTAAGGGTGGGTTGTTCTGCCCAGTGCAAGTAGCAATGACTCAGTATTGGGTCTATTAATATAAATCACCATTTAATAGAGCAAAAGAGAAAAACAGTATGACCAGCCCTAGAAATGCTGGCAAACAGTGGATGGAAGTCAACATCCTCCTCTGTGTTTTGAAGTAGAGACTGAAATGTTCATGATAAAATGGGAAGGAATGAATAGTTCTTTTACAGGATAAATGACCTCTGCCTCATCCTGACCATTCCCTACAGCCATGAGGAGGCCAAGACACTCAGAGTTTCCAGGCTGCATTCTCTCACTGCTTTGCAGGCACATCTCATGCAATTAAGGCACAGAAACTGGGAGTGCAAAAATGAGAAAGGAGCAGAGAAAGTGATGATTACTTATAGATTATTTTATTGTGCATCTGGATAACCCTGAAGGAGCAATTGCAAACAAATATGCAAAAATATAATTCAACAAGGTTAGCAAGAAATGTGAAAACGGCCCTGCCTCGGAGGGATGTGCACAGACGGGGCAGAAGCCAAGCAGGTATACAGACTTTCAATTTTTGCAAAGTTAGTCTCTGCACATATGATACAATCCCAGTTAAAAGGCTAACTTTTTAAAAACCAGACAGGCTAAATCTAAATTTGTGTAAGGAAATATTTAAGAATACATAAGACAAACCTAAAAGAAAAAACAAATAATAGAGAAACTATTACTATCAGATCTCAAAACATATTATAAAATTCCATTTAAAGCTATGTCCATTTAAAAATATGTTACTGGCAAATAAATAATTAGAAAGCATAGAAATAGACCTCAAAATACTGCAAATTATAAGACAAAGACATTCAAATCATGAGGGGAAACAGGATATTCATATAATGATGTTGACTAGGTAGTCTCCTGGAAAAACTATGAAGTTGGTTCTATACTTCACCAAAATTAATTCCAAATAGAGCAAAGGTGTAACTCCCAGAAAGAAAAAAAAAAAAGGAAGAAAAGAAGCAAAGAGGAGACCATGGGAGAATTTTTTATGACATTGGAGTAGGGAAGATCTAAACACAAGACAAAATCCAGAAGCCATAATAATGCTAAGAAATATGATGACACAAAAATAAAACCTTCTGCCTAGAATGAAACACCACCACGAGTCAATTGAAAGATAATAACAAGCTGAAAAAGAAATTTGCAATTAATACCAGAAACAGTCATTTCCAAATATTTAAATCAATAAGAAAGAGACCAGTAAGTCAATAAGTAAAAAGAAGCAAAGGATTTCAACTGAGTTCACAGAAAACAAAATATAAGGCACTCTTAACCGCATGAAGAAAATGCTCAACCTGCTCACAAAGCCCTGCTCAGGGCCAGGGTGTGGGCAGTCAGTTCTTGTGTGTTGTGAAGGCTACATAAAGCCCATCTCTTCGAAGAACAGAAAACTGGCCACATCCATCGCATGGCAAATGCATGTGAAACCTGGTCGAGCAATTCTATTAACAATTCTATTCCTATGAATTTATTCTATGGATACAATCATGCAGACGTGAAACAACGCATGTGTGGTTACTCGCAAAGGCAGGGCCCTATAAGCTTGGAAGTGGCCGTCAATGGTAGAGCAAGTCTAGAATTTGGAAAAGGCTCACACAGCACATGGCCATTAGCTGGTTTGTGATTCCTCCTTCATCATTCATCCGTCAAGGGCGTTTCTCATTAGGCCCTGGGGGTGTACTCAGCCCTGCCAAGCAGAGCAGGCACAGATTCTCCCTCAAGAGTTCAGAGCTTCTCACCCTGGCTCTTCCCTTAAGAATCTGGCTCCCAGGGCCACCTCCCAGGGACCCCATTGTCAGAGTGGAGGAACGGGCTTGGGCAGGTGTGACCTCCAGAATCCTCAGAGGCTTTTCCCGCTCTGGGAGTGGCTTCAGACCTGAATCATGGCAACCCAGCCCCCTCCTGATTACAGACCATCCTGGAGTGTTACCGTGGAGATGGGAGAGCCCAGACAACGGAGATGTTCTGAGGGAATTTCCATTCCTGTCTTCAGGACATTCTGCCAGGATGCGGACCTGCTAGAAGTATGGGACACCAGTTGTCTCTTTGCTAGAAGGCCCCCGTCCCAGGTGTGCCTCCCTGCCTCACTGTCACCTCAGCACAGTCCAGCGGGGCCAGGAGAAAACCACCAAGATAGCGCAGTCCCTGGGAAGGGGTAGCTGCCAGGCCCTACACTGTGGGAAGAGGGCTCTTGGGCTCCCCCTGGGCCCTGTGGCCTGGCAGGAGCCACCAAATGACAAAACTGGGCAGGCAACCTGTTCTGTTGTCTGGAGGGCCTCAGAGCCCACACGGCTTTCTCTGTGTACAACGTGTGCTTGGGGAACACGGGCAGCTGCCCTGACAGGAGTTTCCACACACAGAGTCCCTCCAGACTTCTGTGCCTCCACCTCAGAAACGAGCCACTCTTCCAAGCCATCAGAGTGCTTTTTGGTCCTGAATCGGGCCTTGCATTTGTACGTACCTTGGATCCGAGAGGCTGTCAGCCTAGAGAGAAGAGCACGCTGATGAGCTGCAGGGCTGGGATGGAGAACGGACAACAGAAGTCATCACCTGACTTGCACAACCACCTATGCTTTCTTCTTCATGTAGAATTCCCTTCCAGAGCCAGATAGAGTGAGAAGCAAGAAGAGAGCCATGTTGAACAAAATGCTGGGTCATAAGGCTGTGCCTGGCGCCTCTGGGGTGCCCTGTGAATGCTGACGGGCCCGCAGCTCTGCCTGGCCAAGGAGCAGCTCAGAAACGCCCCGAGTATGAGCTGATTTGACACCTGGCAGCTAGGCCTGGGCTCAGAGCAGAAGGCTTGTAGGACTTCTCAGTCAGTCGGCACCTGTCACCGCTGCGAAACACACCCTCAGTCAGTCTCACCCATCACCGCTGTGAAACACACCCTCAGTCAGTCTCACCCATCACCCCTGTGAAACACCCTCAGTCAGTTGGCACCCGTCACCGCTGTGAAACATCCTCAGTCAGCACCCATCACCGCTGTGAAACACACCCTCGGTCAGCGAGGACGCACAGTGGAGGAGCAGCCCTGCCACCCTCTTGACATAGCTCAGCCTCTCCACTGGGCAGGTGCAGAGGCACCTGCCAAGGCTTCTGCCACTGCCTGGCAGAACGGCCCTCTTCAGACTTGCTTCTTAGGAGTAGGGGCTACAGCGCTGAGTCCCACAGGTGGGTCTGGTCTGGAGGACACCCGGCACCCGGAATCTCATAGAACAGCCCTGACAAAACATTAATATCCCTGCTAATGATGCCTGGCTGTCAAAGCTGGGGCAGAAGCCTCAGTCCAGGTGGCGGAAAACACTTGGAAGGGCTTTGAGAACTTGCTTACAGAAAAGGCACCAGCTCAACAGGTAAAGTTGTTTCCTGTCATCAAAGCCAAAGGGAAAATGCAAAGTTTCAAGTCTACCTTCCCTGGCAGCTTCTTCAGACGAGGTCTCCCTGGCTCCCTGGTTTTTCTCCTGGCATGGCCCTGCCTCACGACGCCTACCATTGTTGCCATCCGTGCCAGGTTTGCCCACAGTCCGCCCTCGACTCTGTCCCCTCAGGCCTGGCTGCCGTGTGCCTTCCTGGGGGCAGCTCAGGGCTGAGTCAGACACCTCACACCACATCCTCCTTGACCCCGACGGCCTCACGCCCTCCCTGCCACAGAGAGGCTGCAGCCCACTTGGGCTGTTCCTGATGGAAAGCCCTTTGAGCCGGGCCCAGACCTGCAGCTGTGGGATCCTGAGACAGCAGCCCCTCTGGACGGCATTCAGGGTCCCAGGCAGCGCCTGTGCTGTACCGTTCATTCAGCTCCAGAGGTTCCTGCTGCTTGGCGCTCTGCTGCGAAGCCACTGCAGCCCGGCGGTGGGAGGGTGAGCCCCTCGCTCTGCCCACCTGCTGCACTGCGCTCTGCGGGACCCTTGGTGCTTCTGAAAACAAGGGTGGGTTTTGTGGGCTGAGGTGAAGCCTCTGCTGGGCCCAGAAGTCCCTTCTGAGAAGGAGAATTGGGGCCAGCTGCTGAGGCCTCGAGGAACACAGACCAGGATAGACACTTGTGTATCAGGACTTTGCTTCTAAGAAAGGAAACCTGTGAGTGTTTTTTGTTTTTTGTTTTTTTTTTAATGGAAGTCAGAGCCTGGAGTGAAGACAGCCTCTGTCCCACCCTCCGTCCTACGCGGGCGCGGTGCTGAACTGCAAAGGCAAAGCTCCCGGTGGAAATGGCCTGCCCGCTATTCTGCGCCCTCTCTGACAGGCCCTGAACAGAAGTGTGGAAATGCCTTCCGGGAGGGTGCTAGCGAAGTCACTGTCACGCCTGCAAGTTGGACTCAACTGTAACACTTTTTCTGTTTGGTTTCATGCAAACAATTCAGCCAAGCCAGCACACAGCTGCCCCAGGAGCAGATGGATTTGTAATTGCCGGAATAACGGCGTTGCGTCAGCTACCCCACACATCCTCAGCCAGACCCAAGGGTGATCTGCGGAGTCCAGGCTGAGCCGCTGCACTCTGAAGCCTGTTAAGCTATCGTTTGGGACGCATTTTCAAAGTTCCTGAAGTAGAATATGAGCATTCCTTCCTTACTGGTATTTTGACGTATGTCTCGGTGGAAGATTTTTACTCCTTGAATTAATTCCTGGAGAAAACACACTACAATTCAGAAACAAACGCAGGCTTTATGTCCCTTGTTCATATTTAAAAATTTAAAAGGCAGAGAAACATCCTTACTGGATTTCCCAGTAGCTTACTTAATGACGTGACGGATGCCTCAGCCCAACAGAGCATGGCTTAGTCCTGCCGACTGGAGCTGAGGGCTGTGTCTCCTCCAGCTCGGAGTGCACGGCATGACTTAAATTTGGGTGTGTGACCAAGGGTGTCTCACTCTGCTCCAGCCTGGAGAGGACTCGCCTATTAGAGTTACCTGCTGCCAGTCAACATTCTTCCCACAACACAATCCACATCAGTAGGATAGAACCAGTGGGTCGTGTAGGCTACATTCACTGGGGAGAGACATGAAAGTTATCTATTACAGAAGTTATCCACTATGGGAGTTATCTACTATAGAATGGCTTCAACGTGAAGTGAGTTTAAGGGCCCTGGAACTAGGGATGTGGGTTTACTGTTGGGGTCTCTGATTCTGAGAACCCACCTGATGCAAACTCTGGTGAAAGGAACATCCTCCCCCCAAATCACGCGAGTTCTCCTGATCGGATTCTCCTGACCGAGTGAACGTCCCCCTCCCGGATCACGCGAGTTCTCCTGATCGGATTCTCCTGACCGAGTGAACGTCCCCCTCCCGGATCACGCGAGTTCTCCTGATCGGATTCTCCTGACCGAGTGAACGTCCCCCTCCCGAATCACGCGAGTTCTCCTGATCAGATTCTCCTGACCGAGTGAACGACCCCCTCCCGGATCACGCGAGTTCTCCTGATCGGATTCTCCTGACTGAGTGTTTCCTGACACATGGGCACCAGGCAGTGCCTCCCTCAGGACACACAGCAAGGGGCTGTGGCCACATTTCTTCCCTTCAAGCTGCTCTTCCAATTCCTGGCCTCCCAATCTTCCTAACCACACCTCACCACAACCGTCCGACACCAGAAGCTCCAGTGGGAGTTCAAAGCCCTCAGTGCGGCTCTGACCCAGGCTGTCACAACTTGCCAACATGAACCCTGTGGCCAGAGCCCTCTGACCACTGACACCACATGTGCTTCCCCATATCCATGTCCCTGTGGCCTTTCCCCCGGGGAGCTCTTACCATGGGGTGGGGGTTTGACCTTGAAGGACACCACTGCAGCAAGCAGCACCAGCCTGGCGGGCCATGAGCCAGCACCCCACGGGTCGCACCCTTCCTCTCTGCTCCTTCCCCAAGGCCAGCTCCATAAAAGCTCTCTGGAGCCCTTCACGGCTGTGTGTCATCTCTGCAGAGCCTCTGTGGCTGTGTGGCTGGTATCCAGCGTGCTTAGCAACTCTCTCGTCAGAATGGATGCCAGCTGCTGGTGCGGGCCCTGCCGGCCCAGGTGTGGAGAGGGCACTCATGGACCCAGCACCAGCTCCTGATGCATCACCAAGAGCCTCTCAGCTCCACATCCCTGCACCAGATGGGGGCTCACAGGGCAGAGAGCTCACCAGCTCAGCAAGGCCATGTTCATGGTATGGCGAAGGTCGCCATCTGCCTCCCGCCCATTCTGATGGTCTCAGTCACAACCATGAGTCCTCCAGGCAGCTCTGCGCTCGTGCAGGCTGAGGCACCTCCACACTGACTCCACAAGGACTCAGCGAAGAATTGTGAGTAGATAGATGGTGCCTAACGCATGAGAGAGTGGTGAGGGCCACGCATGTCACCCCGTGCAGCCGTGAGCCAGGAGCACGAGCTCAAAGGACGCTGAGGGAGAGGGCAGTGGAGGGGCTTTTAGAAAATGGGCAGTGGAGCCAACCGAGAGCATTGGCAGAGGGTGACAGCACTGTCCCGGGAGGGCGTTTGTACGTGTGAGTGGCAGGGACCAGGACAGGAACCACCACTCTCCGTGTCCTTTACCTTTTTATTGTTTAAATGTGTTACAAGCTTGTGTGGCGCTCGTAATTAAAAGACAGACTTGGCCGGGCATGGTGGCTCACACCTGTAATCCCAGCACTTTGGGAGGCTGAGGCAGATGGATCACCTGAGGTCGGGAGTTCGAGACCATCCTGACCAACATGGAGAAACCCCATCTCTACTAAAAATACAAAATTAGCCGGGCATGGTGGTGCATGCCTGTAGTCCCAGCTACTCGGGAGGCTGAAGCAGGAGAATCACTCGAACCTGGGAGGTGGAGGTTGTGATGAGCCAAGATCGCACCACTGCCCTCCAGCCTAGGCAACAAGAGCGAAACTCTGTCAAAAAGAAAAAAAGGACCTGATTCTGCCTAACTCCTGCCTGTGATTTGACCTCTGACTCTGAAAACTGGGATCTTCCTGCAAAAACTTCAGAGATGAGGGCTTGCCCTGTGGAAAGCCTGGTGGTGAGGGCCTGCCCCGTGGAAAGCCTGGTGGTGAGGGCCAGACCGTCGACAGAATACGAAGGCAGAGATGAGCACTGTGGGCTGGTGGAATCACACCCAGGGCAGATCAGCAGACGCGGAGGCCTGAAGCGCCTCCATCTGAGATGGAGCTCTAGGCACTGCCTCCCGGGTGGTGGATGGAGGCAAAGGGGCCAGGATCTCCTCGGCGCCCCAGGCCCTGGCAGGCGTGGGCCTGGCTATGGAGGTAGAATCTTGTGGTATCTCAAAAGTTGATGCAGTTTTGAAATGCAGTTATTCCTTAACGCTAATTCCCTCAACTGTTCTCTCAATGAGTTCAGAAAGACTGAGATCGCAGCCTCCAAAGGCACATGCAGTGAGTACCCTTGAAGCTTCCGTTCCATTTGCCTGTTCGCTCTCTGATCGCTGCGTCCTCTGCTCTCGCCCAGCAGATGAGTGTGGCAGCTCTTACGCACTGGGAACCGTGCCAGTTGCTGGGGGCCAGGGACAGGGTGGTCTCAGACCCCTTCTCCAAGGAGAGTCAGCCGACGAACAGCACACAGGAGGTGTAAAAGCAGGAAGAGAAGAGTCAGGCTGGGGCGCCTCCCAGGGCAGGGGAAGGATGGATGCTGCCCAGCGCAGAGGACGGGAAAGGCTGGGACTGAACCACAGGTCTCTGCAGCCTGCCATACTGAGCCCCCCACCTCCCTGGGCCCATAATTTCCTTTCTCTGAGCTCCTCACGTGGCTCTCTCTGAGCCAGGGCCCCAGCAAGCCAGCAGGCAGGCACAGCGTCCCTGAGAATGAGTGCTGGTGGATTCTACGTCTTTGCTATTGTGAACAGGGCTGCAGTGGACACGCCTGTGCAGAAATCCCTTTGATATGTTGATTCCTTTTCCTCTGGGTGGATCTACAAGAGTGGGATTGCTGGATCTAATGGAAGCTCTGGCTTTAGTGTTGGGGAGCTCTCCACGCTGCTTTCCATCGAGGTTGTACTTACATTCCCACCAGCAGCGTCTAAGAGTTCCCTTTTCTCCAAATCCTCGCTAACATCTGTAATTTTTTGTCTTTTTAGTAATGGCCATTCTGACTGGGGTAAGATGGTATCTCATTGTGGTTTTGATTTGCATTTCTCTGATACTTAGTAATGATGAGAATTTTTTCATAGACCTGTTGGCCACATGTGTGTCTTCTTTTGAGAAATGTCTGTTCAGGCTTTTTGTCCACTTTTTAGTGGGATTTTTTTTCCTGTTGTTTGATTTCCTTGTACATTCAGGACATTAGTCCCCAGTCAGATAAATAGTTTGCAAATAATTTTCTCCCATTCAACCAGCTCTCTCTTCACCCTATTGCTCCCTTGTGCAGAAGCCCCTTGGTTTGACGTAGCCTCCTATGCCTGTTTTTGTTTTTGTTACCTGAGCTTTTGATCACACTAAATACCCTGACTTGACCACTACACATTAGACACACGTAACAACATTTCTCATGTACTCCATAAATTTGCACAACTAAAAACAAATAACTTTTCAAATACAAAAAATAATAAAGGATAAGCATTAGCATCAAAACCATGGAAATGATGGGTGGCTTGGGAGCCAAGCAGGGCCATGGTGGGGAAGGGCCTCCGCTCAGGGTCGCTCGTGGTCAGGGCCGGCCTGCGGACCGGCTCGGGGTCGCTCGTGGTCAGGGCCGGCCTGCGGACCGGATCGGGGTCGCTCGTGGTCAGGGCCGGCCTGCGGACCGGCTCGGGCTCTAATTCCAGCTCGGTGCTCTTCAGCAAGTCACTCTCTGAGCCTCAGTTTCTTCAGCCAGCAAGAAGAGCTTACAATAGGATTGGGGTGGCAGGTGGATCGAGCTAACGCTCATGAAAATGTTACCGCAGGCCCTAGGGCACAGAAAGCACTCAACCATGCCTGTTCCTCCCTCTTTCTGCAGGAACCCATGTGAACCCTTGAGGCATATGGGACCTAAGCTAGACACCACATGGCTGATAATTACCACTTTTCTTAGCAAATCTGCTACCTCACTCCCGCTCCCGTGACACTGAAGATAGGAGCGGAGCCCCTCAGAGGATGAGTGTGAGGAGAGGAGGCCTGAGGGGTGCCCCTCCCCACACTCCTCCAGGGGCTTCCATTAGCAGAGAAGCCTCACCCAGCTTCACACTGGGAGCTCTGGAAGCCCCCCCGAAAGGTGGAGTTCAGAGCACAGGACACAGTCCTTCTGCAGAAGACCACCTGTGACAGCTTTGCAATCACAGCCAGGATCAATATCACGTTCTCACCACTTGGCAATTTAGCAATTACTGAATTTGTGTCAAGAAAACACGCGTTCCATAAAAGAATCTTAAAATATGTTGACTCAATACCTCGGGTGATTGTCTTCGACACCCGCCCACTTTGACAATAGACATTACAGTGGCGTTCTAAATATTCTAAGGGATCTGCTGAGGCTCAGGAATTGCAGCCCTTTCTTTATGGTGAGAATGTGTAATTAGTAAATTGAATAGATTTCAACACTATTTTGGGAAACTGTTGAAGGGGCAATTGCAATGCTGCGGTGCTTGGGTCTCATTTTGTGTGTGTGTGTGTGTGTGTGTGTGTGTGTGTTAATTACATACTCAACAGCAGCTGCTGAGGCAAGATGAGCCAGTGTTTTTCTTCCTTCTCCTCCCAGGAGACACGGACTAGCTGTCACAAAGATGCGGCAGAAGTTTGTGAGTGTCCATTTGGAGTTTTCCCAGGCCAGGCCCTGGGGTCACTGCACAGCCAGCAGCCGCCTCACTCTTGCCTCCTTTCTGCTCAGGCAGAGCTAAGCTCTAGGGAACTCACTGTGAGCATTCCCACTGGGGATTCCCTGGGACTTTCTGGGTCAGGTCCCATCCCTGATCCTCTGCTGCAAGGGACTGTGATGACTGTGGTCTGGGGAGGAGGCCGAGGGCAGGGAGGGGCGTGGGCCCGGTATCCCTCAGGCCCATCACCACCCATGGCCACTGGCCAGCTCAGCTCGTGCCTGGCAGAGGATGGTAGGGGCAAAGGCCAGGTGACCCTGTGTGGAGCCTTTTAGGACCCATGGGAGCTCCTCCACCTCGTTTGTAAATGAGCCAAACAAGACCCTGGAAAGCAAGATCTGCCTAAACCTCAGGGAGAGCCCAGGCATCCGCTCAGCAACAGCTCCAGGCAGGCCGTGCCCAGGGCTGAGTATGGCCACATCATCGCTCGTCCCGCGAGGGACATGAGAGCCCTCCCGGCCTGAGCTGGCGAAGCTGAGACGGGGCCTTTCCCATGGGCTCTGCTGTGCACCGGCTGCTCACTTTGCTTTAGCAAGACCCAGCCAGACATCCCTTGCCTGGAGCAGCAGCAGCACCTGTGACCCAAACGTGGGTCAAGGGGTTTCCTCTATTGCTCTGTCCAGCCCCCACCCAGCCCCAGAGCCCTGTTTCTTAAGCAGTTTTAATAGGACTAAACTAAAGCAACTCACGACATGGTGGCGGCTCTCAAGCTCTGCTGTCCATCTGAACCTGGAGGGCCTTGCTGAACACAGGTCTTTGGCCCCACTCCAGAATTCGTGATCCAGGTGAAGCTTGAGACTGGCATTTCTCACAAGCCCTGCGATGCCGCTGGTGTGGGGACCACAGTTTGAGAACTTTGGACTTGATTGCTGATGACATTCAAAGCTTCAATTACAAGAACAAACTGAAGCTGTCTGCAGGATGCAGAGTGCCTCTGGCCCACGGTGCCTCCAACCCCCCAAGAAGGCTGCCGGCCCCTCCCGCACCAGCCACTGTGCCCTGGTTCAAAGGCCAGAGCCAGAGATGCCGGCCCCTTGTGGGTTCCGTCACCAACCAGCACTGATGGAACATGGCGATGCTGAGCTGCCAGAACAAGCCGCATTAAAACAGTGGAGTCCACCCTCCAGAACCTGCAGGGCTCAGTCCACCAGGAGGGTGCTGCTGAAGCCTCGCCATCCCCCCCGGAGGCACTGTCCCCTGCCTGGGCCTGCGCGTGGGCTGTGCTGGGACCCTCCACATGCACCCACCCTCCCCAGAAACCCTGCAGGACAGGGCCTGGGATGGGCAGGAGCCCGGTCACATCCCCCCTGCCACCTCAATGCCTGGGACCCCCTCAGTAGGCACCTGGGCCCTGCACCCTGGTAGCAGGTGGACGGCAGCATCCTGTGCCTGTTTCTGTCTTCAGTGAATGTTTAAAAAGCTACTGGAACCACATCCACGGGTGCACCCAGCAGGACCAGGGCAAGGGGTCCCAGCCCCGAGTCAGTGTCACCCCCACTCTCACTGAGAATGCCCAGTCCCCCGGGGCCAAGAGCAGACGCAGCCTGACAGAGTTGGCGGCAGATTTAGGCAAAGTCTGACACCTGCGAAGGCTCTTCCTTGATGGGGCCTGGAAGAGTGTGTGAGAGTGTCAGTGTGGGGTGAGGCTGTGTGTGAGAGTGAGTGGAACAGTGAGAGTGTGTGTGTTAGTGTGAGTGTACGTGGGAGTGAGTGTGTGAGTGTGTGTAAGAGTATGGAAGAGTGTGTGTAAGAGTGAGGGTGTGTGTTAGTGTGAGTGTATGTGGGTGTGAGGGTGTGAGTGTGTGAGTAGGAGAGAGGGTGTGTGTGTTAGTGTGAGTGTATGTGGGAGTGAGGGTGTGAGTGTGTGTGTATGTGTGTGAGGGTGTGAGGTGTGAGTGTGAGTGTATGTGTGTGAGTGTGTGTGAGGGTGTGAGGTGTGAGTGTGTGAGTGTATGTGTGTGTGAGGTGTGAGTGTGAGTGTATGTGTGTGAGTGTGTGTGAGTGTATGTGTGTGAGGTGTGAGTGTGAGTGTATGTGTGTGTGAGGTGTGAGTGTGCATGCGTGTACACATGTGTGAGTGAGGAGCCCAGGATCCCGGCTGCTTGGGTCTCCCTGGCCTCCTACGGCTCCTGAGGGGAAAGGGCTCCTGCCTGTGCCCTTTCTCACCTTCTCATCCCAATCTTTAAGGACAGAGTGGGGACAGCTCCCAAACCCAAGGCCTCAGGAACGGGGAAATGGTGGCCCCAGCTGCCAATTGGAGCAGCCTCTCTGTCCCTGGCACCTGGGAGCAGCTTCCAAGGGGCCCGAGTGGCGGAGGAAGCAGCCTCCCCAGCTCCTTCTTTAGTCCGTGGACACCCTCACAATAGCCCTTTGAATATTAACTCCTTTGTGCCCCAGATAGCATCTCATCTTCCTGAAAATGGTACCAAAATATTTGATCAGGTACCACAGCCAAATCCAGAGCAGGAAGACAGTCATTTTTCTCTGTGAGCGGCAGATGCAGACAGCCGAGAAGAAACTTGAAAGGCTTCTGCTGCCTCATCCGCCGGCCTTCCCCCGGTGAAGGCACCGCCTGTCCCGCCCCATGGGAAAGGTCACATTCCAGGGGCCCCTCCCATGTCCCCTGCAATATGGGAATCAATCTCGTGTCCCCAAGTGTCTGGAGCTGCTCTATCCCAGGCAGCCCCAGTCGAGGATCTCAGGGCCGGCCCACCTGGGCTCAGCCCCCAGTGCTGCGTGGGGGCCCCCATGTCCCTGTGGCTGCTGAATTTGAACAGTACCCACCAGAAGGCTGCTGGGGAGGGGAAGGGCACAGCGAGCCAAGTAACTGAACTGTGTGTCTGAAAGGGCCTGCTGCACGGTAGGCGGGAGGTGTTGGTCCTGTGTTCCCACCAGCCAGGCACTGAGGAAAGTCACCTCCTTCCTCCCAGCGCACCTCCCAGACACTCAGAAGCAGAAAGACCCCGAGATGGCCGGCGTGTCCTTTCCAGGAGGACACCAGGTCCTCATGCACTGTCTGCCTAGCCACCCTCACCACAGACATCACAATTCAAACCCTCCCTCTCTGCACTCTGAGCCGAGGAAACCTCTCTTCGAAGTCCTGAGCCTCTCTCTTAAACAAACCTCGAAAACAGTCCCCACTGAGGGCACTCGGAGTGCAGGGAGAAAGAGGCAAGAGTGAACCACCCTGCGCCTGGCCATGGTGCCCTGAAACACTCACGGAGCCACCCAGAGGGAGGTTCCGTGATTCCCATAGGTCAGGTGACCTCACACACCCCCTAGGCAGCCTCACCTACGGTTGCCAGAAATTTAGCAAAACAGCCAAACATGAACAGAAAACATTCAGCAGGATGGCCAGTTGTTACAGTTTGAATTTCAGATAAAGAAGAGCTCATGCTCAGTATACGTATTGCCATGCTGTATCTGGGACGTGTTTATCCTACCTGAAATTCAGATGCAACTGGACATCTGTGTTTCACCCAGCCATCCTCCTCCTACCACAGGCCCTCCCACCTGGGGGTAGCTTCTGGGAAGGGCAGGCCTTTGGCCCCCTTGTGCCACCCACATCCTCCGTCCTTCTGTCCCAGACAGAAGTGGTAACCTGCTCCCACCTCAGCCTCTTTTCTCTTCTATCAAAGTTCCAATCTTCCCCAACACTTCGTTTACTTTCCATCACCCCCTCTGCTAGGTGTGGGAAAGCCCTCACTTTGTAATGTAATTCCATTTTACACCACGACAGTGAATGACCAAGGCCCAGGGCTGGCTTTGTGGCTGGTTGCATTTAATAAGGACCTGAAAAGTCTCCCAAGGGCTCTCCAGGATAAAGAGAAGAGGAGAGAGGTGGATGCATACGAGCAGGTGATGCAGGCGGACGGAGGGCCCTGCGGGGGGAGAAGGGGCAGCCTGGCCCGGGTTTGCCAGAGAGGAGAGTCTCGGCTGTGCTGGAGCCTGGGTCCTGAACGCAGCCGCAGGACCCAGCAAGGCCTCTCGGACAGCCTGGCCTTGTGCCATGGGCACTGCTGGATGCAGGCCCCGCGGGCCCTGGGGCATGTCCTCTGTGAGGCACCGGGGAGCAGACTTGGGTCTCAGAGAGTGCAGAGGAATCACATTTGTCATCCGCCAACTTTCCTTAACTCAAAGGCCATTAGAGCATTCTCGTTTTCTCCTTAATGCAAGGAGGCAATGTGTGACCTTAGATCTGTGGAAAAAATGAAAAAAACAAGGTGGAGGTGGCACCATTTTTAAAATGAGCTTCCTGCTCGTTGTGGCCATGGAGTGCTCCCCGTGCCTCGGAGTCTCAGGCCGCATTCCGGGGCCAAGCAGGGTCCTGGGCCCAGGACGGAGGTGCCGGCAAGAGCGGGCCTGGGTGGACGGGCACGAGAGGAAGTGCGAGTCCAAACAGAGCCCAGGGCTGGCCTCGGCTCCAGCCTCCCCTGCCACACTGCACCTGTCGGTGCCCGGTGGGTGCTGAGTGCCGCACGGTGCATTCCACCCACCACTGACGCAACTGTCAGTCACGCAGCCGAGAGGTGGGCACTTTACAGAAGAGGAAGCGGAGACTCACAGAAGAGAAACACCAAGCCCAACACCGAGCAGTTTGTGGGTGGCAGGGTCTGCATGGAAGCAGGGTCCACCTGACCCCATGTCCACACCCCGAGCCCACATCCCACATCCCAGATTCCAAACCCACCGGCAGTCCACACCAGATCAGCTCTGTGGGAGGCTGCGTTTGCTGATGAAATGGCTGCCCGCTACTGTGCGCAGAAGAACCTGTTCCCTACAGAATCTGTGTAGATGACTTGGTTTCTGTCACATGGATGTGCCACTGTGAGCTTCATAAATAAGAACAGCAAGCCAGGCCAGACGCAGTGGCTCACGCCTGTAATCCCAACACTTTGTGAGGCCGAGGCAGGTGGATCACCTGAGGCCAGAAGTTCGAGACCAGCCTGGCCAACATGGTGAAACCTCATTGCTACTAAAAATACAAAAAATTTGCTGAGTGTGGTGGTGCTGCCCGTAGTCCCAGCTACGTAGGAGGCTGGGAAAAGATAATCATTTGAACCTGGGAGACGGATGTTGCAGTGAGCCGAGATTGCGCCGCTGCACTCCAGCCTGGGTGACAGAGCAAGACTCCGTCTTGGGGGGAAAACAACCCAGCAAGTCAGGGTGCACAACAGACCCTCCTGGGAATGGCCTGAATCGCTCCTTGTGGATGGCCAGGCACATCCCCTCAGTCCAGCCAAAGCACAGAGCCCTTCCTGCGCTCTGTCCCCTGCCCATATCTGCCCCTGCTTTCCAGACTCCATCCACTCAGTGAATGGACTCCCATTAGGGCACCGCATGTCTGCCCTCTGGGAGCGCCCTCTCCAGCTCCATGTCGGGGGCACATTTCCTCCTGGAGTCCCTGTGAGTCACGTCCCAACCACAGCCTCCTCGGCACCCGCCCTACCAGGCCATCCCGCCCATCATGCCCACCTGCAGGCATGTTCTGGATGGGCTGTCTTGTGCTTTGTTGTTTTTGCTTGTTTGTCTTGTTTGGTTTGGTTGTTTGTTTTGTTGTTGTTGTTGTTTGTTGTTTGCTTGGTTTTTTTTTTTTACAGAGTCTCGCTCTGTTGCCCAGGCTGGAGTGCAGTGGTGCAATCTCGGCTCACTGCAACCTCCGCCTCCCGGGTTCAAGTGATTCTCCTGCCTCAGCCTCCCAAGTAGCTGGGACTACAGGCATCCCCCCACCTCCGACCACCACACCTGGCTAGTTTTTGTATTTTTAATAGAGACAGGGTTTCACCATGTTGGCCAGGAGGTTTGTTTTGTTCTAATTCAAGCCAACACTTAGAATTTTAACAATTTGGCACAGAAGCCTGGCTTTCTGCCTGCCTTCTCCACAGGACGACCTCTGACAGTTGGGATGGTTAGCATGCTCTCTGGGCTTCTCTGTGATCTACACACAACTTCCCTGCCTTTCCCTGCCTGCTGGGCCTGCTGCTCTGATCTTGGCCCCTGGGACCTTCCTAAAAGTCAGGAGCTGGCACTGACGTCCGGGGCTCCAAAGCAGCACACCTGCTCACACAGAGCTCACCTCTCCAGCACGGCTCACTCGCCTCAGCTGCAGGCCTGGCCCTCTTAGCTGCAGGGCACGTACAAGGCCCCAGGGTAGTGCGAGAGGAACTTTGGAGCAAACCAGCTTCATGACCCTGTGTCCTGCCTGAGTAAATGCCTTTCAGCCTCTTTATCACCAGTGTCTCCTGGCTCCAGGGCCCTGCCTGAATACCCTTGGGCACCTCAAGCCCTCAGAGGCTGGTGTTGCCCAGTCTTCCCACAGAGGGGCCTGCCTGGTTCCAGCAGCTGCCCACTGGGTCTCCAGGCCCTCCACACCCAGCAGCTGCTGACAGCTCCACCTAAACTGGGGCCAGCCCGGTACCATGGAGATGGGACGTGTTTGCAGAGATGGCGTCCAAAGGATTTGCAGAGCTACTGGGAGGTGGGAAGAACAAGAAGTATCCCAAATGGTAGCAGTGCCAGCCTGGCTGCTGGGGCCAAGGACCCAAAGGGGATAGGGGCAGGAGGAGCCCCTATCCCTTAGGAGGAGCCACTATCCCACAGGAGGAGTCCCTATCCCGTAAGAGGAGCTCATATCCTGCAGGAGGAGTCCCTATCCCGTAAGAGGAGCTCATATCCTGCAGGAGGAGTCCCTATCCCATAGGAGGAGCCCCTATCCCACAGGAGGAGTCCCTATCCCACAGGAGGAGTCCCTATCCCATAGGAGGAGTCCCTATCCCATAGGAGGAGTCCCTATCCCATAGGAGTCCCTATCCCACAGGAGGAGTCCCTATCCCACAGGAGGAGCCCCTATCCCACAGGAGGAGCCCCTATCCCACAGGAGGAGCCCCTATCACACAGGAGGAGCCCCTATCCCACAGGAGGACTCCCTATCCCACAGGAGGAGCCCCTATCCCACAGGAGGAGCCCCTATCCCACAGGAGGAGTCCCTATCCCACAGGAGGAGTCCCTATCCCACAGGAGGAGCCCCTATCCCACAGGAGGAGTCCCTATCCCACAGGAGGAGCCACTATCCCATAGGAGGAGTCCCTATCCCATAGGAGTCCCTATCCCACAGGAGGAGCCCCTATCCCACAGGAGGAGCCCCTATCCCACAGGAGGACTCCCTATCCCACAGGAGGAGCCCCTATCCCACAGGAGGAGCCCCTATCCCACAGGAGGAGCCCCTATCCCACAGGAGGAATCCCTATCCCACAGGAGGAGCCCCTATCCCACAGGAGGAGCCCCTATCCCGTAAGAGGAGCTCATATCCCGCAGGAGGAGCCCCTATCCCGTAAGAGGAGCTCATATCCCGCAGGAGGAGCCCCTATCCCGCAGGAGGAGTCCCTATCCCGCAGGAGGAGTCCCTATCCCGCAGGAGGAGCCCCTATCCCGCAGGAGGAGCCCCTATCCCACAGGAGGAGCCCCTATCCCACAGGAGGAATCCCTATCCCACAGGAGGAGCCCCTATCCCACAGGAGGAGTCCCTATCCCACAGGAGGAGCCCCTATCCCACAGGAGGAATCCCTATCCCACAGGAGGAGTCCCTATCCCACAGGAGGAGCCCCTATCCCACAGGAGGAATCCCTATCCCACAGGAGGAGCCCCTATCCCACAGGAGGAGCCCCTATCCCACAGGAGGAGCCCCTATCCCACAGGAGGAGCCCCTATCCCACAGGAGGAGCCCCTATCCCACAGGAGGAGTCCTTATCCCGTAAGAGGAGCTCATATCCTGCAGGAGGAGTCCCTATGCCACAGGAGGAGCCCCTATCCCACAGGAGGAGTCCCTATCCCACAGGAGGAGCCCCTATCCCACAGGAGGAGCCCCTATCCCACAGGAGGAATCCCTATCCCACAGGAGGAGCCCCTATCCCACAGGAGGAGTCCCTATCCCGTAAGAGGAGCCCCTATCCCACAGGAGGAGTCCCTATCCCACAGGAGGAGCCACTATCCCATAGGAGGAGTCCCTATCCCATAGGAGTCCCTATCCCACAGGAGGAGCCCCTATCCCACAGGAGGAGCCCCTATCCCACAGGAGGAGTCCCTATCCCGTAAGAGGAGCTCATATCCTGCAGGAGGAGTCCCTATCCCACAGGAGGAGTCCCTATCCCACAGGAGGAGCCACTATCCCATAGGAGGAGTCCCTATCCCATAGGAGTCCCTATCCCACAGGAGGAGCCCCTATCCCACAGGAGGAGCCCCTATCCCACAGGAGGAGTCCCTATCCCGTAAGAGGAGCTCATATCCTGCAGGAGGAGTCCCTATGCCACAGGAGGAGCCCCTATCCCACAGGAGGAGTCCCTATCCCACAGGAGGAGCCCCTATCCCACAGGAGGAGCCCCTATCCTGGGTGGCCGGGGACACAAGGTTGTGAAGGGGACAGAGCGATGAGTGGGAATGCCCACACTGGGGGTCGGGGTGGCTGGGGACACAAGAGAGGATGTGAGTCAGACCCGAAAGTGAAAGTCCTGCTGGCTCAGCCGCATGCTGGACCTCACAGTAAGCAAGTGCTGCCACAGGAGTCTTTATGTACAAGAGTGACAATATCAGAGTTTTCTTGCAGGATGACCATCTCAGCGGTGCCTGGTGGAGCAAATGAGGTGACAGTTGAAGGTGGTGGGGACTCTGTGAACAGCAAATGCAGGAAAGGGAAGCCAAGAAACACTTCATTTAAAGCTTGAAATAGGAGTTGCCAGAGGCGTTAGCCCAGGTCCCTCAGCAGGAAACAGGACCTTGGGGTGTCTAACCCCCAACCCTGTGCCCCAGGGTTATGGGGTCTATGAGTTCTGCAAGGGTTCCCAAAAATACATAAGAACTGGAGCAAAGATTCTTTTCTCCAAAATATGAAAGTAAAAAATCCGATTGATATTTGAATGCTTACAAACAAAATTTCCCATCTATGAGCACAATGCATATGAGCACAGTGCACCTCAACCCTCACATACTTCCTATCAATTCTACTTCGTGTGGGCTACTGAGGCAGTTTCACACGTTTGGTGGGATTTGCATGGAGCCTCCAGATGTCGGAGGTCTTGAAGCCTGAGACGCAGAGAGAGAAAAAGGAGAAAGGGAGTGAGAGAGAAGCAGTGAGTGACCACAGAGGAGCGCTGAGACTTCCTCCTCCTAATACCCCACTTTTTCCAACTCGAGTGTCAAGGACTTTGCATGCACTGGGGCCTGGGAAAGCCACAGTTCAGTGGTCCTACTGTGGTTTTTAGGGCCACAAAGAACCTTTCACTTTGCCCTCAAACCAAATTGGTACCCTCCTATTGCTGAAGACAGCTTCCTTTGTTTTCCATTTCAGCAGAAACAAGTGAGGTAGCAGAGAAGCACTGAGGACCCCAAAAAGCCCCCTAGGGTTCGGATCTCGCCCAAGAGAGGCATCATGACTGCAGGTTTGGGCACGGGGGTGGGAAATGGAGGCCTCCACTCATCCTTAACACACAGGGACCTGTGTGGCTGGCGTTCATTGTGCTAAGCGTCTTAGAAAAATAGCTATTAAATATATAAACTGTTAAATGTGTATGAATCCCTTGTACCTAATGGCAAAGATGAGACACTCACATGGCATGCATTCAGACCGAAGGGGCTGCTCCTGAGTGCTCTGACCACAAAACACAGGGGCCGGGGGCCTGCACATCAGAGGCCTGGAGATGAGGCGCCCTGAGGCACTAACTAAATGTTTGGGTATGCCTAGGAGGTCAAGAATAACTAAGCTCGTGCGTAGCCTAAGAAATGCTGAATAATTTTCTAAGAAAAATGATGGCAGATACAACATTCATAATATCTGGCACATAGAGGGTACACAAATATTTGTTGCATATTTGAATGAATAGCAGAGCATTTGCATTTTTGTGTAATTTTTATCATCGTATAATCAAAATCCAAAATTCATAGCAACATCCACCAGGCAAAGAGCTCAATGGGCTTCCCTCTCCACACCTGCTCCCGTTAGCCCCCAGCATCAAGTGGTTTGTGGCCAGCACCCTCTCCCTCCCCTGGTGATGACCAGAAGACAGAAAAAGATGCAGGAAGGGGCTTCTCAGCATGCTCCTGTCCACCCACAAATAGGCCAAAGGGCCCCTCCTCACCCCCTGACCCCATGCCCCTCACGCCTTCAAGGTGGCGCTGGGGGAACTGCGCTGGGGGAGCTCCGCTCAGAGACGCTGAGACCCCTTCGCAGTGGAGTTACGCTCACTCACTTCTGCAGCTGCCGAGGGGATGCCCCTCTCAGGAGCCATGTGTCAGGGTGCCCTTCCCTTCACTTTCCTCTTTTGTCACCGACCTTCACAGATCATGCTCCTTTAACACAACCAACAGTCTTATGAAACAAAGCTTCTGAGAAATCACAGTACGATTCCACAGATCTGGCCCGAAGACCTGGAAAGAACCTGAAGAATCGTGCTTTGAAGGTCCAAGAAGGGAAAGGAGAAGAACGCCACCCAGGAATGCAGGGGAACAGGTGCACTCGGATAAAAAGCCACACACCGCGCTGCACCGCAGGGAATGCAGAAAGGACAGGCACACTCAGGTCCATGACCTCACTGCCCAGGATGAGCACGAGAAAGAGGCAGCTCAGGACGGAGACATGGGAAGGGTGGGAGATGCCGGCAGGCAGAGAAGTGAGAGCCAAGTCCCGTCCTGGGGAGCAGACACACGTCGGGTGGCAGGGGCTGAGGGAGGGCTTGGAAAAGAGGCTGTAGAGGTGCCAGGCCCAGAGTGAGTAGCAAGGGCCATGGGAGCCAAGCGGTGCTTGGGGCTGGGGCCCAGGAACGGAGCTGGGGGTGCCCGGCCCAGCCTCCCACTCCTCGCTGTTCCCCAGGTGCAGAGCAGGGTGGAGGTGGACCTGAGTCTGGGAGCTGAAGGAAGTGGGAAGGGGCTGAGGCTCCTGGAGAGGAAGAAAGTGTCCTCTGAGAGATGCTGGCACACATCCTCCAGAAAGTCCCAGGCTGGCTAGGGCCGGCTGCTTGGTGACACAGGCTCCTGGGTCCTGGGACCAGCCCTGACCACTGCTGGCACAGCAAAGCTGGTCACCCGACGGCTGCCCTGTGGAGAGGACCAGGCAGACAAAATGGAAACCACCATCCAGCAGGTGGTCCGGCCACAGCCCCAGTCACCGAGACTCCTGAAGACGGTCAAGGCCAGGAGCCCAGGCCAGCCCCCACCTTCCACCTCCCTGCAGCTGGTTGTGGCCACAAGGTAAGTCCACCAATGAGCATCAACCGTGGTGTTTGTAGGACTTCGGGTGGCTTTTTAAAAGTAGGCTGTGTGTATCATACAAACCAGGAAGTCCTACAAAGAGAGGGGGTAACAAGCACAGACCAGCAGCACCAGGATGTGCAGACACCACAGAGCACCCTTTAGCTCTTCCTCCTCCCTCCGTCCCCCCCACACCTTACATGTTATTATCAAAGCATTTACATAATGCCCCTCAACCCAGCAGTCACTCTGAAATGAGATTCTCAGCAGTGAGAGGTCCTGGGAGTGGAAGCCCTGGAGTCAAAGCAGGAAGGGAAATGGAGCTTGGATCCCTAAGGGACCTGCATTCCTGCCTTGGGGCTGCTTGGGCTGGGATCTGGGCCTACCACATAGGAGCTGCTCAAGAGCTAGCCATTCAACTCCCGCCTACCTTCATAGTCTCTGAAATAGGGGGGGCCACGTGCCCATCGTGAGGAGCAGGTGCCAGCTCCTTTTATGGAGAGACTGGATGTCTGCTGGGCTGGAGCTGCTCATGTAGGTGTTGACAGAACACTGCCCAGACCAAGGCTCTGAGGAGGACAGAAGTGGGAGAAAACTGAGGCAGAAGCCAGCGAGGGGGAAGTGATGGGGAGGGGGCTGGTGCTGTGCCATAACCTTCACTGGCCCTGGTGGGCAGGCTCAGAGCTCGCCGGGCACCCCTCACAACCAGGGGGTCCACCTGGAGCATCGGGCAGGTTTGGAACGGTGACCTCCACATCGGGCGTGTTTGGAACGGTGACCTCCACATCGGGCGTGTTTGGAACGGAGGCCTCCAATCAGCGAACATTGCAAAGCACCTAGCCACGCACACACTCTGGTGTGGGGATGGTGAGATCATCTGGGTGCATAAAGTGGTGATGGCCACACAGACGTTAGCTGTAACGTTCACCAACAACTCATCTCCAAAGGAGCCAGGGAACAAGGCCTGCCTGGGGCAGTCAGGGGAGGTGCTCAGCAGGCAGGGGCGGGAGGGGCAGAAGCGGTGCCTGAGCTGGACCTGGAGGGACTGGTGAGAAGTGGAAGAGCGGAGGGAAGAAGCGGCTGCGGAGGCTGCGGAGGCTGGGCCTGGTCTGGGGAGGCTGGGCCTGGTCTGGGGAGGCTGTGGAGGCTGGGCCTGGTCTGGGGAGGCTTGTCGGGACCAGGGGAGGGTGACACCCAGTCGGTAAGGAGAGGCATTGGCTGCATGCTGGCCCCCGTGCTGAGGTTGTCTGGTTGAAGGGGAAGCCCAGCTCAGTGACCAGTGGCCTTGGCCAGAGCAATGTGGCTTCGAGGACAACCACAGGTGTCTTCCTGGATCAGCACCTGCCTGCCCCGGCCCAGCCTGGGAGAAGGACTCAGGTGTTCTTCTTGAAGAGGGTCTAGCTCTAGGGACAACTGGGAGGAGGGGGCTGGCACAGGTACCAATCACTCTGCCCCCTGCACCCAGATTTTTATAGAAATGGAAGCAAGTTACAAATCAGCATGGGGTGGGCTTTGCAGGAAATATAGTTATAGTGGAGGGGGCAGTCAGGGGTGCAAGGAGAGGAGGCTTCTGGGGACCTCAGCCAGGCTCATGAGACCCTCCATGGTAGACTGTGGGAAAACTTATCAGGGCAGGAGGAGAAAAGGGGCCCCTTTTCAATGGTATTTTTCAGCCTGCAAGAGGAAAGCAGCCTTTTTCCTATCGTTTTGCTTAGAGGCCCAAATTCTTTGTCACCCAGGCCAAAGCAGCCTGCCTGTCTTTCTGAACCCCTCACAGGGTAGCCCTGGGTGTCTTGTGAGCAGCACTGGGTTCACACAGTTCACCCGCACCCCAGATGCCTGAGCCTGATCCTATAGCTATGTGCAGTTCCCATGCCCTCTCCCCTCCGTGCGGCCGACTGGGGCAGCCAGCAGGTTCTCAAGCCTCCCACTTGAGGAAGGGGGCACCGTGCTGCTCTGCACCCGCCGTCTGACTCGCCTCAGCCCCAGATCCCTGAGAAGTGTGGTTCTGCCAAGAGGCAGCAGGCTGGATTGAAGGACCTTTTTGGATTCCTTCCCTCACAAATCCCCACCAGTGTACTCATGAGAGCCCATGAATGGTTAAAAAACAAAGCTGTAAGAGAGAGAGGTTCCCACATAAAACAAGAGTGTTAAAGTGTGAAACAGGAGGTTTGGCCCTCACCCCTCCTCTCTCTGGGAGAGTTAGGGGGTTTCCCCGCCCACGCCCTGAGAGACCATCAACACCGTGCAGGCCGGTCTGTGCTTCACAGGGCTGGCTCCTGCCTTCCTCCTTTGTGAACTCAGGGATTCATGGAGCTAAGCCATCAACACCTGGCTGAGAAGTAGGGCCTCTCCACCTTCCTCCCACTCTGCTCACAAATGGCCCTGAGGAGTGTCAGAGATCAAAGGGGCCAGCGCCCTGGCCTTCTGCTGCTCAGCCCCATAACTGCCCTCAGAGGACGGGAATTCACACCTGCTGGTGGTGGAGGGGGCCCAAGGTGTGGAGGACTGTGTTGGCTGCGGCATCATCTGCAAAGGTGAGTGAGCTTGAACTTTCACAAGGTGGCCCCAAGCCACCATAGGGGTAACAAGACAAAAGGTGTCTCCCTTCCTACATTACAGAAGGCGTTTGTGGAATTCACATCCCACTGGGTCCTTTTTTCACAGTTCCTTGGCTTGAGGCCTCTGATCCTGCTTTCCACAAGCTGACTGGGTGTCACCAAGGCCCCAGAAGGGCCCGGAGCTCCCCCTTCTCTCACCCACTCCCCGATTATGTGCTCCCAGCACAGCTCTGCAGCCAGAGGGTGAGGCTGCAAGCGAGATTCCGAGGCTGACTGATAGGCCTTCACCAGGCGGAGCCATCTTGAAGGAGAAAGAGGGAGACGGGGACGCTGTTGTGAATGGGTGGATACGTCAAGATGTGAGAAACTGAAGCTAGTAGCTGGAGTGGATCCACAGGGATTTCTATAGGCAGCCGAGTTTCCTGAACTTTTCCCGTGAAACTGACTTTGCTTTAACGAGAGCAACTGCACTGGCCATTCCCACAGGTATCTCTAGCCCCTCGTCTACGTGAAATGAGTGCATTCACTCAGATAAATCTCTAAAATGGTGGCTGGAGGCTGTTATTAGGAGGCTAGTAAAGATTTTATGCTTGATATAATATTGCCTGTGACTTAGCCACTGTTGTAGAACAATATTTTGCCTGAAACTCTTCAAATGATGTTTTGGTAGCTGTTTCTGCTCATTTTGGTTAATGTTTTTGCAGCAATAAGTCTGAGCAGCTGGATCTTTTGTTCCTCACACAGCATATTCCAGGTGGGCTGCCTGAATCCTGCATCCTAAACCCTATAAAATACCATTTCAGGAACAACTGGGTTTTTGTCTACAAGAAATTATCCCTATAATAGCTTGTATATGCCGTGAAGTAATGAGATGGTTGTTAATAGAAAAATATTTCCTAGAATAGACCATTTTTATTCAAACATCTGCCAACATGAAAACTATGTACACAGCATTGCAATGGAGTCATCGCTTTCCTAACAGTTTTCCTACAGCCTGATACCCACACCATGTACAACCTGACTGATACACCATTTACAGCCTGACTGACTGACGCCCACACCATTTACAGCCTGACTGACTGACACCTACACCATTTACAGCCTGACTGACTGACACCCACACCGTTTACAGCCTGACTGACTGACACCCACACCATTTACAGGCTGACTGACTGACACCCACACCATTTACAGCCTGACTGACTGACACCCACACCATTTACAGCCTGACTGACACACACACCGTTTACAGACTGACTGACTGACACACACACCATTTATAGACTGACTGACACCCACACCATTTACAGCCTGACTGACTGACACCCACACCATTTACAGCCTGACTGACTGACACCCACACCATTTACAGCCTGACTGACTGACACCCACACCATTTACAGCCTGACTGACACCCACACCATTTACAGCCTGACTGACTGACACCCACACCGTTTACAGCCTGACTGACTGACACCCACACCATTTACAGCCTGACTGACTGACACCCACACCGTTTACAGCCTGACTGACTGACACCCACACCATTTACAGGCTGACTGACACCCACACCATTTACAGCCTGACTGACACCCACACCCTTTACAGCCTGACTGACTGACACCCACACCATTTACAGCCTGACTGACTGACACCCACACCATTTATAGCCTGACTGACACCCACACCATTTACAGCCTGACTGACACCCACACCGTTTACAGCCTGACTGACACCCACACCATTTACAGCCTGACTGACTGACACCCACACCGTTTACAGCCTGACTGACTGACACCCACACCATTTATAGCCTGACTGACACCCACACCATTTACAGCCTGACTGACACCCACACCATTTACAGCCTGACTGACTGACACCCACACCATTTACAGCCTGACTGACTGACACCCACACCATTTATAGCCTGACTGACACCCACACCATTTACAGCCTGACTGACTGACACCCACACCATTTACAGCCTGACTGACTGACACCCACACCATTTACAGCCTGACTGACACCCACACCATTTATAGCCTGACTGACACCCACACCATTTACAGCCTGACTGACTGACACCCACACCATTTACAGCCTGACTGACACCCACACCATTTACAGCCTGACTGACACCCACACCGTTTACAGCCTGACTGACTGACACCCACACCATTTATAGCCTGACTGACACCCACACCATTTACAGCCTGACTGACTGACACCCACACCGTTTACAGCCTGACTGACTGACACCCACACCATTTACAGCCTGACTGACTGACACCCACACCGTTTACAGCCTGACTGACTGACACCCACACCATTTACAGGCTGACTGACACCCACACCATTTACAGCCTGACTGACACCCACACCCTTTACAGCCTGACTGACTGACACCCACACCATTTACAGCCTGACTGACTGACACCCACACCCTTTACAGCCTGACTGACTGACACCCACACCATTTACAGGCTGACTGACACCCACACCATTTACAGCCTGACTGACTGACACCCACACCATTTACAGCCTGACTGACACCCACACCATTTACAGCCTGACTGACTGACACCCACACCCTTTACAGCCTGACTGACTGACACCCCCACCATTTACAGCCTGACTGACTGACACCCACACCCTTTACAGCCTGACTGACTGACACCCACACCATTTACAGCCTGACTGACACCCACACCATTTACAGCCTGACTGACTGACACCCACACCATTTACAGCCTGACTGACACCCACACCATTTACAGCCTGACTGACTGACACACACACCATTTACAGCCTGACTGACTGACACCCACACCATTTACAGCCTGACTGACTGACACCCACACCATTTACCCCTTCGTGTTGGCACATCGAAGAGCAGCATCTTAGTGGTCTGAGTCACAGTGACAAAACTTTCAGGTAGGTCCACCCTTTAGCTGTAGATGGAGCAGGTGCCCCCTGCAGAAGAATCTGCCTACATCCCACGCCAGAACTGGGCCTCGCTCCACAGACAGGGAGGAGGAGAAAGTGCAGCCAGTTTCCAAAACAGGCATAATTTAGATGTGCCCAGGCTCTGATCCAGATGCACCCTGTGCTGAGACTGCAGAAGCTGCTGTCATCGACCCCTCAGCACCCTACTGTGAGCTTTGCTCCGTAACCACTCCTGTGACAAGCAAACGAATTAAATAGCGTGAAGGATGGCCACCCTGGACTCTGTCCACAGAGGTGCCAGCTGAGAGTGTGCTCTGACCGTGGCACACCGGTCCCTCCGGGCACTAAAATGAGACCCTGTTCATTTCGTGTCTCCCACCAAGCAGCTGTCAGGCGACAGTGGCTTTTGGTCCCCGTGTCCTGTGAGACAGTTTCAAACAGGTGGTCTATACAGGTTTTAAAAATTCCCTATCCCATTACTGGTTCCCAAAGCTATCCAATTCCCCCTCCTTCTTCTGGGGAGAATGTTGTTATGAACAGAAACCCTGAATCGGAGGTTGCTTCTTCTTTCCTTTCTCCCACATTATTCCTCAGCCTCCTCAGAAGACCCACGACCAAACACAGGAGGAGTCTTCCCTTTGGGGCCGAGTTGCTTCAGAAAGGCTCAGAGTGGCTGACAAGCTTCTCTGGGTACAGATGGGTGCACAACCATCTCAGCAAATGCCAATGCTTTTCAGCAAATAAAGCCCAAGGGGTGACTGGCGATGGCTTTGGGGCTGCAGTATGTCTATGCTGGATGACTGTTTGGGGGACGCAGCCCTTCCCTCTATTCAAAGTGCTATGTAGCTTATATTTATTTAAATGAGTTAAAACTTATCTTCTTTGGAGACTTTTTTTTTTTTTTTTTTGAGACGGAGTCTCGCTCTGTCGCCCAGGCCGGACTGCGGACTGCAGTGGCGCAATCTCGGCTCACTGCAAGCTCCGCTTCCCGGGTTCACGCCATTCTCCTGCCTCAGCTTCCCGAGTAGCTGGGACTACAGGCGCCCGCCACCGCGCCTGGCTAATTTTTTGTATTTTTAGTAGAGACAGGGTTTCACCTTGTTAGCCAGGATGTTCTCGATCTCCTGACCTCATGATCCACCTGCCTCGGCCTCCCAAAGTGCTGGGATTACAGGCGTGAGCCACCGTGCCCGGCCGAGACATTTTAACATAGACAAGACCATCAGACTCAGAGGAGAACCTGCAGACCATCTGGTCCAGTGTTCTAGCCAGGGGGCCACAGAATCTCCCGTGTGCTCTGAGACCGCTGACGTGCTATGGCCTCAGGGGGCCACGGAATCTCCCGTGTGCTCTGAGACCACTGACGTGCTCTGGCCTCAGGGGGCCACGGAATCTCCCGTGTGCTCTGAGACCACTGACGTGCTCTGGCCTCAGGGGGCCCACGGAATCTCCCGTGTGCTCTGAGACCACTGACGTGCTATGGCCTCAGGGTGCCACGGAATCTCCCGTGTGCTCTGAGACCACTGACGTGCTACGGCCTCAGGGGGCCCGGAATCTCCCATGTGCTCTGAGACCACTGATGTGCTATGGCCTCAGGGTGCCACGGAATCTCCCGTGTGCTCTGAGACCACTGACGTGCTATGGCCTCGGGGGCCCACAGAATCTCCCGTGTGCTCTGAGACCACTGACGTGCATGGCCTCACGGTGACACGGAATCTCCCGTGTGCTCTGAGACCACTGACGTGCTATGGCCTCAGGGGGCCATGGAATCTCCCGTGTGCTCTGAGACCACTGACGTGCTACGGCCTCAGGGGGCCCGGAATCTCCCATGTGCTCTGAGACCACTGATGTGCTATGGCCTCAGGGTGCCACGGAATCTCCTGTGTGCTCTGAGACCACTGACGTGCTATGGCCTCGGGGGCCCACAGAATCTCCCGTGTGCTCTGAGACCACTGACGTGCATGGCCTCACGGTGACACGGAATCTCCCGTGTGCTCTGAGACCACTGACGTGCTATGGCCTCAGGGGGCCATGGAATCTCCCGTGTGCTCTGAGACCACTGACGTGCTACGGCCTCAGGGGGCCCGGAATCTCCCATGTGCTCTGAGACCACTGACGTGCTATGGCCTCAGGGTGCCACGGAATCTCCCGTGTGCTCTGAGACCACTGACGTGCTACAGCCTCAGGGGGCCCAGAATCTCCCATGTGCTCTGAGACCACTGACGTGCTATGGCCTCAGGGTGCCACGGAATCTCCCGTGTGCTCTGAGACCACTGACGTGCTATGGCCTCGGGGGCCCACAGAATCTCCCGTGTGCTCTGAGACCACTGACGTGCTATGGCCTAAGGGTGCCACGGAATCTCCCGTGTGCTCTGAGACCACTGACGTGCTATGGCCTCAGGCATGGTTCTGGCTCGGTCAGCCTGGGGGCTCTGGTAATGTACACTCTAAAAAGGCATCAGGATTGATTCTAATCTGTGGCCATGTTGAGAACTGTTGTATAGATAAAAAAGCAGAAGCCAAGGTATTTGTTTAAACATGTTTTGTGACATATTTGGGGGATGTAACCCTTGGAAAATGGCAGTCACCCTGGGATTCCTGGACTGGTAGCTGTGGGAACTCCCACGTGCCAAAAGTGCAGCCCCAGACTCTCCAGGTAAAATCAAGGTTCTGCTGACTGTTCCCCAGGTAACATGCAATGCACTTTGTTTCCTGACTGACTGTGGGTGTTAGTTCACTGCAATATAACAAGCACATATTAAGAATGTTTATGCCAGGCCCTCTGGGAAATACCATATTTATGTGCACGTATGTACAAATCCTCGTGCCTGCGTTCAGGAAGGAGAGGGGAGAGGGGTCTCCCCAGGCAGGCAGCCAGAGGACAATGCGGCACAGGACGGTGCACCAGCTTCTGTGCTCTAAGCAGGGGATTCTCTCTCTCTCTGCACTGGAAGATAAGATAAACGCATTGCTTTTAAAATGAGCCACCCTCACGTCCTCTTCATGCCTCCGTGGTGTAAGCACTTCTAACCAGCTGTGCTTTTCTCAAGCCAAGAACTGAGACGCAGTTTCAGGACCAGACCTTTTCACTGGGGCCTAGAATGTCAGCTCCCACAGCCACTTAAGGAAACAGAAGTATGTGCAACAATTTTACTCTGAAGGTAAATGAAATTCGTGACAAGCAGGGGCACATGGAAAGTTCTATGAGGATTAGTTCAATCCCATTGGAGAATCCAGAAAGATTTCATGGATGAGGGAGGATTTGTACTGGATTTTGTTTGAGAAAAAAAGACTGCCTAGCCAAGTTACATAGAAGGTACTTGGTAAATGCTAAATGGAATATCAATAAACAAGTAAGTACTGAACCAGATCGTGGCTTTGATGTGTAAGCTCAAGATAGAGTCAACAGTACATGTGCATGAGTGTGCATGCCCGTGTGCACGTGTAAATGAGAGCATGATCTGAACACATGTGTGCTGGAGGGTGTGCACGTATGCGTGCATGTGTGTGTGCAGATGAGTGTGCCCGTGTACAAATATGTGTGCATGCCTGTGTGTGTGCATGTTCTTCTGCACAGGTGACCTGCCCTCCCTCCTTTGTTGCTGCCCATAGTTCCAGGGAGTTTCTGCCTCAATCCCTCTCTCAGTATGGTAAGCGGAACCCTGCCTTCTTCTTGGTAGCCCACTATGCCAGATTTAACTGTTTTATGATTAAATATCCTCCATGCAACATTAGGAAAGTCAGGAGTCCTAAATAAGTCACGTGGTTTGGCACTTTAACAGCTGTGATCTCATATGCGCTTCACAGTAACCCTATGCAATGGAGATCAGTCAATTAACAATTGAGTTCAGCTGCCTGTCACTGAAAAGCTAAGGAACTGGATGAAACCAGATGTCAGGGTTTGCGTTCTCTCACAGAACGTGAAGTCCAAAGGAAGGCATTTTGGAGCTGGTCACCAGGGAGCCAGCTGGGGTCCACCTTGTTTAGGGTCTAGATGGGTGGTGTGCTGGCACATCGTAGTGAAAAATAGTGCTGCTTTCATTTTACAGATGAAAAACTCAGGCTTCCAGAGGCCAGGTTATTTTGCCCCAAATCACACAGTGAAGAAGAGCTGGGTCTGGAATTCTAAGCCAGACTCTACACTCAAATCTGTTTGACCCAAAGTCTGTGCACTTTCACAGACCATAGGTAGACAAGCGTGTGTACTCACGTGGAGGAGGTGGGCTCAGAAGAATCGATGGCCACGGAGACCATGTTCATGCGTGGGCCAGGAGGAATCTGGAGAGGCTGGAGCCTTAGACTCACTTTTAGTCTCGCTGTTTGACTGGAATAAGCTGTCCTGTTCCTAATCTCTGCAAGCAGACTGTTCTGGTGTCCCCAAGATCACTCCCTTTGCTGTTTCAAGACAGGCAAGGGCTGGGTCTAGGGGTCCTGGCAGGTAGGGCTTTTCCGGTCTCCTGAGGTGCCACCAGCTACTGTCTGCTGAGGCTGCTCAGATATTTTCATTCTAATCCTTGATAGCAGGCATAGCTCTGCCGTTTATAACCATCCCATCCACCTGACATAGGTTCTTGCCGGGGGCGTTTGAATTGGTGCCTCTCGGTCTGATCCAACAGCCCACTGCGATGCCCTGGCCAAGTGGCAGCCCTGAAATGGTCCCATTGATAGGAAGGGTCCAGTACCGTCTGTGATGCTGTGAAAAGCATAGTGTTTCTCCTCGTTTCCCAGCATTCCTGGAAATATATGAAATACAGGGCACTTTATCTTGCCACAAAGTTATTTTAAGAAGGAAAATCAATTTTATTTTATTTTATTTTGTTTTTTGAGATGGAGTCTGGCACTGTCACCCAGGCTGGAGTGCAGTGGCGTGATCTTGGCTCACTGCAACCTCCGCCTCCCGGGTTCAAGCGATTCTCCTGCCTCAGCCTCCTGAGTAGCTGAGATTACAGGTACCAACGACCACGCCCAGCTAATTGTTTTGTATTTTTAGTAGAGATGAGGTTTCTCTATGTTGGCCAGGCTGGTCTCGTACTCCTAACCTCGTGATCCACCCACCTTGGCCTCCCAAAGTCCTAGGATTACAGGCTTGAGCCACCACACCCGGCCAAAATCAATTTTAAAAATCCTACAAAACACACACTGTAAATGCCGAGATGTATCTGTATGTAGACCCTGAAGGTTGCACTGCGACCACTTCTGCAAAGCTGCTCACTCCACCTGCCTGCCTCACCTACTTCCTGCAGGGCTGTGCCTGCTCCTCAATTCACATGTCCAGTTTTTCTGGGACTCTATTGAATGCCCTAATTCCCATCCTTTCCTAGAGCCCTGTCTTTCTAAGCTATATGGCTCCTTCTTTTTCAGGCCTTGGAGAAGGTTGAACAGATGTCACTGAAGTCACATCCCTCCTTCCTTCACTGACAGTTCCCTCCGTGGCTGACACTTAGTGCTGGGTGTCTCCTCCCACTGCCAGGAGGTACAAGCTGCCTGCAGGCTTCCACCAGAGGCAGCTGCTGACAGACAGATGCTCACACTGCCAAGGGCAGAGATGCTGCTCCTCTGCCAGCTGCCCCATCTTGTCTCTCTGCCTGCCCAGGCTCTGGTGCTCACAGTTGAACTTGACAGGTTCTTTTCCAGGCTCCTCATAAGACTTTTTCCATCCAATATTCAGGCCCCCTTTCCTCCAGGAGCAACCACAGGACCCGGCCACGAGCTCAGCTCTGTTTCTGCACCTGGCAGAATGCCTGACGTACAGCAGTTGCTTGGGAAACAAAGTTTAGCTGGTGAGTGAACAAAAAGGTGCTGCAAGGCAGTGACCCTCCTGGATCTCTACACAGCTGCCTGAAACAAAACCCTGCATGCACCCTGCAAGAGAATTCTGAAAACCTGGAGCCCACCACACACACACAGAAATAAAACTCCTCTGCTTGTGCCCCTAAGAGAATTCTTAAAACTAGGAAGCACCCCCATTTTGAAATAAAACTCTGCTTCACTCCCTAAGAGAATTCTTATAACTGGGAACCTAGGAACCCCCTCCTAGGTGGGTTCCTAGCGTAGCATGTGGCTGAATTCTACACTGTAAATGTGCTGAGTGCGGCCGAATTCTACACTGTAAATGTGCTGAGTGCGGCCGAATTCTACACTGTAAATGTGCTGAGTGTGGCCGAATTCTACACTATAAATGTGTTACATGTGTCTGAATTTTATCCTTTGAAATGGTTAATGTTATGTTTCTTTAATTTCACCTCAATAAAAAATTCATTTAAAAAAATATATTGTGACCGTAAGCCACTAATTTTGTGTTTTTTAAATTTTTGCCATGGATCCCTTTGGTGATCTGGTGAAACCCATAGACCTCTTCTCAGAATAATGTCCTTAAATGCAGAAAGTAAAATACACAAGATCAAAAAGGAAAACAAGTGTACCAAAATACACCCATCAAATGAGCTTAATCATGGTACAGTCACACATGTGCCTCTTTAACACATCGTGCTGGTATGATAGATACCGGTTTTCGTACAAGGCTCCTGGCTCATAACTCCCACGCCTCTTGTTACAGTCTTTTGTTATAACCTTGGCTGTGTTAGGTCTCAGGGGCAGCCTCTGACCTCTTGCCCCCTTTCAGATTAGAGTTCTGTCCCAAGGGAGGATTCTAATCTTCCCTGCCTTTCTGGTTGTGGGTCTAAGACCCTCCCATGAAGCAAGACCCCCTATAGCCTGTGGGAAGTCATGCTGATGTCTTGAAGCTTCCATAAAAACCCTAGAGGACTGGGATCCGGGAGCTTCCAGAGAGCTGAACATTTGGAGGTTCCTGGAGGGTGACACCCAGGAAGGGCATAGAAGCTCTGTGTCCCTTCCCTACACCTTGACCTACCTTAGAAGCTCTGTGTCCCTTCCCTACACCTTGACCTACCTTAGAAGCTCTGTGTCCCTTCCCTACACCTTGACCTACCTTAGAAGCTCTGTGTCCCTTCCCTACACCTTGACCTACCTTAGAAGCTCTGTGTCCCTTCCCTACACCTTGACCTACCTTAGAAGCTCTGTGTCCCTTCCCTGTACCTTGACCTACCTTAGAAGCTCTGTGTCCTTTCCCCTATATCTTGACCTACCTGTCTCTTCATCTGTATCCTTTGCAATAGCAATATCCTTTACAATAAATCAGTTAACGTGTTTCTCTGAGTTCTATGAGCTCCTCCAGCAAATTAATCGAACCCAAAGAGGGAGCCATGGGAAGCCCAACTTGAAGGCAGCCTGTTGGAAGTTCCAGAAGCCTGGGCCTGTGACTGGTGCAGGGGGCCGGCAGTCTTGGGGACTGAGCCCTCAACCTGTGATATCTGATGCTAACTCTGGGAAGATGGTGTCAGAACACCAGAGCACACTCAGCTGGCATCAGCTGCTAGGTGTGTGGGGAAAACCCCACACATTTGGCCACAGAAGGCTTCTGTGCTGATGACTGCTGTGGTGTGAGAGCAGAGGAGAAACACGGTTTGAGGAGAGTTTTTCCCACACACACACATTAACAAGGTCTAGTTTGTTAATCCTAGTAACAATATGTAAGTCCAGTAACTATTGCAACTTTGAAGCAATGCTAAGCAGAAACGATGTTTCAAGTTATCTGCAACAATTATAATGTGATAGAAACTATCTCTGATTTCTCTTGGTGACAAAGTCACAGACACTTTAAGACCGCTACCATTTATTGCTTGCATGTATAATGGAAGGAAATGCTAACTTTCACTTAGAGGTTAGTGGGAAAAAATGTAATTTTTTCATTCAAGTTCATGAACACACTAAATTAAGAATCTGACCCTATTCTAAACATAAGAAATTTATTCTGAATTGCACGATCATTACATCAGTACTAACTTGTTAGTAATATATACTTGAACAAAAGAGCATATGTGTGCTATACAATTTGACAAATAAATAACATTCCAAGTAAATTTATGTTAAAATGTATGTCTTGATGAGATGGACGAGGTTGGGAGTTTTTTCCAATGAGTTTTTCTGTGGGTGGCTAATACCTATTACTGGAATGATAGAGAGTCCAGCATCAATTATTTTCCTAGTGTTTATTTGTAGGGCTATAAGCATGGAGGAAACTTTGTCCACATACAGAGTTTCATTGAGCAACAGGACTCAATTGTTTGAACTCCTCCAGAGTTATATGTCAAAAATCACATGGTAGGCCGGGCACGGTGGCTCATGCCTGTAATCCCAGCACATTGGGAGGCCAAGGTGGGCAGATTGCTTAAGCCCAGGAGTTCAAGAATAGCCTGGACAACATGGCAAAACCCCATTTCTACAAAAAATACAAAAATTAGCTGGGTGTGGTGGTGAGCACCTGTAGTCCCAGCTACTCAGGAGGCTGAGGTGGGAAGACTGCCCAAGCCCAGGAAGCAGAAGTTGCAGTGAGCTGAGAGTGCACCACTGGAATCCAGCCTGGATGATAGAACGAGGCTCTATCGCAACAACAACAACAAAAAAATCACATGGACATGGTAGTATCTCATCAAGATTTATGTGTAATGCTCTATCAGTTGACAATTCAATTTGAACCTCCTCCAATTCTGATAAGAGAATTGGAAGCCAACTTTCTTGGGAAAAGTTTGTTTTTAGTTATTAAATACCACAAGACTTAGCAAATGTCCCTTTATTCTACCTGTTCCTCTTTCGCTTTACGATGCTGAGTGTCCCTGTGGTCTTGTGGTGTGTGACGCAGAGCTCAGGCCTCTGTTCTGTTGGCATAGACTGTAGAAGAGGCAGCATGGGCTTGGAGCCGGCACTCACGGGGGCTGGTTCCTGATCCCTGGATTTCTTTCTTGTTTTTTTTTTTTTTTATTGTTACAATTTTGGATTTTATTGTGATCAAGATATCAACTCATTGGGCAGTTTTTAATATACAATACTCGCATTTACATTTTAAAAGTGTAAAATTTCTGACTTCCGTATTAAGGATGAGTTTTAACAGGGCTAGTGCAGAGGCAAGCAGGTCAGTCAGAAGGTTATGGCAGTAATTCAGGCAGATGAGGAGGACTGACAAATGCTAATGGAGGAGGTAATGAGCACTGGTTAGGTCATAGTTGTTCTTCAAGTTCTCTGACTGTTAGTTTTCAGAATTAGGGTTAATTAATCTATTTGTTTATTTATTTTCGTGAGGCAGGAGAGTTTCAAAAATTTAGGCTTTAATTTCTCTTGAAAAATTAGAAACTTTGGAAACGAATTCTGTGTCTAACTGACCTCATGGAAACAATTCAATATAGCTGACTCCATTATGTGAATTCTGACTGCAGCAAAAGCATCAGCTCTCTTACCAGGCCGGGTCTGTGGAGGTGCTACTGGGTCATTTCAGGAAGTTCAGCCTAGATCCTGCTCCTTCATCCATTTCGATGATTCTGGATTCTCCTAATCCCCGTATGACATTCCTGGCTGCTTAAACTAGCTGTAGTAGATGTACATATCTGCAAATAAACCCTGATCAATTTTAAAAAATGTCTATAGCCTGGGTTAGATGACAAGACCCCATCTCTTAAAAACAAAAGATTCCTGTATATGCCTTGAACTGGGCCCTGACTGTGTCTTTCCAGTGGCGAGTCTTACACCAAGACTATGAATATGGTCTCTGTCATCAGGTGCTATTGATTAACAAATCATTCTCTCAGGGCCTCTTTTTTCTTACCTATAAAATGATAGGTGGTAGAATGAGTTATTGTTCAGTGAACACTCACTCCGAATCTCCCCTCCATAGGAGGGTCACGTGTCCACTCCTCAGGGGTGTTGGGTGGACACAGGATTGCTTGGGCCAGTGGGGCCTGGGCAGGAGGGAAAGTGAACCGTGTCTGCACCCAGCTGAAGGACAGCAGCATTTCTGCTCCGAGCTGCCCCACTCCCACCCCATGAGAAGAACCTGCCCGGGCTCCAGGCTCCAGATGAGACACATGGAATAGCCCAGGATTCTGCCATAAGACCCTGAGTGAGAAATGATGCATGTATATCACCAAGCACTGGGGTGATTTGGGCATTATCGTCGCAAAAGCTGGCAAAACCTCCAAGCGTAATTTTGAGAATAAAATGAGAAAATGCACAGGATATGCTGACCTGTGTTCTACCTACCAGAGTAAGCATCAAACATTGTTTCTGAAAACTTTCTACTGATTTCTGAAAGCTGACTGTTGGTAATTCCTTTTCTTCCAGGTTCTTCTTTCATCTTCTTTCATCCTTTATCAATCACAAAATTGTGGCTGAGGTATCTGGTTACAGCAGCTGTGTGGAACTCTGAGTGTTTCCCCTCATCTCGCTCTTCCTCTGCCCTGACGATCCAGCACCCCACACAACACCTGGCAAAGAGGCAAACAAATGGCTTGGGCAGCTCTTCCGGACACCAAAAGGAGGGGAGAGTCCAGGACCCAAGGGGAGCCCCAGTGGACCCTCTTCAGGCTTCATCTCCTGGTCCCACATGTAGTGTTCTGTTGGCAGTTGAGGCAGAATTGGGCACTCCCAGGAAGGTGCATGTTTTCAACAGAATTCTCAGAAAACTAATGATACACAGTCATCTAAACATCAGTTGCATGAACAGGGGTCAGAGGACCATTCCACAATCAAGGATGAAAAGAGCAGCAAGGGCCTAGCCACACTCACGAAATGAGCAAAACTTGTCAGGGTGTTCCTACCACCCAGATCATCACAGATAAGACTGTTTCTCCATCAGGACGAACAGAAATGAGACCCTTACCCCACCAGGAGGAACAGGGGTGAGGCCCTTCACAGCGTCGGGATGAACAGGGGTGAGGCCCTTCACAGCGTCGGGAGGAACAGGGGTGAGGCCCTTCACAGCGTCGGGAGGAACAGGGGTGAGGCCCTTCACAGCGTCGGGAGGAACAGGGGTGAGGCCCTTCACAGCGTCGGGAGGAACAGGGGTGAGGCCCTTCACAGCGTCGGGAGGAACAGGGGTGAGGCCCTTCACAGCGTCGGGAGGAACAGGGGTGAGGCCCTTCACAGCGTCGGGATGAACAGGGGTGAGGCCCTTCACAGTGTCGAGATGAACAGGGGTGAGGCCCTTCACAGTATTGGGATGACTGGAGCTGTACAGACTTCCCCAGCGGTTCTCAGAGCCTTCCCATCATCACTTAGCTGGTGCTGCCAGGGCCATCCACTAATCATGGACCTATCGAGGTCTAAACTGACACAGTCTTAGACCCCTCAGGTGTCTCCTCAGCTTGAGACATAAAAACCAAGTCCAGGTGGTTCAGGCCTCCCAGGAGCATCCTGACCTGCCTGTCATTGCTGCAGGCTCTCTGTGGCTGGTTGCTCTCCACCCATGAGGCTTTCCTCCTTTGTCTAATTTTATGCCTTTTGGATCACTGAACTATTCATAGTCTTACAGTAAAAATCTCTCTAAATTATCCTGAGTAATTTTATGTACTCACAAACCAAAGAATAGATTTGAGCACTCTCCCAATTATTCGCCCATCCTTAGGCCATGGAACATGGTAGGTTTGGGGAGGTGTTGGTTTCTTCATGCTTTCTATGTGCGATATCTTCCAGTTAATCCACTCTGCCTCCACACTGCTCTTCTGGGCCTGCCTCTTCACTTGGGTGGGATTTTATGGCATGCCATGGCAAACCTGAGGACAGAATTCGGCCTTGTCTTGTCCTGACAGCTCAGGGGCTGTGCAGGTCCTTGTTGGCTTCCTGCAGGCCCTGCCTCTGGTGGCCGTCTGACCTGGGCCGACATTGGGGACCTTGATAATGTTGGTGCAAAACTGTCTAGAGTCACTTCCAACGCAGATCTGGAATCTTCCTTCAACAGCCCTTTCCTACTTTCCTCAGTGGGGACGCAAGCAGCCTCTAAAATTAGACCAGTCTCTTTTTGGGAATTTGGAAGATTAGAGAAGAAACTGGGGAAACTAAACCTTGGACTGGATTTGAGAACCAGAGGGTCATATTTTTCACCATATCCTTTTAAGGTTGAGGAAAAGAGCTTACGTATCACAGGCCTCCTCCTGTGAAGGCCCTGGGCTCGGATGGGTAAGCTAATACCTGGGACTGTGTGTGTCCCAGGTGAACATAGTCACCATATACCCTGGAGCCATGGAAAACAGTCCTGTCCCCCACTACCTCCCTGTGAAAAAGAAGAAATCCAACAATAAAACCAATGAGAGTATTTGCAGCTGGATCAACAGCTTGTTTCCTAGTGAAAAAGTCTCAAGGCAACGCAGCAGAAAGAACTGGAGGGAAGAGGGCAGGCCCTAGCCTTGAGTCAGAGAGAGAGGAGGACAGGGAGAAACAACTGAAATGTTAGATACTGACGGTTTCCCCAAAGCCTCCTAGAGGGCAGCAGTGACAGAAACTGCATTCCAGCTGAAGGGGATCCCAGAACAGGACGGTCAGCCAGGCCCCTGCTCTTTCTGGCAGAGTCTCTGCATAGGGACATTGGGCTCACAGAATGGGCTCCTAACCTGAGACAACCCCACCAGGCCCTTCTGGCTCTAAGCAATCGCCTTCACTGACTTCTGCTTCAAAACCATTCATGCTCTGAAACTGAAAAGAGAGCCACTTATTCTGGAAGACCTCCAGAACAACTTGGAAAAGGTTCAGAGCCCAGGGCCTCTGAGTACCTTGGCGGCTAGCCAGGACTTGGTTCACCCACTTCTAAAACGGCAGGAACACAGTGGCAGGGAGCCACACAGACTCAGTTTCCCTGTTGTGTACCAAGCATGGATCTCCTCCCACCCCAGCAGCTACAAGCATCTGGCTGTTGAATAATGGAATGGCTTAACTTAGTTACACCCCAAATATCTGAATGCTCCCCTAACAGGATATCGTATGAACTTCGATCCAGCAAAGGTTCCTCCTATAGCCAGAGCCCAAGAATCAAAGGAGAGACGTGAAAGTGGTCTCTCTTGCTGCAGTGTCTGATAACCCATGTGAGGACCTTTGCTGTGTGTCCCCTTAACTTTAGGCTGATTTAGAGGTTTTGGTTCTCAAAAGAAGACAGAATTGTTCTGATGAATTGAAGTTGAAACTGCCACCTGGTCATTTCACGCTCCTCATGCTACTGAATCAACAGACAAAGAAAGGGGTTACTGTGTGCCCTGGGATAATTGATCCCAGTTACCCGGGGGAAATTGCTTTGCTGCTATGGAAGGAGAGAAGAGAGACTATGTCTGGAATTCAGGGATATTTCCAGATCCAAGTAAAGATGAATGGAAAATTAAGCAATGTACCAAAGGTACAATCACAAAGGATTCAGACCCTTCAGAAATGAAGGCTTGGATTACCTCACAATGTGAAAAAACTCCATCAAGCTGAGGTAACAGATAAGGGCGAATGGAATCCAGGGGGGAAGAAAAGTAGGAAAAGGAAATTATTATGCAAAAAAAAAATGAATCTAGGTACAGACCTTATACCTTTCTCAAAATTAACTCAAAATAGATTATAGACCTAAACATAAAACAAAGGCTGGATGCGGTGGCTCATACCTGTAATCCTAGCACTTTGGGAGGCCAAGGCGGGGGCATTGCCTAAACTCAGGAGTTCGAGACCAGCCTGGGCAATACGGTGAAACCTCATCTCTATTAAAATACAAAAATAAAAAAAAACAAATTAGCTGGGAGTGGTGGCGGGCGCCTGTACTCCCAGCTACTAGGAAGGCTGAGGCAGGAGAATCGCTTGAAACCGGAAGGCGGAAGTTGCAGTGAGCCAAGGTCGCGCAACTGCACTCCAGCCTGGTCGACAGAGCGAGACTCTGTCTAAAAAAAAAAAAAAAAACTTCCAGAAGATAATGTAGGGGAAAATACTGAGACCTTAGGCTTGGCAATGAGTTTGTAAATACACCATAATAATGATGCGTGAAATGAAATGTTGGTAAGTTGGACTTTACTAAAATTAGAAGCTTCTGTTTTGTGAAAGACATTCTCAAGAGAATGAAAAGACAGGCAATGGACCGGGAGAAAATATTTGCAAAACACATTATGGCAAAGGGCTTGTATATAATGTACACAAAGAACTCCTCAAACTCAACAATTAAAAAGTAACCTTGTTAAAAATGGGGAAAATATCTGAACAGACCCTTCACTAAAGAAGATACACAGATGGCAAGTAAGTATATAAAAGATGTGCCCAGAGTTTGAGGCTTTAGTGAGCCATGATTACACCACTGCATTGACGCCTGGGTGACTGAGACCCTCTCTCCAAAAAACAAACAAACAAAAGCCCAAAACAAATAAAAGACGGTCAATAACATACGTTATCAGGGACGTGCAGATTAAACCAATGAAATACCAGTTCATACCTATTAGAATGGCCACAATCTTTAAAGTGACGTCAAACACTGGTGAGGATGTGTAGAAAGAGGAGCTCTCATTCATTGCTGGTGGGAATGCAAAACGGTGCAGCCACTTGGAAAGATAGTCTGTTTCTTACAAAACAAAGTGTTGTCTTCACATACAATCTGGCAATCATGCACCTAGGTATTTACTCAAATGAGTTGAAAAATATGTCCACAAAAAAAACTGCATACAAATGTTTAGCAGCTTTATTCATAATTACCAAAAACTGCCCTTCAGTAGGCTAGTGGGTTAACAAACTGTGGTATATCCAATGAAATATTATTCAGCCATAAGAAGAAATGAGCTATGAAGCCGTGAATACGTGGCAGAACTTTAAATTCATGTCATGAGGTAAAAGAAACCAGTCTGAAAAGACAACATCCTATATGATTCCAATGACATGACAATCTGGAAAAGACAAAACTATGGAGACAATGAAAAGAGCAGTGGTTTCTAGAGGTTGAGAGAAGGAGGAAAAAATGGGCAGAGCACAGGGGGGTTTAGGACAGTGAAGCTCTTCCATAGGGAAGATTGGGAGAAGGAGGGAAAAAATGGGCAGAGCACAGGTGGGTTTTAAGGCACTGAAGCTCTTCCATATGGTACTGTCATGATAGATAAATGATATTCCTCAAAACCCATAGAAATTTGCAACACCAAGAGTGAACCCTACTGTAAAGCATGGACTTTAGTTAATAACAATAATGTATCAGTATGGTTTACTAATTGGAACAAATGTACCACACTAATGCAAAATGTGAACAATAAGAGAAAATGTGTGTGCTGAGAGGGGAGTGGTGTAATGTGAGAACTTTCTGCATATAGTTCAATTTTTCTATAAGTCTAAAATTGTTCATTAAACATAATCTATTAGACAGGCATGGTGGCTGACACCTGTAATCCCAGCACTTTGGGAAGCCAAGGCGGGCAGATCACCTGAGGTGAGGAGTTCGAGACTAGCCTGGCCAACATAGTGAAACCCTGTCTCTACTAAAAATACAAAAAATTAGCCAGGCATGTTGGGGCACACCTGTAGCCCCAGCTACTCAGGAGGCTGAGACAGGAGAATCACTTGAACCTGGGAGGCAGAGGTTGCAGTGAGCCAAGATTGCACCACGGCACTCCAGCCTGGGTGACAGAGCAAGACTCAGTCTAAAAAAAAAATAGTCTATTAATTTAAAGTAAAGAATAATGCATCAGTGGGCTGTAGAAAAAGTCTCAGATCTGATGAAAACTATAGGCCATAGATTCAAAAAACTCAACACAACTCAAGCACAAGAAACAAAAAAAATAAACCATGGTACATTATAAATTACTTAAAACCAATGATTAAAAAGAAAACACAAAAAACAGTCAAGAAACACACATAATGTGCAAAGGAACAGATTAGAATGGCAGCCAACTCCTCGTCAGAAATAATGCAAGACAGAAGGCAGTGGATCCACATTTTTCAAGTACCAACAGAACAACGCTGTCAACCTAGAATTCCATGCCTAGCAAAAATATCTTTCAAAAAACAAAGTAAAGACATTTTTAAACATATGGAGGTTGAAGGAACTTATCACCAGCAGACCTGCTCTACAAAATTTCTGTATACCTTTATATATATTTTTTTCTTTTCTTTTTTTTTCTTTTTGGCATGGTCTCGCTCTGTCACCCAGGCTGGAGTGCAGTGGTGCAATCTTGGCTCACTGCAACTTCCACCTCTCGGGAAGAATCAAGAGATTCTCCTGCCTCAGCCTCCAGAGTAGGTGGGATTACAGGCATGTGCCACCATGCCCAGCTAGTTTTTCCACTTTTAGTAGAGGCAGGGTTTCACCATGTTGGCCAGGCTAGTCTCAAACTCCTGACCTCAAGTGATCCATCTGCCTCGCCCTCCCAAAATGCTGGGATTACAGGCATGAGCCACCATGCCTGGCCACTTTTCAATATTTTTAATACACATATAATCATATACAAATATAGATACAGAGACATATTTGACCTTTTGGGTCACTGTTTAACAAGCATGTAATAATTGTATCACTTTTCTGAAAATTGCCTTTCTCATTCAATAATACCTGATGGACATCCCTTAATGTCAGTGTTTTCATAGATATACAATACTCTCTGATGCGTATATTCTGTAAATTACTAAATTTCTCTTTAAAAAGAATGTTATTGAGGTCAGCTGTGGCCCAGAGATAAGTTACAGGATAAATAAGGCCATAGCAGCTTTGAATTTTCTTCCTTTTGGTTATGTATGTGTTTATATATATTATTTTCCTCTGCTCTTTTCTTCCATTGTTTTACGTAATAATCACTGATGGTGGTTAACTTTACAACTTAGCTTTTAGATTTAGAACATTTGGGTGGGATTTTGCTTGGACTCAAGTGGGACTTTACGTCACACTGAGATGGGTGCAGCAACTAATGGAACTGTCATCTCGCCTTTCTGGCTGAGCAATGTCATTGGTACAAATTATGGCTGCGTCTTATTGGGAATAAGCATGAGTTGTTTTGTGTGGCAGTTCAAACACGGGTAAAGGAAATCAATGGAAGCGAGTAGGAGGACTGTGCCTACTGTTTACCTTAGTCTCTCGACTCATTGTCTATATTCTGTTCTGTAATGCTGGGGCTAAAACTACATTTCTCAGTCTAGTTTGTGTTGCTGTAACAGAATATCTGAGACTGGATAATTTACAATGAACAGAAATTCATTTTCTTACCATTACGGAGGCCAGGGAGTCCAAGATCCAGGCAACAGCATTTGGCGAGGGTCGCGTTGCCGTGTCCTTTAATGATAGAAGGCAGATGGGCTGAGAAGGGAGGCAGGGCACAGACAAGAGGGGTCAAACTTACCCTTTCATGACAACATTAATTCCGCCCATGAGGTCGGAGTCCGCATGGCCTAATCACCCTCAAAGTTTCCACCTCTTAATACTGTCACACTGGCAGCTCAATTTTAGCACAAGTTTTTTGGAGGGGACAAACACTCAAACCACAGCACTCTGCAAACTGCACTTGCAAGATAGCTGGCTTTTATTACTTGCATTTCCCTTCATAGCAGGCTTCTTATTAGGTTCTGCCAATGGGAGCTCCTAGGAGTTTGAAAGATGAGAAGAGAGGAGCGACTTCCTCATATTCTCCTGTTTCTGTCAATTGGCTCCAGCCCCAGTTGAGTCCCACCCACTTCATGCTGAGCACCAGTGCCAAGGAACCCTGCTCTGAGCACTGCTTGCCTTAGGTTCTGGTAACCTTCCCTCTCTTTTTTTGCACCATCATCCCCAGCCACGGACGGGCAGCTTCTTTAGTTCCTAATATCGGGGTTGTTTCACCTCGCATTTTACCCTTCCAGACTTCCAACACCTATGTAACCAATTCATCTGGTTAAATTCCCTCTGTTTGAATTACCAGTGCAGTTTTTACTTTCCTGTCTGGACCCTGACTGACACAAATCCCATCTCACACTGTGAATCTTAGAGCCTGAGTAACATAAGCCTACTTAACAAATGTCTGACATCACAACCTCAATCAGGGAGCTAAAAGTCAGTTAGCATGGTCCTCCAGTCTATAGATACAGTGAAAAGGGAATGCTCGTGCAACCCCCGTGACAAACAGTTCATGCCTTCTTAGCCCAGTACTGATTGCAGTGGAATTGCATTGCTGAGTACTTACTGAACATCAGCTACCACCTGGCAGTTACATTCACATAGAGAATGTGAGTGTAGAAGCTCTATCATCCCTGTCTGCCTTCAAGGTGCTTTTCACAGGGGAGGTCAATGTTCTCAACGTGGGACAGGTGCATGACAGAGTTATGTGCAAAATAATTTGGGAGGAAGAGGAAGAAAAGATTTACAATATCTCTTCCCTGCACTCACTCTCAGCACTCACCACCCACTCACATACTATGCATTTGTTTACTGCCATAAAATATGGGCTCCATGAAGGAGCATGTTTTATCTGTTTCACTCACGAAATAATTCCCAGTACGTAGCAGAGTGACCAACACATGGTAGGTACTGAAGAAAAATTTTCAAATTAATTAATGAAATTATCAAACAAGTGAACAAAAAGATATGCTTGAAGAGGCTTTGTATAATATTAATACTATATCAATAAAGTGTGAACAATTTAAATAACAGTATATGATAGGAGCCGGGCACGATGGCTCACGCCTGTAATCCCAGCATTTTGGGAGGCCGAGGTGGTTGGATCACCTGAGGTCAGGAGTTCGAGATCAGCCTGGCCAACATGGTGAAACCCCGTCTCTACTAAAACACCAAAAATTAGCTGGGCGTAGTGGTGGGCGCCTGTAATCCCAGCTACTCAGGAGGCTGAGACAGGAGATTCGCTTGAACCTGGGAGGGAGAAGTTGCAGTGAGCCAAGATCGTGCCATTGCACTCCAGCCTGGGCAACAATAGTGAAACTCTGTCTCAAAAAAAAAAAAATATATATATATATATATATATATACACACACACACACACACAGGATAGATTATATAACCTTTGGAAATATTTTGAGCCATGCATCCATTAAAAATAAAACTCTGGGTGGCTCGTGCCTTTAATCCCAGTCTTTGGAAGGCTGAAACAGGTGGATCCCTTGAACCCAAGAGTTTAAGATCAGCCTGGGCAACATGGTGAAGCCCTGATTTACAAAAAATAAAAAAATTTGCCGGGCATAGTGGCATGCACCTATAGTCCCAGCTACTCCGGTTACTCAGAAGGCTGAGGTGGGAAAAATCACTTGAGCCTGGGAGGTCAAGCCTGCAATGAGCCGTGATTGAGCCACGGCACTCCAGCCTGGGCAACGGAGTGAGACCCTGTCTCAAAAACAAATGAATAAAAATAAACAAATAAATCAACAAAACTCTAACAATGTGCTTGTGCACACAAAGTTGTTCATGATGTAACATTTTCTTTATTCTTTCTTTCTTTCCTTCTTTTTTTTTGAGACAAGGTCTTGCTCTGTAGCTCAGGCTGGAATGCAATAGTGCCATCTTGGCTCGCTGCAACCTCTGCCTCCTGGGCTCAAGCAATTCTCATGCCTCAGCCTCTCTAGTAGCTGAGACTACAGACACATGCCACCACGCCTGGCTAATATTTGCATTTTGGGTAGAGACAATGTTTCACCATTTTTCCCTGGCTGGTCTGGAACTCATGGGCTTAAGTGATCTGCCCATCTTTGCCTCCCAAAATGTTAGGATTACAGGTGTGAGTGACTGTGCCTGGCTGATGTCGCATTATTTATTTATTTATTTGAGACAGAGTCTCGCTGTGTCACTAGGCTGGAGTTCAGTGGCGTGATCTCGGCTCACTGCAACCTCCACCTCCCATGTTCAAGCCATTCTCCTGCCTCAGCCTCCCGAGTAGCTGGGACTATAGACATGCCACTAAGCCCAGCTAACTTTTGTATTTTTAGTAGAGACGGGGTTTCACCATGTTGGCCAGGCTGATCTCGAACTCCTGACCTTAGGTGATCCACCCACCTTGGCTTCCCGAAGTGCTGGGATTACAGGCGCGAGCCACTGCACCCAGCCAGCATTATTAAGTAAAGAAAAAAAGCTCAAAAGAAAAGTTTGCTGTCCAAAGTTCATTCCTTTTTTCTAGGAACAGCACCAAAACTTGTTTCTAAGAACCACCTCTTTCCATCTTCACCACATGGCTGGTGGTTTGGCTTCTCAGGAGTGTCCCCTTGCATAAGCCAGTCAGCACATCCCACCCAACTGGCCACATCTGTGGCTATGGCACCCAATTATGAAAAATAAGATTGCAAGAGTTTCCTGAGGCTTCTGTAAAAAAGAAAATATGTTTCTTCTTAAGGAGCCACTCAGGATCCTCTCTTGCCCCGAGTGGTACAGAATGATGACAGGTACTTTGCTGCCATGTTTGATGGTTGGGGACAGTGGACCCAACAGCTCAGAGAGCAGAGTGAAGAGAAAGAGAAACCAACTCATTCAAGCCACTTATTCTTGTCTCCCAGAAGGTAACCCTGCTCTGGAGTTTCAGTTTGGTAAGTCTATGCATTCTATTACTGCTTGGGTCCAGACGAATTGAGTTTCCTGTCATTTGGGATTAAAGGAGTCTGGGCTGATATGCAGAGCATGATTCCAACTTGATTTTCTAAACATATTTTAAATATACAATCAAAATTTTAGAAGTATCATCAAAACCCACTATTTTCACCTACCAATCCACTCCTCAGTGTCCAAGCGTTTGCTTTTATTCCTCCAAGAAATAGCTGTGGCAGCCAGTGAGATTCATTTATACACAAATGGAAAGAGAGTTTCCAGATAAATCCTGCAAGAGATCACAGTGGCTTGAGCATGGTCGTGGTGGATGCGTGAGAGAGAGTGATGCGGAGTGTGTAGGAAAGGTCAAAAAGAATGTTGAAGAAAAGGTTAACAGTGGTTGTCTTGGTTAGTATATTGCTTTGTTTTTCTTTTTACTTATTTGTATTTTCTAAGCTTTCTAGAATAAACTTGTATTTTCTGGGTCATATTTCTGGGTCTCTGCCCTAGCTCACAGGATGGATATCATTATTGACATGATATCAATATAATTTTAATCTCAACCTAAGATAATACAGTACTCTGAGTTCCTAATTCTGTTTGGTTAAGTTGCAAATTCTTAGAAGTTACAACATGACTGGGGGGTTTTGCTAAATAGACTGAACAAAGCAAGAGACACAGATTGGGAGGTTTTGCTAAATAGACTGAACAAAGCAAGAACCTAGACTCTAATTCCAGGTTTTCTGTTCCACTCTAGCTTCAGACTTTACTCCTAATTTTTATTAATGTGAACATCTGAGCACACCAGAAAGAATAATAAGAACCACAGAGAAAGAAGAGTCCTCTAGAAGAATGATAATATCTTCTACATCAGAAATAGGAGCACTAGTATTATAGCATCTGGTAAAGTCATGAGGAAAGATCCTCCAAATAAGGGCTGTCCCAAACTATCTGCAGTTATGCTTTCCAAGCTTCCTGGTGTTGGCCCCATGTTTGGGGTGTACCAGGAGAGAGTGAGGGGTTCCAAGGGAAGGCCGGAGGTGCTGGGGATCTCAGGCATCATAAGTAACAATGACAAAAACACGGATGTGCAGAAATCAATAAGCCGAGACTCACTCAGGAGGCTTTGAGAAGCCAGTCGGTGCCTATGGACCAGGCTGAACATCTGTCAGGCAAACAAAAAGCAAACAGAGAAGAACAAAGGAGAGTGGGATTATTTTCACTCAAGTTCTTCTTCAGGCTCAGCAGGTGACATCCAAGCTGCTTGGCCTTCCTTCCTTCAGACACTGAACCTCCATGGAGGGTATGCTGCCCAGAAAACTCCAAACCAGCAACCCCAGCACAAAAGAAGGACGAAAACAAAGTGCAGATGGAAAATTCAGGCAGAGCCACACTGTGGCCATGTCAAAACTTCGCACATCCTCGCTAATTTCCACAGAACCATTTTGTTTGAGTGGCAGAACCATCAATCTCCAAGGGGCGTATAAGTCCAGTTAATCGAACTCTTACTCCACCGCTTTTTCATTCTTAAGGCCTGAAGTTGGAGAAAAGGAGGAAAGCGGAGCAGCCATGGGTCTTTGCAAAACGAACAGAGCTCAGAGATAGCGAGATCCCAGGCACAGGCGCAGCCATTAGTAACAAAAACAGCTCACAGTGGGGAAGTCCATGCTATGCTACGTGCCAGCTTCTCTTACTGCCTTTAGTCTTCACCCAGCTGCTATGAGGTAGATTCTGCTACTATCCAGACCTTTGTGCACACTAGAGACACGAGGTGTCCCCTGGGGTTGGGAGTGGGGCTGCCACAAGTCTTCCCTAATCAACAGATGACAAAACTGCTCAGGAATTAGCCCAAATTCCCACAGCTGGTATGTGACTAGGTTATATTGCATTACAAACCTACCAACAAAATTAAGATCACCAAGTAATATTTATAAGGTGGCTTGGGGGTCAAGTTTTATGGGTTAAGTTTAGACACACCCATCACAATGATTTTTAAATATGTCCACAAATTCTTTGATATTCTTCCCTTCAAAAGGCAGTCTAATTCCTTTCCCCTTAAGCGTGGCAGTGCTTCACAACTCACTTCATACAAATCGAACATGAAGCAATGAAGAGGTGTCACTTGTCATAAGAAAGCATGTGTACCCTGCTCACTTTCTTGGGTCACTTGCTCTGGGGGAACCCAGCTGCCACTCAAGCAGCACTATGGAGAGTCCTTGTGGTGAGAAGCTGAAACCCCCACCCAGCAGCCAATACCAACTGGCCAGGCATGGGATTCAGCCATTTTAGAAGCAGATCTTCCAACCAGGTCAAGGTCAAGGTCAAGCCTTCAGACGACTTCAGCCCCAGCTTCATGACAGTGTCCTAAGAGACCCTGAGCCCGAACTACCCAGCAAAGCTACACTTACAGACTGTGTTAGAGGATAACTGGTTATTGATTAAACCATTTAATTTGGGGGGTGATTTGTCATGCATCAGTAGATAACTAAGACATCCACCTTTATCTACCTTATGCCTATTATGAGATACCACAATTGCCAAGGCTGAAATTTAACGTAAATGCCCTCTCCCTCTCGGTGAAACCAGAGACTCGCAGGCACTGTGGAATGACAAAGCTGACAAAGCTGTTCCCCAAACTCACCTCACTCTCCCAGGGCACAGCTGGACTGCACTTCTCAGCCCCCTTGCAGTTGGGTGCAATGGGACTGAGGTACCGTCAGTGGAATATGGGCCAAAGCGTTTATACTGCTTCCAAGCCTGACTCATAAAACCTTCCCAGGTGGCCTGCTATAAACTGAATGCACCCCAGAATTCACATGTTGAAGGCCTAATCCCGGTGTGACCATGTTTGGAGATAGGGCTTTTAGGAGGTAAAGTTAAATGAGGTCAAAAGAATAGCGCCGGGAGCCAATAGGATAGGTGGCCTTACAAGAAGAGGAAGAGAAGTGTTTCTCATTCCACATGCACACACCAAGGAAAGGCCAAGTGAGGACACAGCAAGAAGGCAGCCATCTGCAACCCAAGGAGAGAGCCCTCCCCAGAGCCTGACCCTGCTGATGCCTTGATCTCAGACTTCCAGCCTCCAGAACTGGGAGAAAATAAATTCCTGTTGTTTAAGTCACCCAGTCGTCTACGGTATTTTGTTACGGCAGCCTGAGCAGACTAAGACAGATACTCCATGTTCCCTCTTTTCCAATCTGCCTGCTGGATATTGAGACTCAGGATAACCTTGGAAATCACACATGGAAGGTGGCAGAACCCCCATCAGCTTGGGTGCCTGAATGTCTACATGGAGCAGAGACCTACCACCACCACTGCTATAACCACTCATCAGGAACTCCTACCATGAGCTTCACAAGAAAGAAACTTCTATTGTGTTTTGCCACTAAAAGTTCAGGTTTGTTCATTATGGTAGCTAGTATTCTGTAACTAATACCTGTTACATTCATTGTGTTAATTATATCAGAGTTTCTTTGTATGTATGCTAACATTAGGGAATTAATTTATTTCACTAGTCTGTAGTTTCAACTCCCGCAGACTGACTCAGAAAACAATGATATACAACTGCTTTTGGTGGGGCCAGTTTCTTGTTCAGGATAATGCATTCCAGTGCCTATATGAGCCCAGGGCTGTGGTTTTGGGGGTGCCTGTTTGACTCTAATGGATGCCATCAGACAACTCTTGTTCACAGGGTGGGAAATCTTCACTTTTCAGTGAAATCTTTGAATGCTGGGTTAGAGACAAGGCACATGCAGGGTTGTCTAGTAATGCTAGAATACTAGGTATTCTAGTAATGTTTGCCATGCTTTCTCTCTTTCTGAAAGATATTAATCTCCTTCTACATCCAGGGCACATTAACACACTGTCCAAAATTCCCAAGGGGAATAGAACTTTCTTTCCCCTGTCATTGGGAAAGCCAAATTTTCCCATAGAATTCAGTATAGTGTTTGCTTACATGGATTACGGTGGTTACCATTTCCTAATCCCTAACCTGCAGGTCAAAAATCCAGGTATATACAAATGCATTACTTGACTTATGTGCCTCAGTTCTCTTTTTTTTTTTTTTGACACAGAGTTTCACTCTGTCACTCAGGCTGGAGTGCAGTAGTGCTATCTCAGCTCACTGCAACCTCCATCTCCCAGGTTCAAGCAATACTCCTGCCTCAGCCTCCCGAGTAGCTGGGATTACAGGTATGCACCACCATGCCAGGCTAATTTTTGTATTTTCAGTAGAGATGCGGTTTCACCATGTTGGCCAGCTGGTCTAGAACTCCTGACCTCAGGTGATCTGCCCCCCTGGGCTTCACAAAGTGCTGGGATTACAGGCCTGAGCCACTGTGCCTCGTCAGTTTTCTCATCTACACAGTGGGCATAATGATAGTATCTACCTCAAAGGAGTGTTGTGAAGATTGCGTTGGATAATATGTGTCAATCATGGATCATAGTGACCAATGCACAATATCAGTAAGTCATGACTATTAATGTCACTATGGTGATAGTGAAAGTGATTGCTACTACCCCTGCCAAGGAATAAAAGATCCCAGGCTCTGGGAAAAGTCCTACATTTCATTCCCATTTACTGGAGGAGCCCCCAGGACAGCCCTTTAACCTGGGCATTGGATGCCATTGGCCCAGGCCTTCTTGCAATTCTCTACCTGGCTACTGGTTCTACTGGCCACCTCAGACCTCTAGCCTGTGACAGCACAGCCACCCTCTCCCTGGCAGACATGCCACTCACAAACAGGGCCCCAAGGGGCCCAGAGGGGACAGGGCTCTGCAAGACTCACTTTCTTCCCAGATGAGACTGTTGAATCCAAGTAAATGGGGCTGTGCTCCAGGAACTTGTGGGACTCCTTTGTCTAGAGTCATACACCTGAGCAGCCTCCCTGGTCCCATGAAGGTACTACTCCATCACCCACCCTTAATTCCTAGCCCTGCTCTTTGTGCCTATTTCTAATGAGGACCAGGAGGTAAGGAGGAGAGGAGAAGGAGGTGAGGAGGAGGGGGGGAGGAGAGGAGGAGAGGAGGTGAGGAGGGGAGGAGGAGGGGAGGAGAGGAGGAGGAGGGGAGGAGGGGAGGAGAGGAGGAGGAGGGGAGGAGAGGAGGAGGAGGGGAGGAGGGGAGGAGAGGAGGAGGAGGGGAGGAGGGGAGGAGAGGAGGAGGAGGGGAGGAGGAGGGGAGGAGGGGAAGAGGAGGGGAGGAAGAGAGGAGGAGAGGAGGAGGGCAGGAGGGGAAGAGGAGGAGGTGAGGAGGGGAAGAGGAGGAGGTGAGGAGGAGGGGAGGAGAGGAGGAGAGGAGGTGAGGAGGTGAGGAGGAGAGGAGGAGGGGAGGAGAGGAGGTGAGGAGGGGAGGAGGAGAGGAAGGTGAGGAGGATGGTGGACATGTGAGTACTGAGGCTCCCGGATCTCAGAATCCATGAAAGGCGGATTTGTAGCTGCTCCTCTTCCTCACACCTGCCAGTCACCATGTCCTGCAGATCTGCCTCCTAAGCACCTCTCAATTCACCACTTTTCTCCACTATAACTCTCTTTTTAATATTTATGTATTTATTTATTTATTTTGAGACAGGGTCTCACTGTGTTTCCCAGGCTGGAGTGCAGTGGCGCCACCTTGGCTCACTGCAACCTCTGTTTCCCTGGTTCAAGCGATTATTCTGCCCCAGCCTCCCGAGTAGCTGAGATTACAGGTGCGTGCCAACACGCCTGGCTAATTTTTGTATTTTTAGTAGCCATGGGGCCTCGCCATGTTGGCCAGGCTGGTCTCGAACTCCTGACCTCATGATCCACCCGCCTCGGCCTCCTGAAGTGCTGGGATTACAGTGTGAGCCACCGCGCCCGGCCGCTTTTTTAGAACCCAGCCTTGGTTCTGACTTGGTATCTCTTCTTCCAGCTGAACTTGAACAACTGCTGGAATGATGGATCAAAATCACTAGTCTCACCACTCATCCCCCTGCTTGAAATGCTTGGTTGGCTTCCTGAAGCCTTCAGAATGAAGTCCAGGGCTCTCCATCTGCCCTCTCCTCATTCTCCTTTGCAAAATGTTACTGATCTTCCTACAGCTGGGGAGCTTCCAGCTGCCACAACAAGGCCACATGCACTGCTGAGCATAGAGGTTGCCAGACGGCTGTTCCTGCTCCTGCTCTTTTAGTCTCTCCTGCTGAGCCCTCAGATGCTGGTGTGCCCAGGTTCTTTATGGCTCTTCTCTCTTCCCCAGGAATTTCACCCAGACCCAAGCTTTAAATCTACAACAATTCAGCACCTAAATGGCTGTTTTCAGTCTATTAATCTGCCATTCACTTCCTCTTTCATTTATTAAATAAATCACCAAAGATTTATGGGGTTTCTTGCATACCAGGAAAGAAAGGGTAGGAAAAAAAGACCACATATAAAGTATTGAATAGTCTAATGAAGAGAACAGAACAATCACATAAGCAACAACAGAAAGACACTAAATGCCATAAGCAAGTTACATACAAGATCTGTGGAAGTTGGGAGAAGGCAGAAATTGTTTTATCGGTAGCATCAGGAAGGGTTTCTTGAAGAGGGAAGTTCATTCACTCAGCAGAAATTTATTGGACACCCACTATGTCCCAGGCACACAGGCATTTAGGAGGGACCCAAAAGGGTGAATCGAATTTTGACTGGGTTGGAGGAACTACAGAGGGGTGGTGAAAAGGAGGATGGGGTTGGAGGAATTACAGAGCGGTGGTGAAGAGGAGGATGGGGTTGGAGGAACTACAGAGCGGTGGTGAAAAGGAGGATGGGGTTGGAGGAATTACAGAGCAGTGGTGAAGAGGAGGATGGGGTTGGAGGAACTACAGAGCGGTGGTGAAGAGGATATGGGGTTGGAGGAACTACAGAGCGGTGGCGAAAAGGAGGATGGGGTTGGAGGAATTACAGAGCAGTGGTGAAGAGGAGGATGGGGTTGGAGGAACTACAGAGCGGTGGTGAAGAGGAGGATGGGGTTGGAGGAACTACAGAGTGGTGGTGAAGAGGATATGGGGTTGGAGGAACTACAGAGCGGTGGTGAAAAGGAGGATGGGGTTGGAGGAATTACAGAGCAGTGGTGAAGAGGAGGATGGGGTTGGAGGAACTACAGAGTGGTGGTGAAGAGGATATGGGGTTGGAGGAACTACAGAGCGGTGGCGAAAAGGAGGATGGGGTTGGAGGAATTACAGAGCGGTGGTGAAGAGGAGGATGGGGTTGGAGGAACTACAGAGCAGTGGTGAAGAGGAGGATGGGGTTGGAGGAACTACAGAGCGGTGGTGAAGAGGATGGGGTTGGAGGAACTACAGAGCGGTGGTAAAAATGAGGATGGGGTTGGAGGAACTACAGAGCGGTGGTGAAGAGGAGGATGGGGTTGGAGGAACTACAGAGCGGTGGTGAAGAGGAGGATGGGGTTGGAGGAACTACAGAGCGGTGGTGAAGAGGATGGGGTTGGAGGAACTACAGAGCGGTGGTAAAAATGAGGACGGGGTTGGAGGAACTACAGAGCGGTGGTGAAGAGGAGGATGGGGTTGGAGGAACTACAGAGCGGTGGTGAAGAGGAGGATGGGGTTGGAGGAACTACAGAGCGGTGGTGAAGAGGAGGATGGGGTTGGAGGAACTACAGAGGGGTCGTGAAAAGGAGGATGGGGTTGGAGGAACAACAGAGCGGTGGTAAAAATGAGGATGGGGTTGGAGGAACTACAGAGCGGTGGTGAAGAGGAGGACGGGGTTGGAGGAACTACAGAGAGGTGGTGAAGAGGAGGACGGGGTTGGAGGAACTACAGAGCGGTGGTGAAGAGGAGGATGGGGTTGGAGGAACTACAGAGCGGTGGTAAAAAGGAGGATGGGGTTGGAGGAACTACAGAGCGGTGGTGAAGAGGAGGATGGGGTTGGAGGAACTACATAGGGGTCGTGAAAAGGAGGATGGGGTTGGAGGAACTACAGAGCGGTGGTGAAGAGGAGGATGGGGTTGGAGGAACTACAGAGCGGTGGTGAAAAGGAGGACGGGGTTGGAGGAACTACAGAGCGGTGGTGAAGAGGAGGATGGGGTTGGAGGAACTACAGAGCGGTGGTGAAGAGGAGGACGGGGTTGGAGGAATTACAGAGCGGTGGTGAAGAGGAGGATGGGGTTGGAGGAACTACAGAGCGGTGGTGAAGAGGAGGACGGGGTTGGAGGAATTACAGAGCGGTGGTGAAAAGGAGGACGGGGTTGGAGGAACTACAGAGCGGTGGTAAAAATGAGGATGGGGTTGGAGGAACTACAGAGCGGTGGTGAAGAGGATGGGGTTGGAGGAACTACAGAGCGGTGGTGAAGAGGATGGGGTTGGAGGAACTACAGAGCGGTGGTGAAGAGGAGGACGGGGTTGGAGGAACTACAGAGCGGTGGTGAAGAGGAGGATGGGGTTGGAGGAACTACAGAGCGGTGGTGAAGAGGATGGGGTTGGAGGAACTACAGAGCGGTGGTGAAGAGGAGGACGGGGTTGGAGGAACTACAGAGCGGTGGTGAAAAGGAGGATGGGGTTGGAGGAACTACAGAGCGGTGGTGAAGAGGAGGATGGGGTTGGAGGAACTACAGAGCGGTGGTGAAAAGGAGGATGGGGTTGGAGGAACTACAGAGCGGTGGTGAAGAGGGGGACGGGGTTGGAGGAACTACAGAGCGGTGGTGAAAACGAGGATGGAGGGGCTGAGGGAATAGTAGGTAAGGCAGCCAGCAAAGTGAATTGGTTCTATCTTCTGACAACAGGGCCCTGGTTGTCCTCTCAGAAACTACTGCTTCCTCTTCACATAACTGGAGAAAGCTGACCTTTAGTCCCAGCTCCAGGACTGGGTCCTCAGTGGCTTAAGTCAATCAGCATTTCCCATCTTCCTGATCAGAGCCATTACTTCAGGGACAGGCTTGTAGCCCAGTTAGAATCAATGATGTTATAATACACAAGAGGCAAATACACAAGGCAAACCAGATAAATGAAGGAAAACTTGGATTCAGTGACTGGACCAAGTCTCGCCTGAAGTCGCTTTATTGTTTAAGCCATTTTTAGTTGGGTTTTTCTGTTACCTGTAACCTACAAAGTCCTGTAGACACAGTGAATCAAGATGTTGAGGCAGGAAAGCAGGGGAAGTCCAAGAAACTACAGGTTGTTCTAGAAGTTAAGCAACCAACAGGAGATAAATCTGCAAAGATAGATTTTTAAATCATTGTAATAACTCTTTAAATGTAATAATAGCAGCTATTATTTATAGTGACCACTTATTTCATGTTAGGTATTCTTTTAGGTTGTATATGTTAATTGATTTACTTGGTCCAATGAAATAGATGCTACCATTATCCCTCCTTTTTAACAGATGTGGAAACTGAGGCATTGGATAGATTGACTTATCCAAGGTGGCACAGTTACTGAATGACAAAGCCAAGATTCACATCCTGTCTGAACTCTTAAACATTATGCTGTTGTTTGTAGTTTTCAGTGAACTGTAAGAAGCTAAAAGCTGTAATCTTACAAGCTTTGGGGTCAGATTCAACTTCTTCCACTTTCTAGCTAGCATGACTTTGGAAAAGAATTTAACCTCTCTGAGTCCCAGGTTCTCCATCTATGTGACAAAACAGAGTTGCTGTCTGCAATGAAATAATGATGGAAAGAGCCCAGCACCACAGCGAGCACACAGCCAGGCTCCACTGCCTTCTCATGTTCCTGCCTCCTGCTGGGCCAACTCATTGTCCTGGATTCTGGGCCGGTTGGGTTAACATGAAGCTCCTTTCTTACCTTTGTTGACCTACAGTGGCTAACAAAACCCAGTTGCAGACCCGGGAGGAGCAAGAAGCACTTTCCTTTTATGTCTGCAGCCCTAAGTAATCCTCCTCCCAGAGTCTCCCAGAGAGGAGAGACTGTCAGCTGTGCCCCTCCCCTTAAGCCCACTGCTCTGTTTGGCTCTTGCTCATAGACATATGGCAGGGGCTTTGTCTTCAAATATGTCTGCTTTCAAGTTGAATACAACCATTGTCTGAGCCTGGGCCCTCCAGGAATTTACTGATGAGGGCAGGTTGATGACGGCACAGAATTTCAGTTGAAACTTTCCAGTTGGCTGGTTGTCAGCAGCTGAGATGGCCAGGGAGCTGACCTGGGCGAGATTCCCAAACTACCCCTCTTTTTTTTTTTTTTTTTTTTGAGATGGAGACTTGCTTTGTCGCCCAGGCTGGAGTACAGTGGCTGGATCTCTGCTCACTGCAACCTCCACCTCCTGGGTTCAAGAGATTCTCCTGCCTCAGCCTCCCAAGTAGCTGGACTACAGGTACGTGCCACCACACCTGGCTAATTTTTGTCTATTTAGTAGAGACAGGGTTTCGTCATTTTAGCCAGGCTGGTCTTGAACTCCTGACCTCAGGTGATCTGCCCACCTCGGCCTCCCAAAGTGCTGGGATTACAGGTGTGAGACACCACACCTGGCCTGAACTGCCCCTCTTGTGAGGAAGGTCCTGGACACTGTCCCCCACCTAGTCTGAAGACCCTCTTGGACATGTGGAGGCCCAGGGCATGGCTGTAAGGCTGGGGAGTGGAGTTGGGGTAGCCCACAGCTAACATGCGTGAACAGAATGAAGGGGGTAGCAAAGCAGGCAGGACCCACTGCATGGCTGCCCCAGGGCCTGAGTGACCAGGACACCCCAGGTGAAACAGAGTGGAATCTTGCTGCGGGCCTTCCTCTAACTTTTTGTTCTCGAATAGTCTTTGAGATTTATAGGGTAGTTGCAAAGATAGTACAGAGTTTCTATATATCCTCCACCCAGCTTCGCTAATGTCAAAATTCTGTGTAACCTTGGTACATGTACCAAAACTAAGAAATAACATTGGTTCTGTGAGTCCATAGATGGTAATTAATAAACAAATAAATACAATTAAAATAAATAAAAATTAGCATAGACACGTGTCAAAACTAAGAATGAACATTGGCATATGTATCAAAACCAAGAATGAACATTGGCACGTGTATGAAAACTAAGAGTTTATGTTGACATTTGTATCAAAACTAAGAATTAACATTAGCACATGTATCAAAACTAGCAGTTAACATTGGCACATCACCACTACTAAGCTCCAGACCATATTCAGATTTCACCCGTTCTTTTGCCCCAGGACACATCCAGGACCCTGTGCTGCATTTAGTTGTTATGCCTTCTCAGGTACTCTGGTCTGTGACAGTTCCTCAGTCTTTCCTTGAATATCCCGTGAATTGGGTTTGTCTGTTGTTTCCTCATGATTAGATTGAGGTTGTGGGCTTTGGGGAAGAATGTGAGCTGCCCTTCCCAGGATAGCAATGTGACTTGGGTGATGTTAGCCTTCATCTCCTGGTTGAGGTGGGTCTGCCAGGTTTCTCCACTGTAAGTAACTAGTTTTTCTATTTAACATTCTGTTCTAAAGCCACTAAATCCAGCCCACACTCAGGGTTGGCGTGGAGAGGGAGCGAGGAAGGACTCACATGTATTGTTTGGAGTGCAGAGGCTTTTGAAAGCAAAAGATGTCTGTTTTGGGTGCCCCAGCTCAGACCACTGCTTTAGAGAGAGTTTCCATGAGGCTTGGGGCCCTTCTGTGGGCTCACGTTTCTTCAGAACAGCTAATTCTGAACTTTGGCAATCCTGATTTGAGCACTGTAGTGCCACCGGAGAGCTAATGAGAGACAGACAGAGAAGGTATGGCACGTGGAGCCATCCCCTACCCTCCCCCGGAGGGCGTACCATAGTGTGAGTGGAAAAGCCTGTTCTCCAAAGCACCTTCCCTGCTGGGCCCGGCTAACACAGGCCCTCAGCCCACTCCAGATCCCTCCCTGCTGGCATTCCCTGAAATCTGTCCCTGACCGTCAACCCCTCAGGAAGGTGGCCCTTCCCTACAAGACCCAAAGACCCCTGCATGACACTTAAGGCCTTCCAGGAAGCCTCCTGGCCTGTAGGCCCTTGAGACCCCCACTGGACCCTCCCTTTCTGTCCTGTTTTGTTTTCTGACTAAGCTTATCTCTCAGTTGTGGAACTGCAGTGCTACCTGGGGTGGGATGAGGGTCCCAATGAGAGAAGGGTCTGAAAACCTTAACCACCCAGAGTGGGCTCTCTGGGGTGGGATGAGGGTCCCGATGAGAGAGGGGTCTGAAACCCTTAACCAGGAGTGTTTTCTTCTGGCCTCTTGGTATTATATTTGTCTCCTCAGTCACACCCCCCTGCCCCTGCTGTTTCTGAAACTCCCTGCCCCAGTGGTTCTAGTTCTGGTCTTGGATGACTCCCCACTGTCTGCTCACTGATGGAACCAGATGCCTCACTTTCTGCCTGTGGTTCCTGGTGTCGCTTTGTCTTCTCAGGCACTTCCATGACCAAATCAACAAGTCTCCCTCAAAAACCATGTGGTGTGAGCAGCTGAGGCTCAGAGACAAGAGATCACCTGTCCCATGTCACATGGCCATGTAGCCCCAATGCTTTTCTGCACAGGTAGGAGAGCTGGACCCATGCATTCACTCCACAAGCATTTACTGAACACTACTAAATGCCAGGCTCCCATCTACTAGATCAGAACAGAGAATGTCCGGCCCAAAAAGAACAAGCCCATGACCAAAAAGCAGGCATTGGCAAAGCAGAGTAGTACTGACCTCTCTGAGGAACCGTCATTTCCCAGAGCCAAAGGGAATGAGAGGCATGTCCCATGGCCATCAGGAGAGGGAAATGAGGGATATGTCCCACGGCCATCAGGAGAGGGAAATAAGGAGTATGTCCTGTAGCCATTAGGGGAAGAAAAAGAGGGGCATGCACTGCAGCCTTCAGGAAAAGGAAATGAGAGGCATGTCCTGCAGCCATCAGGGAAGAAAAAGAGGGGCATGCACTGCAGCCATCAGGGGAAGGAAATGAGAGGCGTGTCCTGCAGCCATCAGGGGAAGGAAATGAGAGGCGTGTCCTGCAGCCATCAGGGGAAGGAAATGAGGGACATGTCCCACAGCCATCAGGAGAGGGAAATGAGAAGTATGTCCTGCAGCCATCAGGAGAGGGAAATGAGGAGTATGTCTTGCAGCCACCAGGGGAAGGAAATGAGGGGCATGTCCCACGGCCATCAGGGGAAGGAAATGAGGGACATGTCCCATCCCAGAGCCAAAGGGAATGAGAGGCATGTCCCACAGACATCAGGGGAAGGAAATGAGGGACATGTCCCACAGCTATCAGGAGAGGGAAATGAGGAGTATGTCCTGCAGCCACCAGGGGAAGAAAAAGAGGGGCATGCACTGCAGCCATCAGGGGAAGGAAATGAGAGGCATGTCCTGCAGCCATCAGGGGAAGGAAATGAGGAACATGTCCTGTAGCCATCTGAGGAAGGAAATAAGAGACATGTCCTGCAGCCATCAGGGGAAGGAAATGAGGGCCATGTTCTGCAGCCATCAAGGGAACGAAATGAGGGATGTGTTCTGCAGCCATCGGGGGAAAGAAATGAGGGACATGTCCTGTACCCATCAGGGGAGGGAAATGAGAGGCATATCCCGCAACCATCAGGGGAAGGAAATGAGGGACGTGTTCTGCAGCCATCAGGGGAAGGAAATGAGGGACATGTTCTGCAGCCATCAAGGGAACGAAATGAGGGATGTGTTCTGCAGCCATCAGGGGAAAGAAATGAGGGACATGTCCTGTACCCATCAGGGGAGGGAAATGAGAGGCATATCACGCAACCATCAGGGGAAGGAAATGAGGGACGTGTTCTGCAGCCGTCAGGGGAAGGAGATGAGGGGCATGTCCCACAGCCATCAGGGAAAGGAAATGAGGGACATGTTCTGCAGCCATCAGGAGAAGGGACTGAGGAGCATGTCCTCCAGCTGTCAGGGGAAGGAAATAAGGGAACTGTCCTGCGGCCACCAGGGGAAGGAAATGAGGGACATGTTCTGCCACTGTCAGGGGATGAAAATGAGGGATATGTTCTGCAGCCATCAGGGGAAGGGAATGAGGGGCATGTCTCACAGCAGGGGAAGGAAAAAAGAGGCATGTCCCACAGCCATCAGGGGAAGGAAATGAGGGACATGTTCTGCAGCCATGTGGGGAAGGAAATGAGCGACATGTTCTGCCACCGCCAGGGGATGAAAATGAGGGACATGTTCTGCAGCCATCAGGGGAAGGGAATGAGGGGCATGTCCTACAGCCATCTGGGGAAGGAAATGAGGGACATGTTCTGCAGCCATCTGGGGAAGGAAAAGAGGGACATGTTCTGCCACCATCAGGGGATGAAAATGAGGGACATGTTCTGCAGCCATCAGGGGAAGGAAATGAGGAACATGTCCTGCAGCCATCAGGGGAAGGAAAGGAGGGGCATGTCCTGCAGCCATCAGGGGAAGGAAAGGAGGGACATGTTCTGCAGCCATCAGGGGATGAAAATGAGGGACACGTTCTGCAGCCATCAGGGGAAGGAAATGAGGGACATGTTCTGCAGCCATCAAGGGAAGGAAATGAGGAACATGTCCTGCAGCCATCAGGGGAAGGAAAGGAGGGGCATGTCCTGCAGCCATCAGGGGGAGGAAATGAGGGACATGTTGTGCAGCCATCAGGAGAAGGGAATGAGGGGCATGTTCTGCAGCCATCAGGGGGAGGAAATGAGGGACATGTTGTGCAGCCATCAGGAGAAGGGAATGAGGGGCATGTTCTGCAGCCATCAGGGGAAGGAAATGAGGAACATGTCCTGCAGCCATCAGGGGAAGGAAAGTAGGGGCATGTCCCGCAGCCATCAAGGAAAGGAAATAAGGGACATGTTCTGCAGCCATCAGGGGAAGGGAGTGAGGGGCATGTTCTGCAGCCATCAGGGGAAGGAAATGAGGAACATGTCCTGCAGCCATCAGGGGAAGGAAATGAGGGGCATGTCCCACAGCCATCAGGGGAAGGAAAGGAAGGGCATGTTCTGTAGCCATCAGGGAAAGGAAATGAGAGACATGTTCTGCAGCCATCAGGAGAAGGGAATGAGGGGCATGTTCTGCAGCCATGAGAGAAAGGAAATGAGGGGAATGTACTGCAGCTATCTGGGTAAAATAATAAGGGTCACATCTGGCAGCCATCTGGGGGAAAGGGATAGGATATGTCCTGCAGCCATCTGGGAAAAGGAATAAGAGGCATGTCCTGCAACCAACTTGGGATGGGAATGAGGAGTATATCCTGCAGCCATCGGGGAAGGGAATGAAGGTCACATCCTGAAGCCATCTGGGAAAGGGAATGAAGGGCATGCCCTGCAGCAATGAGGGGTACATCCTGCAGCCATTGGGGCATAGAAATGAGGGGGCATGTCCTGCACCCATTAAGGGAAGAGAATCAGTGGCATGTCCTGCTCCCACTAGGGGAAGGGAATGATGGGCACATCCTGCAGCCATCAGGGGAAGGGAATGATGGGCACATCCTGCAGCCATCAGGGGAAGGGAATGATGGGCATGTCCTGCAGCCATCAGGGGAAGGGAATGATGGGCATGTCCTGCACCCATCAGGGGAAGGGAATGATGGGCATGTCCTGCATCTATCATGAGAAGGGACTGATGGGCATGTCCTGCACCCATCAGGGGAAGGGAATGGTGGGCACATTCTGCCCTCATTAAGGCAAGGGAATGAGTGGCATGTCCTGCCTCCACTAGGGGAAAGGAACGATGGGCCCATCCTGCAGCCATCAGGAGAAGGGACTGACCGGTATGTCTTGCACCCATCAGGAAAAGGGAATGATGGGCACATTCTGCCCCCATTAAGGAAAGGGAATGAGTGGTATGTTCCACACCCATCAGGAAAAGGGAACGATGGGCCCATCCTGCAGCCATCAGGAGAAGGGACTGACTGGTATGTCTTGCACCCATCAGGAAAAGGGAATGATGGGCACATTCTGCCCCCATTAAGGAAAGGGAATGAGTGGTATGTTCCACACCCATCAGGGGAAGGGAATGAGGGGCATGTCCTGCAGCCTTCTGGGGAAGGGAATGTGGGTCACATCCTGCAGCCATCAGGGGAAGGGAATGAAGGGTACATCCTGCAGCTGTCTGGAGAAGGAAATTAAATGCAAGTCCTGCAGCCACCTGGGAAGGGGAGTTGGAATGAGTCCTAGGTCACCAAACAGCAGGCATCAAGCTTGTCCAGCTCCCCTCCAGTCTTCCAAGCAAGCCACAGAAGCTGGTGTCCCACAGGAAGCCACAGAAGCTGGTGTCCCACAGGCCTATGGAGTTTCCAGGGAGGACCTCTGCTGATCTAGAAGGTGGCTTCCTGCCTGCTGAGTGGGAAATCAAGGCTGCCCTTCTTGGTCAGGCTCTCTGAGCACATGCATCATTTACCAGAGCACCAGCGAAAAGCAGAGCAGGAGGCACGAGAGACCTGCAAGTGCTCTGGACAGGGAGTAAGATTTTCTTCTGATCTCATGAAGCTTAATGGAAAAGCAAACACTTGAAAATTATTTTCTAACCCACATACACCACAGCAAGGGAACACATTGGCTTCTACAAGTGTCTAGTTGGTGTGACTTCCTGAGATATGGTACCAACGTCGTAACTCACTGGAGAATATTCAGAGGCCCCCTGAAGGGAGGGAACAAGATCCTTTCTGCTCTTATGCTTAAACCTCTTCTCCCTCACCATCATTGCACTGTGTCTGTGAACATCTGATCACCAGGAAAATATGGCCCTGGATTAAGTCCCTAATGGTCAAATTCTTTAGGCAATTTTTCCCCTTTAAAATAATTAACTGTATTAAAGAATCTGAAAAACAGTAAACAGTTCTGGACATGTGGCCTGTGGAGGATGAAAGAAATGAAGGTTCCTTCTACTGGGGAGGCTTTTGGAGACTACCCTGAAATTGGAACACATCGAGTATCTGGAAGGAAGACCCTAAGGCTCCTGCATTTTGCATGTTGATGGCCGTTGTGTTATGACGTTTTTTTCTGCTCACTTCCTTTTGTTTCTGGAGGTTTGTGCACCCCTGTGGCCCTGGGATCAGTGAAGGAACAGATCTCTGGAGTTTCCAAGTTCTTTTCTAACCATCCTTAGCTTTATTGAGCTAGGGACACAAAAGGACAAGGCGATGGGAGCAGGAGCTCATCTGTGCACATTAACTTCTTGCCCAGTGAAGGCCCCAAAGCAAAGTTTAGCCCCACACTGATGTGAGGAAACCTAATTTCACCCACAAAGAGCCCATGGCCAGCTGACAGGTCAGGGAGGGTTTGTCTTGCTGTGCATGGAGGATCCTGCCAGAGGCGTCCGGCTGAGGTTGTCTCTCTTCAGTGACGTGATCAGACACCTAAGGATTCAGGGCAGGTGCCAAGCCCTGCTGCCCCAGTTGGCTGATGCCTGACGTCTTCACGATGACGCTGGCATGCGGCCAACAAGGAGCACTCGGGGACATAATTCATAAGAGAGCAGCATGCATCTATGTTGACAGAATCGGAGCACTCTGCTCTTCCCAGTCTCTTCAGGTTTAAAAGGGTCTCTCCCCATTAAAGTCTTATTTGAAGTCTAGACTTTAGTCTAAACTTATATATAAAGATTTTAAAGGTTTGTTTGAAGTATAGATAAAGTATAACTGTAAGCTCATGGGACCTGCTGCTGGAGAGTGGAATGGAATGGAGATTTCTCACAAATGAGAATCAGCTCTGGGTCAGAACTCCCACCATGGTAGCTTGAGCCCACTCTCTAGACTGACAGCAGCAGGAGGAGGCAATACTGGAAGAAAAAAAAGGGAGGAATGAGCTCCTCACTCGGTAGCAATACAACAATACTGAAGGTATTATTATTTGTACATCAATTGAAAAGAATAGGAAAAGGAGACTGACTAGTTGCTTAAATTCAATAGTTTTCTATGCTATGGCACACCAGAAAATATCCCAGATGAATTAAAAGACTCACTTTTTAAAACCTAGTGAAAACAGAGAATTATATTTTATTAGTATAGTTTGAAGAAAGCCTTCAACCTATACTAATAAAATATAGAAGAAACAAACCCAGGAGTAACAAAGGAAAATACTGGCAAACTTCATCACATACACACTTAAAACCACCCTATGAGAAAAGCCCACATAAATGAAGTTTCTTTTAAGGTGTCTACTTGAATAAAATATTTGCAAAGTATTTAAGAGGTTAAAAATTAATATGAATAATATATAAATGAATTATTCAAACTGACAAGAAAAAGACAACTCAACAGAAAAATGGGCAAAAAAAAAAACCACAGGCAATTCATAGAAGACAGACAAGATACAAATATATACACAAACATACACATACACATTTATTTTCCAACCTCCTCCTCAACTGTTAGTAAGGGGAAGGCAAGTTTGAGCAAAATAAACAAGTATGCTCATTACTTATAGTAGCTGTGTTTTGTAAAGTCACTGCTGTCAACTGAAGAATCACGAGGTTCATACATTTGGAGAGGAGAGCTTTATTTCTGACAAAGGATTGCACCCTGCAGGCTGGCCATCTTGCAGGCTAGGAAGCAGAAACCAAAAGCAGGCACTTTGAGGGCGGAAAGGCTGGAACAGGGATTTATGCCAAATGGGTTGGCTAAGTACATGTATCTAACAGGTTATTCATGATGGATGGATGCATGCATAGAGAGCAAACATGCATGCATGTCCGTCCACATTCAATCTGGGGTGAGCACTTAACGTTTAAATGCACTAAAATTAGGTCTGTATGTAGAAGATGAAATGGAGGGCGCAGAGGCATCCCGTGTGCAGCCACTGTACACCGGCCAGAAGCAGTCCACGGTCGGTGGTCTCTTATCAGGAAGGAATGCCGGTTCGTCACTGTGTCAAAACCACGGAAGGGGAGTCTGGCAAGTCTTTGGAAAGGGCTGTGGCTTCTGATTGACCCTCGCGTAAGGAAGTCTAATGGCGATTAGCGAGGGAGGGGGTATAACAAGGCGTGTCCAAACTCCCCATTCCATCATGGCCAGGAACTCAGCTTTTAAAATTTCTCTGGCGCCCCCTTGGCCAACAAGGAGTCCATTCAGTCAGCTCAGGGGCTTAGGATGTCATTTTTCTTTTTCAGCACGAACATTGAATTAGTGAACAGTGAACCATCGCTCATGGAGGAAAGACCGCGTTAGGTTCCCGTGAGCCTCAGGACACAGCATCACCCCATCAATATACAACCTTGTTTTATGTATGTTTCTGTTTAAAGACACCTTACTTAGTATATATTGTAGAGTAAGTAACATGACCAACGGCACTGTAACTCATGTCTGAATGAAGCTTATCTAATGCGTGTTTTCTCCGAAAGGCACCTCACAGCCTTCTTGCTCTCAGGAACGCTAAGCAGCACTTCCGCACTGTGCTTGAGGCTATTTTAAACAGTGAAATCACCAACAAAAAGCATAAAAATGCGGCGAAAAAAGTGGCACTAAATAAACTGTGAATGTAGTCCCAGCTACAAGGGAGGCTGAGGGTTCATGCCGGGAGGCGGAGCTTGCGGTGAGGCAAGACTGCGCCACTGCACTCTGGCCTGGGCCAAAGAGCGAGACTCCGTCTCAAAAAATAAAATAAAATAAAAAATAAAAAATAAACTGTGAAAAGAAAACAGTTGCTTACAGTATGAGTTAAAACCAGAAGGCCGAGCATCACCTCATTCAGCTGGGAGCATGTGCACTGAAGACAAACTTTCGCCTCATTCAGCTGGGAGCATGTGCACTGAAGACAAACTTTCACTCATTCAGCTGGAAGCATGTGCTCTGAAGACAAACTTTCACTCATTCAACTGGAAGCATGTGCACTGAAGACAAACTTTCACCTCATTCATCTTGGAGCATGTGCACTGGAGATAAACTTTCACTCATTCAGCTGGAAGCATGTGCTCTGAAGACAAACTTTCCCCTCATTCAGCTGGGAGCATGTGCACTGAAGACAAACTTTCACTCATTCAGCTGGAAGCATGTGCACTGAAGACAAACTTTCACTCATTCAGCTGGGAGCATGTGCTCTGAAGACAAACTTTCGCCTCATTCATCTGGGAACATGTGCACTGAAGACAAACTTTCACTCATTCAGCTGGGAGCATGTGCTCTGAAGACAAACTTTCACTCATTCAGCTGGAAGCATGTGCACTGAAGACAAACTTTCGCCTCATTCATCTGGGAGCATGTGCACTGAAGACAAACTTTCACTCATTCAGCTGGGAGCATGTGCTCTGAAGACAAACTTTCACTCATTCAGCTGGAAGCATGTGCTCTGAAGACAAACTTTCACTCATTCAGCTGGAAGCATGTGCTCTGAAGACAAACTCACTCATTCAGCTGGAAGCATGTGCTCTGAAGACAAACTTTCACTCATTCAGCTGGAAGCATGTGCTCTGAAGACAAACTTTCACTCATTCAGCTGGAAGCATGTGCTCTGAAGACAAACTTTCCCCTCATTCAGCTGGGAGCATGTGCACTGAAGACAAACTTTCACTCATTCAGCTGGGAGCATGTGCACTGAAGACAAACTTTCACTCATTCAGCTGGGAGCATGTGCACTGAAGACAAACTTTCGCCTCATTCATCTGGGAGCATGTGCACTGAAGACAAACTTTCACTCATTCAGCTGGGAGCATGTGCTCTGAAGACAAACTTTCACTCATTCAGCTGGAAGCATGTGCACTGAAGACAAACTTTCGCCTCATTCATCTGGGAGCATGTGCACTGAAGACAAACTTTCACTCATTCAGCTGGAAGCATGTGCTCTGAAGACAAACTTTCACTCATTCAGCTGGAAGCATGTGCTCTGAAGACAAACTTTCACTCATTCAGCTGGAAGCATGTGCACTGAAGACAAACTTTCACTCATTCAGCTGGAAGCATGTGCTCTGAAGACAAACTTTCGCCTCATTCATCTGGGAGCATGTGCTCTGAAGACAAACTTTCGCCTCATTCATCTGGGAGCATGTGCTCTGAAGACAAACTTTCGCCTCATTCAGCTGGGAGCATGTGCACTGAAGACAAACTTTCACTCATTCAGCTGGGAGCATGTGCACTGAAGACAAACTTTCACTCATTCAGCTGGGAGCATGTGCTCTGAAGACAAACTTTTACTCATTCAGCTGGAAGCATGTGCACTGAAGACAAACTTTCACCTCATTCATCTTGGAGCATGTGCACTGAAGACAAACTTTCACTCATTCAGCTGGAAGCATGTGCACTGAAGACAAACTTTCACCTCATTCAGCTGGAAGCATGTGCTCTGAAGACAAACTTTCACTCATTCATCTGGGAGCATGTGCACTGAAGACAAACTTTCGCCTCATTCAGCTGGGAGCATGTGCACTGAAGACAAACTTTCACTCATTCAGCTGGAAGCATGTGCTCTGAAGACAAACTTTCACTCATTCAGCTGGAAGCATGTGCTCTGAAGACAAACTTTCACCTCATTCATCTTGGAGCATGTGCTCTGAAGACAAACTTTCGCCTCATTCAGCTGGAAGCATGTGCTCTGAAGACAAACTTTCACTCATTCAGCTGGAAGCATGTGCTCTGAAGACAAACTTTCACCTCATTCATCTTGGAGCATGTGCTCTGAAGACAAACTTTCGCCTCATTCAGCTGGAAGCATGTGCTCTGAAGACAAACTTTCACCTCATGCAGCTGGGGGCATGTGCTCTGAAGACACAAACTTTTCACTTCTCTGTGCACTTGAGAGGGTTGATTTGAGGGTTACCAATAAATGTTGGTGAGTAGGTAGATTCACAAATAAGAAATCCATGAATAATGAGGGTCAACTAGAGAGAGAGGGAAAGACCTCGCGTGTGGAGAGAAAAAAAATGTGAATATTTGCACCCCAAAGCTTGCCCAGTAGAAGCTGTCAGCCCTTTACTGCGCTTCTCCCTTACATCATGTTTGTTTCAAGCACTGGGGCAGAAACACTGAGACCACGTTGCTGCCTCAGAGGGTTTATTATAATGGAGGAGTCAGATTATACTCAAGTGAACAAATAATTACAGGTTGTGCTTTTTCTAGAACAAAATAATCAGGTTGCTCTGAAAAAGAATACTCAGGCTAGCTGAGAGAGATGTAACCTGTGCTGGAGAACTGAGGGAAGCCGTTGCCAACAGTGTGGAGAAGGGAGAGGGGGCCAGGCTGCCAGCAGCCTGTGGCACGGTGGCTGGAGAAGCCAGCTATGGGCCTATTTGGTTCTGGGGAGAGTAGTGGGGCTGTATGTGAGTGGTTAGTGGAATTTTCACTCTTTATATAACTGTGGGGTATTTTTAATGAAAATATTAATATATTTACATTGCAGAGTATAAATGAAAATATTTAAAATAACAAAGCAAAGCATTTTCCAGTTTCTTTAAGGGTGGCCTCGTGGTCCTTATTGACATAATAGGGAGAGCTTGTTAGCTGTCCATCTCTCATCTGGACACCACAGCAGCCTCTGTACCATTATCACTCTTACTAGCACTATCCTGGACCACTCCCCACAGCAACCAGGATAACAGCTGGCTGTGTGGCTCCTTTCTCTGACTGTCTTGTGGTCTTGAGATAAAAGGTCATCATCTGTCACATGCTCCCCAAGGCCCAAAAGGAGCTGCCTCTGCAAGCCTTCCCCACTCACTGCGCGTTCACGCCGTGGGAGCTGCACGCGCTCACTCTGCTCCGCTGCGCGTTCACGCCGTGTGAGCTGCGGGCGCTCCCTCTGCTCTGCTGCGCGTTCACGCCGTGTGAGCTGCGTGTGCTCACTCTGCCCTGCTGCATGCGTGGCTTTCTCTGCTCTGCATTCTTGTCTGGCACCCTCTCCTGGGGGCCCCTTCCCTGTCACTTCTCCTGCTCTTCCCAAAGCAGTCAACGGAAAATTGACTATTTATACACAAGTGCCCAGTTACAGATTGGTGTAAGCCTTTGATCCATCTTAATCAGCAGCCATAAAAAAGAATGAAATCACATCCTTTGCAACAACATGGATGCAGCTGGAGGCCACTATGCTAAGTGAACTAACTCAGAAAGAGAAAATCAAACACTGCTTGTTCTTGATTATAAATGGGAGCTAACAACAATGGGTACACATGGACATAGAGATGGAAATAATAGACACTGGGAGCTCCAAAAGTTGGGAGGTTGGGAGGGGAGTGAGTGTTGAAAAATTAGCTGTCAGTTACAATGTTCACTATTTGGGTAATGGGCACACTACAAGCCCTGTGCCCGCCAGCATGCAGTATACCCATGTGACAAACATGCACATGTTCCTCAATCTAAAATAAAACCAATGCAAATGCACGCCGACATGTGATTGACTAACTTATTCTACTAGACTGTGGGCTATATCACTTGAGGTCTGTCATTTGTACTGTGGGGTTTACATCAATGATAGAATCTTTAACTTTCTAGTTCAACACTTTTACCAAAGCAACATACTTTCACAAGTTTGACAGTCTCAAATTATTGCCAAAATTTTGCCACCCAGACTCGGATTTCAGAATATGTCTGAATTCATACATTCATTACCAAAATTGTAGATATATATTAACATCATGGGAAACTGAGAAAAATTATAGCTCAGTCATTTCCTCTTGAAACTAAGCTTTACAAAAAGAGAAAAATTTGAGTTCAAATCTAATCTAAAATTTGAATTCAAATGGCAGCTGGCAAAAATCGAGTTTTCTTAGCTCTAAGAATCTCTTCTTATACTACGACTACAATGCTTGAAATGTGCAACCTCTTTGAGCTGGGGCAGTCTGGCTATGGAGACAGGGCAGTCTCCACTCTACCTGTCCCGAACACTGGATCATGTGCGGCCTCATCACCTGCATTCTGATGGCCAGTGAGCATCACTCTCATTTTCCTGCAGGTGCGGTGGGGGTTGTGGGTACTTCGCATCCTCAGTAAGAGAAGACCATGTATGAACTATGAAGCCAATGATCATTGAGACCTCCAATACCTTTCATTCTAAAAAGTCCTTAAGAAGGTGGGATCAGTTAGGCAAGAAAATACCGCCACAACACAAAAGTTTAGACGTGTGAAACAGTGAAGGAACTTGAGTGTTAGAGTTACAAATAGTTTGTTAAGAATATTTATTGAATGCCTATTATACACTTGATACTATGTAGATGCTGGGAATACACTGATATATGGAACACATAGTTTCTTCCCACATGGAATTTATCATCTATTGTCCGAGAGAGATCAAGGAAATTAAAAACTAATAAAAATGCAAATGGAGTAATGTTATAAAGGAGACAAACAGGCTAGGCCACAGTGAACAATGGAGTATGGAACCTATTTCTTCTTAAAAGGAGGACTAGGAAGGTTGCTCTTTGGAGGCGCAACAAGTACTGACAGGTGAGAATGAGGAGCCATGCATGAATGAGCATGCAAGGTTGACACACCAAACTGGCCAAAGCCACTGAGAGAAAATAACTCTATAGGTTCAAGGGAAAAAATGAGGTCAGGGGAGCTGGAGGACGGTGGTCAGTGGGAGAGGGGCATGAAATGAGGGAGGAGAGGCGGCTGAGGGGGAAACACACACAGAGACCACACATGCATTAACTACCTGCAGGAGGGACACACACACACACGCAAAAACCACATATGGATGATTCACCTGGAGGGGATGCACACACAGAGACCACATGTGGATGAGCCATGTGGAGGGTACACACACACACAGGGGCCGCACATGGACAACCCATGTGGATGAGCAACACAACACAATGGAGAAATTGGTATGATTCCATATGCTTTAAGAAGGTCATTCTGGCTGTTTGGTGAGATTGGTGGGGGAATAGCTAGATAAATTAGTGCAGTGGCTATCCGAATGGCCCAGACCTGTGCAGATGATAAGTTAAATGATGGTTACTGAAGACGACAAGATGTGGTTGAGTCTGAGATATGTATGGTAGGTAGAACTGACAAGATCTGTACTGGACTAGATGTAAGGAATGAAAGGAAAGCCATTCAGGTCTATAGTGTGAGCAACTGATGAAAGGGCACATGAAGAAGACTCCTGGATGAACAGATTGTAGGAAAAGCTGGATACCAACATTCACTTTGGGACATGTTTCTATTGGAGAATCTCAGTAGTGATGTTATAGTCATTGAATATTTTAGTCTAGGATTCAAAGGATAGGTTTAGTCCAGAAATATAAATTTAGGACTGATCAGCATATAGATGACATTTAGTATCATGGGGCTGGTTGAAAAGCTAGGGAGAGAGTGGAAGGAGACTGAGCCTTGAGAAATGGCCACAACTAGAAGTTGGCTAGAGAAAAAGAAAGTGTACAGAAAACTGAGTAGCAGCTAATGAAACGGGAGAAAACTTCAGAGAATGTGGCATCACCAAAGCTAAGAGAATAGACTGTTTCAATCAAGAGAATTATCATGCTATTTGGCCACAAGGAGATCACTTGTACCTTGACAAGATCATTTTAGTGTAGTGGGGACAAAAGCCAGATCAGAAAGCAGGAAAGGATGGAAAGAAGTGGGATCAGCATTTATAGACAACATTTATGAGAGGTTTGACTATGAAAAGAATTAGCTAGAGGGTACAATAGCTAGAGGGTAATTAGGGAACAAGGGAGGCTCTCTTATTTCTTTATAATGGGAGGTAATAAAGCATATTAGTTACTGGTGAGGATGATTAAATACTAATGAAAGATCAATAGCACACAACAGAAAGGAAAAGAAAGAAGTTCTAGACAATGACCCCATGAGAGGGAATGGGATCAAAATCTCCTGTGAAGGGTTTGATTTTTGTTAGTAGGGGAGACCTTCTCCAGTTTTATCTGGATGGAATAAAGAGCAAAAGGTGCAGGTAGAATTACAGATTTGGGAGTGAGAATACGAAGGAGGTCTATTATGATATTATAACTTGTTTCAGTAGAGTATCAAGCTATATGGACAGTACTTAAGTGAAAGATGAAGCTGAAAAGATAGGCAGGGGTTATATCATACAGGGCCTTACCTGCCATGGTAAGGAGTGTTTTAGGTGCTAGGAAGCTTTTTAAAAACCAATGAAGGTATAATAATAAGAAAACAAATGACCCATTATAAAAATGATTTAAAACATAATTAGTCATTAGGGAAATACAAATTGAAACCACAATGTAATATTACTGTACACCTAGCAAAATGGCTTTAATAAAACTCTGACAATGTCACATGTTGATGGGAGAGTGAAACAACAAGGACTGCTAACACTGGCAGATATATTAATTATTATATGACAACGATTTTAGACCAACCATCATAAAAACACTTCAGGCTGGGCATGGTGGCTCACAGCTGTAATCCCAGTACTTTGGGAGGCCAAGGCGGGCAGATCACTTGAGGTCAGGAGTTCAAGACCAGCCTGGCCAACATGGTGAAACCCCATCTCTACTAAAAATACAAAAATTAGCCAGGCATAGTGGCACGTGCTACTCAGGAGGCTGAGACGAGAATCACTTGAACCCAGGAGGTGGAGATTGCAGTGAGCCGAGATCACGACACTGCACTCCAGCCTGGGTGACTGGGCAAGACTCTGTCTCAAAAAAATAAATACATAAAATAAAATAAAAATAAATAAAAAAACTTCAACAAGCAATACAAAAACACTTGAAATATATTAGAAAAATAGAAAGTTCCAGCAAATAATTAGAGGATATTAAGAATAACTGAATGGAAATTTTAGAACTGAGACATGCAATAACAACAAAGGTTTTTAAAACTCAGTAGATGGACTCAACAGCAGAATGGAGGGGACAGAGGAAAGAATTGGTGAACAGGGAATTAAAACAGGGAAATAAAATAAAATAAAAAAAGAAATTACCTAATCTGAACTGCAGAAAGAAATAAACAGAGCCTTGGAGACCTACAGGATCACAATCAAAGGTCTAACATTTATGTTATTGGAGTCCCAGAGAGAGGAGAAAGAGGGCATGACTTAAAAAGTAGTCAAACAAATAGTGGATGAATATTTTCTAAATCTGGCAAAAGACATAAATCTACAGATTCAAAATGTTGAGTGAACTCCAAATAGGATAAACCCAAAGAAATCCATGCCAAAGCATGCTATAACTAAACTTTTGAAAACTAAAGACAAAGAAAAAATATTGAAAGCAATGAGAGAAATAACATCTACCTATAAGGGAAAACAATTTGAATGATACGGAATTTCTCATCAGAAACCAGGGAGCCAGAAGGAAGTAACAACATTTTTCAAGTGCTCAAACAAAAGAATTGTCAACCCAGGATTATTTATTCAGAGAAAATATAAAGGTGAATGAAGGGGACTTGAAGATATTTTCAGATGAAAGAACAGTGTAAGAGAATTTGTTGCCAGCCGACCTCCTCTAAAATAATGGCTAAGGGAAGTTTTCTAAACAGATAAGAACTAATAAAAGAAAGAATCTTGGATCATGTTAACCTAAAGGAAAAAAACTGAGGCAAAATTAATATAAGTAGAGAGTTTATCTGGGCTGAAGCTGAGGACTGAAGCCCAGGAGACTCATGCAAGTTGCCTTGATCCATGCTCCAATTAACAGTAACTACAAGTGGTTTGTAAAAGCAAAAAAGAAGTGCAGTCCTTAAGTTGTTTACCAATAATTTACTTTGCTTTATTAAAATAACAAAAGTGATTGGTTGGCTATACATTTTTCTTTGTATCACAAATTCCATGAACATGAAGATTATGGATGAGAGTTACATTGTGCAACTTGTGGTAACATTTTAGGTAATTTATCAGCTAGCCTGGAAACTAGAAGAAAGGGAAAAAAAATCAAAATGCCTTTAAAAACTTGCCCCCAGGTATGGCTGCAGAGGACATGATTAGAGTCTCATGTTTATGTCTCTCTGCGTCTGATACATTTTCCATATCAGGCCAGGCATGGTGTTTCATGCCTATAATCCTAGCACTTTCGGAGGCTGAGGTGAGAGGGTCACTTGAGAATGGGAGTTCAAGACCGCCCTGGGCAACACAGTAAGATCAAGATCCTGTCTCCACGAAAGAAAGAAAAAAAGAAAAGAAGGAAAGATTGATTTAAAAATTACTTGACATGACGGTGCATGTCTGTAGTCCTGGTTACGCAGGAGGCTGGGGCAGGAGGACCACTTGAGCCCATGAGTTCAAGGCTGTAATAAGTTATGATCATGCCACTGTACTCCACTACAGTGTGGGTGACAGAGTAAGGCCCTGTCTCTCTCAAAAAAAAAATTCATATCTCACATTCCTCAGACGCTCTGAGACATGTTCTCAATCATTAGGAAAAAAGAAAGAACAAGGAAAATAGTAAAAATATAGATTAAAAAATACATTTTCCTTCTCCTCTTGAATATTCTAAATTATGTTTGATAGTTGAAGCAAAAATTATAACCCTAACTGATGTGGTTGTAAATACACATGGAGGAAATATTTCAGACAATTACATTAAACATATTATTAATATCAAATATTTATGATTATTAAATTATAAATGAGGAGGGTGAGGTGACATAAAGGAGGTCACCTTTTTTCCTACTTTTCACGGGAGCTGGTAAAATGCTAACACAGATAGACCGTGTTTTGTGTAATAAGTAGAAAAGCGATACCAAGAGATAAACTAAACAGTGCAATACATAAATCAAAGTGGAATTGTAAAACAAAAATATTCAAGAAATATATAGGAAGGTAGGGATAACAGAAAAACAAAACAGAGGGAAATAGCAGAAAATTTAAAAAAAGATGGCAACTTCAGACCTAATGTATCAACAATTTCATTAAATGTAAGTGCTCTAAATAAACCAGTTAAAAGGAAGAGATTGGCAGAGTGAATTAAAGCATGACCCAAATATACACTGTTTATAAGAAACTCACTTCAAATACAATGATACAGGGAGATTGAAAGTAAAAGGATGCTTGTGCTTGCCATTGGTGGACCTGTAGGCAGACCTGCCCAGTCCAGGCCTGCCCACTGTGGCCCCCATTCCACCCCCTAGGGCTGAGCAGGGAGCTCAGACCACTGTGCAATCCAGAATCACCCCATTGCCTGAGGCAACGGTAAGCTTCGGCCACTAAAGAAGGATCAAGTATAGACCCAGCCACGTTGGCTGCTGCTGGCTCTTACCTATAAGTGCCATCTACTGGATTGTAGGTCGAACTGCACAGCCCAATATAAAAGCTGAAAGAAGTGCACAGGGCTATAGAAATAAAGCCAAAAGACCCTACCCAGCATTCTCTACAGTTGCACCCCTAGGGAGGGGGTAAAGGGAAAAGGAAAGAAAACTAATAATACTACTATAGTAAAAGAAAGAAAAAGATAAGAATCCTGGATGAAAATATTCACAAAAATTAGAAGTGTCAACATCTCCAGATGAGAAGGAACCAGCACAAGAATTATGACACCATGAAAAATTTGAATATAGTGATTCCACCAAAGAATTGAACTAGCTTTCCAGCAATGATCTATAACCAAAATGGAAACTCAAAAATGACACATAAAGAATTCAAAGCATGGATTGCAAGGAAGCTGAATGAAATCTAAGACAAGGTTGAAAATCAACACAAAGAAACTTTCAAAGCAATCCACGAAATGAAGAAAGAGACAAACATCTTCCAAAGGGGGAAATCAATTAGACCTTCTGGAATTGAAAACTCACTTAAGAAATTTTAAAAATACAATTGAAAGTTTTATCAATAGACTGGACCAAGCAGAAGAAAGAATTGCAGAGCTTGAAGACCAGTCTTTTGAACTAACCCAGTCATACGAAAATAAAGAAAAGAGAATTTTTAAAGATGAACAACATCTTCAAGAACTAAGAGATTATGCAAATAGACCAAACTTATAAACTATTGGCATTCCTGAGAGAGGATAAAAAGTAAATAATCTGGAAAACATATTTGAGGGAATCATTCAAGAAAATTTCCGTATTCTTGCTGGAGAAGTAGACATGCAGATACAAGAAATCCAGAGAACACCTGTGAGAGACTATACAAAACAAATATCACCAAGGCATAGAGAGTCATGAGACTGTCCAAGGTCAACTCTAAAGAAAAAATCTTAAAGATAGCTACAGAAAAAAGTCAAATCACATACAATGGGAACACTATCAAGCTAACAGTGGACTTTTCGGCAGAAACCTCACAAGCCAGGAGAGATTGGGGGCCTATTTTCAGGATTCTTAAAGAAAAGAAAGTCCAACCAAGAATTTCATATCCCACCAAACTCAGCTAAAAGAAATAAAATATTTTCCCAACCAGCAAGTGCTAAGAGAATTCATTACCGCTAAACCAGACTTACAAGAGATCCTTAAAGGAGGTCTAAACATGGAAGCAATAGAATGATACTGGCTACCACAAAAGCACACTGAAGTACACAGCCTACAGATCCTACAGAGCACCCACACAATAGAAACTACAAAGCAACCAGCTAAGAACTTCACAACATGATTAAAACCTCATATATTAATATTCGTGTTGAATGTAAATGGTCTAAACACCCACTCAAAAGACACAGAGTGGAAAGTTGGATTAAAAAACAAGACCCATCTATCTGCTATCTTCAAGAGACCCATCTCACATGTAACAACACCCATAGGATCAAAGTACAGGGTTAGAGAAAAACCTACCATGCAAATGGAAAACAAAAAAGATTAGGGATCACTATTCTTATATCAGATAAAGTAGACCTTAAGCCAAACAGTAAAAAAGAACAAAGAAGGGCCATTACATAATGATAAAGAGTTCAATTCAACAGGATTCATAAAACAAGTACTTCTAGACAGCCACACAATAATAGTGGGGGACTTCAACACCCCACTATCAGCATTAGACAGATCATAGAGGCAGAAAACTAACCAAGAAATTCTGGACTTAAATACAACACCTGACCAATTGGACCTAATAGACATCTACAGAATACACCTATCAACCCACAATATACATTCTTTTCATCTTGCACACCAAACATACTGCAAGATCAACTATATTCTTGGCCATAAAGCAAGTCTCAATAAATTCAAAAAAATCAAAATTATACCAACCATACACACAGACCACAGTAGAATAAAAATAGAAGTCAATACTAAGAAGACCTCTCAAAGCCACACAATTGCATAGAAATCAAACAACTCTATCCTGAATGACTCTTGGGTAAACAATGAAATTAAGGCAAACACCAGAAAAGTCTTTGAAATAAATAAAAGCAGAGACACAACATACTAAAATCTCTGGGATGTAGCAAAAGCAGTGTTAAGACGAATATTTGCAGTGCTAAACGTCTACCTCAAAAAGTTAGAAAGATCTCAAATTAACAATTTAACATGACACCTAGAGGAACTATAAAAACAAGAACAAACTAACCCCAATGCTAGAAGAAGAAAAGAAATAACTAGAATCAGAGAAGAACAGGATGAAATTGAGACCGAAATATCCATACAAAGAGTCAACTAAACCAAAAGTTTGTTGTTTGAAAGGATAAACAAGACTGATAGACCACTAGCTAGGTTAACAAAGAAAAAAGGAGAGAAGATCCAAATAGGCACAATCAGAAATGACAAAGGTGACGTTACACAACCAATCCCACAGAAATACAAAAGATCCTCAGAGACTATTATGAATACCTCTATGCACACAAGCTAGAAAATCTAGAAAAAAAAATAGATAAATTCCTGGAAACACAAAATCTCTTAAGATCGAATCAGGGAGAAATTGAAACCCTGAACAGACCAATATTAAGTTCCAAAATTGAATCCATAATTTTAAAACCTATCAAACAAAAAAGCCCCAGACCAGATGGATTCACAGCTGAATTCTACCAGATGTGCAAAGGAGAGCTAGTACCAATTCTACTGAAAGTGTTCCCAAAAATCTAGGAGGAGGGACTTCTCCCTAACTCATTCTACAAAGTTAGTATCACTCTGATACCAAAACCTAATAAAGACACATCAACAACAAAAAAAATAAAACTGCAGGCCAATATCCCCGATGAACATACGTGCAAAAATTCTCAACAAAATACTAGCAAACTGAATCCAACAGCACATCGAAAAGTTAACTCATCATGATTAATTAGGCTTTATTCCTGGGAGGCAAGATTGGTTCAACACACACAAATCAATAAATCTGATTCACCACATAAACAGAATTAGAAACAAAAACCATATGATCATCTCCACAGACACAGAAAAAGCTTTCAATAAAATCCAACATCCCTTCATGATAAAAACCCGCAAGAAACTAGGTATCAAAGGAACACCCTTCAAAATAACAAGAGCTGTCTATGATAAACCCACAGCTAACAACACACTGAATAGCCAAAAAACTAGAACCATTCCCCTTGAGAACTGGAACAAGATAAGGATGCTCACTCTCACCACTCCTATTCAGCATAGTACTGGAAGTGGTAGCCAAAGCTGTCAGGCAAGAGAAAAAAATAAAAGACATACAAATAGGAAAAAAAGAAGTCAAATTATCTCTCTTAGCAGATGATATGTTTCTATACCTAGAAAACCCTAAATACTCCACCAAAAGGCTCCTAGAATTGATAAACAATTTCAGTAAGGTTGTAGAATACAAAGTCAATGTATAAAAATCAGTAGCATTTTTATACACCAATAACATTCAAGCTGAGAACCAAATCAAGAACATGATCTCATTTACAACAGCCACAAAGAAAATAAAATACCTAGGAATACATCTAACTAGGAGGTGAAAGATCTCTACAAGAAGAACTACAAAACACTGCTGAAAGGAATCATAGATGATACAAACAAATGGAAAAACATTCCCTACCCATGGACTGGAAGAATCAGTATCATTAATCTGGCCATACTGCCCAAAGTAATCTACAGATTCAATGCTATTCCTATCAAACTACCAATGTCATTTTTCAAATAACTAGAAAAAACTACTGTAAGATTCATATGGAACAAAAAAAAATCCAAATAGCCAAAGCAATATTAAGCAAGAAGAACACAGCCAGAGGCATCACATTATCCGACTTCAAACTATACTATAATACTACAGTAGCCAAAATAACTTGGCACTGGTACAAAAACAGACACATAGACTAATGGAACAGAATACAGAACCCAGAAATAAAGCCACACACCTACAGCCATCTGATCTTCAACAAAGTCAACAAAAATAAGCAATGGGGAAAGGGCTCTCTAAACAATAAATGGTGCTGGGTTCGCTGTCTAGTCATACACAGAAGAATGAAACTGGATTCCTACCTTTCACCGTATACAAAAATTAGTTCATGTGGATTAAAGATTTAAATGTAAGACCTCAAACTGTTAAGAATCCTAGAAGAAAACCTAGGAAAAACCATTCTAGACATTAGCCTTAGGAAAGAACTTGTAATTCAGTCCTCAAAAGCAATTTCAACAAAAACAAAAATTGACAAGTGGGACATAATTAAAGGGCTTCTGCACAGCAAAAGAAACTATCAACAGAGTAAACAGACAACCTACGGAATGGGAGAAAATATTCAAAAAACACACATCTGACAAAGGTCTAATATCCAGAACCTACAAGGAACTTAAACAAATGAACAAGCAAAAAACAACCCCATTAAAAAATGGGCAAAAGACATGAAAAGACGCTCCTCAAAAGAAGACAGACATGCAGCCAACAAACGCAAAAAAATGCTCCATATCACTAATCATCAGAGAAATGCAAATCAAAACCACAATGAGATACCATCTCACACCAGTCAAAATGGCTATTACTAAACAGTCAAAAAACAACAGATGCTGTGATGCTGTGGAGAAAAAGGAATAATTATACACTGTTGGTGGGAAGGTTAATTAGTTCAGCCACTATAGAAAGCAGTTTGAAGAGTTCTTGAAAAAGTTAAAACAGCACTACAATTTGGCCCAGCAATCCCACTACTGGGTATATATCCAAATGAAAACAATTCATTCTACCAAAAAGACACATGCACTGGGCACAGTGGCCCACGCCTGTAATCCCAGCACGTTGGGAGGCCGAAGTTGGAGGATGACCTGAGGTTGGGAGTTTGAGACCAGCCTGACCAACATGGAGAAACCTTGTCTCTACTAAAAATACAAAATTAGCCAGGTGTGGTAGCGCATGCTTGTAATCCCAGCTACTCAGGAGGCTGAGGCAGAAGAATTGCTTGAACCCAGGAGGCAGAGTTTGCACATCATTGCACTCCAGCCTGGGCAACAAGAGCGAAACTCTGTCTCAAAAAGAAAAAAAGACATGCACACACACATTCATCACAGCACTACTGACAATAGCAAAGACATGGAATCAACCTAGGTGCCTATCAACAGTGGATTAGATAAAGAAAATGTGGTACATATACACTATGGAATACTATGCAGTCATAAGAAATGGAAATGGACAGAGAAAAAGAAGGCGGGGGACGGGATCAGAGGCAGCTTCACAGAGAGGCACACTTGAGTCAAAACTTGACTCACGTTTGAAAGATGAATGTGAGTTTCCAGGCATATGGGAGCTAGGGGTGCATGGAGGGGTTGTGGGTCCCCGCTGGGAAAATAGCCTGTAAGGCATAACAGGAATAACTGTGATTCACTGAGGACGTACTGTGTTAGGCACTGGAACAAGAGCTTTACAAACATTATCTCATGTACTCTTCACTGGGTGCCTATGAGGAAGGTACTATCATCCACATTTCATAAGTGAGGGAGCAAGGCCTACGGACTTCCACTAACTGCCTGAGGCCACACAGACAGGAAGAGATGGGGTAGGCCTGATTCTCTGTCTTTTGGATTCCAGAGCCTACAACCACTTCAGTATCTTTGGGCAACGATAAGCAACTTGCTGTTGCCAGAAAAGTGAGGGTCAGAGACCCTTAAAAGTGAGGGGAGGTGACCAGCCTCTGACAGTACACGTAGCAGAGGAGCTTGGCTGCCTCCCGTAGGCTGTGGTGGAGCACAGCGGCCTGAGTAGCATGGGGAGAAGCCTAACCTGCCTTTCCATTGCTCACTCTGGCAGCCTGTGAGTGCGCAGCCCCGGACAGGAGCCCATCCCAGGGACTGGCTGCACAGCTGTTCTGCAAAAGTAAAGAAACCACGTCTCCTCAGTCCTTACACCTGACTTCTTGTAAATGTCCAGTTCTTGTTAGGTTTTCTAACATATCGCCCCTGGACTCCTGTTCTAACCTGATGTCTTATAAACATTCAGGGCTCCTTGGAAAACCCAGGGTTTCTCTGAGGCCCCAAGTCATCCACCTGCTGAGTGAGCCCTGCTCAGATGCATTCTGGAGGGAAAAATCACATAAATTCCCTTCCAATCTATAACTCTTCTTAAAGTCTTCCTTAATGCAATCCTCGGGGACACACACTTGACACGGCTGTACTTCTCTAAAGGAAGGGAGAATCGCTGTGGCCTAGCCCAGGCCATCTGCCACACTTGCATAGAATGTTTTTCCTATGGAAGCTTATTTTGGAATATAATCACAGAGGAAATTGAGATAAACAGGCTTTTCCTTTTCTGGACAATTCTTAGAGATAAAATCTACTGCAGAAGGCAAGACACTTAACTTCTGCCCAGAAACTGATGTCACGTGGTTAACGTGTGGTGGCCACATCAACTGAAGCCGACAGTGACACCGAGTCAGCATCCTGGGTGCAGCTGCCACCCTGTCACTCTCATCACATTCCACCATTCCCAGGCCACAGAGGCAAGAGGATACTCTCAAAACTTAGAGATAGCTTTAGTTTTAGGAAAATAGGACGGAAAAATATCTTATGCCTCAGAATAATAGGTGGAATTCAATTGCTCTTCAAGGCAGCACAAGCATAATGTCCAAATAGGCTTACAAAGGCTTTCCCTAGATTGTGGGTGATTGATCTGTGGCAGGCTATTAAGGGAAGTTCAGGATGGCCAGGCTATTTTGAGGCTGATATCTTGGAGAACCCTCTCTCTCTCCTGCAAACCACTCCCTTGGCATCACTCTCAGAGACAAGCTGCTGGCCTGTGCAGCCCACACCCTGACTCAGGGTGGCATTTTTCTCAAGCCCTCTCCTTTTAAGGCCATCAGGGATCTGAGCCCCCATGGGTAGGGAACAGGCCAGGCAGCTGGAGCGTACAAGAGTCACCACTACGAATAGCTTGACTCTGAAGTTTCTAAAAGGGAACCTGGACCACCTGAGCCTCCCCAGAAGACGCCTCAGTCACATTTACCCTGCTGCTGCCATTAGTATCAGGCAGAGCCATCTGTACACGCGGGAACATGAAGGGCACTTTGCAAGACTTCAGCTGGTGGGTTAAATGTGGCTCACAGCTGTCGCTGAGGCACACTCCCCAAAATAGTCTCAACACAGCAGTAGGAAAGATGACACAGAGGTGACTGAGACTAATAGCAATACAGTATTACTATTATCCCTTGAATAAAGTATGTAAATCAAGGTGTTAACCATCAGGAGCAGAGAAAAGAGAGTGTTAAGTATAGGGGCTTAGCTGTAAAAAGAATCAGAAGAAAAAGAAAAAAAAACCCTCAGTTAAAGGGCTAGATAGTCTAGAAAATTTGTTAGGTATTTATATTATTAACACAGAGCAGGGTAACACGATAGAATAGAAACCTGTTACAAACAGGCAACAACAACAACAAAATAGACAACAACCCTAGAAGAAAAATGCCTTGAAGGAAAAGCTGGAATACTGTGAGAGACTTACCAGTGGCCTGTCTGCGTGTAACTAACTCCTCATCCCGACTTGGTCACGCAAAGGACAGGTGACCATACCTCCAGGAAGGTGGAAAGGGGCCCTACATGAGTGAGAGGCTCAAGTCCTGCCCAAGTGGAATCTGTGATTCTGTGATCTAAAGAAAGTTTGTGGCTATTTTTAGAAACTAAAGTTTATCTCATATTGACACAAACTCAAAAATCAATGATACTTTGAGATATGTCATATCACAAAAAAGATTTCTCCTCTAGTACATTATCATTTAACCAATACAAACAGGTCTGGGCCAGGTGCTGTGGTTCATGCCTATAAACCCAGCACTTTGAGAGGCTGAGGGGGGTGGATCCCTAGAGCCCAGGAGTTTCAGGCCAGCCTGGGCAACATGGTGAAACTCTGTCTCTACCAAAAGTACAAAAATTAGCCAGGTATAGTGGCACACACCTGTAGTTCCAGCTACTAAGGAGGCTAAGGTGAGAGGACCACTGAGCCCAGGGACGTAGAGACTACGGTGAGACATGATTATACCACTGCACTCCAGCCTGGGCAACAGAGGGAGACCTTCTCTCAAAAAGAAAAGAAAAGAAAAAGAAACAGGTCTAATTTGTTCATCTAAGCAATGATAAGATTTATATGAACATAAGTTGCTTTATTGATGAAAAATTGAACATAATCTAATCAAGCCTCTAAATTTAACTGCCAATTTATAGGAAAAGACAGGACAGAACCTACAGGAATGCAATCATTTATATCTAGAATGTGGAAGATTCTGCATGACAAACGACTTGGATTCTTCAACATGTAAATTTCAAGGAAAGAGAGAGAGAGAGAGATAAAAAGGCTTGTTTCCAGATTTGAATGACATGTTAATAGACATTTATGAGACAATCAAGGAAATTTGAACATGGACTGCATATTGAATGTTGAGGGATTATAGTTAATTTTTAAAGGTACAATTGTGATACTGTGATTATATTTTTAAATGCGATCATTATCTTTTAGGAGCACTAAAATATTTACTAATAAAATTATAGGATTTACTTCAAAATAAACAACGATAATAAGATTACCATGAATAGTGGTGGGTGAAATATACAAGGGGCTTATTTGACATTTCCATAATAAAAAACACGAATGAATAACAAAGCATTATAGAAATTCAAGTAAAAAATAGCTCGTGCTTAGTAATAAATCAAAGCGTGCTGGACACTTTAAATAATAAACAAAGATAAGATCTTGCCCTCTAGAAAACAGCTCTAATTCAGGACAGACTTGCTCACATCAGATGGAAGAGTCAGAATGAGATGTGCTGAGTAGAAGGTAGAACGGTCGCTAGCAGAGGGTGGGAAGGTGGTATGTGTGGGGGAGAGGAGAAAGAGAGGTTGATTAATGGGTACAAACAGACAGTTAGATGGAAGGAGTGAGATCTGTTGTTCGACAGTAGAGTAGGGTGACTACAGTTAACAACAATATTTGCATATTTCAAAATAGCTAGAAGACAGGACTTGGAATGTTCCCAACACATAGAAAGGTGATGAACTCAAGGTGCTGAACACCCCAAATACCCTGACTTGATCATTATGCAATAACAAAATATCACATGTACCCTGTAAATATGTACAAATACTACATATCAATTTAAAAATTTTCACACAAGAATGAGATGTGCTGATGCATGTGGAGGCCCTAGCTCCAGACTGGGTGTAAACTTCAAGCCACTGAAGATCTTATTTCCAAGGTTTTTCTACTTTGAAATTCCAAACTTATTTTTCTAGCAGATTTATAAGGGACACGGGACAACATAAACTTGTTAAAGTGACAAGAGAAAGTAAATATGCCCTTAAATTTATACCAAATCTTCTGACAAGTCTTGACTGATAATTGTTTCCTTCAAATTTGTGAAAAACATGAGAGAAAACGTGTTTGTATCTCATTTTTAAGTGTGGACACTTGGCATTGCTCACGGCTTCCAACGGAATAAAATAGGGCTTAGTTGTTTTCCATTAGCTTTTTCCTTTGTGTGTGTGTGTGTGTGTGTGTGTGTGTGTGTGTGTTGTGTGTACATATTGGCTCTAAGCATTTATTAGCCCAATAATTTTTAGTGAAACTCTCCACTTCTCAATATCTTTTGCCGTATTAGATTTTTGTAACATGTGCTAAAGGTTAAAACACCTTTTCCCCTTCATGAAGCCTGAGAGAAGTCGGTTTTCTGGGTTTTCTCAAGACAACCCAGAGGTTTTGTATACGTCTGTCTAAAAAGTCTCAGATTTTTCTTGCTAATTGTGCACCTTCATAATCAAGCAGACAAATCAGAATATTATTTTGGTGAGGCCATCATCTAAACTAACAGTCTTTATGTACAGAAGCAGCACTGACCGGGTTCATACTCCTCAGTTAGCAAGTCAACATCTTCCTCCTGCCAGCAACCCATCCCAGAATATCTGTGGCTTATTAATACTTATGAAAACAACAGTCTTCATTATTTACTAATTAGGAGATGATCAGATGTATCTATTGATAGCAACAGGCTATTTAAAAGTGAAATAATCTATCAAACAGATTTTTTATCAACTCAAAGTTTCCAGTTAGATATTTTTCATTAAATTGATTGCTAGATTGCAGCCACAATCAAACTTAAGTATTATAAGAAGTTTGGTTGGTCTTTTAAAATCATGCAAAAATTCAAGGGGTGCTATTAAATATAGAATTCCAAATGTATAAAGTCTTGTCCTAAAATGGTCAATAAAATGAACCAGTCCACTGGTTCATTTATAGGGGGCCAGTCCACTACATTAATTTGGATGTTCTTCGTCTGCATTTTCATGTTTTCACACACCTGCAGTCATTGTGTACAATTCTGGACTCTTGATTTTCATTTAGCATTCTGCGTTAATATTCTGACATGTTGCTGCCAGGTCTTCATGGCCACCACTTTTAATGGCCAGAAAATATTTCATGTAGTGAACATTTCATAAATTACTTAACCATGTCCCAATTATTGGTTATTTAAGGAATTTAAAACTAAAACACCACTCTTGTGACAAAGTTCTGATGTATCCAGATGTACTCATGCCAAGTCGTCCATCAATAGTTCTGCTAAACCCTGTCAGAGCCCTTTTCTGAAGGGAACCAGGAAACATCTCACAACAAGAAGCTTAAGGCCTCTACAAAATGACTTCAGGGTTAGGATTTCAATTTCACTCTGAGGCACATACAGGAACCACTAGGTTATTTGGCTTAGAATGGAGGGAAGTGTCATTTTGTTTCTGTTCGGCCTGCAGGAAGCTCCTTCCCAGGCCCTGCATTGCCAATTGAACAATTGAACAATTCTCATTGTTCAATTCCCACCTATGAGTGAGAACATGCATTGTTTGGTTTCCTGTCCTTGCGATAGTTTACTGAGAATGATGGTTTCCAGCTTCATCCATGTCCCTACGAAGGACATGAACTCATCATTTTTTATGGCTGCATAGTATTCCATGGTGTATATGTGCCACATTTTCTTAATCCAGTCTATCACTGATGGACATTTGGGTTGGTTCCAAGTCTTTGCTATTGTGAATAGTACCGCAATAAACATACGTGTGCATGTGTCTTTATAGTGCCTAGAACATAATAGGAGCTCCAGAAATACTGTTGAAAAAATGAATAAATTGAGCACACTAAGTGTCTGAATAAAATACCCTGACCATACCCCTAAATAAACAACATAAATAAGCAAATTTCAATTTCTCGGAAAAGTTATATTTTAGTGTCCAATGCTCTTGTTATGCAGTAATGGCATCTTTGATTATTCATATTCGTTAGAGCTTCCAGAAAGGAGTATTGCAAATCACACGGGCCTCTGACTCTCATGACCAAATCCCCCTGTCACTGTCCTTGTTCTCTGATCCTTCCTCTGGGCCCTCGGAAATGCTGGTCTCCATCAAATTGCTGTAAACAGTTTTCAGAAAAAGTTCTCTTTGGGAAGTTTCAAGAGAAAACCACAAATTTCCTGGAAATGCTTCATGCTTCATGACATTTAAGGCTTTCAGAGCCTTGAACTTCAGGAGCAAGATAGCTGGTAGGTCTTCTGGAGGTCTTGCCTAACCTGAGAAGGTCCCAGAGAATTTGTGCATAGAACCTCCCAGGAAGCAGTAAGACAGGCTGGTGCAGTCCCACAGGATGAGAAAGGTAAGAGCTTACCAATGTCTCCAGTTTTGTAAATGAATGTTCTTAGCATTTTTGGTGAGGAGAAAAAAATATCAAACCCATCACAGACAGATCAGCAGTCTCTTGACCTAGGTCACTCAAGGGGTTCTCAACAATCAATTCTAAAATGCAAGTGAAAAATGTCAATATAAGGCTAGACACAGGGGCTCATGCCTGTAATTCCAACACTTTGGAAGGCCAAGGCAGACCTAGAACTTTGTAAATCTGAGATTTTGCTCCATGACTTTGTGGATACTTTCTACTAATACCACCTACACAAAATCTTCAACCAAGAATCTTAATTGCATTTATCAACTTGTGTCCTTAGATCATAACATTTAGATTCATTTGAAAGAAATTTATTGAAGTAAAAGAAATAAGAAGAACTTGATAGCACAAAACAAAGAAAACCCAGAAAGAGAGAGAGAGAGAGAAGCAGAAAAACTAAACACTGAAACCCAGAGAGAGAGAGAGAAGTAGAAAAACTAAACACTGAGTCTTAATCTGTTCTGCCACTAGTCAGCAGCCTGCACAGAGCACTTTAATGTATTCTCTGTCCATTAGTTTCCTTGTTTATGAAAGTATATAGCTCCAAAAAAATTCTGTGTTCTGATTTTTGTCTCTCCAAACCACAACCAGTCCCCTGCTCCCTTCTCTCCTCCTCCTCCTCCTTCTTCTTCTTTCTCTCTCTCTCCCTGTCTCTCTCTCTCTCTCTCTCTCTCCCCCTTTCCCTCTCCCCCACCCACCCACCTCCCAACCCCTGCATACACCTAGGACACCTCCAGCATAGGTTACTACCAATTTTGCACACCTCCAGCATAGGTTACTACCAATTTTGCTGGGTTTATCTCCTTCTGTCCTTTCCGCTTTGATCTGAGGAATAGCTGAGATTTAGGACAGCAACAAGGTGTACCTCCTTCCAGGTTATAAAACAGGATTAATGATTAGGCTCAAGGCCCCTTCCTAGTCACTCAGTAAAGTCTGTGCACTGGAAAACTGTGGTAGCAGTTTTCTGAGCATTAGAAAACTGTGGTTCTCACAGAGGCTGGATGAGTCAACACTGCCATCTGGCGGCCTCTTGGAGGGTGATGTGGAGCCTGGCTTTCATTGAAGAATGAAGGTCCCTTGATTTCCTGACCCTCAGCCAACTCTCCAGCAGCTTCTCACTGCAGAAGAGGTCAGGCCATTGGTCAGCTTGAGGACAAAGTGGGAGGATCACACTTTCGATCACCTATACTTTCTAACAATCAGCCCTGTGGACATCTGCTCACGCCCCATGCTGTTTTTAAAATATTTTCCCATTATAGAAATATTTTTCAAAGATGATTCACAAGCTCCAGGAGCCATTCAGACAAGGGAGAGCAAATTGGCAGCTAAACTCATTCAAGAGTGGAGCAGATGCACATGAAGCTCTGTCTGGCGGAGGAGGCACAAGACACCGAGCCTGGCTGGGAGGGTGCTCATGACAAGAGTGGGGCCACAGGCCTCTCCTTTCATTGGACATAGTGGCCATACAAAGTGGCTGCCTTGAAATGCACCCACATACACTATCGGTCCTCCCGGTCTAGGGAGAAAACTAGCACAGTATGTCAACAGATAAATCAGCGCAATCCTGTGGGTGAAGCAGTGCACCCATACTCTTCATTCTGCTGAGCGGAACTCAAGGGTGAGACACTTGTATTCCTAACTCCACTTGCCTTCAGGCTCCTCCAACATTCCAAATTGCCCATGGACAGAGCTACTACCCCTCCATAGAAGTGACAACTTGAAATAAAAGATTTGAAGCTCCTTCCCACGTTTAGACCCAGGCCTGCTGCTAGGAACTCCAGAGGAGGGATGGAAAGAAGTTTGCACTGCTCACAGATTTAATGTTTCTCTCACAACCAGAAGTAGGCAGCAGGATGGATTTTCAATCAACACTAACAAACGGATCACTCCTGGGTCCTTTAAACAAGTTCCATGTCTCTTTATAGGTTTTAGGTGCCTCCTATGTGTTCAGACTTCGTATAATGGATATATAAGAAAAGTAAATGGGAGGGGCAATATTTAAGAAATAACAGCAAACAATTGCATTCATATTTAATATAAACTACAAGTATCAAGTTAATAGACGCTCAGAAGAAATTCATAAAATCTAGAAAAGTTGGGAAAATCTCAATAGAGAAAATAAAACTTGATCTGGACTTTAAGAGTATGATTTATAAAGTTCAAGGGGACAGTACACAAAGTCAGACAATGTTAGCTGAATCACTGAAGAATGAGAATATCACACCCACTTAACAAAGCAGCCCAGCTAGTTAAAGAAGTATGTTGAAGAGGTAGGGAGTTGGGTGGGGGAGGCGAGGATGGCGTGGAGGGATCTGAAAACTATCAACCTTAAATAATGAGATTTAGAAAATATGATTAAGTAGAGGGTTAATTCGAGTGCAGAGCTTGAGAATGGCCACCTGGAAACACTGACTCTAAACCAGTAAGGTTAATGTTTCAAAGTGGAGAAGTTAAGGTTTCACTTAGAAATTTTAGCAGGATCACATTTTCCATACAAGACCAGTGCATTCGCCACAGCAATTTGATTGGTTATAGATTGCTGCTCATTCCAAGATTACTTTATTACTCTGTGCGGAGGAGTAGTGATTTGAGGGGTCTTATGTCTGGTGCCTTTTTGTCTTGTTTACAGGGGAAAAGGCAGAAGTTGCGCCTGCATGCCGCATAACTCAGGCTCTGCATAGCCACATGTCTTTCAAGGCTCAGAATAATTTGAAGTTCCAACAGCTTTAAGTTTGAATTAATTTCACAAAGCGGAGAAAGACTTGGACTTCGTGCAGTAATGAAGACCACCGATGGGTACTGAACAGCTCTGGTGGGTTTGCACTCAGAGAAAGGAGCCTAAGATGCAGAAGGTGCAGTGAGGCAGCAGCCATCTGCTCTTGTGCTGCTGAGCAGAGCATGATGGGCTGTCACCGCTCACGCGTGTTCTTTACCTGCTGACTCACCTGGCGGCATGGGCTGCATATGGGGTCCCAGCTCCTTAAGCTCCTGTCAGGCCCTTCTGCAACTTCTCCCAAGCTCTTGGGCCAGGTGCATGTCTAGCCATGAAAAAGGAGGCCAGTACCTGATCACTAAGTGAAAGTTCTAAGGTAGTGGGACTGCCACAGGTGTCCCCCATGGTCCCAGGTCACAATCCAGTCTGTTGACCCTCCTCCTTTTGCACCATCGCCCCTTTGACAGCCTGTGCTATGGGTTTTAGGCTCCTAGCACCAAACAGAAACAGGCTTATATAGATCATCTAATCAGCTCTTCTTATGTGAGGCCGAACTCTGTAATAAATCTTTTTATGTCTCCTAGGGCTTCTCTGATTGAACCTGTCTGATGAGGAGTTAAAGAAGTTCTCAAATTGTGTATGCATAAGAATCACCTGGGATTTCTAGCTCAGAGACTGGGACAATAGGTCTATTGAACCTAGGAGTTCATTTTGAACAAGTGCTCTACGTAATTCTGATACAGGGAATCTTCCAGTTACAGTTTGAAATTCACAAATACAAGGAATGAGAGACCTAGAATCAGAAAGCATGTTAATACACTTTTGGGCCATTAAGTGCTCACCCAGGTAACAGGTACAGAAAGGCAGAAAAAGGAAACCTATCAGGGTAATAATTATGCCTTTTTTTTTTTTTTTTTTTGAGACAGGGTCTTGCTCTATCACCCAGGCTGGAGTGCAGTGGCACAACCACAGCTCACTGCAGCCTTGACCTCCTGGGCTCAAGTGATTCTTCCAGTTCAGCCTCTTGAGTAACTACGACTACAGGCATGTGCCACCATCCCTGGCTCATTTTTTGTAGAGAGGGGGTTTGGCCATGCTGCACAGGCTGGTCTCAAATTCCTGGGCTCATGTGATTTCCCCACCTCAGCCTCCTAAAGTATTAGGATTACAGGCGTAAGCCACTGTGCTTGGCCAAGACATTTTGGTAAGAAATATTATTTTCCTACTAAATTGTCTACATTCCCCTTGGGTAGGCTTGCAAAGTCACTGTGACTACAGCAGGAGCTATTGCTGCATGGGAAATATGGAGACACGAGTGGTACCTGGCAGTCACGGGCTCAGTTTGTTTCTAACCTCCCAAGTCAGCACAGCCCCACTGAGCAGACTGCCGGAAAGTATTTATGCCATCTGTCGGATAATTAAGACAAATCCAAACATCTACGTGCATTCTGTGTGTATAAATGGAGTCATGGCCAACCTCTCAAGCAGTTTTCCATCAATCACTTGTAATATTACCAGATACTTCCAATCCCCTTGCAGGCAGTAATGAAGAGAAAGTCTCTACATCAGCAGCTTCTCACTGGAATCTTCAAGCCTAACTCTTAAGAATGAATCATACTTCTAATGTTTATCAAAGGTTTTCTTTTCACACAAGGAATGTGCCTGAATGATCTATAAAACTACCCAAATAACTAGTAGCCAGGTTAGCTCTAGGAGCCATATGCCAAACACATTCTGGACTAAGTCGTGTTCACTCCAAAACTAAGACCATGTTCAAAGTCTACAGCAATACTGGATTAAAACAATGTTAGCTGAAGGTTGTAAAAAAACATCATGGAACACTAATTATGTGCCATCAATCATTACTCAATTTGTAGAACTTCCCTATACACCTTGGGAGGTGAGAACCTTATAGAAAATCCTAGATACACAACTTTATATAAACAGAAAATTCCAAAATGGGAAATCCTTTAGAATAAGAATATACCTAGTGTATATAAAGAAGAAAAAATGTAGATTTGAAATTGGGATACTCTACAGTTTTTAGTTGGGACATTGGGATAGTTAATTTTAGGTGTCAACTTGACTGGATTAAAGGATATCAAGACAGCAGGTAAAGCATTACTTCTGGGTTTGTCTGTGAGGATGTTTCCGGAGACTGGCCTAGGAGTTTGTGGACTGAGTGCAGATCAGCCTGTGTGAGCAGGCACCATCCAACTGAATGGAGCCCAGATAGAACCAAAAGGCAAAGGCAAATAATTCACTGTCTTTCTCCTCGAGCCAGGGACTTGATTAGCAACCCCTCACACCCAACTCCTTATTTTCAGGACTTCAAGGGTTATACCATCAGCTTCCCTGGTTGTGAGGCCTTCAGACTTGGACTGAGCCATGCTGCCAGTTTCTCTGGCTCCCCAGCTTGCAGACAGCCAGGCATGGGAATTCTCAGTCTCAATAACTGAGTGAGCCAATTTCTTTAATAAACCCTTTCTCATCTCTCTCTATATACAAACATATCCTATTGGTTCTGAGTCTTTGGAGAATCCTCATACAGACACTGTTAAGAGATGAACCAGGTGTTACCACTGTGTCCCCAATGCCTGGGATAGTGAGTGACAGTATTGATGTTTGTGCAATAAATGTTTACAATGTGTATCTACTAGCAGCTTTCGATAATTTGAATTATTTATAAAAGGCAAAATAAACAAAAGTGGTATCTAAGATTAACCACTAACTTAGTAAAATTCCATTTATACCACAGGTTGTTCTGGTACAAAGCATACAATAACTCCCATGTTACATATAATTTGACTTGTTCAATAACAAGAAAATTACTCAAATATTATAATGGAGTTAAAATGTATTTAATAGATCTAAAAAATTTTGGCTCTATCAAAACTTAGGTCTCAATTATAACATTACTAAAGTGCTTGTAAAAATTATCCCAGATTTCTGGCTACAGCTTGTATAAAGGCCTATTTTTTTTTTTTTACAGTTTTATTTTGGTTGAAGATTTTTCTCCAAAATAGCTATTCCAGATGGCTTAACAGTCCCAGAAGTGAAAAATCTTAAGATATTTCATTTATAACCATTAGAGTCTTAATAAAACCCTAGTAAATACTCTCCCTTCTGGATGGTTTAAAGGTCCCTTCAGGCAAGCTGGCTGCGTAAACACCAGAGCCCTCTTCATAAGATAAGTTTGCTCAAAAGGTCAACTTTTACAGAGAAATTCCTACCTCATTAGTGTAAGGGAAAATTAACATGACCTGTTTTCATTACTTAAAATGCAAAAAAAAAAAAAAAAAAAAAAAAAAAATCTCAGAAAAATAGAAAAGGGTGGGAAAAATGAAGAAAATTAAAAGAAATTCTACTTCCTATATCTGTCCTGCTTAGAGAAGACAAGTTATAGCAAAATGAGTACTTCAGGTTTCTCTTTTAATAAACAAAACCATCCAAGGTACAGTTCCAAAGTACAAAATCAACCAGGTCTGAACTGATTGGTGATAAGAGCACACAGATCAGTCCTTCCTTAAGGAAACAGTTTCCTCCCTGATGCCCTCTTTGGTCACTATGCAGATCCGGAGTGCGTCCCCAGTGTACACATCTCTCTCAGCCGCAGAAATGAAGACATCTTTCACCAGCCGCATGGCTCTGTCCAAGGACAGCGGAACATGCTCCACATTCTGCATGTTCTTAAAACCAACCTGGTGGGACATGAAACTTGGGTGAGATGTCATGTGACAGTGAGCACAAAGGAAAGGTTCAAGTTTCTTCCAATACCCTCATGTGTACGAGGATTTGTGATGAAAATACTACACAAAATTAAAATGTCCTTCAGACTGAATAAAGACCCTTCCAGACCTGGATGAATTACACACATCAGAAATCTGACAACGATTCCCTGGCAAAGCTCCCACTCTTGAGAAGCACATGACCCGGAGAGGTGGACGTATGCAAGCAAAGTGATCAGAGAATTGCTATAACTAAGAAGAAAATAAGAGCCAGGAGAGCCCCAACAGATGTCCACTAAGTCTCCTAGAAGAAGACAGGCTTCAGCAGAAAGGACTTTTAAGTAGGTGAGCGCTGAAGGCTACACTGAAGAGCACAGAACATTCCAGACTGAAGATGTGGGACGGAGTTAGGAAAAGCACATCTTTTCTGAGAAAAGCAGAGTTAGGGTCTGGGTGTAGTGGGGTGACAGGAGATGAGGTCAATAAGCAATAAGCAGAGGAGTAGCTATATATGACATCCTTCAGAAAACTGAGCAGGAGGAATTAGGGAAGTAAACTTGTAGGCAGAAAGGATGTTAGGAAATAAATCCAATAATCTAATAATGTAGGTCTGAATTTAGCCAGCAGTAATCACAAAGAGGGACGAATTAGAAATACAGGCGGCCTTTGAATAACACCGTTTTCAACCACTCAGGCCCACTGACACATAAATTTTCAGTAAACACACTGAGAAGTTTTTGGAGACTCGCAACACTTTGAAAAACTCAGATGAGCCAAGTAGCCTAAAAATACCTTAAAAATTAAGAGAAAGGTATGCCACAAATGTATAAACTATATGTAGATACTAGCTATTTTATCATTTACTACCATAAAATACACATAAACTGATTATAAAAAGTTAAAGTGATCTCTCAATGTTCTCCTTTGTTTTTCATTGTGTTTAGTGCGATTATTATAAACCTTAAATAACAAGTGGCCCAAACAAAGCACTATTAGTGATGCTGGAACTGCTCCCCAAGAAGCAGGGAAAGTTATGACATCACAAGAAAAAGCTGAATTGCTTGATATGTACTGTAGATTGAGGTCTGCAGCTGTGGTTGTCCACCACTCCAGACAGATGATTCTCCTTGTAAACAGATGATGTAAACTTACAGTATCAACAAATACAGTATTGTAAATGTATTTTCTCTTCCTATAATTTTCTTAATAACATTCTCTTTCCTGTAGTTTATTTATCATAAGAATACAGCACATAATACATATGTAAAATACGTGATAATCCACAGTTTACATTATTGGCAAGGCTTCCAGTCAACAGTAGGCTTATTTGTAAGTTTTCTTGGAGTCGAAAGTTATATGTGGATTTTCCAGTGCTCGGGGAACTGGCGCCCCAATCCCCGTGTTGTTCAAGGCTCAACTGTATGCTTGGGAGTTCAAGTACAGTATTGGGTAACACAGAAAGGGGGGGTAAGAGGGAAAAAGGCATTTTTATGATCTTCAGGTAAAGACAGCAAGAGAATTAGCCACTACAGACATAAAAGAGTTGGAAGCCATGAGAATACAGGAAAACAATCAAAACCATGGGAGTAGGTAAGGACCCACAAGAGAGTAGGCAGAACACAGAGAGAGACCATGAGGTTTCTGTAGGACACGTCTGCCAAACTCAAACAGTAATTTATAAGAAAGTCTTTATATCTTGGCTCTCCTAAGCTAATGAAGAGGAGAACTTGGAGGAAGGCACTTCAACTGAACACCATGACAAGTTGGACATAGTATCATTACCTGGACACAGTATCATTACCTGGTTGTCAAGCAGGGGCTGTAGCATGGCACTTGCTGAGCCTCCAGCCTTGAAGGAGTCTCTCTGGTAAGACCCTACTGGATCAAAGCTGTATACAGCCCCCTTTCCTTAAAGAAGAAAACAGTATTCATAAGGATGGTATCCAATCACAATCCCAAATCATCGCAAAAATAAATCAGGTCAAAACGTGACACAAAACGGACTATCACCTTGGCTAAAACTTCAGGGAACAGTTGGAACACAGCCACTGTTGCACTGGTGACAGCTGCAGCACACACACTGTTGCACATGTGACAGCCAGAACCCAGTCACCATTGCACAGGTGCCACCCAGCAGACAGCCCCAATCCCCGTGTTGGTGTGTTGTTCAAGGGTAAACTGTAGGCTTGGGAGTTAAAATACAATATTGAGTAACACAGAAAGGGTGGGTAAGAGGGAGAAAGGCATTTTTATGATCTTCAGGTAAAGATGACAAGAGAATTAACCACTGCAGATGTAAAACAGTTGGAAGCCATGAGAATACACAAAAATAATCCAAGCCATGGTAGTAGGTAAGGACCCGTAAGAGAGTAGGGAGAACACAGAGAGAGATGGTGAGGTTTCTGTAGGACACATCAGCCAAACTCAAACAGTCATTTGTAAGAAAGTCTTTATTTCTTGGCTCTCCTAAGCTAACGAAGAGGAGAACTTGAAGGAAAGCACGACTTATGTATATAGACAGGTCCAAGGGACACATCCGCAAGACACAGTAAAACGAAGAGAATTCTGTAACCTGTAAAATACGATACTGCTTTTGTTTAAAAGAATAAGAAAACTATTTGTACAAGCACAAAAAAGTCTGGAAAGATAAGTAACTGTGGCTGGTCATCTTTGAGCTCTGAATTAGAGGCAAGAAAAGAAGGGAATTAATTCATGTGCTTCTATCTTATTTGAGTTTGTTACAAAGAACACAGGTGATTCTACAATCGTTAAAAAGGCCTGTTAAAAACAACCGTGTTCTGGGTATGAGAAATCACGAGTCATTTACAAGGTATGATTTTTTAAAAACATAACTGATTTAGAAAACACATTATATACCAGAACTCAGTACCCTGGGAGATGTGATATAGGGACAATCTCCTTACTAACCATGTACAACTGCCACTGTTAGCTTTGTATGTTTTCTACTATAGAACTGCGTAAACTTGGCCAGGCGCGGTGGCTCACGCCTGTAATCCCAGCACTCTGGGAGGCTGAGGTGGGCCGATCACGAGGTCAGGAGTTCGAGATCAGCCTGGCCAACACAGTGAAACCCCATCTCTACTAAAAATACAAAAATTAGCTGAGCATGGTGGCACGTGCCTCTATTCCCAACTACTTGGGAGGCTGAGGCAGGAGAATCGCTTGAACCCAGGAGGCGGAGGTTGTGGTGAGCCGAGATCATGCCACTGCACTCCAGCCTGGGCAACAGAGCGAGACTTGGTCTCAAAAAAAGAAAAAGGATTGTGTAAACTGAATTCTCTGGTGGAGAAGGCACCATCTGAGGTCACCTAAGAAACTGGGAAGTATTTTTGCTGGAAGCAAGCTTGGGACAAGACATGAGATCACAGCAGGCAATCCACTAACCTCAATATACAAAAAAAGAAAGAGATGTAAGGTGTAAAGGCAGAAAAATGATTGTATCTCTCATGAGGATGACAGGCCACAAGTAAACTGAGGCCCAAAAGCTTTACCCAAGGATGGAACCAATCTCAGAAAACCACACACAACAAATTTAAAAAAATAAACCAAAGAAAGGGTGGGCTATGTCCAAGAACACAGCTTTAAAGACCCCCTAGAAGAAGCAAGAGAGACACTAGTAAAATCAGTATAAAACAGCAAAAATCAATAAATAAAAACAAAAATAAATGTAGAATGGCATGAATCTTGATTACAAAGTGCTTTTCCTCATCAAAGTAAAATCCAAAAAGCACAATCATTTCAATGTAAAAAATAAAATCAGACAAGTCTTAAAAGAAATACAGCTAAGCTTTGGATGGGAGAAGTTTTTCTAACAAGGCAAGAAACTGAATGTCATAAAGAAATGATTGACAGATTAGACTGTATGAAACACAGCAATTTCTGTGTAGCAAAAGGCACCACCCAAAAGAGACAAATAACACTCTTGGGAGTATCTATAATATCACAGACATTTGACACAGTCGAATGTAGTTCTTGAAAATCAGTAAGAAGAAAACTAACCTGCAAATAAGGAAATGGGCAACAGTTAATATATGAATCAGTCTCCAAAGAGGAAATTTATAAAGTCAATAAACATATGAAAACATGCCCAAGAATATATATAAATGAAAATAATAAACTGTTCAATAGGCAAAAAGATGTTTCAAAATGTGTTAATTCTAATACTGGGAAGGTTATATAAAATCGGGTACTCAGGGTACTGGCGTATCCTTCAGAAAGAGTATACTCAACAAAATACAAAAAAAAATTTATCTGACCCAATACTTCAACTACTCGAAGTTTATTCTAGCAAGACAAGCATAATTGGGGAAGTACACAAAAATGTATGTACAAGGATGTTCATCATAGTGTTTATATTAAGAAAACAGGAAGCCAAAATGCCCTTTAGAGGACTGGTTAGGTAAATGATGCTATGTATTACAGCAGCAAAAACAGAAGACAAAAAAATTTTTTGTTAATTAAATACAAAAATCATTATGCATATAGCTTAGATCTCCTTGATAATACATAATGTATAGTTACAGAAAAACAGATACCAAAGTCCTACTTACATAAAACTGCATGAGTGTATGTATAAACATGTACTGATTGTTTTCACTACAGAAAAACTAAAGCCACTTTTAATTTGGGAGAAAAATTTTTAAAAGGCATGAGAGCAGCTAAGAGATTAAAGACAGAGAGGTTAGTGCAGACAGCGGTTGACACCAAGGGAAAGAGCTGTGGACCTTGCTGTCCTGAAGGTTTCAATATGGAGCACTGCTCTCCAGGTCCCTGCATCCACCAACACAGAAGACAGTAAAGGAAGTCTCCTGAGACATTAGCAGAGGCTCTGGACTTAGGGGACCAGGCTCTAGAGTGGCAAAGGGTAGGAGCAAAACACATGAAATGGAAAGTTGATGTAAACAAAACACAGACCTTCAGCCCCCTTCCTCCTCTGAGGCCTAAAAAGCTGCCAACCGGGCTTCTCTTCCTGTAGTCCCACCTCACCTCAGGAAAAAAGATTAAAGAAATTCTTCATCTGAAGAAAATGCTGCTTACTTAAGCACCCAGTTAACGGCTGTCAGTTGACAAGCCATGTCAACAAGGACTTTCATAATCAAATTTTGGTACAAGACTCTTCAATGTGAATGGACAGCAAAAAAAAAAAAAAAAAAAAAAAAATCAGAGATTTGAAGGAAGCCTCTAACATAGAAGACAGAGGCCAAAAATGAACACATAACATGAAAAAAAAAACATTCTGATGAAATACAGAAAACTGCAAAGAAAGTAAACAGGATTTTTTTTAAAAAGACAAAAAATAAGTACAAGCTCTTGGAAATTAATGACACCAGAAATAAAAGCAATCAGTAAAGGATGAAAAGCTAAAATTAAGGAAATCTTCATAAAGTAGAACAAAAAAGACAGACATGGATAACATGGGGAGTCAAAAATAAAGTACCGGGTCATAATCCAGGTGGTTGTGGAGAAGGTGCAGAGGGGTAGGGGAGGAGGAGAGGAAAGAAGGTGGAGAAAGAGGATAAAACAAATAAGAAACTCTAGGCAAGGAACATCACTATACAATTTCAGAACACCAGGGTAAAGAAAAGATCCTAAAAGCAAAGTCTCAAAAAGGTCCCGTTTTGTTTTTTTCAGAAATCTTTTAGGAGGTAAGCCTCTAAAATAAGGAAATAAATCAAGAAAGAGGAGAACACAGGATGTGGGGGAATCTCAGGATGGCAGTGGTCCATCCTGGAGCAAGGGGAAAAGGGATCCACCTAGTATGTGAGGTCTGACAACCAGATGAATTGTACTCAGAGAATGTACAAGGAACTGACAAAAAGTTTAAAGAAATCTGAGCCAATTAGAGATAGTTAACTTAAGAAAAAAATAAAAACGAGTTACACAAGAAAGAAAATATTAATGCATGCTACTTGGCGCAACAAAGATCAATATCTATCTGGTCATAATAAAAACATTAAAGGTCTATGTTACCAAAAGTGTAATGTGTTAAAGGAGGATGCTAATGAGGAAGAGGACACAAAAGAGCTAAGAACCATCATCTACCAGAACAAAACACCAAAAGATATCTCAAAAGAGTGCAGTACAAATACAGAGTTTTGGAAAATGGAGGTAAGTACCAGGAAATACAGGTAAAAGAGCTGAAAACTGTCTTAGGGCAATGGAAAAAAAAGATAGAGGACTGCTTTATTATTCACACAAATTCCTCTATAAAATAAAAATTAGTTTAAAGAACACTTAAAAGCCAACCAGACAGACAAGCTTAGAAAGACAGTTCTAGAGACACCTGAGGTTGTCACCAAAACTAGCAACACTGTTACATGGAAATCAAAGAACAGGGCTCTGAAGTGAAACAAAAGCCAAACCTGAATCTTAGGTCTGCTGCTTAGTAGGTATCAGCTTTCCCAGATTAGACTCTCTAACTCTCGGAAAAACTCAAAGGATGCTGTCTGGCCTGCTGAAATTCAATGGCAGCTCAGCTATTTTTAATGTTGCTAAAATCTGAATCTATTAATCTGACATTAAAGCCAGGCATAATGTAAGTCAAAAAAGACACCAGAAGCATCCAGCTTGCTAAGTTAGGCAAATTAATTTGTAGCTAGACTCTAATTACCCATGTTAAAGGTAATTCATTTCTATTTTTACTATTTCTACACTTTACTTTTTCTCTTGGTTTTCAAGTAAGGTTGAAAGCCTTAAAAAGAAATTGTGTCAACCTAATTTGTCTACGCCTAAACCATGGCAGGTAAAATGATCAGAATGTTCCCCAAGGCTGTGTATGGGGGCGGATGTTAAGAGTCAGAGATAGCGCACGCAAAGAAAACGCTCATGGAACAGAAAGCGATAGGAGTCAACAACCGAGAGGCAGGGCGCTGAAATGAAGCTTGACCCTTTCCTCTTAGAATTTTCCCTCACAGGATTTAGGGTCCCCAGTCCCCTTGCTTTCTTTCTGTGTCCAACTGAGATGTTCTGTGATGTGGCCAGCCGCATGTATTCCCCTGGAGGCTCTGACCCAAGCCAAGGCCTGCCTTGAACATTCCCAGGCGCTGACAATGTTGTTTAGGCTATTGCTTGAAACACTGAGAAATTACCCCTGTTGCTAAACACACAGAAACTATCCCTGGCCCTGAACCAAATTCCTTCAACACTCAAATCAACTCCCTCACCTTGGACACATCTTTTCCTGCTGTCTGCTGAGAGGACTGCTGCAGCACTAAATGCTTTTGACTGATTACCCTGAGATTTAGTGTTCTGGAACCCCAACTAGGTTCGGGGCAGTCCCTTACAGGAATTCCTCTGCCCCTACTTTTAGGGCAACTTCAGCCACAGGTTCAGCCAGAAGGAACACAGAAGATGGGCTTACTCCAATGATATCCTCATCTAGACACTTCTGTAACTTCTTATCTCAATGGACTACTCTAAATGACACAGATGGACTACTTATCCATCTGTGTCAATGGACTACTCTAAGTGACAAAGATCTGTCCTGGGACACTGTACTTGTATTTGATTTTTAGATGCAACCAAAAGCCAATCCAAATGAGAACATTTGGATTGCAAATGAGAACAAATGGATTGGAACATTTGGATGGAAAACATTGGTGCCCATGTGGCGTAATGCAGCTCTGGAACAAAAATGGGATGGAATATTAAGTAACAAGACTTAATATTCTCAGGGAATCCTGGTCTGACTCTGACAAAATCAGAGAGGTGTTTCAAAAAGTTCTGAAAACACTGGAGTAGATGCTTATTATTAATTACCCCAAATGACTTCTAGAACCGTTAAAGAACTTTTTTGAAGTGTATTTGTTAATAAAAAAATTTTCAATACTCAGAATCACATTTAGGTCAAGCTTTCTAGGTCCGATTTCTTTCTATAAGATAAAAATGCCTAATTATTTACTACTAACTCATGCAAGTTCCTGAGAAAATAGCAAAATAACTGGCTGCTCAACATTCACTATTAGAGCTTCAATGTGCCTTTGGAGGTCATACATTAGCTTCAGTTTCTTCATCACTTTCATTATCAGAAATGAAATGAGAATTGTGTCAGATGGTATTTATGGTTCTTTTCAACTCTAGATGGATACACACATCTAGGGAATAATAACTCCTCCCCCCCACCATTTTCCAGAAAGAAGGAATTCTACCTTCTTCATCAAGTCCACCGATGATGTTGTAAACATAGTATGGAAAGAAGCGCCTTGAATACAGGATTGTAGACAGCATTGCAGCAATTGCCCCCGTAGTCATGGCCTTATTATTGGAATGCTTATACATCTGCAATTATTGATAAAAGTCACAGGCATGTAGAGGCAGAGGCCATTATAGACTAGAACAATCAACAGTATAAAGTGAATAAATAAATGCATACCACAGTGGAAGGGGAAAGCATGCCTATTTCCTTCATGATCAACCAACACAGTATTACTAACATAAAATTTTAAGGGAAGGAATGCCAAGTTTGCCCTCAGCTCTCTGGTTTAGACTCTATTTTCCATACCACCCTTATCTCAGGTACTGCTAATCCAAGAGCTAATGTGTATGAAAGGGCACATGAAGTGGCCTAAGGAAGATGGGTTTAAATCCATCTCTCTCCCTCACTCTGCATATAGACCAGGGGTCAACAAACTACCCCTGTAGTTTGGCTCAGGGGCCAAATCCAGCCTACTCCCTATTGCTATGAATATTGTCCGTGGCTGCTTTTTCACTACAGAAGCAGATCAAATGAGGCCCATAAAGCTGTAAATATTTACTATCTGGTCCTTTACAGAAAAATTACGGCAATCCCTGATCAAACCTAGATGTAAGTCCCTCTCTTTGTGGAGCAGATCTCTGTGAGAACAGAAGACACAGGGCAGCACCCTTACTCTGCATGATTTTAATACACAGCAGTGGTCGTGATCCTTAAAACATCTACAGTAGAGAACACAAGCATCCAAAACAGGGTCTTAGCATGACAATACAGTGACTGCAAATCCTAGCTTTACTATACCTTTGCGAGCCCTACATTACCCACTGGTAGAGAAACTTCACAAAAATTATAAACATAAAATGAATTCAAGATCACCAATTTTTGTTAACCACATAGCAAACATCTCTAATGAGAAACTTAATGGCCAGGCATAGTGGCTCACACCTGTAATCCCAACTGAGGCGGGAGAATGTTTGAGCCCAGGAGATGAAGGCTACAGTGAGCTACAATGGCGCCACTGTACTCCAGCCTGTGCAACAAAGTGAGACGCTGTCTCTAAATAAATAGACAGATAGATATCTAACTAGCACCGTAAAATTAAATAATGACAGTCAAAACACTGAAAAATGATTAGAAATGAACTACAAGTAACAGGTAAGTTTTTTATAGAGGAATGCCTTTCCAAGATAAAAACTATAAAAAATTATTCATAGGCCGGGCACAGTGGCTCACTGCTGGCCTGTAATCCCAGCACTTTGGGAGGCCGAGATGGGTGGATCACCTGAAGTCAGGGGTTCGAGACCAGCCTGGCCAACATGGTGAAACCCCGTCTCTACTAAAATACAAAAATTAGACAGGGGTGGTGACAGGTGCCTGTAATCTCAGCTACTCGGGAGGCTGTGGCAGGATAATCACTTGAACCCAGGAGGCAGAGGTTGCAGTGAGCCAAGATCATGCCATTGCACTCCAGCCTGGGCAACAAGAGTGAAACTCTGTCTCAAAAAAAAAAAAAAAAATTTCATTCCATTTCATTTCGAAACCAAGCACCAACATTTATTTACTTCACCACCTAATAAAGTATGAGAGAAAAACTTCAGGAAGGGGTGTGTATTATGTAGAATTCACCATTCCTTGTTTTATTAACAATATCATGTTTACTTTTGTCTTCTAACTCCCATTTATAAAATAAGCATTAGGAATTATCATATAAATATGCCAATAAATGTAAGTCACTATGGCTTTCAATGTAAGTTTCTAAAAAAGCATTAACAATTGATAAATACTGAGTGAAATCCTTTCTACACATTCAAAAAGCATGTGTCAGTTAAATAAATATACTATATACTCCAGTAACCACTCATAAGTGTAAATAATCTCAAGTGTTATTCATGAATAGGCAAAACAGAATGTGATCACCCCTGACTTCTGGCAGCTGGCTATCAACTGAAGCTGGTCAGGTGACAGACGTTAATGGTGCATGTTGTGCCTCCCATCCAAGCTCCCAGCTTATTCATTCTTTCGTATTTCTACTCATGCATCCTGCCAACTAAGAGCACAGCACTGTAAAGAGGAAAAGCTTGTCAACTGATGGTGATGCAAACCAAGCTCCTGTGTCAAATCTTTCCTGGGCTCTCTCCTGCCACAGAAATTGATTTGCTTTGTTTTTGAGGGAAGAGTATCTTCAGAAGAAGAACTCCTCCCAGGCTCCTTCTAAAAGGGTAGAGAACCCTTCATATGATACAAGACTTTAACAAATGGAATGTGCTGCTGTTTCACATTATGCTACTTTAATGACCCTGCATTAATGATATCATTTCATTTCTAGCATACATTTGTAATTCATCTACTAACCTAGTGACTCTCTAGCTATCTGACCAACAGTCATGCTGTAGGCTTAAAAGAATTTAATGAATTACTATTAATTTAAAATAGTGTAGAAATGTACAAAAGCATCTACCTTTAGTCTTGCTTCAATAATCTTTGTCAGCGTAAGACAGTCTCCATGAAAACCGCTGCATCCAATGACTGTTTTGTCTGTTCTGTAAAAAGCACATTTCAGAAAACTGAGCTGGTTAGATAGTAGAGCAAAACATATCTTCGGCAATTTTAAATTTAAAATTCTGATTCCCACTATTCCCTAAATGGTAATGGGACAAACAGTCACCCTTCTGGGGAGGAGGGGTCTGTATTCCATCTTACCCCTTATTCCAGATGAATTACAGGTGGATCAAAGACTTTAAAAATGCGACTATGAATGGACTAAATAAATCATGGGTGAATTTTTTTTACTATCTTGGGCTGAGGAAGATACGTAGGTAGGTTAATTGACTGATTTTTGAGACGGAGTTTCGCTCTTGTCACCCAGGCTGGAATGCAGTGGCGCAATCTTGGCTCACTGCAACTTCCGCCTCCTGGGTTCAAGCAATTCCCCTGCCTCAGCCTCCCAAGTATCTGGGATTACAGGCACCCGCCACCACACCCAGCTGATTTTTGTATTTTTAGTACAGATGGGGTTTCACCATGTTGGCCAGGCTGGTCTCAAACTCCTGACCTCAGGTAATCCACCTGCCTTGGCCTCCAAAGTGCTGGGATTACAGGTGTGAACCACTGCACCCAGCCTCGTGAAGGTAGATTTAAACAACACAATCCAAGGGCCACACAGAAAAATTTCATAAATTTGACTACATAAAATTCTACAGGGAAATTTAAGAATAGCTTTTTAAAACCCTAAGAAAATATATTAGTAGCATCTACCCCCAAAGTCTAATTTTAATTCTATAAAAATTCTTACAAATAAGGAAAGCAATAACATAAAGGAAAGATGGGTAACTTCTATGAACAGACAAGTCACAGAAAAAAGAGACATTAAGTCACCATAAACATAAGAGCCTCTATGTTACTCAGAAATCCAAATCTCAAAAAGAGACTATTTCAACCAATTATACTGGCTAAAAATGCCTAACTAACTAAATGCTGGTGAGGTTGTGGAAACAGTATAAACTGATTAACCTGTTAGATGGGCAATTTGGTGGTATTTATTAAAAATTTAAATACACACCACTCTCACCAATTCTATTGCTAGAAATCCATCTTGTTAATATACTTATCCAAGTATGCAAAGGGATGCTCTAGACTCACCAGTGAGTACTCATTTAAATAGCACCCCAAAACAAAACAAAACCTAAATGTCCATCTGTATGGAGAGGATTAAAATTTGGTATAGACATACAAATTCAACCGTGTATTTCAAAAATTAATTCCTAGATCTTGATATGAATCTATAAAGAAACCTAAACAATATTTTGCAGAGGCCACACAATTCCTCTTGGAAACTTACGAATGACTCGCACAAACCATACCTGTCCTACTAGGAGAGCAGCTGACACCTCTAGGGTCATCACTAACATCACCTGATCTATGCCTACCATCAACCTCACTGCACTAAGGTGAAGACGTCCAATCCCCTATAAGGCTTTACTGCCTTTACTGACAAGATTGGTTGACAATACCAACAGGGAAAGACAGAAATCTTAGAACTTCAAGATGCTTTTCCCAAATATCCAGGTGCATCAAAGGAATGGGAGTTTTCATGCAAAGAATACAGTCTGAAACAGGTTTGGAAGAGGCAAGCTTAGTTCTAGGTCAGACCCACAGGACGTGGGATGAGGGATATATACAGGCATTCGTTAATGCTGCATTGTTCTTATTCTCTATCTCTATATCTGACGTGTTTCACAAAAAAAAAAAAAAAAAGTGCTCACTTCACCAGCAAACGTAACTAAAGCAATATTTAAAAGATGAGTAAAAGCTAGTACAAGGATGGTATCCATAAAGTTGTTTTAAAATCTTATTTCTAATATTTACTACTTTCAAGTTGTACAAGTGTCGTCCTTGAGGAGAAAAAAAGGTAACACAAGAGCACCATAAACAGAAAGCAGAAAGGGGGTATCAAAAGATGCAAGTGGAGAGAAACAGAACTGGGAAGACGAAAACAAACTTCATTGCTTTTTAAGATGTGGGCCATCCCTAGGAGCAGGAAAGACAACGTATCTTTTCTTCTGTACCTACTTCCTACAATACAAGGAGGGTCCATCCAAAGGACCTAAACCTCGTAAGTCCCATTCCTATTACAATTCAAGTTTAATTAACCCAGGAATTCATGACCATTTATAAGCATTTCCAAAACTGGTAAATACAGACCACTGCCAATCTGCAGTATGTATTCAGTATTTATGCAGGCTTTTTGTTTTTTTAAGTTTTGGCTTTATTTTCATGTTTTAGGAAAAACATAGCTAGCCTATTAAAACTGAGCTGTGGACATAATTGCTTAGGATATTTCTAAAACGAATGTTTCAGGTAAAAAAAAAAAGTGTGGGGAGGCAGATTTAAAAAAAATATCATTTAATGGATTAATGGTGCTGTGGTTTGAATATTCCCTTCAAAACTCATGTTGAAATTTAATTGCCATTGTGATGGTACTGGGAGTTGGGACCAGGTGTTTAGGTCCTAGGGCTCAGCTTTCATGAATGGACATTATCACAGCAGTGGGTTCGCTTGCTCTTCTTTCTTTCTCTGGCCTTCCACCATGTTAAGACACAGCAGGAAATTTTTCATGGTAAAATGCTGGGGTGAACACATTTAGGTTACCGAAAGCACTTTTGGTACCCTGAATACAGCAAATATTATTAAGACTGCACATTAAATTATTAGGAAACATTAACTTAGAAAATGGTTTTCTAATAAAAATGCTCCCAACAGCAACTTAAAAACTCATGAAACAAATCATTTAGAAGTAGAAACTCTCACAACATCAAATCATTACAAAGGCATTGTGAAATGTCTTTAGAAATATTTACTTACAATTTGTAACATTTGGGGCTATCCCGCGTATGAATTGAAAACCCTTCACTCAATCGAGTATCAGAAGCAACAATTGCAAAATCTTCTCCAGCAATTGCCAGTATAGTACTGAGGAAAAAAGAAAAAAATTAATTCTCCAGGGTGGTAATCCTATCCCTACAAATAGAAGAATGCTCCATAGTACATAATGGGATAAAATACTCTAGATGTCAACAAAAACATGATTCAAATGGGAAGAGGAAAGATGAGCGGGAAGAGAATGAACGCCTGGCTACGAGTTGTCTGGGAAAAAAAAATTATTAATAAGCCTAAATCAGGGCAAAGTCTCCTTGGCAGGAGTTAACAGAAAAGCCAATGAATTATCATCACCAACACATTAAATACTTACTCGCGCAAGGTACTACTAATACAGAACAACTAAATACCACATCTGTGCCCTTGAGGATCAGGTATAGACAGTGGTACTACAACGCAAGCTCTATGAGTTTAGAGAAGATGAGATTTTTTTTTCTTGCTTCATTTCTTTATATCCAAGTCCTTATATAACGCCTATATAATGCTTATTTCTTTATACCCAATCCCTTATATAATGACAAATAGATGGACAAACAGTAAATTTTTCCCTCTGTGGCTGTACAATTTGACAGCTTATCAAAGAGACTTACAGTAGAATTCCAAAAGCAGACCGCCTGGGTTCTAATTCTGGCTTTCCCGTTTCGCAGATATGAGACTGTGGGTAAGTTACTTCTCAAAGCGTCAATTTCATCATATATACAACAGAGATCACTGCAGTTGCTACCTCATTAGGGTGTTCAAAGGATCAAATATGTAAGCCCTTATAGCAGTCCCTGACATGTAACTGGTCCTCTAGTAAGTGTTAGCTATAAGTGCTATGGCACTGGAGTATGACTAAGCACCTGGGCTCTGGAATTACATGAGACAGAGACCCACTCTTGCTACTTACTAGGTATGTGATCTTGGACAAATCCTCCAAATGCAAGTTGATGATAACAGTACCTGTGTCACAAGGTGTGTATATATATTTGGGTGTGTATATTTTAATGTACAAGGCTTGACTGATAACTATAACCACTGCTTCAATGCAATAGTGGAAATTAAAGGCATGGTGCCTCACAGACGTAAGCACTCAGGAAACTTAAGCCACTATTTTTACTGAGGAGGGATTTGTGCTAAAGCTCTCAAGAAGAAAAGGATGGCATTCCAGGTAATATAAACAGCAAGCAATGGCAAACAGGTAATTATTCAAATAGTACATACATTCAAGCAACTCATTCAGGCAGCCCTTTTTGCATAAGCACATGTAGTGACGTTAAGGTTTATGTGATGGACAGGGTTCCTACTGTAGAAAATCCCAAATGCCAAGCTAAAGATTTTGGAATTTTAGCAAGAAATCATGAAGGTATTCTGAGCAAGAATGATCTGTAGTTGTAACTACTCAAGAGGCTGAGGTGGGAGGACTGCTTGAGCCCAGGTGTTCAAGGCTGCAGTGAGCTATGATCGTGCCTGGGCATTAGAGTGAGACCTGGTCTTTAAAAAAGGAATGCAAGAGAGAGAAAAGTTCCATTTACAAAGTGGGGTTTTAGGAAGACTGCTCTGACAATAACATAGTATGTGAAATGGGACAGAAACACTGTTCTAATACTACTAATGCAATAGTAAGGTAGCAGGGTGAACAGTAAATCCAAAATCATCACAAACACACAAAATAGACAAATTTTTATATCTACGCAAATGTTTTAGGAACTGGGAAAACCAATTATGACATCCAAGATTTAGAACTTAGATGAACAGAATGATGGCATAATTATAAGTATTTTAAAGGAGAGGAGGCCGGGCACGGTGGCTCACACCTGTAATCCCAACACTTTGGGAGGCTGAGGGGGGGGGGGGGGGTCAATTGCCTGAGATCAGGAGTTCGAGACCAGCCTGGCCAACATGGTGAAACCCATCTCTACTAAAAATACAAAAATTAGCCAGGCGTGGTGGCAGGCACCTGTAATCCCAGCTACTCGGGAGGCTGAGGCAGAAATGCGTGAACCCAGGAGTTGGAGGTTGCAGTGAGCTGAGATCGCACCGCTGCACTCCGGCCTGGGTGACAGAGTGAGACTCTGTCTCAAAAAATAAGAAGAAAGGAGAAGAGGAGATGAAGGGGAATAATTAGCTTGCTTTTTGTTTTGCTAGCTGTCTTGAGTTGCCCTGAGAGCAGAAAAACCAGTTAAAAATGTTTTACTGAAGAAGCCGAATCGAGGGACTCATGAGAGGCAGAACTGGAAAACCAGATTTGGGAGTAATCCTCCCAGCAATGAGACATGAAAGAGTGCTGAGCGATAAACAAGGCGGCTAATGACTTAACTACATTTAAAGACAGAGTAGGAAAAGAGAATGAGGCCTCATTTTGCGGAAGCGAAGGCTGCCTGAGAGCCAGCTGCAGTAAACACTAAAGAAAAAGAACAATGACTGAGAAAAAGTAATCAGAAAGATCTAAGTAATTTTTAGGGCAGTAATGGCTTAAACTGGATTACAAGGGATTAAAAAGTGAGTAACGAGTAGGGCATACTGAACACTGAAAATTCTTATTTATAGAGAATAGCCTTACGAAACGGGTCCAATAACCCTCCCTACAATATACAACTTAATTAGTCATCACAGGAAGTGTTAAGGTGTATAATGGAAAAGCATCCATAAACTCAGTGGTGAAATAGCTATGAATTAAGTCCTGGCTCAACTTCACACCAGCTCTCTGACCCTGACAGTTTAACGTCTAATATAACCCTAGGATGCTAATATCATCTAACATTCACTTTTCATGAGGATTAAATAAGATGACAGCTTGCAATTTACAAAATGCATCTCTCTTGATTCTCACCAAAAACTATGAAGCTACTAAGGAAGATAAGGAAATTTAGGTTCAAGAAGTTCAGAAGTACCCAAAGTGTCCTTTAGTGGCAGAACCAAGGCTAAAATCAGACTTTCGTTATCTTTCTAACACACTCCCAAAATGTGCATTTATATTTCAAATTTATGAGGAACCAATTAACATTTTTGCTTTGTTTTTAAAATTTATTTTTGTAGAGATGGGGTCTTGCTATGCTGCGCAGGCTGGTCTTCAACTCCTGGCCTCAAGCGATGATCCTCCTGCCTTGGCTTCCCAAAGTCCTGGGATTACAGGTGCGAGCCACACTGCCCAGCCAATATTTTCTGTTTTAAGAACCATCGGTTCGTTCAAATTGCGTGTGTATATTTTAATGTACAAGGCTTGATTGGTAACTATAACCACTGTTTCAATTTACAGCTCTTCCCTGTCAAGAGTCTTAAACAGAGCATCTTTCTATAACCCTAAATCTCTGGCGTGCCACCACGGAAAATTATACTACTCAAGATAAAGCTGGTAATTAAAATAAAAACCAAAACTTGAACATAACATACAAGAACACACATACTAAAAGGTCCATCTTCTGAGTATTTTGTTTTCCTGAACTTAAGCTAAACGTTAAAAAAAAAAAGCACTTATCTATGAAACTAAGTTTGCTCAGCCAATCCCACCTTCTATTTGAAATAAAACAAAATGATTAAACTGCTACAATTAGAAATAACAGAAATCAGGCGGCTACAATTAGACATCTCGGCTACCAACCCAGCTATGCATCTAACAACACAGACCAAACAACCCTAACTTTTAAGTTTCAGACGCTAACCCTCTACCCTCGCCGGCTGGCATAAGAAACGTGTACATGAGGTCCAGTTTTAATGGTCTTCCACAGAGCAGAGGCTATGTTTCAATTTCTACTTTACTGTCTTACAGCAGCAAGGAGCACGGAGTGGCGGTCCACATAAAAACTCAAATGACATGACTGTAATGGGAAACCCTAAAAACCAAGGCTGTATCGCAATCACCAAGTAAACTTGAGCAAAGCGAGCCTGAAGAGGGAAACACAGGGCATGAGAGGACGGCAGGGAGACCGGCCTTGTGCGGACCCCCTCAGCTCAGGGTTCTGAGGCCTGCAGGAGCCCGGGGCAGCGCCATCACGGCGGTGACTCCTAAATAGGCTTCAGCAGATGGGGGAAGGGCGAAAGTGAAAGCCGCAGCTCTCTGGGGTTTTTACCCTCCGTTGAAAACGTAGGGCGAAAATCGCAGCTGCAAAGGGCCCGCGGCTCTGTGCGGTTCCATCCCCAAGTCTCTGCCAGGAGCCGAATACATGGCTGTAGAGGACAACATCGCACGGCTGCGCCTGCGGATCCGACACTTGCTGTCTCACGGCGAGATGGCTGCCTTGACCGGACGTTACGCCACTTCCGGCTTCTCCTGAAGTTCGCTCCCGGCCTCTCTATCTCACGCTAGTCGTTGCTCCTGGAGGGCTGCACGGCGGCTTGTCCCTTTGGTAGTTGAATCCCGCCCATTCCAAAAAGCGCTGACAGGGATGTAAAGGGTTTTTTTTGTTTGTTTTTTGTTTTTTTCCCCCTCGAAGAAAACATTGGAATTCACCCCAATGGACAAAAATTTAAGTCTGACCATACAAAAAAATTGTCAGAACTATGGCGCAACGGCAACTCGAATAACGGTGGGAACGTTAATTGTCCTGGCTAATAAAAAATGTATATAACATTTCCTATCCTTAAAGAGCTCACAACCTCACTGATAATAAAAAGTACAAAGAAAACAAGCAGTATAACATATGATTACGCCACAATGAACTACAGAAGGGAAAATCAAGGCGTGCTGAAGTCCCACTAAGAAACAACTGCGGAAAGAGCCATGTGACAACAGTGCATGAACTGGGAGTGGCAGAACTGAATATAAATGCATGTGTAAACACAAGCTGTTTGTTTTGCTTAGTGTTCCTTGTCATTCTACACGCTTGAAGATCAGCTAGCGTTCTTGCTGACAGGTAAGGAGGACGCGCTTACTGAGTGCCAAGCACTGCTCAGGCACTGATTCTGTCAATCTCTGTCAATCTCCCGACAGCCCAAGGGTAAGCACTGTTATCATTATTCAATTTTACAGAAAAAAAATGCGGGGGAGAGGTCAGGTAACTTGTCGAAGGTAACGCCGCTAGTTGCTTTAAACAACAACAACAACAACAACAAAACACACTCACACATATACACACACACGCCATTTAAAAATCGATCTTTCCTACGTCCAGCAAGGGCCAATTAGAGATGGCTGTGGCACGGCGGCCCCGCCCCGGAACTCCTCAAGAGCTTCGCCCCTCCTTACCTATGGAAACACAGGAAGTGACCTATGCTCACACTTCTCATGGCCTCGGCCCTAGTGGGAGCAACTCGCTGAAGCCGAGGGCAGAACTGGCGGAAGTGACATTATCAACGCGCGCCAGGGGTTCAGTGAGGTCGGGCAGGTTCGCTGTGGCGGGCGCCTGGGCCGCCGGCTGTTTAACTTCGCTTCCGCTGGCCCATAGTGATCTTTGCAGTGACCCAGGTAACAGATTGTACTCTTTTCTGACGGTTCGGGCGAAGGCCACCACTGCACTGAGGCCTGGGGGCAATGGTGGGGAAGAGACTAGGAATTGGCGCGCGTGCAGGCCCCTCGGGGGACGTTCCTCCCTTTCGTGCTGCCGCCGTTCCGGCCTGTAACGGCCACTCGGCCGCCACTCCCGCCTGGTGCCCTACTCTGCTGTGTTTCGCAGGCAGCTTCCCATCGTACGATTGTGGGGCTCAGGGTACTACTGGCTGGCTGGGCGGCGGCAGGCGGGACAGGACAGTCCCTTGCATCGAAGACCCTAAGTTTACCCTGCCCTGTCCTGCCATCCGCTTCTTCTCCATGTTAGAAGCAGATTCACCCAGATCTGTGCCCGCCTGTTTTGCTGCCAACATTGAGACTTAAATATTTTGTCAGAAGCCTGAGACAGCGGGCACGGTAGCGCTTAAGATATAATACACACCACTTTATTTGCAGGGTCTCCCGTCTCTCGGTTCAGGCCATCATGGTTTTCCAAATCTCTAGGTAGACTTTTCTGTGAAAAGACTGTGCTTCATTTAGTTATACAGACACTAGAAGGCTATGCAGAATTAATTTGATTGCCTCCAAAAAATATCGGATTTGATGTTTCAATTTCCAGGAGATGAAGATACCCAGCAAACAACTCTTTTCTGAGGATAAATTAGTGCAGTAATCACTGTGCGGTTTCTTCTGTAGACTTACTTGCAAAAAGTGGCCTGAAGCCACCGAAGGTCCTGGATAAATCTCTAATCATACTTATAATGGCTTTAAATCCTGCCGTCATTATCTCTTGCCTCAACCTTAGATTCCTGAAACGAAACTTCCGTCCTCCAGTTTTACTCCTCTCAAATTCATCTAGTCTTGCCAAATTAGATCTGTTCATACTGCACTTCCGAAATTCCATAACTGTTATTATTGCCTATGCAATAACATTGAAAACTCCTGATAGTATGAGCCCACCAATATGTGCTGTCTCATCTGCTGCAGTGACCTTCTATACAGTCATACTAAGCTTGTTGCCTGCATACTGCATGCTTTTTCAATCTGTCTCTTTCTGCTTGATTTCTCTTTTGTCTGAAGCCCTGATGTGTAAATTCCTACTCACCTTGTGAGACCCAAGTTAGATGGTCCCTGCTTTGTGAAAACACTGCGCTCTCTTCACAGTGATTGGCTGTTAGTCTATATTGTCTTCTCTTCCAGGGGTGTATATGGGCTCATTCATGATCACATACTGTATTCCAGGCATAGTGCTAGATGCAGAGATCACAAAGACATGTAGGCTGGTTTCTGCATTCAAGGAACTTAGCTTAGACCATACCTGCTGTTATAATACTATGTTTTACAGTAGTTATTTGCATACCCTTCATATTGAACACTTTGATGCCAAGGACTATATCCTCCTATCTTTATATCCTCATCTGCAGGACTTCTGTTATTGTTATTATAGGATAACTGTCAAAAAAAAAGTATATTTTAAAAAATATCTCTGATATATTTATTTCCAGAAGCAGAGCTTGCTTTCTTTTTTGGTCTGTTTTTCAGTGATGAGTATGTAGGATAGATAGTCTTTGGGGGCCTTTGCCCTTTCAAAGTGATCGTCAGAGTCTTTCATACATTCAGCAAATATCTGAGTGTCTGTTCTGTACCAGCACATGCTTGAAGTGCATATGCCTGAAGGATCTTTGGACATATAATTTGTAACTTTGAGACCTCTAAGTTCTATGTGAGAATATGTTGTTATAAACTCATTTCAGATGTGTAGTGAGTAAAGCGATGATGATTTAAGAAAAGTCAGATAACAGGCACAGTTTGCATTAATGTGTTCTAAAGAGGTAAGGTTATTACATTTATAAAAATTCAGGGCTTTATCTTTGTGCGGCTTTTTTTTTTTTAACAGTTTCATTACAGTAGGAGCTTGATAAATGATCACTCTGAAGTATATTGGATTGAATTTGATATTTACTTAATTTTTTGCCCAAGACATTGTAGAGGATGTAAAATTGGAATATTTAAAGATCTAAACTTTGCCTAACAGTGCTGTGTATACAGTGCTTAGTGAATATTCTGCTCTGATATTACATTTTGCTTAGGAATTATTTTTCTCTAGGTGTTTTTCCTCAAAAGTTTTTAATGCTGGTTATGACAGCTCGATTTTGAGCATTTTCCGATTATTTAAACATGTAACAAAATGATTTTTGTTTTGTTGGCGATTTTACATGCAATCGCCGGAAACATGGAAGGAATAAAACTTTAGGATTATAAGGTAAAAACAAATGTATTCCAAAATAGCTTCATTGGTTTTCATGTTTGTGTTTTGTATAGCCATAGAACTGGCTTATAGGACTGTACAGGTTACCTGGATCCTTAAATTAAACTTTAGACTTTTTTCCAAAGCAGCATCACTGTTTCTTGGCGTGTGAAGATAACCCAAGGAATTGAGGAAGTTGCTGAGAAGAGTGTGCTGGAGATGCTCTAGGAAAAAATTGAATAGTGAGACGAGTTCCAGCGCAAGGGTTTCTGGTTTGCCAAGAAGAAAGTGAACATCATGGATCAGAACAACAGCCTGCCACCTTACGCTCAGGGCTTGGCCTCCCCTCAGGTAATATAGCAGGAGGGAGAGAATAGGGAGGGCGGAAATCTGAACTGCAAGAGATGGTATCAAAAGGCAAGGAAGGGCATTTAATGATCTGTTTTTGAAAATGGTTTAATATGTTTTTTAAGCCTTATTTTGTTGAGAAGTTCTATTAGGCTTTGAATAGGCACAATGGTGTTTATTTGGGAAGTCTGGAAGCTAAGTTATATATTTATGAAACACCTAATCTTTTGATAAACACTTATGAGAATGTTCCAAATGACTATATAGGGTCTTTGATTTTGAAAATCACCCTCACCAAATTATTTTCTAGTTTTATTTTTCCCCTTTTACATTTCAAGCTCTCAACCACCCATCTACTTTAAAAATTTTTCAGCCTGGGTGCAGTGGCTCACGCCTGTAATCCCAGCACTTTGGGAGGCCAAGGTGGGCGGATCACCTGAGGTCAGGAGTTCGAGACCAGCCTGGCCAACGTGGTGAAACCTCATCTCTACAAAATATACAAAAATTAGCCAGGTGTTGTGGCGGGTGCCTGTAATCCCAGCTACTCGGGAGGCTGAGGCAAGGAGAATTGCTTGAACCCGGGAGGTGGAGGTTGCAGTGAGCAGAGGTCGTGCCACTGCACTCCAGCCTGGGAGACAGAGCGAGACTCTGTCTCAAAAAAAAAAAAAAAAAAAAAAAAATCAATAACTTTTGTTGAAATATACATACAAAAAAACTCATTTTAAGTGTCTGTTTTGATAATTATATATAATGTATAAATTACAGAACATTTCAGTTACCTTAAAAAGTCCCTTCTTCCCCTTTATAGTCACTCTGCTGGCCCCAGGTAACTACTGCATCTGCTTTTCAATGCTGAAGATTAGTTTTGTCTATTCTAGAATTTCATATAGATGGAATCAGAGTGTATGCTTTTTTGTGTATGTCTGACTTCTTAGCCCAGTGTACTGTTTGTATATCAGTAGTTAATCCATTGTATAGCTAAGTATCACTCCATTGTTTGGATGTTCCACAGTTCATCCATTCTCCAGTTGCTCACATTTGGGGTCTTTCCAGTTTGGAGCTATTGCGAATAAAAGCACTGTAAACATTTGTGTAGACTTTGAATGCACTGTTTTTACTTCTCATGGGTAAATACTTAGGAGTAGGATTGCTAGGTCCTATATTGGTATATGTATAACTTTATAAGAAACTGCCAAACTGTTTTTTGAAGTGGCTGTATTGTTTTGCAGCATAAGAGATTTAAGTTGCTCCACATCCTCACCAACACTTTCTGCTGTCAGTCTTTTTACTTTCACTCTAGTGATTGCTTAGTAGTATCTTATTGTGGTTTTGATTTTTATTTGCCTGATTACTAATGTTTCTGAGCACCTTGGCAAGTGCTTGTCAGCCACTCATACACAGGCCCACCTCACTTTACTGCACTTCACTTTACTGCATGTTTGACAAATTGAAGGTTGTGGTAAACCTGTACCCAGCAAGTCTGTTGGCATTATTTTTCCAAAAGTGTGTACTCACTTCATGTCTTGGGGTTAGATTTTGGTAATTTTTGCAGGATTTCAAACTTTTTCATTATTATCCGTTATTGTTATCAAACTTTTTTTTTTCTTTTTTTTTGTATTTTTTTTTTAATTTTTTTTTTCAGTCACTCTGTTGCCCAGGCTGGAGTGCAGTGGTGCAGTCTTGGCTCACTGCAAACTCCATCTCCCGTGTTCAAGCGATTCTCCTGCCTCAGCCTCCCAAGTAGCTGGGATTACAGGCATGCGCCACCACACCCAGCTAAATTTTGTATTTTTAGTGGAGACGGAGTTTCACCATGCTGGTGTCAAACTACTGGCTGCAAGTGATCCATCCGCCTTGGCCTCCCAAAGTGTTGGGATTACAGGCATGAGCCACTGTGCCTAGTCAAACCTTTTCATTATTATCTGTTATTGTGATCAGTGATCTTTGATGTTACTATTGTAATTATTATTGAATGCCATAAACTGCACCTGTATAATACAGGAACTTAATTGATAAATGTCTGCAGCGTGACCAACCATTCCCCCATCTCTCTCCCTCTGCTTGGTCTTCCCTATTCCTTGAGACACAACAATATGGAAATTAGGCTAATTAATAACCTTACAGTGACTTTTAATTAAGTGTTCAGATGAAGGGAAGAGCTGCACATCTCTCATTTGAAACCAAAAGCTATAAATGATTATACTTAGTGAAGAAGGCATGTTGAAAGCTGAGACAGGCTAAAAGCTAGGCCTCTTGCACCAAATAGTTAGCCAAGTTGTGAATGCAAGGGAAAAGTTCTTAAAGGAAATTAGAAGTGCTACTCCAGTAAACCCACAAGTGATAAGAAAGCAAAACAGCCTTATTGCTTATATGGAGAAAGTTTGAATGGTCTGGATAGAAGATCATACCACCCACACATCCCCTTAAGCCAAAGTGTAATACAGAGCAAGGCCTTAACTCTCTTCAATTCTGTAAAGGCTGAGAGCGGAGAGGAAGCTGTAGAAGAAAGTTTTGAAACTAGCAGAGGTTTATTCAGAGCTTTAAGGAGAGAGGCCTTCTCCACAACATAAAAATGCAACATGAAGCAGCAAGTTATCTGGAAGATCTAGCTGAGATAATTGATGAAGGTGACTATACTAAATAATAGATTTTTAATGTAGATGAAACAGCCTTCTACTGGAAGAAGATGCTATCTAGGACTTTTATAGCTAGAGAGGAGAAATCAGTGCCTAGCCTCAAAGCTTCAGAGGACTGGCTGACTAGTTAGGGGCTAATAGAGCTGGTGAGTTTAAATTGAAGCCAATGCTCATGTTCTGCTCTAAAACCATAGAGCCTTAAGAATTACGCTAAATCTACTCTGCCTGTCCTCAGTAAACAGAACAACAAAACCTGATGAGAGCACGTCTGTTTACAGCATGATTTACTGGATATTTTAAGCTCTTTGAGATCTGCTCAGAAAAAAAGTTTAATTTCAAAATATTACTCACTGACAGTGTAACTAGTTGTCCACAAGCTCTGATGGAGAAGAACAAGGAGATTAATATTGTTTTCATGCCTGCTTAAATAATATATCCATTCTTCAGCCCATGGATCAAGGAGTAATTTCAACTTTCAATTCTTACTATTTAAGAAATACAGCAGGGCATGGTGGCTCATGCTTGTAATCTCAGTACTTTGGGAGGCCAAGGTGGAAGGATCACTCAAAGCTAGGAGCTCAAGACCAACCTGGGTAACAAAACAAGTCCCTGTTGCTACAAAAAAAAATTTTTTTTTAATTAGCTGGTCATGGTGGCATGTGCCTGTAGTCCCAGCTACTTGGGAGGCTGAGGCGGGAGGGTCACTTGAGTCCAGAAGTTAAAGGCTACAATGGAGACCCTGTCTCAAAGAAAGGAAGCAGGGAGGGACATATGCTGTAGCTGCCATAGATAGTGATTCCTCTGATGAATCTGGGCAAAGTGAATTGAAAACCTTCTGAAAAAGATTCACCATTCTAGATGCCATTAAGAATGTTCATGATTCATGGGAGGAGGGTGAAATATCAACATGAATAAGAGTTTGGAAGAGGTTGATTCCAACCCTCGTGGATGACTTTGAGAGGTTCTAGACTTCAGTGCTGGAAGTTACTGCAGGTGTAGTGGAAATAGCAAGTGAACTAGAATTAGAAGTGAACCTGAAGATGTGACTGAATTGCTGCAATTTTTTGATAAAACCTGAACAGATGAGGAGTTGCTTCTTGTGAGTAAGCAAAGAAAGTGGTTTCTTGAGATAGAATTGACTCCTGGTGAAGAACTGATGACTTTAGAATATTACATAAACTTAGTTGATAAAGCAGCAGCAGGGTTTGAGAGGATTGACTCCAATTTTGAAATAAGTTCTAGTGTGGGTAAAATGCTGTCAAATAGTATCATATGCTACAGAGACATCTTCAGTGAAAGGAAGAGTCAGTCAGTGTGGCAAACTTCGTCAGTCTTATTTTAAGAAATTGCCACAGCTACCACCCTGATCAGTCAGCAGCCATCAACATCGAGGCAAGATCCTCTGTCAGCAAAAAGATTATGATTTGCTGCAGGCTCACATGATTGTTAGCATTTTTAGCAATAAAGCATTTTTAAATTAAGTTATATACATATTATTAGACATAATGCTATTGCACACTTAATAGACTTTAGTGCTAACATAACTTTTGTAGGCACTGGGAAACCAAAAAATTGATGCCGCTTGCTTTATTGAGATGGTCTGGAACCTAACCTGTAGTATCTCCGAGGTATGCCTGTATCTTCATTTGTAATATGTCCTTCACATCTTTTGCCCTTTTTTATTATTTTATTTGTTGATCTTCTTTTATGGAGTTGTCAGAGCTCTTTATTATTCTGTTTACCAGTCCTTTCTCAGATGTATGTATTATAGTTATTTTTTTCCCAGTCTGGCCTGCCTTTTAATTTTCTCAATGGTGTCTTTCAAAGAACAGAAGTTTTTAATTTTTCCGAAGTTCAGTTTATCCATTTTTCTTCATGTTTATCCACTGTGTGGTATTAAAGAAGAAAGCAATGTGTATAAGAATAGCTGGTTCTTCCGTAATTAATGTTTAATAACCCCATTATTCTCCGAAGGCATCTGTCTTTGCACACCTGACCTGCTGTTCCACCAAGAAAGTTCCACAAACACTTAGCAGCAGCCAGCCTAACCTGTTTTTCTCCTTGCTTTCCACAGGGTGCCATGACTCCCGGAATCCCTATCTTTAGTCCAATGATGCCTTATGGCACTGGACTGACCCCACAGCCTATTCAGAACACCAATAGTCTGTCTATTTTGGAAGAGCAACAAAGGCAGCAGCAGCAACAACAACAGCAGCAGCAGCAGCAGCAGCAGCAACAGCAACAGCAGCAGCAGCAGCAGCAGCAGCAGCAGCAGCAGCAGCAGCAGCAGCAGCAGCAGCAACAGGCAGTGGCAGCTGCAGCCGTTCAGCAGTCAACGTCCCAGCAGGCAACACAGGGAACCTCAGGCCAGGCACCACAGCTCTTCCACTCACAGACTCTCACAACTGCACCCTTGCCGGGCACCACTCCACTGTATCCCTCCCCCATGACTCCCATGACCCCCATCACTCCTGCCACGCCAGCTTCGGAGAGTTCTGGGATTGTACCGCAGCTGCAGTGAGTACTTCGTGTTTTATGTTTCCTCCCACTTAGGAGTCCCTTTGAGTTATGTTCCTGCTCTGTTTTCAGATGGATCCTTTTATTAAGGGAGGGAGTGGCACTAACGGTAATTGTGTATCAAAATTTGCTTTATCTCACATTTGGGAAAGGGAAGCAAAGCTATCTTAGTCAGTGTCCTCAGTAAAAGGCTCTTAACAGGTTTAGAAATGTGGTCATTTGTGTTTACATACCTGAGCCAATAAAATTTAATCTGACTTTCACTGTCGTTATTATTATATTATAGACATTTCCCTGTATCTGATATCGCTAAATCACAATGTTAGGTAGTCTCTTTCCCTTATGCTATTTTAGGTCTTTAGTCACAATATCAGTATAATTTCTGGTAGTTCTTGTTTTTTGTTTTTACTATGGGTGCTGCATATAAATCTTTGAAGGTCTGTGTCCTTCCCACAAAATGAAGACGACTGTTTTTGTCATAAATGGATTTTTCTACCTAAATGAAGTGGGTTCTATATGTAACAGTGTAGTAGGGGTAGGAAATAATTTCATCTTCCTGAAAAACCAGCAAATATTTCCAAATAATTCCAGTCAATAAGAAGTGTATAGCTTTTCATTTTAGAAAGCTTATGACCAAATTAAAAGGTTACTTGCAGTCTCTGCATCTCCTCAGTTTTCTTGTACAGATACCTTCCTCCTTCATACTCCCTTTAGATCTAGTATTTCCTATTTGCATTTATTCACCTTGTTACATATATGGTTGTTGTTTATAAGCTATCTCTCATCATTTTTGGAACTAAGTGGTGTGTAATCGTGGATGCTGACTTTCACCCAAAGACCTAAATCTTGCCTCCACAATTTTGTTTGACCCCACACACAATTTTAAAAACAAAGTAATTTTAGTGATTTTAGAGAGAGCCCTTTTTAGCTCACCCTTGTCTATACCACTCCCATGTGTCCAGCATGCTTGTCTGACTCCCAGGAATATTTAAGTTTGCATTTCTGATTTAAATAATAAATTATAAACAGTACAGTCAGGTGTTTGTTTCTTGCGAGTGCCTTTGCTGTTCTGATACTCCCCAGAGCATCCAGTCATCCACATTCCTGAATTTCCACTATCTACTAAGAACCCTCCCGGGTGGTAGTTCAGTGCCCTCTCCATCTTGTAGGCTTAAGAGGGATTAAGGTAAATATTTAATTAATGAAAATATATAAGAATACATTTAACAATTATGTGACTAAAGTTGTGATAGATATACTAAAATCTACTTGGTATAGTTCATAAGTGGACAAATGCTAAAGGCAGGTGTGTATACAAGGGTGATTGGAAGGAAATAGATGATATGGAAATGAAAACATTCATTGTGTGGATCAACCTAATTGGCTTTACAGTTGTGTATCATAGACTGTACAAGAAAAAGAACCAGAAGCAACAATGAGCTGAAACCTATTGTATTTGAACCTATGTATTTGAAATCTGGACTCGATATTCTTGGGATGGTGATTTCCAGGTCCATGCGAGACAGTTGTTGAGCAGTTAATTGCATTCAAAGGGCATTGCCCATTTCAACTATATATACTTTCATAAGCAGAAAAATGTATAATGAAAATGTGGGTTTGTTGTTTAAATTTTTATTAAAATTTCTAATAGAGTTGCTTTTTAGTATATCTTTATCCTTGTATAAGTTATTCGTTAAGTGATTTAAGAACACTGAGAAATGAAAAGGGTCAGTGGACCCAGATGGCTCCATTTATCCTTATTTACTGAGAGTTAATTAGAAGAGAAAGCAGGGTTTTGCCTTTTTTTTTTGCTAAAGACACTTAGCTCTTGTTTTTCAAAAGATACTTACTTTGAGAGAACTGGGCAGTTCATGCCTGCTTGTTTTCATTATAAATAGTTACTTAGGAATAGGGTGGTGGTGGTAGCTTTTCAGAGCTCACAGATGAGAATTGAGTTTGTCTGTGAGAAGGCTAAGGGCAGGCTCTGGAGACAGACAGACTCAAATCCTGGCTCCTCCACTTGGGAGCCATTGCGTCCTGAGCAAGTTGCACTCTACCTTTAAGCCTCAGCTTATTTATCCAAATGTGGGAATACTGGTAACTTCTACCTCAGTGCGTTATATGTATTAAATGGAATAATCTATATAAAATGCTCAACATGTGCATGATACTTGTTAAACAATAAATGTGAGCAATTAAAAAAAAGTAAAGCCTGGTTGAAATAATCAGATGTCTGCATAATTTCTAACGCCTCATCCAATGAAACTTAAGTAATTTAAATAGTCGTGTTTTCTTTTTAAATCTCTTACAGAAATATTGTATCCACAGTGAATCTTGGTTGTAAACTTGACCTAAAGACCATTGCACTTCGTGCCCGAAACGCCGAATATAATCCCAAGGTTAGATCTATTTTAATGTATTTCTTTTTTTTTTCTTTTTTGTCTCCTCTGCCGTGTCTCTATATTTTAATGTATTTCACGCTATAAAACAAATGTCTGTAGATCAGGCCAGGCACAGTGGCTAATGCCTGTAATCCCAGCACTTTGGGAGGCTGAGGAAGGAGAATTTCTTGAACCTAGGAGTTCACCACCAGCCCAGGCAACATGGCAAGACCCTGTCTCTTAAAAAAAAAAAAAAAATTGGCCGGGCTTGGTGGCTCACACGTGTAATCCCAGCACTTTGGGAGGCCGAGGTGGGCGGATCATCTGAGGTCAGGAGTTCAAGACCATCCTGGCCAACATAGTGAAACCCCGTCTCTACTAAAAATACAAAAATTTGCCGGGAGTGGTGGCATGCGCCTGTAATCCCGGCTACTTGGGAGGCTGAGGCAGGAGAATCACTTGATCCTGGGAGGCAGAGGTTGCAGTGAGCGGAGATTGCGCCATTGCATTCCAGCCTGGCAACAGAGCGAGACTCCGCCTCAAAAAAAAAATCTGTATATCAAAGAGTTTGTGTTATGCTTATTCCTTGACACCAATAAAATGAAGATCTAAAGTAAAATGTGCATTGTTTTGTATCTTTTATTGAGTGTCTGTGATATAAGAATCCCTGGGAGTACAGCAGTCTATAAAATAAGCTAAGTTATATATGTATTGTATTGGGATCATGTGAAGAATTTTGTATATGTATAGGGATGATGTTAGCCAGCTATAGTAGGCAAAGTAATTTGGATAAACATTAGCTGGGTTGAGAGAAATGTTAAGTAATGGACTTAGGGTGCATTTTAAAATCCCTGAAACATAATGCCTGAGATCTGAAAGACAGCTAAGGGTCTGAAAATCACCTTTTAACCACTCATAATGAGTCTGTATGACATGTAGCATTCTAAGAATTAATCTTTCATCTATTATAATCACATTTAGTTGAATACATAATTTTATTACTTTACGTTCTTAAGTGATATTTAACCAATAAAAATAGTAGAGGAAATTCTGGAAATTCAAAATAGCTAGGCTTTTCCTGGGACGTATATAAACTACTATATACTGCTAGCTTTTTTAGATGTTGATAAAATCACAGGGAAGACATAGAGCAGGTTTTAAACTAAAATTGTTAAAAGCCAGGCATGGTGACTCAGACCTGTAATTCCAGCACTTTGGGAGGCCAAGGTGGGAGGATCACTTGAGGCCAACAGTTCAAGACGAGCCTGGGCAACATAGCAAGGCCTTGTTTCATCAGAAAATTTAAAAAATTATCTGGGGTTGGTGGCACACACCTATAATCCCAGCTACTTGGGAGGCCAAGACAGAAGGATCTCTTGAGCTCAGGAATTCGAGGCTGCAGTGAGCCATGATTGCACCACTGCACTCCAGTCTGGGCAACAAAGTGAGACTCTTGTCTCTAAAAAAAAAAATTAATAAAATAAAAAAATAAAATTGTTAAAGCAATCTAGTTTGTCAAAGAGTCGTCTTAATTAGAAACATGTAGGTTTTTATTGTATAATTAAATGTATTAAAATATTTAAGTTGTTTCAAAGTAATTATTTGCTTTTTATCATGTACCTAATAACTGAGGCCATTAATTCAACCCACAGTTGAAATATTTTCCCCTTGAGTTACCACCTTAGCAAGAAAATTTTCTGAAAGAATTAACATGTTTCAAGCATAAAAAGCAGAAAATAAAAGTTAAAACTGTGTTTTTTTCCTAATTTGCATTTATGTGTTTAATACATTAATATTGTTTCTAAAGACCAATTGAAAGCATGATTTTACTTCATTACGTATTGATAGGCTTGTAATCTGATTTATTAATTCCATTAAGGTAGAAAAGGTTTATTGGTTTATTTGCCTCAAAATTCATATTAATAAAACAAAATGTATCAGAGAAGCTATAGTCATGATAAGCAGCAAATATAAAGTAGAAACAGAAGCACTTGTATTTATTGAGAACATAACCAAATTTTGCAAACATTTCTCTTGATGGAATGCTCATGTGAAAGAACATACAGATTTGGTATAACTTAGTCACAATTGATTATTTTCTGCTCCTTATGCAAAGGAATATTTGTTACATGTGGTGTATGCAAATCCTTTACAGATATACAGAAATACAGAACAAATATTTTGATAACTAGATGTACTATGTCCTTCCTACCAGTTGTGATTTTTTTGTCAATGGGTGGTTCGCCTAACAACATTGAGCAGTTTGGCATGACCTCACTAATGATTCTCTCTGACCATTGTAGCGGTTTGCTGCGGTAATCATGAGGATAAGAGAGCCACGAACCACGGCACTGATTTTCAGTTCTGGGAAAATGGTGTGCACAGGAGCCAAGAGGTAGCCGTAAGAAATTCATTCTTCTGGTCTATGGGTTATGAATGAAAAGGTGATATCTCATTGTTTTTAGGTTATTAGGTTAGCACTTTAACATGTTATTATTGCTTTCTTATAAAAACCATTTTAATATGATTCTATTAATTATTTTTATTTATTTATTTATTATTTGATTCTATTAATGTTAGATAGCAGTGATTTCATTTTCTTAAAAATTAGATATGGGCAGGCGTGGTGTCTCACCAAGGCGGGCAAATCACTTGAGGCCAGGAGTTCGAGACCAGCCTGACCAACATGGTGAAACTCCATCTCTACTAAAAATACAAAAATTAGCCAGGCGTGGTAGTGGATGTCTGTAGTCCCAGCTACTTGGGAGGCTGAAGCACGAGAATCGCTTAAATCCGGGAGGTGGAGGTTGCAGTGAGCTGAGATCATGCTACTGTACTCCAGCATGGGAGACAGAACAAGACACTTTCTCCAGAAAAAAGAAAAAAATTAGGTAAGATGTAATACAACATCAGAACTATTAATAAAATTCCCTTTATGTGAAAAATGTTGTAAATAACACAAATACATCTTGAAATGGAAGAAAAAATTGATCAAGAATTAAAACACTTCTAAGCTAATGGTGTAAGGGCTTTGCAGACCTTATTGGGCCTGGCAGCGTGACAGCATCACATGTGTTGGCTGCAGAAACCTGCCTTCTCACTGGAACTAGCTTTCATTAATAGTGTTTGAGTTGTGCAGATCTTAAGGAATGCACCCTTGTTATAAAATGTCATTGCCTATATTCTCCATCTGAAGTGATCCTGTCTGAAGGTTAGTACTCTGCGGCCCTGACTGTTCTAAACAGAGCTTATATACTTGGTAGAAGTCAAAAACTAGGGGGAAAATTAGTGACATTAGCTTCATAAATGAACTGAACAAATAAACTAAAACTTTTTAAATGAAAGAGTATTAAATGTACTTGGAGGTATCAACACATAGAAGGGGGCTGTGGATATTTTTGCTTATTCTGAAGTTTGAAATTGTCTTTCAGTGATGGGAATGCCATTGGTGTGGACATTCTGGCTCCTGATCTCCGAGGTTTTTCAGAATGCAGGACAAGGATGTGTTCTTGCCTTTCACTTCCCCTTGGCCACAACATGCAGTAGTAACCTCTTTAATTAAGAGCGTTTTTGTTTGCTTGTTTTCCCCTGCATGGAACATCAGAAACTTTTGGTTTATCAAGGCAAGCTTTTCATGCAGCATTTAGCCTTTTTGTCCCAGAGCATCTGAAAACTGAATATTGTATATGTAGTTGGATGACTATTTCATCAAGACAAGAAACCACCAATACATTTACCTGAAATTTAAAAGCGTAGCATATATATATATGCTTGATTTTTGTTCTTCCTGATCCCCTGCACCTGATAGTCTCTTTATGGTAATATTTTCACATTCTTTTTTGTTGTTGTTGTTGTTTTTGAGATGGAGTCTCGCTCTGCGCCCAGGCTGGAGTGCAGTGGCATGATCTCGGCTCACTGCAAGCTCCGCCTCCTGGGTTCACGCCATTCTCTTGCCTCAGCCTCCCGAGTAGCAGAGACTACAGGTGCCCACCACCATGCCTGGCTAATTTTTGTATTTTTAGTAGAGATGGGGTTTCACTGTGTTAGCCAGGATGGTCTCAATCTCCTGACCTCATGATCCGCCTGCCTCAGCCTCCCAAAGTGTTGGGATTACAGGTGTGAGCCACCGTGCCCGACCTGCCTGCCTGCCTTTTTCTCTTTTATTTTTTCTTTTTTTCTCTTCTTTCTTTCTTTCCTTTTCTTTTTTTTTTTTTTTTTTTTTTTTTTTGGTGGAGTCACCTAGGCTGGAGTGCAGTGGCACAATCTTGGCTCACTGCAACCTCCACCTCCCAGGTTCAAGTGATTCTCCTGCCTCAGCCTCCCAAGTAGCTGGGATTGCAGGTGCCTGGCACCATGCCCAGCTAATTTTTGTATTTTTAGTAGAGATAGGGTTTCACCATGTTGACCAAGCTGGTCTCGAACTCTTGACCTCAGGTGAGCTATCCGCCTTGGCCTCCCAAAGTGCTTGGGATTAGAGGCGTGAGCCACCATGCCTGGCCCACATTCTGCTTTTCTTATGTAAGCTCTGAACTGCTAAGTCGTAGTTTATTCAACAAATGACATAGGAATGTCTATTCATGATGAGTCTTGGTATAAAAGAGGATAGAATTAGTGAATACATTGTTCAATAATAAATCTCATCAACATTTTCTGATCAAAATGAAGTTTGTTAGTTTTCCTCTCAGTAGAAATGCATGGGCTAAAATACAGAAATAGTGATGACTGATGATGGTGATAATTCACATCCATAAAATCTAGGGCTACAATAATTTGGCGGATTGAAAGGTCATTTTGGCAGGCCTACAGTTTTCTGTCAAGGATCCAGGAATACTTTATAAGGAATTGTGAATGCCTGTCAGTCTTTTCTCCTATTGCAAGAAGGCTGACCAGTTTACACTTTATTAGTTTACTGTTTTGGACTTTTTATAAGTTATTAGTCTAAATAAGTATTTTAGCTGGCTCTGAGTATGAATAACTCACTTTTTTCCTTTCCCTAGTGAAGAACAGTCCAGACTGGCAGCAAGAAAATATGCTAGAGTTGTACAGAAGTTGGGTTTTCCAGCTAAGTTCTTGGACTTCAAGATTCAGAATATGGTGGGGAGCTGTGATGTGAAGTTTCCTATAAGGTTAGAAGGCCTTGTGCTCACCCACCAACAATTTAGTAGGTAAGTCTGAAATGTATTATGATTGTTATTGGCAACAGTTCATTTATAATCTAAACATTGTTCAGAATAAAACACATGCAAAATATTCAGTATATGAGAACAGTTGACATGGTTATAGTTGTATGTATTCTTGCATTGTCTTCCTGATGTTCTCAGTCATATTTATCACCCTCACCAGCCTCTGCTTCCCTTATCACTTTGCGGTACCCATAACTCCCCTTTACTGGAATGAATTTGATTCTACTTCTGTATGTTTTATCGTTTTATTGCTGAATACACTTGGAATGCATGAATTGACCCTAACCTTGTATCAATTTTTTTTCCCAGTTTGGATCTTCTCTTTTAGTCAACATTGTGTCAGATCTACCAGCAAAGTGTGAAGTTGAGCGATAGGAACAACTTTCTAATTATCTTCCCTGCTACTTGCAGGTGAAGACTCACAGGCAGGCAGCCCTGCCCACCTCACTGCTTCATCTCATGGTCTTCTGGTGTCTGTTCACAGGCACATTAGTTCTGTGTGCCCCTGGGGCTCACTTGGTTCCTCCTGCCCTAGGCCTTTGCACTTGCCACTTTTATGCCTAGTATGCTCATTTCCCTTTTCACCTAGGAAGCTCCCACTTGAGTTCCATATGTCTACCCATTCCACTCTTCCTCAGAGAAGCCTGTCCTGAATTTTGTCTTAGGTCAGACACACAGAAACAGAGGCATCCTGTTTTCAGTCTCTCCGAACTGAGAAAAATGAGATTACTAGGCTTAGAAGAATATGTACCAGGCCTGGCCTGGTGGCTCACACCTGTAATCCCAGCATTTTGGGAGGCCGAGGCAGGCAGATCAGTTGAGTTCAGGAGTTCAAGACCAGCCTGGCCAACATGGTGAAACCTCGTCTTTACTAAAAATACAAAAATTAGCTGGACATGGTGGTGCATGCCTGTAATCCCAGTTACATGGGAGGCTGAGGCAGGACAATCATTCGAACCCAGGAGATGGAGGTTGCAGTGAGCCAAGATCGTGCCACTGTACTCCAGCCTGGGCGACACAGCAAGACTCCGTCTCAAAAAAAAAAAGAATATATACCAATAGTCCATTCAGTCAGACAGCTTAATCAGGTATAGGTTAATTCTCAGGCTAGTATATAAGTTTGATTAAATTTCCTGACCACAATTGTCAGCTAGAGAATATTTCAATTTAAGGAGGTAAGATATGATTAAAAGTTAAACTGTCAGTATTGGATCTTAGAAGTAAATGATTATTAGGACTGTAATAGTAATTATTAGGACTGTAAAAGTAAAGGATTATTATCTGCATTAGATATCATTATATCTAATGATATAGAGACTGCAGACATAACTACAGGGCTCTTTTTCTTAAATCAGAAAATCCAGATTCAATAGAAATAGGGTAAAGTGATAGGAGGACAAATAGCCTTCCATCCAGTGGTTATCAACTGACGACTACAAGTCGGCCTCACTTGCTTTAATTATTCTATTCTATCCTTTGATGCTGCTTGAAGAACTGTGTTTTACCTCTTGACTAGTTTGTTTATTCAGTATTTTTCCTTGTACAGGTCCTCATTTTATCTAAAAGCACACAAAGCTCTTGATTTCTAAACTTTTTGCAATTTTCCTTCTAGTTATGAGCCAGAGTTATTTCCTGGTTTAATCTACAGAATGATCAAACCCAGAATTGTTCTCCTTATTTTTGTTTCTGGAAAAGTTGTATTAACAGGTAAGTTGTAACAGGAAGTAGTATCTGAAAGTTTGTAAGTGTTTTGAGTATGGCATTTTCTCAGTGCTGAAAAGAAATTTCAGTGTTCGGACAGTGGGCTAGCTTCTTGTACAAAGGCCTCCCACCCAAAGTCTGATGAGAAACGTGCCCACTAAAGGCACAGTGAGAGCAGGGAAGTCTGACCACAGCTCTGCAAGCAGACTTCCATTTACAGTGAGGAGGTGAGCATTGCATTGAACAAAAGATGGCGTTTTCACTTGGAATTAGTTATCTGAAGCTTTAGGATTCCTCAGCAATATGATTATGAGACAAGAAAGGAAGATTCAGAAATGAGTCTAGTTGAAGGCAGCAATTCAGAGAAGAAGATTCAGTTGTTATCATTGCCGTCCTGCTTGGTTTATGGCCTGGTTCAGGACCAAGGAGAGAAGTGTGAATACATGCCTCTTGAGCTATAGAATGAGACGCTGGAGTCACTAAGATGATTTTTTAAAAGTATTGTTTTATAAACAAAAATAAGATTGTGACAAGGGATTCCACTATTAATGTTTTCATGCCTGTGCCTTAATCTGACTGGGTATGGTGAGAATTGTGCTTGCAGCTTTAAGGTAAGAATTTTACCATCTTAATATGTTAAGAAGTGCCATTTCAGTCTCTCATCTCTACTCCAACTTGTCTTCTTAGGTGCTAAAGTCAGAGCAGAAATTTATGAAGCATTTGAAAACATCTACCCTATTCTAAAGGGATTCAGGAAGACGACGTAATGGCTCTCATGTACCCTTGCCTCCCCCACCCCCTTCTTTTTTTTTTTTTAAACAAATCAGTTTGTTTTGGTACCTTTAAATGGTGGTGTTGTGAGAAGATGGATGTTGAGTTGCAGGGTGTGGCACCAGGTGATGCCCTTCTGTAAGTGCCCACCGCGGGATGCCGGGAAGGGGCATTATTTGTGCACTGAGAACACCGCGCAGCGTGACTGTGAGTTGCTCATACCGTGCTGCTATCTGGGCAGCGCTGCCCATTTATTTATATGTAGATTTTAAACACTGCTGTTGACAAGTTGGTTTGAGGGAGAAAACTTTAAGTGTTAAAGCCACCTCTATAATTGATTGGACTTTTTAATTTTAATGTTTTTCCCCATGAACCACAGTTTTTATATTTCTACCAGAAAAGTAAAAATCTTTTTTAAAAGTGTTGTTTTTCTAATTTATAACTCCTAGGGGTTATTTCTGTGCCAGACACATTCCACCTCTCCAGTATTGCAGGACAGAATATATGTGTTAATGAAAATGAATGGCTGTACATATTTTTTTCTTTCTTCAGAGTACTCTGTACAATAAATGCAGTTTATAAAAGTGTTAGATTGTTGTTATACCTTGTAAGAGTCATGTGATCATACTGTTTTCTACAAAGTTGTATTTTAGATATAATGCCTGAAACCATTTTGGTGTTTGCTTCAGTCAGTATTTCATTGTATGCTGCAATGAAAACAGATTAATGATCTGAGAACCTTCCATATATTGAGCAACTCCTGTTTTCTAGGTATTTTGCATACAATGCCTGGAATCCTCACAAAGCTTCAGTTACGTTTTGTTCCTCTGTTGGAGGTGAGGAGATAAGGAAGCCCCAGCTGAGGGACTTGGCTGAGGTTACACAGCTAGTAAGTGGTAAAAATGAGTGAGTCCTTCAGGTGTAGAAGCTGGTGCCCTATCCACAGGCTGCCAACTCTCTGCAGTAACTTTTTTTTGCTTGTTTTGCAGTTTTTTTCTCATGGACTATCAGGTGGACATTTGTGGGTTCTTAGGTTTTATTGTTAGAGTGGTTTGTTGTTTTTAATTGTAAAAGTACATCTTCAGCTGACTCAGGAATAAAATCAGAAAGGGGAGGTCCTTCCTTCCTTTCTCTTCTGCCTCTTTCCCCAAGATAACGACCAGATTAGTGGGTATCTTCTAAGCCCTGTTCTGTCTATCTTCTGGGCATGGCATTTGATCCCATTTTTGGAAAAAAGAAATAATACATTCAATTTTATAGCTTTCCCTTTTTTCAGTCAATATATCATAAACCTATTTCCATGATTGGGAATCTAGGATACTCTTCTTAGGTACCTTCACTTACTGAGCTATTCCTGTAATTATGGTCATTTACATGACCTCTAGTTTTTCAATATCATCAACAGCGCTGCAGGGAACATCCTTGTATGTGTATTTTTCGGATGAGTGCAGGTATTCATGTAGTAAACTTTCCTAGAAGAGGAACTAAAGACTATACATTCTGAGTTTTAATCAGTTGATACCAGATTGCAGTCCAAAGAGAACGGTGCATGAAATGCCCTTTTCTTGCATTTTCCAATCATTAGTGATGCCAATAATGTATGGATTAATTGGAAAGACATCATTCCAATATTATCTCCTATCTAAGAAAGAAGTATCTCTTCATGTATGTAGGTCTTATGTTCCTCAGTAAAGTTTTGTACTTTTTTTCACACAGGGCTTTTATATTTCATAAGTATTACTTCCTTAATTCCTAAGTATAGTATCATTTCTGTTTTATTACTGGAAGTTTTTCCTAACACTTTAAAAGTTATTGTTGATAATATTTTTCTTATTCCGAGTTTACTGAACTCCTATTACTGCTGATTTAGTTGATTGCATTGAAAGTTCTAGGCATGTAATCATCTGTAAATAGTAATTTTATGTTTTCCTTTCCAACATTTATTTTTCCTATCAGTGCCTAGGACTTTAATGTATATAACTTAAAAAAAACATCTCTTAGAGTTGTAGCTACATATACAGGAAATCTAACAAATGTGTAGCATAATGTATTATACAAAGGCAGACACCCTTGCAGCCACCAACAAGGTCAAGAAACAATTTTGCTGCCTGTCCTAGAAGCCCCTCCTTATGGTCCTATCCAGACACACACTTCTGGCTTCCCTCAAGCAGTGACTATTATCCTGACTCTCACGCATTTAAAGATAATTGAAGTTCCTCGTCCATCTCTTTTCTTTCCAATTTACAGGCCATTTAGTGTGTAGAGCTTCTCATAGTCTGGGGTTTGCTAGTTGGAAATTCATGGTGTAGTTTCCCTATTCTCTGTATTTCCTGCAAATTGGAAGCTGCTGTGTAATTCCTAGATCTATTAATTCATTAGTGGGTTGCAAAATGACATTTTAGTCATTTCATTTCTTTTTCATTTATTAATTTGAATACTTTTATAAAGTGTTGTGCTCCATATAGCAGAATACTTTCCCCTTTTAAGTTTTCAAGATAAAATGAGTTCATATTAATATGTCCAATTCAAAGCTCATAGGGTTATTTTACCAATTGTATATCCAATTCAAATTCAAAGCTTATAGGGTTTTTATTTAACCAATTCTGTATTACACTCTTCCTTCTACACTGAGAATTTTTAATTCTTAAAGACATAGGGGATGAGGAATTAGAATGTCCCATAATTACTCATTTACTTTACGTATTTACTTTATCATTACTTTATCTGTTATATGTGCAATTTTTTTTGAGACACGGTCTCTGTTGCCCAGGCTGGAGTGCAGTGGCACAATCATGGTTTGCTGCAGTCTCAAACTCCTGGGCTCAAGTGATCCACCTCAGCCTCTGGAGTAGCTAGCCAGGACTACGGGTGCACACCAACACACCCAGCTAATTTTTTTTAATTTTTGTAGAGACAAAGTCACTCAACTGTTGCCCAGGCTGTTCTTGAACTCTTAGGCTCAAGCCATCCTCCCACCTCCACCATAACATTCTTAAGAGTAACAAAAACACTATCACCAATATGATTGCCAAAAACACTTGGAACTTTTTTTTTTTTTGCTGTGATATCTGAAATTGCCAAAGGATATTCAGTATCTGAAATAAAAAGGCAAAGCTGAATATGCTGCTCTCTACAGCAGAGGGAGCTGCTGTGGCTGGACAGTATCTGAACCAAGCAGATCTTAAAACTTTGTAGGTGTTGAGAAATGGTGGATGCATGGACTGGCACCGTCTGTGGAGCCATGATTATGTAGGTGAGACTTGCTCATTATCTTGTAGTGTTTTAAAATGTCTTCACATTTCTAAAGGCAACTTGCTTAATGCATTTTTTAATTTAAATTTTTTATGTTGTACAGTTTATTTTAAATATAGTTGCTATTTTTTAACACAGATGCCAAGTCGGTGCTGTGAGATTTTCTTTCTGGTGATTTGGACCAGTTTGTCTCCCTCTTGATATATCCATCCCAAATGGAAAGGCCCTGTAAACTGTTACGATCATCTCCAGAGGTTAACTGGAATATACACCAATGACAGCTTGCCTGGGTATGCCAAAATACCTGCAAGAATGTCCACATCATCTGGTGATGTCCCCAAATAACAGTTTTTACCATAGAAAGATCGTTAACATGTTTGCTTTAAAAGTCATTAGCAGTCATAACGTACTTACAGATTCTGCCTATAAGGAATAATACATAATTTTAGATATAAAGGCCCCACTAGTCCAGGTTTCCTTATGCCACTGTGCTTCCTACTAAGTGTTGCGACCAGCTCTTGTCACTAGTTGATGACAACTTACTCCAGTAGCCACAGGGCTGTGACACCATAGTTATAGGTGATTTTCATAGATTTAGCCATCCCAGGTTCGAAACTAGTATCCTCTAGCTCTTAAGTAGCTGATAACCTCCCCATGGGAGAAACTCCATACTGCAGTTTCCCATATGGTGCTATGTATAACTATCTTATACAATTAATACAAATTGCATATGTATACTTATATAATATGGACTACTAGGACAGAACTTTTTAAATTACAAATAAAATAGCCAAGTAGACAATTACATTAGCAAGTGATGTTACCTATGAAAACGTGAGGATTTATGGTGGCAATGCATTTCAGTTAACAGGGATGTGTTAGGGGACAATGTGAGCCAATGTAGATTAAGGAAATAAGCCTGAGAAATTTATCAGAATTAGCCGTCAGTATTCAAGCACTGATCAACAGCAATGTGTCTTAAGGGCAGGCATCACTGGTGCTGAGAGAACTGGGAATTGTCAACTGTGAGCTGCTAGGGGATGGAAGAAACCTTAGTGTAGTCTTAGGAGCCGCTTGCTTAAACAGATGTATCAGAAACATAATAGGCCAAGGGTCAGCCCTTTGAAAACTGACTTCAGGGCCTTCCTTTCCTCAGGCTGCTGCCTCCTAGGCCAGACCCTTATTTTGGCTTACATTCCATAACCCTTGTATGTGCGATAGGGAACCTGTATACAATGCTGACACGGAAAGGGAAGACCATCGCCTTTTGCCTTTCAGTGTCTCATCTGTAAGCAGGGCCGCTGGCTGACCAAGATCAGTTCTGAAGGTCCAGCCTCTTTAAATTCCAGTTCTGTGATCACAAAGCCACTGTTGTTCCTCATCCTGCCAACTGTGATACTGCTGCTTCAGAATTACTGGGTTTCCTGTTCATCATACTCACCAACCTGAGGTTTGGTATTTCTCAAATATTCTGGGCTTCCAGTACATACTAGAGCCTGTGATAATCAGCTAATGATCAGACAAGTTTGTTGGGAGTTTTACCTAAGTATTTTTGTGTTTTAAAAACCTAGGGTGGGAAATGCTCAGAGTGAGATGGTTTGACTTCATTAGGCATATAACCCATTTTTATTATAAAAAGAAATGCACATATAAGTAAAAAGACCATTTTAGTTAGTCCCACCATTCGTTGGTAACCAGTTCACTAAGTGTACATCTTTGCAGATTTCTGTGCATACATACAAATATTTTTACAAGAATAGGATCATACCATGAATACCACCTATAATGGTATGTCTGTTGTCAATATAGGTGTTATAATTAAGACTGTGTAGCCTTCCTCTGTGGATGTACCAAAATTTATTTAATTCCCTGTCACTGGACACTTTTGTTTCACTAATAAGTAGACACTGTGTAAGCAATCTGTCAACATCTCTGCACCTCTATTTTTGGTATAAGTATTTCCTTAGGATAAAATCCCAGAAATGGAATTGCAAGGTATAAAAGATTATTAACATTTTTCAAGGCTTTAAGATGCCTTTACGGTGTATCTGTTACATCCTGCTTCCACACAAATTCTTCTGTATAGCCAGTACCCAAGCTGCAGCTCTCAGCACAGGTGAAGACAGCCAGGATGCCCCAGTCAATGCTCTTGCCCAGTCTGTCAGCCTTCAGGTAGTTTAGGAGCTGAGGCATGACCTGAGAAGAGGGTGACACACAGTTAGAAAGCTGCTTCACAGCAGGGAGCACGAGACCTTCTCAGCCAGGATGATTATAGGGATCTTGGTCTTTCAATCCTCATACTACAAAGCAGGATTATAGACATTATACAATTAACATGTTTAACAATCTAAAACTTCCTTATGACTTCAAAGCCCCTCTCACCTTCTGTTTGGTCTTTTCCATTTGAGAAAGAAGTTCACAAGTGGCTGTTAATGAATTATTTTCATTACTAATATGCCACTCAAAAGGGCTGAGGCTTCTATTTGGGCAACTTTTACTTTGTATCATTGCAGATGTTGTTACTCTTGACTCAAGAAACACTAATTACTAGTAATGAATACAGAAAGGACATCTATCAATGTAGTTATAGAGACCAGAGAGGAATCTTAGAAGTAGTCTAACTCAAAGAGTGAATAGGCAGAATAGCCACCTGATATGGAATCACTTTATACAAATCCTGTCACCTCAATTTGGACATTGAGAGCTTTGGCACTAAGAACCAAGCAGAGTTTTGTGTATGGTCCTCATAATTCCTTTTTTACCCAAAGAAACAAACCAATATTAGCTATGACTTTGGTAAGGTTAGTGAATCCATAGCTCAAGAGCATTTCCACCCTACCCAAATGGATTTTGATGCTAACAAATCCTTTTGGGCAGGGAAGGACATTTATCTTTAATGCTTATATCCATTTTTTCTAACAAATCCACAAACCAAGATTAAACAGTAAAGACTCCTCTCATAAAGTATATAGTCAAAGACTTTAATTACTAGAACAAGAAAGGAAGGTATACATTATTTAAAATAACAAAAGTTAACAGAGGCACTAATAATAATGACATAACCACACTGGAGGTGGAGAGCAGTGTAGATATCCTCATTGTCACAGAAGTCAGTCAATAGACCGTGTCTGAAAACTAGGAAACAGAAAAAAACAAGACAGTTCCTTCCAGGGAACTAGCCCCAAGGTGAGGCAGGAAACTGATGATTTTCATTATAGGGTACCCTTCCATACTGCCATGTTGACCCATGTGCACAAATTACCTTGGTGAAGTTTTTAATGTTTAAAAACAATCATGGTGATTACACACTAAATGGTCCTTATTTAAGGTCATACCTGGAATTCCAATATTCTCTTGGCACCACAGGGGCAATCTGGAATATCCTTTTCTTGAGGAATATTTTCACCAGAAATCCAGATGGGGGCAATACCTCTGCCATATCTAAGAATCTAAAATCAATGAAGATCATGTTCAAATAATCAATACCTTACCTATAAGTTGCCAATGGTAACATGCTATCTACTCCATGAATGTTCCTACTCTTGATGTAGCACTGACCCAAAAGGCATGTCACAGTTCCCCCATCAGACCTGGCTGTACCAGTGTGCCACTAATGCCTTCTCAATCACCTCAAAGTGATTATTTCAGTTTATCTGACTCAGAGGGCATCAAAATATATCTCCCAGATGATGCTTTTACTACCTAATGTTGGCAACTTAATCCTATGAATATATTGTGAAGGGACTAAGAATGAGCCTCTGCTCTAATTGCAGAATTCTGCCCAGAGTCTGTGCCTACCTTCATAGTTAAAAAATTTTAGGAGGGACAAATACCAAGTGAAACATAGTGTTTTGAAAACTACTACAAACATAAGTAAATTTCACTGTAATAAGCTTCCTACAGCAACTGAGTGGTTTTCTGTATTTTGTCTAAAAGCATATGCATTGCTAAAAACTGCCTTAGTGTTTAAGACCTAGATCTATTCTTCCTGTGTATTTATTTGAACCAGTGACTGGTTTATGGGAGTTTAGTTTTCTTTCGTGATTTACGTTTATGGTAGGGGAGGTTAAGGAGAAAAATGTTAACATGTCACATTTTACAAGCCAAAGTTACCTGTTGGAAATGGGCAAAAATAACCTTTTTTCTTTCTGGCGGGGGGGCCAATGGTGCCTAAACCTCATGTACCTTAGGCAACATCTCATTCATCTCCCATCCCTGATGCTTGCTTTAGAAAATGAACCCTGTATGATAAACAGTATAACCTTTAGTCTTTTAGTAACTATTAAATGGATCAGCACTGCAAAACACCTTTCTACATGGCCCATCTGTGTGAGGAACTCCTCTAACAAGATAACAAAAGCCTGCTTTTATAGGCTCCTAAGGAACAGACTAATGTTACTATGAAGTTATTTCTTACAGATTATACTCATAAAACATGGCCTGAAGAGAACACGATGAGGAGCTATGAGCTCCACTTTACCTGTTCTGGTTCAAGGGCTATCTGAGTTTTAAACTTCTGAAAAATTTTATCTTCCCTGGATTCATGTTTTGCCATGGAATCCAGTTCTTCCTCAAGTGCTTCACCTGAAAAATCAACGTAACTATTATGAAAAACAGGAGTAATCCCCACAACTTGACAATTCACACATGGAGAGGGGACCCACTTTTAATCAGATAGCTTTCCCTATTTATTCACTCATTCAAGTTGGACCATCTGAATTTCCAGGTACTCCATCCAACTCTATTATATGGACTTCCATTTAGTGCATCTCCTTAAAGCTTCAAAATAACAGAATGGTCAAGGGCTTAGGACTGCCCAGCACATCACAGGACACCCAACAAATGTGAGCCCTTATCATTAGTATCCTCAGCTGGTAGGCTCACTCACTCAGTCATCAAGTGTTCATTTCTGGCCTGGAGCAGTGGCTCACGCCTGTAATCCCAGTACTTTGGGAGGCCGAGGCGGGCAGATCACCTGAGGTCAGGAGTTCAAGACCAGCCTGGCCAACATGGTGAAATCCCGTATCTACTAAAAATATAAAAATTAGCCAGACGTGGTGGTAGGTGCCTGTAATCCCAGCTACTCGGGAGGCTGAGGCAGGAGAGTCACTTGAACCTGGGAGGCAGAGGCTGCAGTGAACCGAGATGGTGACATTGCACTCCAGCCTGGGCGACAGAGTGAGACTCCGTCTCAAAAAAAAAAATGTTCATTTCCTTCTCCACATTCCTTCCTGGGATTACAGCCACCCTAAGCCACTGCTGTCCCCAACAGACCCGTGTCTCTAAGTATAACCATTAGTCTTTGTAATGTACGTTAAAATAGAACTGATATACCTTGGGTCAGAGAAGCTAAAATAACTGCTTTGATGAAACTGGAAAGGCACTGATGGTGTTCACTTGCACCATCAGGTCTGATGGAGGAAGTGTAGGATGCCTTCAGATTGATGTTCCATCAAGTATACGTGGAAAGTTTCAGTATAACCGTTAGGACACTGTAAATGCTGTTCCCTCAGGCCCTACTGCCTCCTGCCAAGTCTCAGGTAAGACACAGCTACCTCCAGGAAGCATTTTTCTATTCAATTCTCCTTTTATTTTAGAAAATTTTGGACATACAGAAAAGTGGAAATACTATAATGAACCGCCACATATCATTAATCAGTTTCAACACTATCAAGTCCAGTGTTTCCTTTCTCTGCCACTTCCACCTCCATTACTCTGAAGTAAATTCCACACATATCACTTCATTCATAATTAAGTTATGTACCCCTCGAAGGCAAACTCTTTCCTTTTATTTACCAATTTGAAAATGAGTCTGTTCCCAAGTATCCTATAAAGATGATTACTGAGTTTTTTTAAAGTATCATTTTGAACCCATTAAACATATCTGATGCAGTTAGCGTCCTTGTGGATGTTCAAACTGTCCATCTTTTGCAAGCAGGAGCCTTTTCATGTTGCTTGAGTTCTGACATGGCCCTAGTAATCCTTATCCTTAATCTTTGATATGACCATGTTCCCACATTATATGAACGTTTCCTGACCTAGTTCTGGAATCAACCACCTCTCCAAAGAGCCTGGAGTTCCTTTTAGAGAGAAATGGTACGTAGACACAATCAACATTATCTTCCTCCTACGCCCAACATCTCAGTTCTCAGTAACACCAACATAATTACTCGTTTCCTTTCCCCCCAATACACACACAACCATCTCAAAATAAAAGCAACAGTCTAGTAATAACATGTTTATTCAAAATACTAACACTGTTACATTCTTTTCATTCTCAGGGCATATTCTACTAGAGATGTACTGTCCTATGTTTTGAAGTCACCTGGAAGAGTTCTTAGTGTGGTTATATGACTACATCAAGAGTTTTTTACTTTTGATGATTAGGGACTGCTTTTTAAAACTTACTTTACTCCATAATCTTAAAATACTCATACAGTTCCACAGTCACATTTACACTAACAAGGCATATTTGAAGTCCAGCTTTCATCCTTGATCCTGCTACTCTAGGCTCTCCTTTCTCCTAAAGATAAGCATTTTCATTATGTATCATGTTTATCGTATAGGCATGAACACACGCGCGGCCCCTTCCAGGCAGTCTTCAGTGATGTCACGTGTTCCCATGGCACCTGTATTGTACTCTTATCAGTCATTATATGGACTTTAACTTCCCCAGATATTATTTGGGCTCCTCCATAAGACTGTGAGCATCTGACCACTGGAGTGTTGCTTCCCATTATATCCCTGTTATCAAGCACAAGGTCAGGCACAGAGTAAGACTCAAAACATGTTTTGGAATGTATGACTGGTATGAACTACAAACCAGTAAGCTGATGTTTTCATTTTGAGTCTATAAATCTAATTTTGTGGTGGTTTTGTGTATGGCTCAAGGCTCAAATTGTAAAATTTAATATTATGTGACCAAAGAAAGTTATACCCAGAACCTCAATTTCCTCACCTTCAAAATGGGGCAGTTTCTCACTCATTGGTCTGCTGTCACGATTTTAATGAGCTCATGCACAAACAGCCCTTTATATAAGGTAAGTGCTGGATAAATGTTGGCTACTATAATAAAATAAGCCTCTAAGATACTTGGTCAGCACAAGTACTACCCAAGAGTATGCACTGTAAGTAAACTGACAAAATTGTGTATCTAAAACTGGCCAGATGAAAGAGAAACTTTTAAGGGGCCCTTCTGCGTGCCCGACACTGTGCTAGGCACTCACACTATCCCGACCCGAGAAACCGATCTGCGACCCAGAGGAACTTACCAAGCCTCCAGCATCTTGTGCAGCCCTACTCATGGGACCATCTGGATACCCACCCTTGTCTTTACAGGGAGCAGAACACACCTCTTATGTGTCAGAAAACAAAGTCCAGGAAGTATATTTTTACCTGAGGCAATATCTGAAAATTGTATGCTACAGCCTCCAAAGTGAGTCTTCCTCTCAGTACCTCTCTTCTAGGCACATGGAGCCCTTTCTTCCAAGTATTATGTTTAACCACTTAATGAATGAAGTCCTGAAACTGCTTACCCATGCTCCCTATAATCTCTGAGTAATCTTCCTTTTCCACAACCTCAGGCATAATCTCATCTTCTGTTTCTATTACAATTTCAAATTCTGGAAAAAGGAAGTTGTGGTCTGGAATTATATGGTCCAGATGATCTGAAACAAAAAGGACAGCACTATTAGTAATCATTTAGTTTTGAAGACAGTCTAATAATTTGCTGTCTCTAAAGTACTATATTCCCTATAGTTCTGGCATTTTAGATAAAGGGTCATAAATTAAATGCCTATATGGTGACATTATTCAGTGATTCAGACTTCACAGCCTTTTTTTTTTTTTTACAAAGGTGTTCCAGGCATGAAAAATTTTAAAGTACTATACCTTTCCTAATTTTACCTTTAAAGTTGTCCTGGAAATATCTGGGTTGACAAAGGCGATGAAACTGAACTGAGACTTAAAAAAAAGATTACCCACCTGGTTGTGCACAAGCCTGCTTATGTCCCAATCTCCAGTCTAGGGTCTGATGCTCCTTGCTGCAGTAATATGCTTTGTGGCATCTGGAGCACGTTTTGGGGCCTAAACAGCCACAAACCCTGCAGAGATGAGCACCAGACTTAAGCTGGAGACACACTGATTCTCCTGTTTCTGGGGGAGGATTCTCAGAAGGTGGCTCATATGAGTAAAAATCGTTTTTCCTGGGTAGTTGATTCCTAAAAACTAAAAAAGAATACAGAGAAAAGTTTTATCTTCAAACAAAACAGCAATTCACATATTTTATCCTCTGCACGTAAAACTGAAAATAACAACAACAAAAAAGAAATGAAAGTTTTTGCTTTCAGGAATAAGCTTTTAAAATCCAGAAACTAGATTTCGTCCGGTACACGCAACTGAGTTGCCTCCTAGAGGTGGTTTGAGTTAATCAAATTAATAAGACTGATCGTTAAGAACGACTGCCAAAAATACGAAAAAGCTACTGGGATCCATCTTTCCAAGACAATTTCTATTATCTGAATTAACACCATACCTGGTACCCACTGATTAAAAGCTGGGGGTTACCAATGCGCGTGGGCACAGTTAGAAGCTTATGTAGCAAAAATGAGCACATCCTGGAAGGGCCCGGGAGAAGGTGCTCCTGGGGCAGCGCGGAGAGGGAGCTCTGAGGCTGGGGCGGCAGCGGTGCTTGCCGCCGTCCCCCTGGTCGCTCCCGGAATTAACGCCGCGCACGCGTCGGAGGCATGGCCCCGTCCCGACCCCGTTTGGCGGCTCACCTCGCAGGCCGGCACAGCACGGCTGCTCGCGGCAGCAGAAGAGGAAGATGCAGCGGTGGAAGGCGTCCGGGCGGCCAGGCAGCGGCGCATACACCTGCAGCAGGAAGGAGAGCGGGCGGCCGCACAGCTCGCAGGCCAGGGCCTGGGGCCCCGGCAGCCCGGCCGCGCCCAGCCATGCCGGCCGCCCGCCCACCTTGCTGGGGAACTGCTCGCTGCGCAGTCGCCACGCCGGCGCCGACTCGGCGAAGCCCAGCTCCACAGGCCTGGCCCCGGCGGCAGCCATGCGGGGCGCGGGCTGGCGTGGGGCGCAGCCCACAGCTGGGTCGGAAGGCGGAAATCGGGCGCCGGGCCGGAAGGCAAGAGGCGGGCACCTTTCCGGAGGACAGGAGGCGGAAACGCGTCTGACGGGAGCGGTTGCAGGACCAATGCGAGGGAACGGGGCAGAGGAAACCTCTCGGCATCAGCCCCGCCCCTGGCGCCTCTGCCTCCGAGCCGCTTTCCTGGTGCCTCCGGGTGCTCTGGGATGGTTCTGGTCTTTGGGAGAGTGGCAGCTGGTGACGGCGCTCCGCTCACCTCTGCACATGTCTTGCTGTGGGCCTGCGGGTGGCCGCCAGGGAGGCAGAGCCCTCCCGCAAACCTTCCCTGCTGGTGTCCACCTCAGGGTGTGGGAAACCTGTGCGCTGGCCGAGTGCTAACCAAGAGTAGGCAGTGAAAGACAAATGAAGGTTGAACAGGTAAAGTGAGGACCCTACAGCGGAAACCAAGAATCCTGTGTGCCTGAGAGTAATGAAGAAGCCTCTGCAGAAGAGTCTTTTCTGTCAGTCTTAAGGTCTCTGTTTTAATGTTAGTGCTGGCTTGCTGTACCTGAATTCCAAGGGAGGAGTGTATAATGAGGCATGGCCAACCCCCACTTCCCATCATTGCCTGAACTAGTTTTTCAGGTTAACTTCAGAATGCCCTTGGGCAAGCAGAGGGTCCATCAGTCGGTTGGAGGGTTTAGAATTTTACTGTTGGTTTGCAAAGGTCTGAAAGAAACATGTACCACCTGTTCTCTTTAAGGAGTTCTACTTAGGAGGTTTCATTTACATAACAAGACCGTGGTTGTCAGCCAGGTCTCCACCCGCATAACCTGTTATGCCACAATCCAAACCCCCATTCTGTAACCTCAAGATGGTATATAAGTTTCTGAACCCCATTTGGGGCTTCAGCAAAATCACTCTGGTTCTCCCCCATGTGCATGTTAATAAATTTGTATGCCCTTTCTCCAATTAATGTGCCTTTTGTCAGTTGACTTTTCAGTGAACCTTCAGAGGACAAAAAGGAAGCTTTCCCTTGGCTACTACAGTGGCTTTAATGGAAGTAAAGTCATCAACAACATTTATTTTTGACAAAATCACAGTTTAGTTGGCAGTATATTTGTTTGTTTTTGTTTTATTTGAGATGGAGTCTCGCTCTGTCGCCCAGGCTGGAGAGCAATGGTGCGATCTCGGCTCACTGCAACCTCCGCCTCCCGAGTTCAAGCATTCTCCTGCCTCAGCCTCCCGAGCAGCTGGGTAGCAGTATATTTGTAATGGTACATAAAATAATGTCTGTTTTTAAATAAACATTTACATTGTAAACCAAAAGTTAACTCTCCATCAATTTTTTTTTTTCTTTTTTGAGATGGCATCTTGCTCTGTCACCCAGGCTGGAGGAGTGCAGTGGCATGATCTCGGCTCACTGCAACCTTCGCCTCCCAGGCAAGCGATCCTCTTGCCTCAGCCTCCTGAGCAGCTGGAATTATAGGTGTGTGCCAATACAACCAGCTAATTTTCGTATCTTTGGTAGAGACAGAGTTTCACCATGTTGGCCAGGCTTGTCTCGAATTCCTGACCTCAGTTGATCTGTCCGTCTCAGCTTCCCAAAGTGCTGGGATTACAGGCATGAGCCACCACATCCGGCATCCATCAATTTAGAAAGTTTATTTCACCAAGATTAAGGTTGCACCCGTGACACAGCCTCAGAAGGCCCTGATGACCATGTGCCCTTGGTGGTCAGGGTACAGCTTGCTTTTATACATGTTAGGGAGACATGAGACATCAATCAGTATGTGTAAGATGTACTTTAGTCAGGTAAAGCGGGACTTGAGGTGAGGGCTTCCAGGTCATGAGTAGATAAGAGGCAAAAGATCGCATTTTTTTGAGTCCTTGATCAGCCTTCCACTGAATACACAATTTAGTCTGGCTCAGTGAATTATCATTTTTACGTAAACAATAGGGGAGGGGAAGCAATTAGATATGCATTTGTCTCAGGCGCACCTTAAAGGGATAACTTTGAGTTCTGTCTGTCCTTTATCCACAAGGAATTTCCTTGTGGGCAAATTTTAAGGGAGGTACGTAGCCTCTTATCTTGGCAGCTATCTTATTTAGGAATAGAATGGGAGGCAGGTTTGCCTGACATAGTTTCCAGCTTGACTTTACCCTTTGGTTTAGTGATTTTGTGGTCCTGAGTTTTATTTTCCTTTCACAGAAATTATACCGTAAAAGTAATTGAAGAAAATCACTTCTTTCCCCTTCCCTCAACTAGGCCTTGACCATTTTAAATAAAATCAGGATTTGCTGAAGGTCAACAAATTTAACCAAGTTCAGTTAAAACTTAACTCTGAATCTGTATGTCCCTGGGGTCTTTTCCAGTGAGAGATGTCTAAGCATCATTCCAAGCTTTTCTATACTAACTGGCCTATTTGTATGTTTCTTATTTTAGGATTCCTTTTGTTCATGTGTATTTTTATTAGGCAATCACCCATTTCCTGTAGGTTTCCAGGTTAATATATTTTTCTTATTGGAATTTTAATTTATCCTCTCTAGTTTTCTACATATTTTTTTTTTCTTTGAGACGAGGTCTCATATGTTGCCCCGGTTGGCCTCAAACTCCTGGGCTTAAGCAATCCTCCCACCTTGGCCTCCCAAAGTGCTGGGATTATAGGTGTGAATTACTGTACCCAGCCTAGAATCCTTAGTCCTATATACTTTTGCTGTTTTTTTCATTGCCAACTTGAAATAATAAAAAGGGTCAGAATCCTATAAACCAAAAATAAAATAAGGCCCCCCAACCCTCTGAATGGACTTCCTCCTCTGACACAGATCTTTTACAATTTAACCTGTATGAACCCCAAAAATTGGAGACAGGTCTCAGTTAATTTAGAAAATTTATCTTGCGAAGGTCAAGGACACACGATTATGACAGCCTCAGGAGGTCCTGACGACATGTACCTAAGATAGTCAGAGCACAGGGTGGTTTTATACATTTTAGGGAGATATAAGACATCAATCAACATATGTAAAATGAATATTGGTCAGGAAAGGTGGGACAACTCAAAGAAAAAATGGGACAACTCGAAGTGGGGAGGGGCTTCCAGGTCACAGGTAGGTGAGAGACAAATGGTTGCACTCTTTTGAGTTTCTGATTCACCTTTCTAAAAGAGGCAGTCAGACATGCATTTATCTCAGTGAGCAGAGGGATGACTGAATGGAATGGGAAGCAGGTTTGCCCTAAGCAGTTCCCAGCTTGACTTTTCCCATTAGCTTAGTGATTATGGGATTCCAAGGTAATTTCCTTTCACATTTCCCCCCTTTTCTTTTTTAAAATATTTTGGAGAAAGCATTTTTGAAGAAAATAAGTTTCTGTTCCCAGGTTTTATCTGCTCTCTCATGGCTAGGATGGTTTTTTCCTAGAAGGGTAGGTCCTGAGTTATTAGGAAAGCTCATTTTTAGAAGGTTGTGAAGTCTAATATCCTATCAAGAGAAAATTTGGGGAGGAAGGGAGAACAATAAGAACAATCTTGGAAAATTGATCTAGGCCACATTACTCTGAAGTCCATACATCAGTAAGCAGGTATGAAAGTGGCTTATGTATGTAAATAGGTTCCCATTATTTTCTTCTGAAGTTTAAGTTGTCTACTTCAGTTCACAGGGCTTCACGAAAGTTAGTTTTAAGTGACTTAGTTTAGTGACAGCTTAGTTTTAAGTGACTCCAAATTAGGAAAAATGGGGAAAAAAAGAAGGAAAAAAATTGAAAACATTATTTTGAAGACTTGTAGCCCACAAAAATTAGAATTTGGTCCAAACTGTAGAAAATGATAAAAATTGAAAAACATTAGGCAAGACTAGAATCTAACAACTGGTGGACTATAGTTTTCCAGTCTCTAGTTTCCCATTTATACTAAAGACAAATCATGATAGGTTTGCCTTATTATATTTGGCCGAATTATTTGTATACAGTGCAGCAAGAATAATTATTTTTTAACATTGGCTTTTAAATTGGCTTTGATGGAACTTTGTTCCATAGAGGGTATTTCAGATAAGACTTTTTAAAAGCTGAGCCCAGCCATGGATTTGTGCCATCAAATACCTGTGAGTTTGGTGATCCTCTCCTCTTGAGGTTCCAAGATAAACTTGAGGCTCCTGGGCCTGTCAGAAAGTGACATTCTTTACTTACCACAGGTCAGGAACCCTGTACAGGAGCTGTGTAGACAAAGTTATGAGGACGGTTTTTCCAAGGGGGTTTAATTGGCTCCGTAAGTCAAGTAAAAGCATTGGTAAACAACCAGTTTCCCCAATTGTGTCCTGTTACAAATGAAAACAGATTATTAGTGCACTTATGCAAATAACTGTATTGTCATAAGTTAAGAATACTTACAGTTTCCAAATTCTGGAGAAATCGGGTAGAGAGAACCAAATGTGCTCCAAATTTTGTTCATAGGAGTATGTGTTACTCAATTGTTAAAAGCTGCAGATAGCCTGACCAACATGGTGAAACCCTGTCTCTACTAAAAATACAAAAAATAGCCAGGCATGGTGGTGCGCACCTGTACTCCCAGCTACTTGGGAGGCTGAGGCAGGAGAATCACTTGAACTTGGGAGGTGGAGGTTGCAGTGAGCCGAGATCGCACCGCTGCACTCCAGCCTGGGCAACAGAGCAAGACTCCATCTCCAAAAAAAATTATCTTGTTTTTATCAATCTTTCTTAAATGTATAGCTCACATTTATTTCAATGTTTAAAATGAGAAATATTTGGGGTCTTTATTTAGACGTTTGTTGATGTTTTTGTGACCAGAAATATGTTACAAGAACTTAACTCTTGTTTATATCAATCATCCCATGGCAAATTGGTTTTATTACCAGTAGTGTTGCTTAAAGTCACAGTTTCCAAGAATCTATCCATGATAAATGAGGACTTACTGGACTTAATAGTACTGAATTGTACACATAAAAATGGTTAAGATGATAAATTTTATGTTATGTGTATTTTACCACAATTTTTAAAAATGAAAAAAAGAAATCCTGGGGAATGATATGTTCAAAGAAGGCTTTGAAAAGCTCTGATATATTCCAGAAATCTAGACAGCTACACAGGGGCAGGGCTTTGTGCGTGGCCATGAAAGACCTGAGGCAGCTGTAATGTTTTACATTTGACTCTGGGGTTCTGTGCCATCAGAAAGTGAAGGCTAAAGCAGACTTGGACTGCCAGAGTGTTGAAGATGTGTCCCAGCACATACAAAGCCACTCTACAAAGGCTGGGAGACATAGGTTCAAGGCATTTAAGGAAATCTCTATCTAATCATTAGCTGACCACTCAGCACACTAAGCAAAGACTGAAAGACACATGACAAAGAATACAGACTTCATAGAATTAGTCAGGGAAAGTCACTAAAAAATTCAACAGCAACAACAACAAAACCCTTGAGAGGGAAGGGTCTGGCTTACAGTTACCACATCCTAGTCTTTAAAATATTCAGTTTTGAGCAAAAATATGAGATACACAAAGAAACAAAAGCCCATGCAGAGGAAATTCTGAGACCAGCTCGATCGGGGAGACCCTAACCCAGTGGCACTAGGGGATATTAAAGACACACACACACAAATATAGAGGTGTGAAGTGGGAAATCAGGGGTCTCACAGCCTTCAGTGCTGAGAGCTCCAAACAGAGATTTACCCACATATTTATTAACAGCAAGCCAGTCATTGGTATTGTTTCTATAGATATTAAGTTAACTAAAAGTATCCCTTATGGGAAACGAAGGGATGTGCCGAATTAAAGGAATAGGTTGGGCTAGTTAACTGCAACAGGAGCATGTCCTTAAGGCACAGATCGCTCATGCTATTGTTTGTGGCTTAAGAATGCCTTTAAGCAGTTTTCCGCCCTGGGCGGACCAGGTGTTCCTTGCCCTCATTCCGGTAAACCCAGAGCCTTCCAGCCTGGGTGTTATGGCCATCAGGAACATGTCACAGTGCTGCAGAGATTTTGTTTATGGCCAGTTTTGGGGCCAGTTTATGGCCAGATTTTGGGGGGCTTGTTCCCAACAGGAAAATAAAGAAGTCAATGGAAATTCTCCATGAGGAGGCCCAGATGTTATCCTTCCTAGGCAAAGATTTTAAATTAGCTATTATAAATATGTTCAGAGAACTAAAGGAAACCATTTCTAAAGACTAAAGGAATGTATAAGAATATCTCACCAAATAGAGAATACTAATGAAGAGATAAGAATTAGAAGAACCAAGTAAGAAATGCTAGAGTTGAAAATTACAAAACTGAAATACAAAATTCGCTAGAGGCACTCAACAGCAGATTAGAGATTGCAAAAGAAAGAAACAGCAAACTTGATGATAGGTACATTGAGATTACCCAATCAGAGGAGCAGAAAGAAAAAAGAATAAAGAGAAATGAACAGAGCCTTAGAAATCTGTGGGATACCATCAAACAAATCTGGAAGTCCCAGAGGAGAGAACAAGGGGGAAAAAAGGCAGAAAGGCTATTTGGAGAAATAATAGCCAAAATTTTCCATTAAGCTTTTCATTTGATTAAAATTTATATATTTTAAAAAGTTTAAGTGTATCCTACTCATACTTTTTAAAGAGGTCCATACCTAGACACATCATAGTCAAACTGCCAAAAAAGAGAGAGAGAATCCTGAAAGCACCAAGAGAAAAACAATTCATCTTGTATAAGAGATCATCAGTAAGATTAACAGCTGGCTTCTTGTAAAAAACTCACAGAGAACAAAATGCTGCAGAATGACATACTTGGGAAGGCAGTGGGGTGGAGAAGCATGCCAACTAAGAATTGTATATCCAGCTAAACTAGCCTTCAAAAACCAAAGAAGAAAAATAAAAAAAAAATGAGATATTCCCAAATTAATAATAAACAAATAACACTGAGATAATCTGTCATTCATAGATCTGCCTTATGAGAAATACTAAAGGGCCTCCTCTTTCAGGCTGAAATAAAAGAACATTACACATAACTTGAATCTACAGAAGAAAAAAGAGCACGGTTAAAAGTAACTACATAGGTATATAAAAATGATAGTATAAATGTATTTTTGTTTGCTTGTAACTCATTCTCTCTGATTTAAAGGACAACTGCAGGAAACAATACCAATAAAAATGTTTTGACAATGTTATATGAAAATTTAATTTGCATGATGGTAATACCACAAATAAGAGGGATGGGAATAGAGCTATATTGGAGTAAAGTTTTTGTGTATGATTTGAATTAAGTTGGTATTAATCTGAACTAGATTGTTTTAAATTAAGATGATAACTGAAATTAAATGTTAATTGAAAGGCAGTCACTAAGAAAATAGAGTAAAAGAAACAAATAAATAAAATGGCACTTAAAAATATCTAACAGTAAAGAAAGCAATAATGGAGAGCAAAATGACTTGAAACATACAGAAAATAAAGAGCAAAATGACAGGCACAAATCCTACCATATCAGTAATTAAATGTAAATGAATTAAACATTCTAATAAAAAAGGCAGAGATTGGCAAAATGGATTAAAACACAAAACACAGACAGAAACAGCAACCATTCTCCAATTATATGAGGAGACCTGCTTTACATTCAGGAAAACAAATAGGTTGAAAGAAAGGGGATGGAAATAAATATACTCTGCAAACAGTACCCAAAGACAGCTGAAGTGGCTATATAAACACCAGACAAAATAGACTTTAATGCACGAATTATTAGAGACAAAGACATTTTATAATCAAAGGGTCAATGTATCAGGAAGACATAACAATTATAAACATATATACCTCTGACAGTAGAGCACCAAAGTAAATGAAACAAAAACTAACTTAAAAAGAGAAATACACAGGTCAACAATAAATGTTGGAGACTTTAATATCCCACTTTCAATAATGAACAGATCTAGGCAGAAGATCAACAAAAAATAGAAGACTTAACACTATGAACCAAATAGACCTAGCAGACATCTGTATAATACTGCATCCAACAACTGCACAATATATATTCTTCAAATACACATGAAAGATTCTCTAGGATAGACCATGTGTTAGGCCCTAAAACAAGTCTCAATAAGTTTAAAAGGACTGAAGTCATACAAAGTATGTCTTCCAACCACAATAAAATGAAATTAGAAATCCATAAAAGAAGAAAATGTGAGAAATTCACAAATAAGTAGTAATGAAACAAAATAACCTATGGGATAAAAAGGAAATCACAGGGGAAATTAGAAAATATGTAGAGATTAATGAAAATACACCATGTCAAAATTTATGGGACACAGGACAGTGTTGAAAAGGAAATTTACAGCTGTAAACACCTATATTTAAAAAGAAAGATTTTAGTTCAATAATCTAAACTTCTACCATTAGAAATGAAAAAGGAAATGCAAACAATCTAAATCAAGCAGAAAGTAGAAAATAGCAGAGATTAGGGTGGAAATAAATGGAAGACCCAAAAAACAGAGAAAGTAATAAAATCAAAAGTTGGTTATTGCCGAAACCAGCTTGGCTGGGGAGACCCTAACCCAGTGGCACTAGAGGAATTAAAGACACTCACACAGAATTATAGAGGTGTGGAGTGAGAAATCAGGGGTCTCACAGCCTTCAGAGCTGAAAGCCTCAAACAGATTTACCCACATATTTATTGACAGCAAGCCAGTGATAAGCAGTGTGTCTATAGATTATAGATTAACTAAAAGTATTCCTTATGGGAAACAAAGGGATGGGCCGAAATAAAGGGATGGGTCTGGCTAGTTATCTGCAGCAGGAGCATGTCCTTAAGGGACAGATCGCTCATGCTATTTTTTGTGGTTTAAGAACACCTTTAAGTGGTTTTCCGCCCTGGGTGGTACAGGTGTTCCTTGCCCTCATTCCGATAAACCCACAATCTTCCAGCATGGGTGTCATGACCATCACAAACATGTCACAGTGCTGCAGAGATTTTGTTTATGGCCAGTTTTGCGGCCAATTTATGGCCAGATTTTGGGGGCCTAGTCCCAACGTGTCCCCCTTCTTTGATTTGCAAAGTGATAAAAGCAAAGGCAGTTTTGTCACGGTGAGCTACTTCTTGCAGGAGTCAGGATCCGCATCTGCAGACTATACAAAAACAACATAGATTAAAAGCACAATCATCATCGAAATCACAGAGCTTCCAAGTGTTTTCATCCATTTTAATGGGTTGCTAGCTGCTTATCTGTCTGCAGCTCCTTTAAGCACTCCTTTTCCTGGCATTAAGGTCAGGTGTGCCTAGGATGCTTTATTTGTTCTTTTAATTTTGCAATATCCAAAAACAAGCTTGTAGAGTGTCCTTCTAGATGCTTTTTAAATTCCTTCCCAAATTTTGATCTAATTAAGAGCTATTAATAATTTCCACAAATCCTTATTTAAGCTCCTAGAGTGGGCCATATCATTTGAGGTTGAGGTGCCACTATACCGCCATGGTTCCAGATGATAGGAACTCTTGCCATGTCTTATCATTTCTACCATCTGACCATTTTGTTCAGACCAGCTGAACATAGTGTGGCTGTGGCATGCAGACTGAGAGGTGCAATTCAAGCCAAACATCCCCTTAGGGGACCAATCAATAATGATTCCATAGGAAGCATTGTGCAGCACCTCTGCCTGTTCTGCAATGCAGTCTTCCTAAACAAGTACATTCATTTTTTCTAACTGGGTCCAATCCTGTTTACAAATAGGTTTTTGAGGGCAGTATGCCTTAATTATAGGAGCAGATTTATTATGGTAAATACTGAGATCAGAAAGCATGTGTAAGTGTGTCATAGAGTGATTACATCCAGGCATTATTGCCAGCCAAGATTGATAACTATGCCCAATAAGTACAGTTGTTCTCTGTGTCAGCACTTGTTGAAGGAATACTCATGGCAATGGTGATCACCGCTGTCATAGCTACCATTAAATTACTCACTGTGACTGGTTGTCCTGCTTTCCTCAGGTTTTCTTCTGCCAACTGTGACAGCTTCTTGATCTGTCCCCAAGTGGGTGGCTGTGTTTGATGGGTGTTGCTCGTGACAGTTGGGGTCCTCCTCAGCATCAGTCTTGAGATGGCTGCAACCAGGGGGTCCTCAGGATCCTCCTGGAATCTCTTCCTCAGCATCTGGCTCATGATAAGGTTTCAGGTATCTTGATGGTATCCAAATCAGCTCTTGATTTTGGCCTGGAGAAACACAAGCATAACCTCTACCCCAAGTTATTATTTTACCTATTTCCCAACCTTTTGTTATGCAAAGTGAGAAAAGGTGTGCACACATACATGTAACGTGTGACATCCATTTGCCAAAGATAATTAGGTTCCAATCCTCGAGGATTAACTCCTCCTGCAAAAGATGAGGAATGCACCATTTGGCAAGTTGGGCATCACTGGATCATAACTTTAGCTTCTTTCCAGGTAATGCTGTATCTGTGTTTCAGACCAGAGGCATTAACATGGGTTAAATTGTGAAAATGTCTAGCAGTAGATATTGCTTTAGCAACTAGGTGATCAGCCATTTGATTCCCTTCAGTCAAAGGTCCTGGAAGAGGTGTATGAGCCCTAATGTGAGTGATGTAAAAAGGGTGCATTCTACTCCTAACTGCTGTTTGCAACTGGGTAAATAAAGTCATTAGTGTCATCTGTTTGAAATTGTAACTGAGCATTTTCAACTAACTGTGTGGAATGAACCACGTATGAAGAATCAGAAATCATATTAATAGACATATTAAAAGCAGTCAATACCTCAATTACAGCTACAAGCTCTGCTGTTAGAGCTGAAGTATAGGGTGTCTGGAAAACTTTAACTTTTGAGCCAGAATAAGAAGCTTTACCATTACTAGACCCATCTGTGAAACAATGAAAATGCTTAGCAGGCTGCAAGTTGTTTACTGCAGGAATTATAAATGTAAACCATTCACAGTCTTGCTTAGCTAAAGTGATAGTAAAGAAACAGTCCTTTAAATCTGTGACAATTAAAGGCCAATTTTTTGGAATTATAGCAGGAGAAGGCAATCCAGGAGGCTGTAATGCTCCCATAGGTTGTATAACTGAATTGATAGCTATTAAGTCAGTTAACATTCTCCATTTACCCGATTTTTTCTTAATTATGAAAACTGGAGAATTCCAAGGGGAAAATGCTGGCGCTATGTGCCCATTTTCTAATTGTTCAGTAACTAATTCCTCTAAAGCCTCCAGTTTCTCTTTACTTAGCGGCCATTGTTCTATCCAAATTGGCTTATCTGTTAAGCATTTTAAAGGTGTAGGTTCTGGAGGCTTAACAGTGGCCGCCATCAAAAATGATATCCTACACCTTGGCGGGAACTTTGTCTTTACGCTTGAAGCGGTTCCTTCAAACCTTGCAATTTTTTTCCTAGTCCCATACCAGGGACATGCCCCATTTCATGCATCATATGTTGACTTTGAGGGCTATATAATTGTTCTGGAATTAGAACTTGTGCTCCCCATTGTTGTAATAAATCTCTTCCCCATAAATTTGTAGGTACAGAAGTTATAATTGGTTGAATAGTCCCAGGTTGTCCATCGGGCCTTCACAATGCAAAATATAACTACTTTGATATACTTCAGGGGCTTTACCAACTCCAACTATGTTAAATTGAGCGGGTGGAATTGGCCACGCAAACAGCCAGTGCTGTAGAGAAATGATTGAAATGTCTGCTCCTGTATCTACCAAACCTTTAAATTTCTTTCCCTGAATAGTTATTTCACAGGTAAGATGTTTATCAGTAATTTGATTTACCCAATAAGCTTCTTTGCCTTGTTTATTTGTGCTTTCAAATCCTCCTGTTCGTTTAATTTAACTTTTCCGTATTTCTACATACGGCACAATCAGGAGCTGTGCTATAAGCTCTCCTGGCTCTGCTTTCCAGGGAACAGAAGTGGATATAACAATTTGAATTTCCACATTGTAATCTGAATCAGTGACTCCTGTTTGTACTTGTATCCCTTTTAAATTTAAACTAGACCTTACTAGAAGTAATCCTATCATCCCTGCTGGCAATGGTCCACAGACTCCTGTTGGGAACTTTTGTGGGGGTTCCCCAGGCAGAAGGCTCACAGCATTTGTGCAGCATAAATCTACTGCAGCAGTACCAGCTGTGGCAGGGGACAAACATTGTAAATCCCATGAAGTATATGGGGTATTAGTGCATTCATTTAGAGCTGAGGGCTCTTAGGTGGAAGATGTTAATAAACTGTCCAGGTCCCATGGTTCAGCAGAGCATTTTCCATTGCTGGGGCCCTTAGGGATCTCCAGGATTTATCCCAGAGTGCCCATAATGGACAGTACAAAAGTGGGAAGAGTTTCCAAGAAAGCAAATACCCCATCATCCACCACAAAACACACTCTCAGCTTATTCATCAATGTGGCACTGGGGTCCTTAATGTGTGGCAGGCAGAGGTAATGACAGTGAGCAAATAGCCCAGGGATTACTTGAGCTAAAAGCAACAAAGGAACCAAACGCTTCGACTTTCTGACCAAACTCAGTTCCCAACTGAAGCTGGTCTCATGCAAGTGTGCTGGCCTGAGTGATCTCACATCCTGTGAAGGCTCTGCCAAGGAGGGATGGTGGCTAGGGTCAGGCCTCCTTAAGAGGGGTCCCGGATCCTACCAGAGGCTAAGGTGGGAGGATCGCTTGAGCCCAGAAGTTTCAGAGCAGCCTGGACAACATGGAGAGACCCTGTCTCTGCAGAAAAAAAATTAGCAGAGCATGGTGGCAGGAGTGTTTAATGCCAGCTACTCAAGAAGCAGAAGTGGGAGGATTGCCTGAGCACAGAAGTACCAACCTGCAGTGAGCTATGATTGTACCCTGACACTCCAGCCTGGGCAAGAGAGTGAGAACCTGTCTCAAATAAAGAAAGGAAGAAAGGAAGAAAGGAAGGAAGAAAGGAAGAAAGGAAAGAAGGAAGGAAGGAAAAGGAAAAGGAAAGGGAAGAAAAAGGAAGGGAAGCAAAGGGAGGAAGGAAGGAAGGAAGGAGAAAGAAAGACAAACAGAGAAAAGAAAGAAAAGAAAGAGGTGCTTTGGAGAAACCCACAGAAGACTTTTACACTTTAGTTGTGTTTTGAATACTTAAATCCAACATACAAAGGAATAGAAATTATATTCTTCACAATTATGATTTTTCTTTTCTTTCTCCCTTTTTTTTTTTTTTTGAGACAGAGTCTTGCTTCTTCGCCGAAACTGGAGTGCATTGGTGCGACCTTGGCTCACTGCAACTTCTGCCTCCTGGTTTCAAGTAATTCTCCTACCTCAGCTTCCCCAGTAGCTGGGATTAAAGGCATGTGCCACCACACCCGGCAAATTTTTGTATTTTTAGTACAGACAGGGTTTCTTCATGTTGGTCAGGCTGGTCTCGAACTCCCAACCTCAGGTGATCCGCCTGCCTCGGCCTCCCAAAGTGCTGGGATTTAAAGGCATGAGCCACCGTGCCCGGCCAGGTCTCAGATTTTTTAGAAAGTTTATTTTGCCAAGTTGGAGGATGCGTGCCTGTGATGCATCCTCAGGAGGTCCTGACAACATGTGCCCAAGGTGGTTGGGGCACAGCTTGGTTTTATATATTCTAGGGTGACATGAGACATCAATCAATATGTGAAAGATGTACGTTGGTTCAGTCCAGAAAGGTGAGACAACTTGAAGAGAAGGCCAAACAGGGGGCTTCCAGGTCATAGGTAGAAAAGAGACCAATGGTTTCATTCTTTTGAGCTGCTGATTACCCTCTCCAAATGAGGCAATCAGATATGCATTTATGAGCAGACAGGTGGCTTTGGATAGAATGGGAGGCAGGTTTGCCCTCAGCAGTTCCCAGCTTGACTTTTCCCTTTAGCTTAGTGATTTTGGGTCCCCAAGATTGATTTTTCTTTTGTAAGGTCTAACATGGTTTCCTATGAGCATTAATTATTCATTGTGTATTTTATTACAAAAATAAGGCACAGATTTTTTAAAAAACATCAATTTCATGACTAGTTATATACACATAATTACACTGAAGTTCAACTAAATTTGGAAACATTCCAGAGTTTGGGTTTCTAATAATTCTTTGTGATTCTTTAGAAGCTAAAATATTTTAACAAAGCAACATCTAAAATCACCTGTAGAATGTCCTGCCATTTTTGTTTCTCTAGTTTCCTCATTTTCTGCAAAGCCTCGCTGAGGAAATTGACTCTGAATATCCTTTTACACTCTTCTGTTTTAGAAAGCATTGTGGTGAAACATTGAATCATAATGGTCACAAGTTCTGTTCACATTCTTTCTTTCTTTGAATATTTTTTCCCAGTGGCCAATATTTGATTCTGTTGTATTATGGGTAAAAGGTAGGCATGAGAACAAAATAAAGACAAGAGGTCTTTTGAATAAGTGATCCAGTCACAATGAATCAATTTGCCATTGGAACATATTTTTACGTCACTCTTCTGAAAATATTTAGCCATGAATTGAAAGAGAGTCTGTAAGATTATTTTTTTCCTGTTCTAAGGTGAACAGCATTTTAGAGAATGAACCACAACCACAGCACAAGAAAAAAATCTGATAAATAAGTTTACACATATGTGTTACTACTGTAACATAAAACATGTAAAGAGCATTTGTTTTGATTTATATATCAGTCTGTATTGTTTAATTTTTTGTGTCATAAATGCTCTTATTTAAAAGACAGGACTATTTAACAGTGTAAATTACTAGTAATTCATGGTATAAATAATTAAACAAGGAAGTGTTCAAAAATATAACAATGTTTTAAATAAGCCCATTTTGTGCTTCTGTAACAGAATACCTGAGGCTGGGTAATTTATAAGTAAAAAACGTTCATTTGGTTCACAATACTGGTGGTTGGAATGTCTGAGATTGGGCAGAGGCATCTGGTGGGGCCTCAGTCTTTTTCACCTCATGGTGGAAAGTGGAAGGGGAGCAAGGGAGTGCACCAGAGATCACATAGCAAGAGCAAAAGCAACAGTGAAGCCAAGGAAGTCAGACTCTTTTTAACTACCTACTCTTGCAGGAATTAATCCATTCCTGTGAGAGCAGAACTCACTCACCTCTGTGGAGGACAATAATCTATTCATGAAGGATCCATCCCATGACCCAAACACCTTCCACTAGGCCCCACCTCCCCACACTGCCACATTGGGGGTCAAATTTCAACATGAGATTTTGCAGGGACAAACCACATCGAAACCTTAGTAATTTGTAGCATAGTTAAATTCTTTTTCACATGATGTATTCTGTGCTGGGATACTCCACATCCTGAATATTTTAATTTAATTTGAATAGAGTTTGATTTACCCATTTTGCTGTAAAATTCCGTGTGTTTTGACAAATGCATAGTTGCAGGTATCCATTATTAAAGAATCATATGGAATGCTTCAAATCCCCACCCCATGCAGCCAATGGCATTCCCATCTGTGCAGTTTGCCTTCTCCAGAATCTCATTAAATGAGGTCACACTGTGTGTGTTCTCCTCAGACTGTCTTCTTCCACTCAGTAATGTGCATGCAAGATTCACTCATGTCTTTGTGTGAGTTGATAGCTTGTTCCTTTCTATGGCTAAATAGTATTCCATTGCATGAATGTACCACAATTTGGTTATGCATTTTAGGGAGCAAAACCTTCCTCTTCTAACTTTGTTCCAGGGTTGGAGACCTTCAAATTAACTGACAATAGATACATTAGTAGGAGAGGCAATACTTGGCTTCTTATTCCACAAGTATCATTGTGGGACAAAATTCATCAGATGGCAGGATCTAGTTTACAAAGAGGTGAAAATAGCCCAAAACGAGAAACAAGACTAGAATCTGATAACCCACAAGGGCTATAGTTTTCCTTTTTAAAAAAATTTTTTTTTGAGACAGAGTCTGGCTCTGTCGCCCAGGCTGGAGTGCAATGGTGCAATCCCAGCTCACTGCAACCTCTACCTCCTGGGTGGAAGCGAACCTCCCTCCTCAGCCTCCTGATTAGCTGGGACTACAGGCACATGCCATCATGCCCAGCTAATTTTTGCAGTTTTAGTAGAGGTGGGGTTTTGAACTCCTGGCCTCCAAAAGTGCTGGAATTATAGGCTTATGCCACCATGCACGGCTGAGTTATAGTTTTCCATTGAAACATAAAATTTCTCTCTGTAGTAACCATCATTTTTGATCATAGATAATCAATGTGAGATTATTCTTGTTTTAAAAATAAGTCTAGTTTCGTTAGATTTTGCCTGAGTATTTATGTAAGTGCAGCAAGAACAGGAGGTGACCACGTAGGTGCTTTCAAGCTTCTTCGCTGGAAGTTTTCATACAGAATCTCAGATTGGACTTTTAAAGGCCTTATTGAGGCTAAAAGCCAAGCCAAGAACATACTTTCAAATTTCAGCTGCAGTCATTGTAGCTTTATGTGAATTCCTCTCTTCTTGACGCCCCCAAAATATCCCCAAATTCCTGGGCCTAGCAGGAAATTACCTTCTTTACTAACCTGTAAGGCTGTGAACCGTGTAATGTAGGTACCAGGCTGGCTTTTCTCAAAGTGCTTTGTAAGCATTGGCTTCATAAAAGTCAGCCTTAGTTCCTTAAAATTGCTGGTCATAACTGATCTCAGGTATACTATTCCTAAATATGATATTCCAGTAAAAGCCTGATAATATAATCAAAGTTTCCAATTATGTCTTGCTATAAGGTGAACAGATGCTTATTGGACTTCTGCTAACAACTATATTGTCATGAAAATAAGAGTATTCAGTAAGATTTTCAAAATTCTGGAGAAATCAGGCAGGGAAAAAAAGATTTTTTTTTTTTCCCCACCCAGCCTCATTTCTGTTTACAAAAGTATAATCTACTAAATTTTTGTGAGTTATAGTTAGCTTAAGAGAAAGAGATTTCTTAAATCCAGAAACTAGAACATTAAAGAACCAGCAGTACTCCAAAAAAGCTATAAAATTATAATCAATTTTCATCACTTCATTCAGTGCCATGTAATCAATTCCAGTCTTGCTGGATCTTGGGTTAGCAGTGTCACGAACCCATCGATTTCTCAACCAGACTTCTGGAGATCTTCACTGAGTCAAGTGTATGGTCTTAAAGTTATTTAAGCAATATCATCAGAAGCCTACAACCAGAGTACCTGTCATAGGCTTTTTCGTGAGTCTCAGAGCGAGTCCTGTGTTGGAGACAAACATTCTGACCTGTAGCTGATTGCAGGAGCTTTCAGGAAAGTATCAGGGGGAAATAGTATCTAAATGCCAAAGAGTATGAAATGGCTGTGATGAAAGGTCAGATGAGAGTTCATTATACCACAACTGACAAGGATATTCGATTTTTTTGGTGGCATACAACGTTTAAAATAATAATTGAAATTATGACTCAAAACAGTATACCGGCACATAGCATGGATAAGGAGGACATTGACAAATTTCCAGTAATTTTATACAATTTCTGAAAACATAACATTTTATCCATACAAATATAACCCAGGGAAGGTTAGGTATCTCTTTTTATTTTATATTTTGTATGGTTTTTCTTATAAAAAATACATCCTACTTTACCTGCAAAACATGCCCTGCTTTTTGCATACTTTTCATAGAGTTGCTTCTAGTTTTTAATACTTAGTAATCTCTATTTTCCAGAGAAACTAGGAAGAAGACAATTTTAAACTGTCATACATTAGCATTCTATAGTAGATTAGAAAATGTATGAGTATACCATCTCCCAACATCTAGAGGGATGTGTTTCCTCATTGTACAATTTCTCAGTGTGGTAGACAAAAATACGTTTATTAACGGGCCAAAATATCTTTACTCTCTCTGTAAAAACAAGAAGCCAAAAGTATATAAACTTGAATTACTTATGTTCAGTAATTAATGTTTTAGTATCGTATCTTATTTAAAATGATCTAGATATTGAATGCAAATCTTTTACTTAGCTTAACTTTAAGGTTAAAAATTACCAAAAGTATTTTGGAAACTATTATTAGGCAGATTTACTGTAAAAAATTATTATTGAAATAATGCTTTTAATAAGAATGACAATTAGAATCAAATCTATAAGCTTTAAGATTTTAAGGATCTAGTAAGTATAATATTAGCTTATTTGAGTAGAACTCAAGCAGAATAGAAATTTGTTTTATATTTAATAGTGATAACTCTGAAGACATAGTTGTTTTATTACACCAAAAATATAAAATTACTCTTATTTAACTAAGTTTTATCGAAATTGTGTTAACTTGAAAAACATTTGGATCAGTTCCTATATTTATTGGAGTTTGGGGAATATTTATTTATAAATGCTTGGTTTTTTTTCCAAGCCAAGTTAGAATAGAGCACTTTTAGAAGATTTTATAAGTGAATTTTGCAATGCTCTCTGGAGTGAAGAAAAATCACATATACATAACATACATTAATATACATACAAACACAAATAGAGGTCTCATAGCTTTCATCCTGAAATATTAGCCATGAATCAGGCATAAATATTCTGATGGTTAATTTTAGACATCTGCTTGATTGATTAAGAGATACTAACATAGCTGGAAAAGCACAATTTCTGGGCACAAGTGTGAGGGTGTTTCTGCAAGACACTGAGATAAGGAAGATCCACCCTGACCCAATGTAGATAGGCACTGATATGGTTTGGCTGTGTCCCCACCCAAATCTCATCTTGAATTGTAGTTCCTATAATCCCTACATGTTGAGGGATGGACCCTGTGGTAGGTGATTGAATCATGGTGGTGGTTACTGCCATGCTGTTCTCATGATAGTGAGTGAGCTCTGATGCTCTGATGGTTCTACAAGGGGCTTTTCCCCTTTTGCTCAGCACTTCTCCTTACAGCTGCCATGTGAAGAAGGACTCTTTGCTTCCTCTTTTGCCATGATTGTGAGGCCCCTCCAGCCATATGGAACTGCCAGCCCATTAAACCTCTTTGTTCTTTTTTTTTTTTTTTTTTTTTTTTTTTTTTTTTGAGATGGAGTCTGGCTCTGTCTCCCAGGCTGGAGTGCAGTGGCGTGATCTTGGCTCACTGCAAGCTCTGCCTCCTGGGTTCACGCCATTCTCCTGCCTCAGCCTCCCGAGTAGCTGGGACTACAGGTGCCTGCCACCACCCCTGGCTAATTTTTTGTATTTTTTGTAGAGACGGGGTTTCACTGTGTTAGCCAGGATGGTCTCAATCTCCTGACCTCATGATCCTCCCGCCTTAGCCTCCCAAAGTGCTGGGATTACAGGCCTGAGCCACTGTGCCCAGCCCAAACCTCTTTTTTCTTTATAAATTGCTCAGACTCAGGTATTTTTTCATAGCAGTATAAAAGTGGACTAATACAGGCACCATCCAATTGATTGAGAGCCCAGATAGAACAACAAGGAAGAGGAAAGGTGAATTATCTCCTTCTGAAACTGAAATATCCTTCCTCCCCTGCCCTTGACATCGGAGCTTTAGAGTTACACCATTGGCTTCCCTGATTCTGAGTCCTTTGGACATGGACTGAGCCATGCTACCAGCTTTCCCTGTTCTCCAACTTGGAGACAGCCTATCGTGGAACTTCTCAGCCTCCATAATTATGTCAACCAATTCCCCTAATGAGTCTTCTCTCATCTATCTATCTACATATATCCTATTGATTCTGCCTTTCTGGAGAACCCTAATGTGGTTACAATAACACAAAATTCACTAGTTTATATGGAAGACTTAGTTTTTGCCTTTGCCCCATTTTATATTTGTATTATAACTGTTTCTGGAAAATGGAACAAGTTTTCGTCTTCTTCATATGAGGGCTAAAGCTTTTTTCTCACTAATATTTTTGGAGATTTTTAAGATTTTCTTTTGTCTTGACATACAATCTTATGAAGGCTGAGAATTAAAATTATTTTTCTATTTTATTTTTCAGGCTCAAGTGTTTGCTTTTGTAGATTCTTGAGCACGTTGAGAGCCTCCAAGGCTTGGAGGGGGGTGCCTAAAGTTTCAGTGATTATAGGGAGTTGAGAGACTCAACTGGGAAAGGAAACGTCTAAACAGAGGCAATTTGAGAGATAAAAGTTTTCTCAAAGGAGCCATTAAAGTTCTAAATAATTCTTAGTAAAGTCATGCAAACAGGAAAGGAAGTAGACAGGATTAGTTCCTTATTGGTGGAACACATAGTCAGCGGAGGTTTGGGAAGGGAGATTTTAGTCAACTGAGAAGTTCCCATGAAAGGAGCAAGATCAAGATCTGATGGAAGGGGAAGAGACACCATGAAACAAAATCCAGGAATAAGTTCCAACCCAAGAGGAGAACAGAGAGGCCTCAAAACCAAAGCTAGGATAAGAAACTTCTAGCCTGAGAGTTACCTTCTAGACAAAGAAGACTGAGATTCCAACCCAGCTTCAGAGAGTACTCACATTTTGATGTTACTCAAACTTTAGGCTTTTTAATGACTTAGCCATGCATGCAAAAGGCATTCCCTAAGGTGGCACAGAAGACGGAGCCCCTATATCCAAAGATAGCCAAGGAGAAAGAAAGACCCCTGTTGCCAGAGCCAGTGGATAAAGGCAACAGAAAAAGAGACAAGGGTCCTTATGTGATGAGACCTTTTCAGATTTAGGCTTATATAAACTCCTGAGAACTGGGAGGATGAGAGCCACAGATGGGGTACCAACATTTCTACTCATTTGATTACAAGTTCTCGGGCATCCAAAATGATTAACAAAATGACAATTTCTAGGGCTTCTGTGGGATAGTATGGAAGGTCTTTTTGAACGTTTTAATGCTGTCAACTGAAGAGTGATGAAGTTCATATATTTGGAAAGGAAAGATTTCTTTATTTTTATGTTTCTTTATTCTTTTTTTTTGAGACGGAGTTTTACTCTTGTTGCCCAGGCTGGAGTGCAATGGCATGATCTTGGCTCACTGCAACCTCCACCTCCCAGGTTCAAGTGACTCTCCTGCCTCAGCCTCCCAATTAGCTGAGATTATAGATGCATACCACCATGCCCAGCTAATTTTTTGTACTTCTAGTAGAGACAGGGTTTCACCATGTTGGCCAGGCTGGTCTCCAACTCCTGCTGTTAGATGATCCACCCACCTCAGCATCCCAAAGTGCTGGGAGTACAGGCATGAGCCACTGCGTCCAATGAGAGATTTATTTCCTATAAAGGGTTACAGCCTGCAGGGTAGTTCTTCTGACAGGCTAGGAAGTATAGCCTCCAGCCAGAAGCCAGAAACAGACATTTTCAAATGTGAGTTAAAGGAAACAGTAATTTATGCTGAGTGGCATGGCCAAATACACATATTTAATAAGCTCTAGGAGGAGTCATGAATATTTATGAAAGGAGAAATGCGTGCATGCGCAATTGAGTGTCTTGCTCCTTCATGGGTCCCATGTACAAAAATTGGCAGTGTTAGCATGATCCCAGGATGGAGTTTTCAGCCCCCTAACACTAAAAGGTGAAGCAGAGGACATGAAAACTCACTCTGTGCATCCTCTGTACGCTGGCCAGAACCTCTCCGTCATGGGTGGTCTCTTATCAGGCAAGAAAGGAGAGGCGGCTTCAGGCAGTTGGTTGATATCAGTGGTGGAGTCTTTTTCAAGGGCTGGTTTCTGTTAAATCCTTAGGGAAGAAAGCCTCATCATGGTTAGCAAAGGAGAGGGTATAACAAGGTGTATCTGACTCCCATCATCCCATGCTGGCCAAGCTGAGAACTCAGTTTTGAAAGTTACTCTTGGGTCCCCTCAGCCAAGAGTGGGTCTGTTCAGTCAGTTGGGAGCTTAGGATTTCATTTTCATTTATCATTGCTAATGGGAAAGGGTACGCTGTCTCCATGGCAGCTGAATTCGCAAGAAACTCCTTGGATGGGGTTAATGGCAGCTGTATTTTTCTGTGACCTTGGCTTTAATTGGATAAAGTAAGTTCTGGTAAGATTTCTTCCTTTATCTTCAGTATCTCAAATGTTTTCATTTAAATAATCTTTATAACAACTTTTGATGTCTGAGTGGAGTCCCACACAGTCATCTATTGTAAGACTTTCTGATTCCTTTTTTTTCCTTTGGTCATTATGAATAGGGCTTCTGTAAATAATTGCATGGTAGCTTTTGTTTGGAAATAACATCAAAGTAGTTGTCAAAATACTTAGGAATGTGATTTTTGGATTGTAAGGTGAGACTTGTTTAGCTTTAGAAAAAACTGCCCAACTTGTAATGGGGAGGAAAAAAATTTTCTATGTTTTTGGAATTCTTAGATGGGACCCTCTGTAAAAACTGACAGATTAAAATGAGAAAAACAGAAAAGTTTAAAAACACGTATACCTTATGGATACATGGGAGATACTCAGGGAAAAATGAGTAAATCTCCAACAGGTGGCTTTCAGTTCAAGCATAAATACTATCTTCAACTTAAAGAAAGAAGATTTGAGGTGCAGTGGTGAGTGGGGAGTTAACCAGCAAAAGCACATTAGACAAGGGTAAGGTTTGTTATACAGACTTAAGTCCACGCATTCTCCATTGATAAGACTCTTTAGTGATTTAGTTATCCTTCTCTTCTTGTTGTCGAGAGAGGTAGCTTTTAAATGGTGATTTCCTTTATAGATGTAAATTTTCCTTACACAAGTGTAACTTCTACTCTGTTTTCACAACTTCGTTAGCATTTTTTTTTTTTTCAAAATAATCAGCTTGGAATAATTCTTAAGCCAAAGGGACATATTTTGTGGTGGCATATTCTGGTTTCCTACCATTATATTTTGGGGTGGCATATTTTGGTCTTATACACTGTGTTCCACCGGCAATGAAAAGAGTTCTTGTTTTTCCTCCAGCAATTTGTCATTTTGTAGTTTAGCAGTTCTAAGAGCTATACACCAGCTGTGCTATCTCACTGTGGTTTTCGGTTCTCTAGTATGTTGAGCATCTTTTTGTATGTTTACTTGCCATCTGTAGATCTTCTTTGGTGAGGTTCTGTTCAGATCTGTGTGCATTTTCAATTGGGTTGTTTAACTTATTGTTTAGTTTTAAGATTTTTTTATATATTTTGAATACAAATTCTTTCTCAGATCTGTATTTTGCAAATATTTTCTTCAATATGTGGCTTGTCTTTTTGTTCTCTTAACAAGGTCTCTTCCAGAGTATAAACTTTAAATATTAAGAAATCCACATTGTCATTTCTTCTGTGTATATCAACCTTTTGTGTCATTTGTTAAAATTCATTACCAAACCCAAAGGCACATAGCTTTTCTTCTATAGTTTCTTCTAGAAATGGTACAGTTTTGCATTTTTAGTGTAAGGATGATTTTGAGTGATTATTTGTGTAAGTTGTAAAGTTTTCATCTACACACATATCATTTCTTATGGTTTCCAATTAACTGTTCCCTATTTCTGGGAAAGACACAGGATAGTGGGCTCTGTTAGAGTAGATAGATAGCTAGACATGAACAGGAGGGGGAAGCTCCTGGAAAAGGGAAAGTCTGGGAAGCCTCACCTGGAGGTACCACCAAAAATTCACATATTAGTAGCATCTCTAGTGCTGGAGTGGATGGGCACTTGTCAATTGTGGGTAGGTGGGAGAAGAGGTACCTATGCAGAAAGAAACACCCTAGAATTCCTCTTAAGATGCCCCAATCATCATTCATTCTGCAATAAAAATGTCATACATCTACTCTACTGCACCCAGCCCTCTTCTGCAATTTCAATAATCAATTGTGCTATTTGCCTTTCTTTCAGCAATGAGATTTTATTTTTCTTTCCTAATTATTTCAAACATGAACTTTGGTTCCAGAGAACTAGTATTTCCTTGATTTATAAATTGAGGGCAGCTGGGCATGGTGGCTCACGCCTGTAATCCCAGCACTTTGGGAGGCCAAGGCAGGCAGATCACTGAAGGTCAGGGGATCAAGACCAGCCTGGCAAACATGGTGAAACCCCATCTCCACTAAAACTGCAAAAAATAGCCAGCCATGGTGGCAGGTGCCTGTAGTCCCAGCTACTCAGGAGACTGAGACAGGAGAATCGCTTGAACCCGAGAGGTGGAGACTGTGGTGAGCCAAGGTCGTGCCACTGCACTCTAGCCTGGGTAACATAGGGAGACTCTATCCTCAAAAAAAAGATAAAAAAATTGAGGGTCATCTCACAGACGATCTAATAATGAATTATTTTTTTGTCTTTAGAAAATCAACATTAACTTTTCTACTTTTAGATATCGTAACTGCTGTGACTTGAAGGACTTATCTAGAAAAAGCCTTAAAAAACTACGGTCAGCACTGGGTGAATGGGTTGGGGGAACCCACATAAAATCCCCAAGACACCTGGGAGTCCATGTCCCCATGAGTGGGACTGCAGGCAGCTGTAGCAGACTGGATGGGAGAGGGCAGCAGGCAGGAGAACTCGGGGTCTGGAGTCCACGGTTCTAAGGCCAGGGAAAACCACTGGCAAAGTGAAATGCGGAGCTTGACAGGATGAAATTTGTGATTGTAAATGAATATTTGCCATTTCCAAGTGAGATCGCCAGTGGTGGTGGGATGGATGGGTGCCCCTCCAAGTGGGCTGCAGTGAGGAGAGCGTGGCACCAGGCCAGGATGCTCCTGCCAGGAACACAGGATCTGCACACGTTTAGGAGGAAACGCTGGGCAGACCCAGCTTGGAGTCATCTCTGCTCTTTACATCTGTTAAGGCTGTGAAAACTGAGAGTCGGCCGGATGCAGTGGCTCACGCCTGTAATCCCAGCACTCTGGGATGCCGAGGCGAATGGATCACCTGAGGTCAGGAGTTCAAGACTAGCCTGGCCAACATGGTGAAACCCCATCTCTACTAAAAATACAGAAAATTAGCCGGGTGTGGTGGTAGGTGCCTGTAATTACAGCTAATCGGGAAGCTGACACAGAAGAATATCTTGAACATGGGAGGCAGAGGTTGCAATGAGCAGAGATGGCGCCATTGCACTCCAGCCTGGGTCACAGAGGGAGACTCCGTCAAAAAAAAACAAAAACAAAAACAGAAAACTGAGTCTCAGGAACAGTTCCCGAGAAGGAAAATTGGGCCCGCATGGAAATAGACATTTTTCTCCCACCTAGGGCAGGGAGTGAAGTGAAATAGGTCTGTGGAGTGGACTTTCACATAGAAACCATGTATTTCCTAAATTGGGGGTTATTTGGGGATCACCTGGAGGAGTATTCCTGGTTTTGGTGAAACACACGGGGGTATTTTTTGTGAAGCTGCAAATCTGGCACAGCAATAACAGCTGGGGAACTGGAGATAAAGGAGAAGGCATACTAAGTGCTGTTGCAAGTTTCCCAGAAGTATGACATTATTGGGAAGTAAACTACTTTTTAAAACAACCGTGGCAATACCACGTCAGTAAGGCAGAGACAACACCATGAAGTTTCATGACAGAGGCCAAATCCAGCCCAAACCCAGCCCAGCAGAGGCTGTCAACTCAGCGCCCCAGCGAGAGCCGGAAGGTTCCATCCTCAGAGCTGCAGACCCTCTCGTGTGGGCTGCAAAGGCCATGTCTGCATCCCGGGCGGTATGTACGCTCTGAGAGATACATGCGTGTTCCGGGGGTTATATGAGTGTGACGGGTGTGGCGTGAGTCTGACTGTGTCACGGGCGTTCCAGGGGTTACGTGTGTGCTCTGAGGGACACATGCGTGTTCCAGGGATTATATGAGTGTGACGGGTGTAGCGTTAGGTGACAATGTCATCTCCGAGTTCCAAGCGTTATGTGCGCACTGAGGGACACATCCACGTTCCCGGGGTTGGATGTGGAAGGCAGCTACCCCGACGGGTGTGCTCTCTGCATACGACGGGTGCTAACACTAGCATCACAGATGCAGTGTTATTAGTACTACGGAGGTTATTATCAGTGTGGCGGGTGTTCTAATTGCTTTCCTGACGCTACATTTCTGTTCCAAGACCGCAGCTTGGCCCTGTGGCTGCCTCGCCTTGGGTGTGGAGAATGAACCTCGAGTGCGCTGGATTCACAGGGGATTTTGGTTTCTAATTTTCCACATGAAGGGCCAAGGCGGGTGGATCACTTGAGATCAGGAGTTCAAGACCAGCTTGGGCAAATAGCAAGACCCTTGTGTCTACAAAAAAAAAAAAAAAAAAAAATTAGATGGCATGCTTGCACGTACCTGTAGTCCCAGCTACCCAGGAGGCTGAAGTGGGAGGATTGCTTGAGTCCAGAAGTTTGAGGCTGCAATGAGCCAGCCATGATCGCACCACTGCACTCCAGCCTGGGCGACAGAGTGAGACCCTGTCTCTCTCTCTCTCTCTCTCTCTCTCTCTCTCTGTCACACACACACACACACACGTTAAATTTGTTGGATTATATATTTAGGGGGTTGAGCACTTTTGGTTATAAAATATTTATGATTGTGGGAACAAGTTAATAAAGACACGAAACTTATTTAAATGTCCCAGAACTTTAAGAACAAAAAGCATTCTTAGTTTAAAAATAAGTTTTACTTTAAAGGTAATAGTACACACATAAATTGTTGTTAAAATCGACAGTAACAAAGAGAAGTAACAATACTAATGGCCTGTCACAAACTGATTCTTAATAACCTATATAAACAAACGTTAAGCCCGGGCGCTGGGTGGCTCATGCCTGTTATCCCAGCACTTTGGGAAGCCGAGGCAGGCAGATCACTTGAGGCCAGGAGTTCCAGACCAGCCTGACCAACATGGTGAAGCCCAGTCTCTACCAAAAATACAAAAAAATTAGCCGGGTATATTGGCATGCACCTGTAATCCCAGCTACTTGGGAGGCTGAGGCAGGAGAATCCTTGAACCCAGGAAGCAGAGGTCGCAGTGAGCCGAGATCATGCCATTGTGACAGGAGAGAAACTCTGTCTCAAAAAAAAAATTATATGTTTACAACAGGTGCATTCCTCCTCTTGCTTTCTGAGGACGCCCTGCTATGTAGCTGAGTAGTCGCTAATAAACTATCTTAACTTCACTATACTCTGTGACTTGCCAAAAGGTCTTTCCCATGTGAAATCCAAAAACCTATTCTTGGGGTCTAGGACAAGACCCATTTTATAATGACAAAACTATACAAATTCTAGAGGAAAACATGGAAAGAAAGCTATGTGACCTTGGGTTTGGCCATGAGTTTTAACACGACACTATCAGAGGCATTTGAACCCCTCCTCTACATGAACTCCAGGGTGGTTTATGTTCCACTGGCTAAGGGAAAGTTTTCTTCAAAAATGTGACATGATTTGAGGTCAAACATTAATATCAAGTAAACTCAAAAGATTGAGAAGCTAGCATTAGTTCTGGGAAAACCAGAAGTGTGCCTTTTTTTGGAAATAATCATTGGTAGCACAAACTTAAGAATCTCCAAAGGAAATAAAAATGAGTTATTAACTTACAGTTTTCACCAATTAAGATATAAATGAAGCTAATGAAATCCGGAAATACAATTTCACTGTTTTTAATGTTCATTAAAAAAAAAAAAAAAAACCTTATCAAATAGCCCCAGTAAGTCACCAATTAAGTCTTTACTACTTAAAAGCAAAATCCACCTATGTCCTGAACACTTATCCACTTTACAAGCCTCATTATATGTACTGGAGACAAAATTCAGAAATAAATAAATATATATGTACATATATACAAATATATTTCAAATTAAAAAATACTTTTAGAGAGTGGTATGTATTACATTTAGAAATTAATAACGAAGTAAATTATGGGATGTCATCCACGCCTGTCCCAAAGGTACCGAATTTATAAATCATCTCAGGTGCGGAGCAGGACAGGTTGAAAATAGGAATGACATGAACCCGCGCGGAACAGCTGCCGGCGCGGTGTCCAGGGCGGCACCCCGCCCGGTCCCGGCCCCTCCAGCCCTGGGCCCGACCCCTACTACGCCTCTGCCTCGACGCGAACGCGGAGCCCGAGCGCGCGTCACGCCGTGTGGGGCCGAAGAGGCTGCTACCCAGAGGCGGAGTGCGGGCTCGCGAGGGTCCCCACCCCACTCTCGCTCCCGCCAGCACCTACGGACTCGCGTCCCCGCCGCGCGCCGACTCGGGAGCAGCACCGCCCCCGGCACAGGAGCCTCACGCGCCTCTTACCTAACAGGAAGTTGGGTGGAAGCAGCGCGGACCCACGGCACACCGAACGCACTCCAACAGAACCCGACGCAGACACGCGCTTTCAACCGGCGGAGACACTGGCAGGTCAATAGAGATATTGACTATATAAACAAAAGAATGACAAATTAATAGTGTAATGGATAACTTGACTTTGGCAAATATTGTGAATTTTTGTGAAAGTACAACTAAAAGGCAATGTCACTCCAATAATCACCAGAGTAATCAATTTGCTTATTGCTGTCCCTTTAAATATAGTTCTCTGGTATCAACTAACATGTTTTTAACTAATGATGCTTCTTAAAGAAAAGGGAAAAGACCTTTTTCTTTCTTTCAGTCTTCAATGATTCACTGCTTCATCTCGCTCCACCAAAGATAAATGAAATCTACATCTCTTATACATTAACAATGCATGACAATTTACAAATAGCTAAATTTTTGGAGCTAACTTTAAGTACCTGAATGGAATTTAATCAACCCACTAATCTCCTTCTCACTTCTCAGTTATTTATCAAGTTTATGTCAAGGGACAAGGAAAAATTATCCAAACATTGTTTAAAACAATCATCATTAATTAGTAACACTTATCCAGGGGGGTTTTTAACCTTTCCCCCACTCAAGGATTATTCTAATGTCAGAGTAGAATAAAAAATAAGTGCAGCGATGCTGACTCTTCCAAGCTTAACATTTCTCACAAGTCAATTAGCTTTGTACTGGGAGGAGGGCGTGAAGGGCTGCTTGCGGTAGTTGTGTAGCAGCAGCACAATGGCCGCAGACAAGGAAAACAGTTTCTAAAAATTCCTCGTATATAATTTTATATTTTTGACAAGATTAATGACCCATGCTCCCTTCCTCTCCATTTCTTTTTTTGGAATTCTGTTGGTATGTAGTTACTATATTTTATTAAAGGAAATTAGCCTTATCTCTTTTTATATTTTATTAAAGAAAATTATTATATTATTCCTTTATATTTTTATTAAAGGATTTTATTATTATTAAAGGAAATTAGCCTTATCTCTTATTATATTTTTTATGACCTTCAAAGTAGTGTCTCTGCTTAAAAGTGTACCCTGGCCGGGCGTGGTGGCTCACACCTGTAATTCCAGCACTTTGGGAGGCCGAGGCGGGTGGATCACGAGGTCAGGAGATCGAGACCATCCTGGCTAACACGGTGAAACCCCGTCTGTACTAAAAATACAAAAAATTAGCAGGGCATAGTGGCGGGCGCCTGTAGTCCCAGCTACTCAGGAGGCTCAGGCAGGAGAATGGCGTGAACCCGGGAGACGGAGCTTGCGGTGAGCTGAGATCGCACCGCTGCACTCCAGCCTGGGCGACAGAGCAAGACTCCGTCTCAAAAAAAAAAAAAAAAAAGTGTACCCTGAAGCACACATCAAGCGACATGTAGAGTTCATAAATTCTGGCCAAATGGTCATACCTCAAACCTCATCAGCACTAAGGCTCTTTACTTGCACTGACAAATATGAACGCTGGGGAATTTGGAAATGATATATAATATATAATATTATATATATAATAGATATATAATATATAATATATATAATACATATATAATATTATATATGTAATAGATATACAATATATAATATATAATAGATATATAATATTATATATAATAGATATATAATATTATATATAATAGATATATAATATATAACTTTCCATGTGATTTTCCTCTTAATTTTTTTCTAGCTGATCCATATGAATTCCTCTTATTAAGAAAAATAAAGCATCCAGGATTCAATGAAGAACTGACTATCACCTTGTTAATCATTCAGAAACATGTTGCAGGCTTAAGCCATTTTTGATATAGATACTGAAACAATTACTTGCTAAGAGCAAACTTGAAGGTATGGATAAGGCCCTGAGTCATCTTCCTGAGCTGAATGATAGTTAAGCTGAATGTACGTATAAAATATGATTTTCTAACCACTTGCTCGCCAACAAGGAAAACTTTTAAGTAGAGCAGAACCTGAATAGACAAGACATTTCTTTCTTTTGGTAGAAAATGATTTACCATCACTGTGTAGTTAATTGTAGACTAGGTAATTTTAACTTTGTGATTTATTGCCGGAGACATTTTCTTCTGTACTGTAAAGTGTGTGTCAAAAAAAAAAATAGCGATTTTGGAGGATTAGGGGACTTTGATAAATTGCCTGCAATTCTGGCAGTATGAACTGCATATTAATTTCTGTCTTTCAAGAACATTTTTATTTATTAATTCCTTACAAAAACTCCCTAAACTTTGGAACAGCTCTCAATTGCCTGTATTCTTTTTTTTCTTATTATGGTACTCTTCTAGAGATTTGGCTTGCATCTGTGAATAAGCCAGGACATCTTCAGAAATTGTCTGATTAAAAACACCACCAATGGAGTTTCATTAAATTTGTATTGCTCTGACTAGTGAAACACACACATCTATGTTGCTGAGGATATTTTACTGCAGTTCGAGTTGTAATAATAGCTCTGTTTAAGATCCGTCAGTCACTTGAATCTTCTCTAAGGCTTTGTATGTTAGAAGTTAATTTGCTTTCTTACAAGGCCACATTCTATCTTGTAACTAAACAACTGAATTTTATGTCTTAGCGTAGATGGTTTACTACTTTCTGGTTTTTCTTTAGTAAGAATCCTATAAAAACACTAGTATTTTTCTCTGAGTTTAAAATTCAATACATGCCTACTGATATGGTTAGGCTTTGTATCCCCACCTGAATCTCGTCTTGAATTGTAATCCCCATAGCCCCCATAATCCCCACAGGTCAAGGGAGAGACCAGGTGGAGGTAATTGAATCATGGGGGCAGTTTCCCCTGTGCTGTTCTTGTGATAGTGAGTTCTCACGAGATTTGATGGTTTTATAAGGGATTCTTTCCCCTTTGCTCGGCACTTCTTCATGCTGCCTTGCGAAGAAGCTGGCTTGCTTCCTCTTTGTCTTCCGCCATGATTGTAGATTTCCTGAGGCCTCCCAAGCTGTGCTGAACTGTGAGCCAATTAAACTTCTTTCCTTTATAAATTACCCAGTCTTGGGCAGTTATTTATAGCAGTATGAAAACAGAAAAATACACCTACTATGTAAAACTTAAAATACAAAAAAACAAAACATTATCTCACTAACATAGGAGCTAATATTTTGGTGTACTTTGTTTAGTATTTTATATTAAAAATATGTACATATATATTTATATATAATTAAGAACATGTATGTACAATCGTGCATACATCATGTACATACATCTACTTAAGAAAATAGCTATGTAATATACCATTACTCAACTAGATTATAATTTTTTCTCCATTTCTTTATTGTAATTTATCATTTTCTACTTTTTTGTTTTCTCATTTTTATTGCATAATATTTAATTATGCAAAAAATACATTAAATACATTGAAAATATATAGTGTAGCTATAAGAATAAAGAACGATGGTAAAACAAATGCTAATACCCACTACCTGACTTAAAGAATATGATATTATTTTTTTCCAATTGAAATTCCCTCAACTACTCAGAATTACTGCTATCCCTCTTATCCTTTCATTAATTTTCTTCTAGTTTTCTCACATGTGAATCTATTTCTAAATACATTATTTTGCAAGTTTTTGGACTTCATATAAATGTAACCATATTGTATATATTCTTCTTCAGCTTCTTAGTTTTTCACTAAACAATATGTTTTGCTGATACTTACATTCATATGTACAGTAATGGTTGATTTATTTTAATGGCTATATATTATTCCATTGTTAGAATACACCAGGATTTATTTTTACTTATTTTTTTTTGCTGGAAAATTGGGTGTCTTTTTTATTTTTTGATATAACAAACAATGTTGTAATCATTTTGTATTTACTTCCTAGTCCACTCCTGTAAGTTTCTCTTGAGTACATACTAGCAATGAATATGCTGAGTCACTGCATATACATACTCACAACTTTATTCTATAATGTAATATTCTATAAAGTAGCTGTATCAGTTTATACTTTAACCAGTAATGGACAAGATTTTCTGTTACTTCCCATCTTTGTTAATTATTACTTTTAGACTCTAACTTTTATCAGGCTCATGGATGTAAAAAGCATCTCAGGGTGGTTTTAATTTGCATTTATCTGCTCATCTATGAAGATGAGCTTCTTTTCATATAATTATGAGTCATTATTTTTGTTTTGCCTTCTTTTGTTTATGCATTTTGCTTGTTCTATGTCTTATTTTTCCTGTTGATTTTTGGGAGTTCATATATATTCTAAATGTATATTTATTCACTTATATATATGTTGTAAATATTACAGTTTATGATTTGTCACCTTATGATATCTTCCAAATAGAGAAGCTTTATATTTTGATGTAGTCATATGTTCATTTTTCCTCCTTAATGTTTGTTTTTCTTGGTTCTATGACCTACCAAAAGTAACAAAAATTCTCATTTATTTTTAATCTAAATGTTTTAAGTATTTTCCTGGAATTCACCTTGAATTGATTTCTATTGGAGATAGGTATCCAATCTAATTTGCCTCATATGGATAACCACTTGTTCTATTACTGCTGTAACAAATTTCTACAAACTAAGTGACCTAAAATAACACAAACTTGTCATCTTACAGTGTACACAAGTCAGAAATCAGGCATGAATTTTAGTGAACTAAAATCAAGTTGTCGACAGGCATGTTTCTTTATGGTGGCTAGGGTAGAATCCATATCCTGGCCTTTTCTATCTTCTAGAGAACATCAGCATTCCTTTTCTCATTGCCTCTCCTCTCTCTTTTTAAAGCTGGCAATGTCACATTTCTCTGACCATTCTTTCATTGTCACATCTCTCTCTGGACTCAGCTAAGAAAGGTTCTCCATTTTTAAGAACTCATGTGATTAGACTGGGCCCATCTGGGTAACCCAGGAAGATCTCTCCATCTCGGTTTGCATCCTTAATCACATCTGATAAGCCTTTATTGCATTCAGTGTAACATATTCACAGGTTCCAGGGTTAGGCATGGGCATCTTTGAGGGCCATTATTCTCCCTACCACATTATTTGCCTAGCATCTTTCATTACATTGTCCATCTATTTACTTACTGATTTCTAATGACATCCAAATCAGTTACAACATTTTATGTAAGCATTGTTTTTATTTTTATGTTATTCCACTAGTCTATTTTTCTACTCATGAATTATGGTACATGAGTTTATTTTTGCAACTTTAAGCTCAATAACATGTTTTAAGATTTCCTCAACTTTCTTTTTGCGCTTCTTCAGAAGTTGACTCTTTTGGCCCTTTGGTCTTCTATACACATTTTAGAAATGCTTTGTTGAGGACTAAGAGGAATGCTAAGATTTTGATAGGAATTTCATTGAATTTTGAGTATATTGGCATGCTACAATGGTTAGTGCTTTATACATGAAAATAATATATCCCTTCCTCTTTTCCTAGTATCATGAGATGTTTGTTAGGCAGACATGAATATTGAGTTGTATCAAATGTGGTTTTCTGCATTATTGTGGTGGTGATGTGATTTAGCTCCTTTAATTAGTTAATGTAATGAATTACATTTGTAGATTGCTCTAACTATTGAAACAAGCTTGAATTTCTGGAATAAGCCCAATGTGATATTTATTCAACAAATATTCATTGAGTATACCTAGTATGTAACATGCTTTAAGAATACACCAGTGAACCAAACAGAAATATCTGACATTACAGAACTTAACATTCCAGTATTTGGAGACAGACGATAAAAAAGTGAACATGTATATTTACAGTTTGTCAAGGAATGATAAAGGAAGACTCTTAAAGTAGATGGGGAATTGGGAGTGAAGTCTGTAATTTAAATAGGGTGGGCAGGAAAGCTTCACAGAGAATGGGACATTTAAGAATAGACTTGAAGGACAGGCAAGAGCAATCTCTATGTTTATATGGGAGAAAAGGTTCCAGGCAGATGCAGTAACAATGGCAAATATCCTGAAGTAGGATCATGCTGGAGTTTTTGTGGAGCAGCAAGGAGGCTAGTGTGACTGCCACAGAATCACCCAAGGGAAGATGAGAAGATCAGACCAGACCAGCACTTGGGCATCTAATGGGAAAAGTTTCTCAAGCCATCATAAAAATTTCACTTTTACTATAAATACTACGAGAAACCATGGGATGTTTTACAGTAAGAAAGGTGGCATAATATGTTACATGTTTTAAACAAACTCTATAGCTTCTGAGTTGAAATAGATTGTAGGGGCTCATGGCAGAAGCAGAGGGAACATTTAGGAGACTACTGTAAAGAATATCATGAAAAGAACAAACAACGCTATGTAACATGCTTAAATGGACTGAAGAAGATGTATAAAATCAAAATGATGTTACCTTCACACCTTGAATCAGTACGATAAACCCCCCTCCCCAATCACAAAAGAAAAACTAAACACAAAAACCAGGCTTTGGTTGCTCAGACAATTTTACAGGTGAGTTCTAGCAAACATGCAAAGAACGTTTAATTGCACTGTTACAGAAATTCTTCTGGAGACAAGAAAATAAGACACATCACCCAACCAATTTCATAATAACAATGTCAATGTATAATAACAGAAAAAGTGGATCTCCAAAGAAATAAATTTATTTGGAAATAAACAAGGATTATAATCTGAGATATTTGTGCTATGATCAATCATAGGTGCATCCCAAGAGGTTGAGGTAAGGAAAATATGTAAAGACAAAAAGAAGTCCATGCAAGCTGTTTTGAAACAAACATCATTGGTCACAGGGTCTGATGCAGGAGCTGGTGTTAACTTACTGGCAGAAACAGCCATTGCTAGGCAAGTGTTCTTGTGAGGGTGGCTTATCTGAAATGCTGCAGTCTTGAGGAATTTTTTATGATAGGTCCTATTATAGAGACACCTACAGGATGAGCTGGACAAACAGAGTGTGCTGGGTGGGCAGAAATTTCTTGTGAGTTTATAGAAAGTCCTTGTGATAGTGCTTATCGTGGACAGACACACAAGATCCCCTTTTTCATGACCCGGCTCCACTTTGCTTTGGGTCTGATGTAAGTGACTTTGCCTTGTCATTGGCAACTTTCACTGTAGTATAATCTGCACATCAAAGTTACCTAACAATAGTACAAAGAAAGAAAATTAAAGGTATATCTCTTTCAAAAATATAAACCCCAAAATTGTTAGGAAATTGTAGTGAGTATAAAAGATAATTCATTATAATAAACATCTCAAGCTTCACAGAATTCTGACCTTTGCTACACTCTCATCCACAATCTTTTCTCCTAGTAAATGGCAGCTCCTTCTGTTAAGTTGCTGAGGCTTCTTATTGCTTTTTTCTTCAAATAACAGTCAGAACTGAACAACTGTAATCATCCTAGTCCATACAATTGTTATATTTTCATTTAAAGAAGATCAATGTGTGATTCTTTTTTTATATATTTCTGGACAATTCTTTATATTTTAATAGTAGTCAGAATTTGATCAGGAAAACAGAAGACATCCTATGTATTATAATGATAAAAGTTTAATATTAATTAGGGCCTTATGCTATTATTGGAAGAGCTTGGTGAATAGATATTAGAAAAGCAGCTAGACAAAAATCAGAAGAGGTCTGTTTTATATCAGAGATCTTAGCCTGACAGTCTAGAGTGTGGGCACAGAACCCAAGCTTATAGGAATTTCTGAAAGGTCTGTAAATCTTATCCAGATGGACAGTGGGAGCTCATAAAGGATTCTGCAAGCCATCACATCTGTCAAACCTGCTATGTCTAATCCTTAAGCCTGCTTTATGTGAAGACCTCCTCTTCACTCCTCACTTCCAGCTCTCATGAGTTTCTTTCATAGGCAAACCCAAACCTGGAACAATGTGCCTGAAGACTTCGGGTGACACAGTACCCAGACTTAAATAGGAGGGGAGCCATGGTGGAAGTGGCCATCCAGCACAATTTTCTTGGTCTTTACTCATAGTTTTGATTCCTTAAAAAAATTAACCACATTAAAATATGTGTTTCATAATCTACATCTAATAATACAAATATTTAAAGTCTTTTCAAGTTTGAATATGCTACCCATGTTGCTGCTACCCCCATTTTGTGTGTGTGATTTTTGTGTGTGTGTTAGAAGCTCATGACCTTTGAAACCTGCTCTTATGAGCTTGCTTTGATGATTTATTTGTCCAGAGAGGATTTTTTTTCCTACCTAGCATTTTGGACTGCTATCAACCTGAGACCACTTTGAATTAAATTCTCAGCTTGCAAATTTGGAAGCCACACAGATTGTGTGAGTTCAGGCTGAAACCTGTTTGAGAGCTGGATTCTGGCTATAAACTCCACAGGGAACATTTTCTCTCTCCACTCAGAGCTGAGACCATAGGGAAATTTATTTGCTAGCTCACTTTGAAGGTTTATTTTATTTATTTTTTAAATTTCTAGTACACGTGCTCACTGAAGGTGTAATACTTATGTGAGAATCTCAAAATCAGTTGTGTTCTTTGTATGACCCTGGTTTTGTTTCCTCCTGCTCTCTTACTTTCAGTGTGTCTCAGTATGTCTGCTCAATATGTCATCTTAAATTTCAACTGAGGGTGGATCTTCTTCCCAGCTCACTCACATGGTTCTTAGCTAGATTCAGTTTCTCTCCATTTGTAGGACTGAGGACCTCAGTTCTTCACTTAGGGTTGGCTACAGGTAATCATCAATTTCTTGTAACAGGACTTACACTGGGCCACTGACAGCATGCCAGTTGGCTTCATTCAAATGAGAGGGCAAGAGAAAGAGAGAGAGGGAGAGGGCACAAGAAGAAATTCACAGTATCTTATAATCTAATCTCAGAAGTGGCATCTCATTTCTTTTGTTCTATTCTATTCAATAGAAACAAGTACCTGGGACCAGCTTACACTATAGGAAAGAGATTATATAAGGGTATAAATACCAAGAGGTAGAGATCATCAAGAGCCATTCTGGTAGCAGCCACAGTATCTTATCCAGAATATTTCTTATTCAGGCCTTCAAATGTGCTGTCTTTTCTGGTCTAATGGAAATGAACCTTCCTTCCATACAATTTCTTCTCCTAAATTGTACTCTGGCTCTCTTATCATATACAAACGTCTATGTTAGGTATTTGTGTCTGTCTTGATTCTTGGTAGGCTTTTAAACTCTGTGAATGTTGGACTGTGATGTAGACATCATTTCACCGCACACTCTGTAACCACCAAACCTTAGCAGCTTATTCAGTAAGCACATACTTGGCTCTTAATGAGTATTGCTTAAATTGATGAATTGAATTAGTATTTTACCTTCTCTGTTGCTTAGCTAAGCAGAAGAATTTGTCATTTTTTTAATTTAGTGACTGGTTCTATTAAAAGTTACCTTTGTCTATATCATTTTGTTATACTAAAGCACAAATGTATAAGGTCAAAAAACATTCTCAAGATTTTGTTTAAACCACAGCCCTCAGTTGTGTATATTTATCTCTTGTTTTCATATGCAAGATTTCTCCTGAAATGGGCAACAATTACAAGAGTTTTTTTCCTCTTCTGAACTAAGAAAATAAATATTTAATTCACAAGTTTAGAAAAGTGAACCTGAAAAATCACAGGGCTAGGTGGGTTATGAGGCCCACTGGTACATGATAGTGTTGAATGTGGATTAGAATGAACTCCGTGGATTAGAATCTCAGACCATAGGCAAACATTTACTTGTTTTAGAATAAGCACATTTGAGTCTGCAATAAGTATTACTATTTTTAAGTTGAAAATGTAATTGGTTTCTAATAATAACCATATTGGCTAGCATTATTTCAATGGTGTTTAATGTTTTCCAATGTCATTTCATGTCAGATATCTCTCTTGATTCTTAGTAACAATTTGGACAAGACAGCAAATGCTATTGTCCAAGTTTTCTAAAGAAGAATCTGAAGTGAAATGACATCAAGAGACCTATCAAGACCTGTATCCAGGAAAAGGTAAATCTGAGCTGAAAGTGTAGCCCTTGTAAATTACCTACGTGACATACCAGATAGTGTTCATGATCCATTCAGTACTCTGTTCTAAAAATGAGACAATATCCATTTATTCACTTGTTCATTTATTTAGTGCTTGTTCAGCCCTTACTGCATATTCCAGGCACTATTCTGACTGTGGCAGGAGTGAACAAACAGGCATGGTTCTTACTTGCATGTAATTACAGTCTTATAGTGAAAACAAGTGTTAAACAACAAAATCTCCCAATTATTTTAAAATTATAAACTTGATTCGATACTATGTGGCCATATAATTGTTCCTAATTTGGTTGGAGAAGGGAGGCAGTTAGGGAAGCCTTCCCTGAGTTAGTGCCATTTAACCTGAATTATGATAGATGATAAGTAATTTGTCAGGGGAAAAATACTCCAGGAATAAAGAACAGGTACAAAGGTCAGGTTCTGGGAAGAGCTTGTCTTGGTCCAGGAGCTAAAAAATGTTAGAGTGGCTGGATCTGGGAAAGAGACAAAGAGTTATTAAATGAGGCAGCAGGCTTCAGCAGGTGCCACATTGCTCAGGGCCTTGTAGGCCATGCTAAGGATTTGGGATGTTAATGTCAGTACAAACAATTGAGTCATAAGCACAAAGTAAAAGCATGATTCCATCAAATGTTATTCTCTAAACAGTAATTTTATAAATACAGGTTAAATGTGTGTGGTCCCAGCTACTCAGGAGGTCCCAGCTACTCAGTATTCCTTTTCAACAAATATTAGGTGCCTACTATTAGCCAGGTACAGCCCTTAGCTGCATTGAATGAAGCATATATTACAAACTGGCAGAATTTCTTAAACAAAGAATCTAAAGTTGTTTATACACCATAATCTCGGTATTTTATAAATTTCTTGAAATTATTTTTATGTACGCTGCTTTGCAGAATTTTAACTGGCTTTGAAATAAACAATGACAATAGTCCTCCATGTTACTAGTTTCAAATTTTCCCAATACCTACTAAGACATTACTTAATCCACAGATTTACTGTCAATAGTTTGTATCAAATTGTGATAACATATTTGAAATTAATATTTCAAATTAAAGCAAAATCACAAATTTATACTTTATATTATGAATGAGATTCACAAAAGGAGCATGATAATATATTCTGTTGTCATCGCATACAAAATAATAACATATAGAGTATGAATCAATAATTTTTCAAATACAAAGCTATTACAATTAGGAATACAAAGAAATCATAATTAGGAATACTTCTACAATATTAACACACAATAGTGGTAACACTTGCAAAATGATGGTGGTGGTTTTTTTTTTTTTTTTTTTTTCCCCGACAGAGTCTTGCTCTTGTTGCCCAGGCTGGAGTGCAATGGTGTGATTTTGGCTCACTGTAAACTCCACCTCCTGGGTTCAAGCGATTCTCCTGCCTCAGCCTCCCTAGTAGCTGGTATTACAGGTGCCTGCCACCACACCCAGCTAATTTTTGTATTTTTAGTAGAGATGGGGGTTTCACCATGTTGGCCAGCCTGGTCCCGAACTCCTGACCTTAGGTGATCCACCAGCATCGGCCTCCCAAAGTGCTGGGATTACAGGTGTGAGCCACTGTGTCCAGCCAGTGGTGGGTCTCATATCTCAATGTGGACTTTTACTAACTCCCGATGCCTCATTTTCCTCATCAGTTGAAAGGAATGAATGAAAGATTTGTGTTTTTCATATTACCAGGTAGATGATAAGGAGATTTTAATTTTCTTTTTTTTTAACTTTTATTTTAAGTTTAGGGGCATTTGTTACATAGGTAAACTGGTGTCACAGGGGGTTATTGTACAGATTATTTCATCACCCAGGTATTAAACCTAGTACCCAATAGTTATCTTTTCTGCTTCTCTTCCTTTTCTCACCCTCCACCCTCAAGTAGACCCCAGGGTCTGTTTTATTCTTTGTGTTCATTAGTTCTCATCATTTAGCTCCCACTTATAACTGAGAGTATGCTGTATTTGGTTTTCTGTTCCTGCATTAGTTTGCTAAGGATAATAGAAGGTCCATCCACATTCCAGCAAAAGACATGATATCATTTTTTAATGGCGGCATAGTATTCCATGGTGTATATGTACAGCCTGCATATAAACTGTGGGCTAAAGACCTTCACCAGAGCAGTCTGACAGAACCTCTCTGAAAGACTTCTCCTAGGCTGTAATCCTCAGTCTCTTGTTCTCAGACCCCTAAATAAATCTAACTTTAATTTCTTAAAAGCTTAATTTTTTTCTTTAGTTGACACCAAAAATCTCCCCAGCCAGATCCACAAACTTTTTCAGTATTTTTCCTATTTTTTATATCATTCCAGGCAAGCGTTTTCTAACTCTCCCATCAGAATACGACTTTGGTGCGTTTTCCTCAGTCTCCACTGATGATTTTTTCTCATTATCCTTAAAGCCCTTTCCAGTAGACTTCTTAAGCTCTTTCAAGTTTTCAGTCTCCTTAAGGACCATTCAGTGTTTACTGTCAGTTCCCAGAATGCTTTTACAGGTTTTGCTGTCATTTTCCTTGAAGTCTGTTCACTTTTCACTAACAGTCTTTGTGAAATCCTTCTGGGTTCTATCCATTGTCTGATTCCAAAGCCAATGCCACATAGTTTAAGTTTATATTATATTAGAGTGACATCTTATTCCACGTACCACAAACCACCTCAAAACTTCGCAGCTTAAAACAACAAACTTAAAAAAAATTGTGGACTTGTATTAGTGCAAGCAGGGCTTAGCTACATGATTCTGCTCCGTGTGGTATTAACTGTAGCCATCTGTGGTATTCAGCTGGCAGCTGGGTAGTCTGGAGAGTTGAAGGTGGCTTCAGTGATGTGCCTGTTTTATTAGTGGATTGGATGAAATGTTGTGGTAAGGTGGGCCTCTCTTGCTCTCCGTGTAGTTTGAGAGCCTGTCTACATGATCTATTCAGCAGCAATATGGTTTGGCTGTGTCCCCACCCAAATCTCATCTTGAATTGTAGCTCCCATAATTTCCGTGTCTTGTGGGAGGGATCCAACGGGAGATAACTGAATCACAGGAGTATTTCCCCCATACTGTTCTCGTGGTCTTGAATAAGTCTCACAAGAGCTGATGATTTTATAAGGGGGTTCCCCTTTCACTCAGCTCTCATTCTGTCTTGTCTGCCATCATGTAGAGATGTGCCTTTTGCCTTCCACCATGATTGTGAGGCCTCCCCATCCACCTGGAAATGTGAGTCCATTAAGTGTCTTTTTCTTTATAAATCACTCAGTCTCAGGTATGTCTTTATCAGCAGCATGAAAACAGACTAATACAGTACATTGGTACTGGTAGAGTGGGGTGCTGTTGTAAAGATAACCCAAAAATGTGGAAGCGACTTTGGAACTGGGTAACAGGCAGGGGTTGAAACAGTTTGGAGGGCTCAGAAAACGACAGGAAAATGTGGGAAAGTTTGGAACTTCCTAGAGACTTGTTGAATGGCTTTGACTAAAATGTCAAATAATGATATAGACAATGAAATCCAGGCTGAGATGGTCTCAGATGGAGATGAGGAACTCAATGGGAACTGGAGTAAAGGTGTCTCTTGCTATCGAGAGAGACTGGCAGCATTTTGTCCCTGCCCTAGAGATTTGTGGAACTTTGAACTTGAGGGAGATGAGTTAGGGTATCTGGCAGAAGAAATTTCTAAGCAGCAAATCATTCAAGAGTGACTTGGGTGTGTTAAAAGCACTCAGTTTTAACAGGAAAACAGAGCATAAACGTTCAGAAAATTTGTAGCACGACACTGTGATAGAAAAGAAAAATCCATTTTCTGAGGAGAAATTCAAGCTGGCTGCAGAAATTTGCATAAGTAACAAGGAGCCAAATGTTAATCGCTAAGTCTTCAGGCCATGTCAGAGATCTTTGTGGCAGCCCCTTCCATCACACACCCAGAGGCCTAGGAGGAAAAAATGGTTTCATAGGCTGGGCCCAGGGCCCCTCTGCTGTTTGCCTGTGTACAGCCTAGGGACTTGGTGCTCTGTGTCCCAGCTGCTCCAGCCACAGCTAAAAGGGGTCAAGGTACAGCTCAGGCCATGGCTTCAGAGGGTGCAAGCCTCAAGCTTTGGCAGCTTCCATGTGGTGTTGAGCCTGTGGATTCACAGAAGTCCAGAATCGAGGTATGGGAACCTCCACCTAGATTTCAGAGAATGTATGGAAATGCCTGGATCTCCAGACAGAAGTTTGCTGCAGGGGTGAGGTCTTCATGGAGAACCTCTGCTAAGGCAGTGGGGAATGGAAATGTGGGGTTGAAGCCCCCAACACAGAGCCCACTAGGGTACTGCCTAGTGGAGCTATGAGAAGAGGGCTGCTGTCCTCCAGACCCCGGAATGGTAGATCCACCGACAGCTTGCACTGTGTGCCTGGAAAAGCTGCATACAATGCCAGCCTGTGAAAGCAACCGGGAGGAAGGCTCTGCCCTGCAAAACCACAGGGGTGGAGCTGCCTGAGACCATGGGAACCCACCACTTGCATGAGTATGACCTGGATGTGAGACATAGAGTCAAAGGAGATCATTTTGGAGCTTTAAGATTTGACTGTCCCACTGGATTTCAGACTTGCTTGGAGCCTTTAGTCCCTTTGTTTTGGGTAAATTTTACCATTTGGAACGGCTGCATTTACCCAATGCCTGTACTCCTATCTTATCTAGAAAATAACTAAATTGCTTTTGATTTTACAGGTTTATATGTGGAAGAGACTTGCCCTGTCTCAGGTGAGACTTTGGACTGCCAACTTTTGAGTTAATGCTGAAGTGAGTTAAGACTTTTGGGGACTATTGGGAAGGCATGATTGGTTTTGAAATGTGAGGACATGAGATTTGGGAGGTGCCAGAGGCAGAATGAGGTGGTTTGGCTGTGTCCTTTCCCAAATCTCATCTTGAAATGTAGCTCCCATAATTCCCATGTGTTGTGGAGGGACCTGGTGAGAGATAATTGAATGATGGGGTGGCTCCCCCATACTGTTCTTATGGTCGTGAATAAGTCTCATGAGAGCTGATGACTTTACAAGGGGCTTCCCCTTTCACTCAGCTCTCATTGTCTCTTGTCTGCTCCCATGTAATGCACACTTTTCACCTTCTGCCATGATTGTGAGGCCTCCCCATCCACATGGAACTGTGATTCCATGAAACTCTTTTTATTCATAAATTACCCGGTCTTGGATATGTCTTTATCAGCAGCATGAAAATGGACTAATGCAAGCAGAATAAGCAGAATTCTTCGATACTGACTCTGCACCCACACACGTTGGTTCCAAGATGTAGAAATGGAAGCTTCAAGGCTTTTAACATCTGGACATCAAAACTGGAAGTTTTACTTTCACTGTATTTTATTGGTCAAAGCAGTCAAAGAGCCCACCCAGGTTCAAGGAGAAAGAATATGTCCCCACGTTTTCAACGGGATGGTGCCACAAAATTTCTAGTCATCTTAATTCACCACAGATAGAAATATGAAGAGCTCATTTGTTATGTTATTTGTGAATGCAGACTAAAGATATTTGTTGGTTTATATAGTAGTGGGAAAATGAGAACTTTTAAAATATTCAACTTTTAGCCCTTGACATGCAAAATGAGTTCATTACATGGTAAGGATGAGGGAGAAAGAAAAGATCTGAAAAAGTAGAAGAGTGATGGATTCAGAAAGTATAGGATGATTGTCAGTGTGATTGTTTTATCTAGCCACATATAGCTGTGTTGTATCAAGATGTAGAAGGCAGAGAGTAGGATTTATCAGGATTGTTGTTTGGAAGAGTGAGTACAATCATTACGAGGGAGCAAGGTATTGATCATGGAATATAAAGTGGGAAAAGAGGTAAGGTAAGAAGGATATCAGTAAAGTGAATGACAGCATAAATATGGTAGAACCATTGGATTGGTGGCTCTGGAGGAATTGAATAATTATTAGACTTGAAGCATTAGATGGTGCATTAGTGAGGGCATCTCCAACTAAGTCTACCATCAAGTCATGGTGATTTATTATCTCAAATATATGACAAATTTATCTACTTATTTCCAAAACTCCCATATCTAGTTTAAGTAATCAAATTTCTTGCCTTGGCAAGCATGTTGCTTTCTAATTGACTCACCTGTATCCAATTTGAATTCCTTAAAATCCATTCTATACATTGTAACCATAGTGATATTTACAAATGTGAAATCTGGTCAAATCATTCTTCTGCTTAGTAGTCTTGGATTTCTCATTCTCTTAGGAAGCATCTTCCACTACTTATTTCAGCATTATCTGCACAATGCTTCCCCTCACTTCCTCACAATGTGGTTTCAGGCACAACTCCCAAGGCCCCACTCTGGCCTCGGGGAGCAGATTGTTCCCCCTGCAGGAAAACCTTTGTTCTCCACTCAGTTAACTGCTGTTTACCCTTTAGATCTCAGCTTCAGTGTTGCTTTCTTAGGGGAAACTTCTCTGACTCACATCAAATCCCTCTCTTATAGTAATTTTCATTGTATTTCAGAGTAATTTTTATGGTTGCAATTTTACATTTGTGTGATTGTTTGATTAATCTCTGTCTCCTCCACGAAAACTCCAAGATGCAGGAACTATATCTTACTGGCATCCAGCACAATACCTGGCACGTAGGTGTTCAAAAAATACTAATAGGGTAAATAAATGAATTAATTTTATGCTTTTATTTTAATATTTTTATGGTATTAATATTTCTCTCTATGTGATATTTTGTATGTACATATTTTCTTTTAATTTGAAGATTTATAGTTTATTTTAGTTATGTGCTGTATAAATTATATTTAGTTCTTTAATTTTTGTGTTATTTCCAAGGGTGCTCTCCATTGACTCTTTTAATATAGTTCCACTTTACCCCTTTAACCCACTTTCCTCTCCCACCGTCGTGATTCAACTTTATTTGATTTTGTTATTTTTAATTTTTCTAATAATGACCTTTATCTTTTAAAATAATATTTAATCACCCATAACATAATTTGTTGATTCTCTCCCACTGTGAAAGTTGAATGGACCAGAATATATTTCTACTATCTTTCTCTTCTTATTTTTGTTATGAATATAATTAGTCTTTATACAGTTATGGTTTGTAACATTTGCATTCTGTTCTTTAACCGCAAACCCCAGAACATTTTGATATTAGGCTTCAGAATGCTCACTTGTATCATGTTATCTCTATTCATTTTTAGTGGATAGTTTTCTTTTTTAAGTTTTTCTGATAGAGATGGGGTCTTGCTATGTTGCCCAGGCTGGTCTTATCTTGAACTCCTGGGCTCAAGTGATTCTCCTGCCTTGGCCTTTCAAAGTGTTGGGACTGTAGGTGTTAGCCCCTGCGCCTGGCCTCTAATAGTTGTCTTCATTAAAGCCTCATGGGGACTCTATTTTTTTTTTTTTTTTTGTGGGTTGTTTATTTTGTGTTTGTGAAGTCCGGTAAATTCAGTTGCATCTGCCTTGATATGGTCATACTATAACATATTTTTTCTGGATAAAGATAAGCCCTTTAACCATTAGATTCAATGTTTTCTTCATTTCAGAAAAGTTTTCTTTTATCTTTGAATTTTTTAACCAGATATTGTGAGCTCTTTCACACTAATTTCTCATTTGTTGGACCTGACTTTAATGTTACATTTCACCTTCTTGTGTTTTCTATTTTGTTTTGCTCAGGATATATTTAAGCCTGTCATTTATATTCTTATCTGTGTTTTTAGCAGCATTATTCTCTCCACTTCCCACTTTTTTTCCTGCTTTTATTGATCTTCATTTCTTTCATGGTTGTCTTTACTCATTACATCCTGAATTTTGCCAGATTATTTTTTATCACTTTATTTTGTATTTATTTTCAATTATGTCTTCTAAATATCATTTCAGAGAGAAAACATTTTAGAGAAGGCATATTTTTAAAAAACATAGAAAATTTGATCCTATTTTTTACTGCTTCATGGTATAATTTGTATGTTCTGTACCTTATGTAATTTTCCCTTTTTCTTCTAGTATTTTTATAAAGGTCATCAAGTTTTATTTTTGTAATACAATTATTATAAATAATTATATAATATTATTAGTCTTTGAATATTCTAGATACTTGTGAAAGGATATTGTGGAGGAGGAGCTGGGGGTAGTAAGTATGATGGAAGGCAGACGAGTTTTGGAATCTTGTCGCCAAAACACTCTCATCTGTTAGAATGACTCCTAGGCTATAGGATTGACTATGGCTTAGAGTGGATTCATAGTTGTTAATTTCATCATGTGACTTGTGACTTATCCTTTTCTTTTCATAATAGAATGAAAATTGCCATCTGTCTGGCTTCTTCCCCATCTTTTTGCCTTCTTTCATTACACCACACACGTGTCCTAATTATTCCAAAGGTGATACATTTGCATGTTTCCCTTTAAACTCCTTTCCCTCTGTCACTCTGTGGAGGGTTCACATGCTGCAATATTTCTGTTCCAAGTAAAGATCACAGGTTTTGATCCTCAGTCCTCAGTATACACACCTCTTTTAGGGATTTCTGGGCTTCTTGACTAGCTCAAGCTCTTCAGAGGCATGCACTTTATCTTGGTGTTCAGTCTTGACTGGTTTAAACTTTTGATGTCCAGAAGGTTTTCTTCATGTGTTGTTGTGTGGAATTGTAAATATTTTCTAGCTTTTGTAAGGTTGTGGCTCATATTTATATTTCTCCTGGTTTGAAAGAAGAGAGAGAAAGAAGTATGTCAAATTGAGACTCTTAGATTGGAAATCTGAATTTATTTACACGATTGAGATTGATCTAGAGTTTTATTTTTTCTGCTGTAACTGAAATTTGGATTCAAGATTATATGTGTTTTGTGAATATGTTTGGTAACATTGTGACTTTTCTATAATTTAGGGAAGTTTGATGTAGGAGAAAGAGAAAAAATTTTTGAGAGAATCCTAAATTCATATATGGCCTAACCTTTTAATATCTATGTAATTTTAGATAATAAATAATTTGTTTGAGATTATGTGGCTCTAACAACACCTGCTTCACAGTGTAATTATGAGGATTTCATAGAATTTGTATAGTGAGCGTTAGTTTTGATGTTACTTTAAACCTCTTTGCCTTATACATTCTGTTTTTTCCATGGAATATTATATGATTTCATGTCCACATATTAATCTCATACTTTCAATTACATTTTATGTTTAAATTGAATATTATGGTAATCGTTATGTAAATGATTAAAAATTTAAAGGGACAACATTTAATGTTGCTCTGGAATTCACCTTTAGTCATAAAATAAAGATTTAAAGTATCATCTGTAGACAATGGCAAAAGGCTTTTTTTGTCATAAGAAAATCAAATATGCTTTATTTCACCCAATTAACAGTTTCTGGGCTTGGCTATCCCGGGAAAACCAAAATGACCATAGGCGGTAATTCCCCAGGCCGTGTGATCTCAGTCTGGCATTCTCGGATCTCCAAGGCATCACTTTGGCCACTACCCTCTGGGGCTGTGATTAGCAGCTCTCTTCCTGTTTTATGCAGCTCTGTGTGTATGTCTGCAGTGATGCCGTACTGGATCTGGTTCATCTTGTGAGAACTATACCTATCTGAATTTTTGATGATGCTCTTTTCTTAGTTCCCTTGGCAAAACAGGTAGGTGAGGGATAGAAATAAAATCTATACTTAGTAAATCGGTGAGCCAAGGTCTGTGACTGGCAATGAGTGAATTACATTCTCCTCAGTTGGGTGCAATGTCTGCCTTCTGTGTGGCCATTTGCTGTTGCCACTAGAGAAGGAGGATGCAGCAGGGATCAGGCACCGTGGAGAAAAGTCGCCGTGTGTAGGCAGCTAAGAATGTAGGAAAATGAACATCTCGGCTCCCAAAGGACGAGAATAAAGCTGTAGAAGAATGTCAGGGAGGAATCTGAGTTGATCGTATGACTATTCATCCTTCTTCCCACATTTTCCCGACTGTTTAGCCCTACTTTTCTTCGCGTTGGGTCTCATTTTCCTTCCTGTGTGGCCTGTGCCTTATGGTCAGCGCGGACGTCCATCAGTCTATCAAATGCCTAGAAACCTTTCGCCCTTTGTCACCTTCTGTGTCACCCAGCATTCCCCTTCTCAGCCCTTTTCATTCTCATGGTGGAATCCTTTTGGTTTGATTTCAAGGGTCCAGCACTGTTGATGTCACAACAGAGTGGCATGGAAAGTTTCTGAAAATTTTGTCATCTAACCTCTCGTGGGGACTTTTAATTAATTCAGCTTTTGACAACTCCATCACATTCATTATATTATCCATTCATTCATTCATTAATACATTTGACATTTATAATGTGTGCCAACAATGTGCCAGGTCAAAACTGCCCACTGACAATGTAGAACATTTCTGTAAATTTTATTTCAATTTTCTTGTATTTCTTCTCCTTTATTCTACCATCCCACTTGATCTTCTGCCACAGAAGTTCTCTTCTCTCTCTCTTTGTTCTCTCTTCTCCTCCTTTATTCTTGATACCTGCTTCTGTGTTGGCTCCTCTAGGCCAGCACTTGTCCTCCTACCTCTGTGATGTTCTGTCTAGTTTATTGATTCCTTTTCCTACTTTACATAATCAATGTGGATAGTTTCTATAGTTGGGTCTTTGCTTTTTAATCTTTTTTTCCTGTGTATTATTTCCTTCAGGGACCTTATGCACTCTTACACATCCGTCTATTATTTTTATATGGATTACTATACAATTACATGTTGAATTCGTACTTTTCCCCCATATATCCTGTCATATGTTTTCACCTGAGCATCTCAATATCTAATACTCTTATTTGCTTAAAATACACGTGATTATTTTCTCCACCCTGACATATTTTATGTTCAACTTTCTAATTTCTAAAAATGGACCTACCATTGTCCTATTTATTCTTGCTTAAATCTTGATATTTTCTTTGAGTTCATGCTCCTTCGTATTCACTCCAGCTGTGATAAGTCACCAATCCTTTGGGTTTTTACTTACCAGTATTTCTATTTCTGTTTCTATAGCCTTAAAGCTGGAACTGTGTAGTCCCAGTTCCTCTGTGTAGCCCCCCAAGTCTGCTCTATTTCAATCTTCTCTTAAGGGAACTCCTTCCCTCCGTTTTTCTTTTCCTCCATTTGATACATCACACTTATAGATGGGGCATCTTCCCTAATTACTGGCTTCATCCTCAATTCCCAGGACCCATACCTTCACTGGCTTCCTAAATTTATTTAATAATTCTCATATACCTTTGAGAAGTTTCTAATGATAGGCAACAAATGAATATTGACTACCTTTCTTATTTTCCTTTATTCACCAAAATGATTTTTAGGATGTAGACAATCTGTATGCTTCAACATACACCAAACTTACCATTTTTGAAATATTTTACAATCTACTTGAAAAGACTTCTTTAGACCCTATATTCATGTATTGTAATATTTATCCTCTTTTATGGCTATACTCAAATGCCACATCACTATAGTGCCTTCCCTCATCACTGTAGCTATCTCTTTTCACTCTACTTATATTGTAGAGGATTTGTTACACTTCTTGAACTGCTGATCTCAAGCGATTTGCTTGCTTTGGCCTCCCAAAGTGCTGGGCTGACAGGCGTGAGCCACTGCACCTGGCCTGATTTGTTCCACTTCTACTATATGCATCACACATGCCTGATGCATATTTTAATGCACGTTGGATAAGGATCGGCTTTGTACGACTTCAGTCTTTCTTGATGTGTGACACCCACTTCTATTTTGGCTCCACTTTAACAAAATGAATAAGTGAGAAGGTAATACTGGAAACAGAACATAACTGTGACTAGGAATTTGGTCTTGACTCGCCATTTAATTTTCTGATGTGCATGACTGTTTTCTTCACATGTGAAATTTAACATGAGGTTGAAACTGGAGAATTTTATATTTTTCATGAAAAAGGCAATTTGGGAGAAAAGTCCATTTTCCTGAGGATAAGGTATTGTATGGTTTGACTGCTTTGCCTTGGCTGGTCAACACATTTGTACACCTGGATAGGCACAGTTTTCAGAAATCCTTTCAAGCATCTACCAATTCTCCTGTCTACAAGTTTACCTTCCTCCCATTTCTCATTCCTAATGACAAGGGAAATATCCAGTGTTATCTGAAGTGGTCATAAAAGACATTTTTTTTCTTTTTATGTGAGGAATTGAAACTTATGGCTTTAGATTATGGGGCTTACCATCAAGGAAAGGGCGTAGCGTGGTCAGAGGACAAAACTTCTTCCTGCATTTCTCAGGAAGTCTTTGATTAGTGTGTCCACCTAGGAGCAATTTTTTTTGGGGGGGGCGCTGGGAAATATACTTAAGTGATTAAATCCAAGTGTAGACATGAGAGCTTTACCTAAAGCCAGGTCTAATTACCATACCTGAGAATCAGGGAGTATTTAAAATTTGAGAAATAATTTTCTATACTTGAAAGTCACTTATGTAGGTAGGCCTCAGATTATAATAAATAACGTTTATTGTGCTATACTATGTGGTAGGTATGAGGTTAAGTATTTTTACCTATATTATATCACTTATTTCTTACAAATGGAGCAAGGGAGCAAGCAAACAAGGGAGGTATTATTATCCCTATTTTATGTATTTATGTATTTATTTTTGATTTCTATTCTTTTGGTTTTTTTGTTGTTTTTTATTGATGTATCATAGTTGTACATGTTTTGGGGTACATGTGATATTTTTGATACATGTATACAATGTGTAATGATCAAATCAGAGTAATTTGGATATTCATCACCTCGAATATTTATCTTTTCTTTGTGTTGGGAACATTATAATTTTTCTCTGCTAGCTATTTTAGAATATATAATAAATTATTGTTCCCTATGATTTCTCCATTGTATAATTGAATACTAAAATTTATTATGTCTATCTACATATCCCCAGTTCAATAACTATAATTTCTCTGCTGTGCAATCAAATACTAGAACTTCTTCCTTCGAACGCTATATCCCTAATTCAATAACTAGTAAACTGAAGCTCAGCATGGTCTAGGAACTTTGTTACATTAACACAGCAAGTGAGTGTTGCAGCCTGGATCCAAAAATCAGGCCTGGTCGACCTCAAAGTCCAGATTATTGACCTTTCTACCATAATGTATGGAGGTAAGTTTGTGAATTTATTCAAAAATCAGGCCTGGTCAACCTCAAAGTCCAAATTATTAACCTTTCTACCATAATATATGGAGCTAAGTTTGTGAATTTTCATAGTTTTAGGATTTGAAGATAAAAGAGGTGAAAATTTGGAAATGGTTTCTGGACTTTTGAATTTTGGCAAACAGCTATGTGATAAGTCCACCCTGCAGACCCACAACTTTTGGAAATAACTCTACTGTGATCTTCAGTAGCAGAAGCTGCTCCTGGGGTGGTAGAACACAAGGAAAACACACACTAGTAAAAATTTCATGTGGCTTCTTTGTTCTGTACATGTGTTTCTCTTGATTAGTATATGGTAGTATCCTCAAATCATAGTAACGAGTATACTTTTTCCAGTGAATTGCATGTGTATATTATTGTATAGTATAAAAGGCAATATTTCCATTTATTATCATCTGTGCTTTTCAAAGAAACTCTGTGAGTCCAAAAGGGCAGATAATAGAAGCAACTGCCCTTTCTCTCCCCCTTTAAATGCAACCCAATGTCAAAGTCCGTAGCATCCCCAGATGAGTGTGTTAAAGGTGAGAAATTCCCAAAGTCAAACTCAGTAGCATCCTTGAATGAGTGTATTAAAGGTGATAAATTTATTTTATGTATGTTCTTTTTAACCTGTGTTCTCAGAAACAGAGACTACTGTATTTCATCCTACCTTAGTCTTGCTTAGCAGTTTCTCTTCTCCTTTGAGGCTCTTTTATTTTTAAATCATTGTTCATATCTTCTAATCTCCCCTTTCTCCCATTCTTCCCATATTTTTAATCTTGTTTTAACTTTATCTCTGTTCTACTTTTTCTGTATTTCAAATTGATCCATAGACTTTAGAAAAATGAGTTGAATGCTGGCTGTAGGCTGTCTTATCCCCAGCAAGAAACATGTTGTAAAGTCTTAGTACCTTCCCACTGGAAGATCATTAGTCATGGCTACTATGTTTTTAAATGAGAATTGTTTTAATTATGCATTTTAAAATTATTGGAAAACATGAGGGAGAGGAATGAACCATAAGTAATAAAGATTATTGACTTGAAGTTAAGACCTTACTATGATCTGGGATTATTAGTCTTACTTGTCAATCAAGAACTATCCACTTTCTATTCATTTGTGGGTATCTAATATGGTTATATACACAGAAGTAATGATAATTGATATGAAAAGGTCTCCTCCTGTTATATCAATTTAGGTATTTTTCACACATTGTATACCTCATTCTTCTCCTATTCAATTTTCACTAATTCCTAAAGGGTCAGGTCAATGTCCTTGGCATAACCTCCTCCACCTGTTCTTAATGGCAATCGTCTCTTCTGCCCTCCAATATCTATAACACTTTTTTCTTTAAAACTCTTTGAATGTTTATCTTAATACTCATTTGATATATATTGTATACCACATATGATTGTTTGTTATATGTACAATACATGTTTTTTCAACTTTTTTTGGTTCTTTCTATTTACAGGAATTAGAGAAAGAACAAATCAGTGTGAAGGAGAATTGTCAGTAAAATTACAAGAAAAGATTGAGATCATAATTGACCTTTGAGGATAATAAAATTTAAAGACCAAAAGGATGGACTTCACAGAAACATGACCTTAGGTTGTTTTTGCAGTTGTAGTAACTGGTTATATGACCAACAAAATATGAAGAATGGGTACAAATTCTGATAGTAATGATCAGTCACTTTGCAAATATAAAGCTACTATTTACTACTGTATTGTACAGGTTCAATAATCTTTGTGTACACATTTTATGTATTTATTGTCAGGCTGCTATATAATTCAGTATTTATAATAGATACTATGTATAGCAATCTATGGTTAGTTTTGGTCTTAACCAGGAAAAATCACTCTTTTGAGTTTTGCTGTTTTTACTAGATTATTTTTACTGGATGATTGCTCATATTATTTGATTATTATTGCAATTTGTCTTTCTGGAATAGGAAGCAAGAGGCCTGAATTCTGGTTCCTATTCTATCAATTGTGTGAATTCTGGAAACTCAGTTTACTTTTCTGGGCCTCATGGTTTTCATCTGAATGATGACCAACTTGGATAAAATGGTCTTTATATAATTTCGTAGGCATTTCCCTTCCCAAGGGCTTGAGTCTTTTTCAACAATTATAGAGTTTTCCGGTCCCTCTTCCCAGTGCCTCAGCACCTTGCTATTCATGTTCATCTGATCAGTTGTTTGCATGCTGACTTACATTACCCTGATGGGCAGTACCTGTGGCTGTTTCTGCTCCCTCACCCAGTCCATAGGCTTCTGGTTGTAAAAAGTGTGCATCTTGAGACTGTGGACAGTTAGCTCCAGAGGTGACAGTATAATCACTTCACGTAGAAGAGGATAGAGAGAGACTCATGCCAGTGGTGGTGAGCAAGTATTAGAGATATGATGTGTGCCTCTGTGAGTTTTGGGGTCTAAGATAAATTATGGCACTAGGAAGATGGTCCTTTGTGTCAGAAGAACTGGAGTTGTTGGTGCAAAAAAGTATGATGTCAGCATAGCAGTTTTATTTGTACCTCAGCAACTTCTAAAATAATCTCTATTAAGTGTTTTCAGGAACTACTTTCTACTATAGGAAAATCATTGAGGTGAGTATCCATCTGGACACAGAGAAATATAACACTGTTTTCTGCTCACCCTCCACTTCACATATAAATACAACATGTGTTAAAGGACTAAATTTCTAGTGTCACAGTTTGTACTTTATAGTTTGAAGTCAATAAGAAAGCTCATATACCTTCCTAAAAGTCACTTGTTAATGTTTGATATTAATCTAATTTTATCATAAATTAAAAGTATAAAACTACAAATTTCTTAAAGATAAAATATCCAAATGGATTCAGTCAAATTAAGCATGATAATATCAAATATCAGAATAGGTTACCATGCAGGAGGTACTGAGTACTTAAAAGGATGGGGAATGCAATGAACATAAAAGCTGGTACCAAGGGGAGGAGGAGACAGCGATGAATTAAAACATTATCTTAACTAATCCAAGTGCTGGTCTTCAATACTTTCATGTGTATAGACAAAGAGAAACTGCAGAGATTTCTCACAACCTCTGTGGCCATTTTATGCATCTTAGCAAAAACTCTGGTGAAATCCCTCCAAAACATATTTATTAGGCATGGAAAAAGCCTTACATGACAGGTGGCATAGGCTCCTTATGAAATCACTGCAGGATGGGAAGCCATTTAGGGCTTCGTAATTGTGAAAGATTGTATAGAAACTGAGGCACTTAAATAGCAGTGAGCATGAGAAAATGTGGTAGATAATGGTGGTGATTCTATTTCTTGTGAAAGTCCACTTACTCTGTTCTGCTACAGTTGTGGGCTTTCCGATTTCACATACCCCAGTCTCTATATTCTGTCTCAATCCACAGCCTACCTCAACTAAGTCCGTCCCAGGCACCTCTTACTGCAGGTGATAATCCATCTGTTAATCATGTTTTCCTCTTATGTCTACTTTCTGTCAGAGAATTGTGGCTACAAACTGGGAAGGGAAGGAAATTATAAGAATATGTATAAGTACAAATGGAATATGTTGGAAATGAGGAATAGTTAATATCGCAGGTCATTTAAACACCTGATGAATTTCATGGATAGTCAGGAATCTTGTTCTTACCTAATCTGTTAATTTTAGATCAGACATTACACTGAAAGTATTGATGATGGGTTTAAATCAGGTTGCAGCTCACATGTTGTGATAATATTATGTTGATTTTTTGTTTTTAATATGTGAGGAACAGAATAACTGTATACTATTTATTCATAGTGACATTGCAATATTGATTTTAGTACATATTATTATCTTCATAATCACAATTTCCTCCCCATTTTCTTAGTTCTCATAATTTTAGCCACAGCCCAGTTGGCTGGACCAATGGATGGAGAGAATCACTCAGTGGTATCTGAGTTTTTGTTTCTGGGACTCACTCATTCATGGGAGATCCAGCTCCTCCTCCTAGTGTTTTCCTCTGTGCTCTATGTGGCAAGCATTACTGGAAACATCCTCATTGTGTTTTCTGTGACCACTGACCCTCACTTACACTCCCCCATGTACTTTCTACTGGCCAGTCTCTCCTTCATTGACTTAGGAGCCTGCTCTGTCACTTCTCCCAAGATGATTTATGACCTGTTCAGAAAGCGCAAAGTCATCTCCTTTGGAGGCTGCATCGCTCAAATCTTCTTCATCCACGTCATTGGTGGTGTGGAGATGGTGCTGCTCATAGCCATGGCCTTTGACAGTTATGTGGCCCTATTAAGCCCCTCCACTATCTGACCATTATGAGCCCAAGAATGTGCCTTTCATTTCTGGCTGTTGCCTGGACCCTTGGTGTCAGTCACTCCCTGTTCCAACTGGCATTTCTTGTTAATTTACCCTTCTGTGGCCCTAATGTGTTGGACAGCTTCTACTGTGACCTTCCTCAGCTTCTCAGACTAGCCTGTACCGACACCTACAGATTGCAGTTCATGGTCACTGTTAACAGTGGGTTTATCTGTGTGGGTACTTTCTTCATACTTCTAATCTCCTACATCTTCATCCTGTTTACTGTTTGGAAACATTCCTCAGGTGGTTCATCCAAGGCCCTTTCCACTCTTTCAGCTCACAGCACAGCGGTCCTTTTGTTCTTTGGTCCACCCATGTTTGTGTATACATGGCCACACCCTAATTCACAGATGGACAAGTTTCTGGCTATTTTTGATGCAGTTCTCACTCCTTTTCTGAATCCAGTTGTCTATACATTCAGGAATAAGGAGATGAAGGCAGCAATAAAGAGAGTATGCAAACAGCTAGTGATTTACAAGAAGATCTCATAAATGATACAATAAGCCCTTCTCGTTAAACATGATATGGCTTTATGTTTCTTTCTTTGATATTTTAGATTCAGGAACTATGAGACATTATGTATTGATTTGAATGTTATTAGACCTGTAACATAATTCTTATCTGATGAATATATGATGAATATATTCCTTGTTCAAAATGAGTCATAAATTCAACACATCTCTACATCTATATTATGCCCATTTAATTTCTTTCAGCAATGTTTTGTAGTTTTTGGTGAACAGGTACTTTATGCATATGTACTTTATATTTATCTCTAAGTTTTATATTTCTGATGCCCTTTTAAGTGACATTTTTATTTCAATTTACAATTGTTTATTCTTAGCTTATGGGCACATAATAGATCTTTGTTTGACATTATATCCTGTAAACTTGCAAAACTTATTAGTTCCATCAGTTTTTTATAGGTTATGTAGGATTTTCTTTATAGATGATTATGTTGTCAGTGAATAAAGACATTTGCTTTTAAAATTCTAGTATGAATTCACTATATTCATTTTGTTGAATGCTGAGTAGAATTAGTTAGAGCAGACATCTTTGACTTGTTCCTGTTATGAAATATATTAAATATTTCATCATTAAGTATAATGTTAGCTATAATTTTTTTCATAGGTACTCTTTAACAGGCTGAGAAAGTTTTCTGTATTCACAGTTTGCTGAAAATTTCTTTTATCTTTAGTCAGGAATGGATCTTGGATTTTGTAAAGCTTTTTCATTTCAGAATCAGGGTAATGCTGGCCCTTTAGAATGAGTTGGGAAGCATCTGCTCTTCTTAAATTTTCTGCCATAATTTTGTAGAATTCATATAATTTTTTTCTTTAAAAAGGGAAGTACTTAAGTATTTTTTCCCATAAGTTACCCATAAGTAAATCTAAAGGAAAGTGGGAAACTTTGATACGCATTGGTTGCCCCCTGGTGGAGATTTCTGGGTTCTTGATTATTTTAACACTGGAGATAGAATCTGGTGGAATGATGTCAATGCTACCGTGATTAAGAGGTGTGTAGGAAATGCTTCATGTAAGAGAGAAAATAGTCTTTATGAGAATCTGCCTGGTGGAAAGGAGTTGGTGCAACAATAACAATATAAATTAGTGAAAAATTTTAAATTGACAAATAATAATTGTATCTATGGGGTACAATGTAATGTTTTGATACATGTTTAAATTGTGGAAAGATTAGGTCTATCTTATTGACATACATATCTTTTTTGTGGTGAAAACATTTAAAATCTACTCTGTTAGTCATTTTGAAACATACAATACCTTGTTATTTATTACAGTCACCATTCCGTGCAATAGTTCACTGAAACTTTGTCTAACTGAAACTTTGAACCCTTTTATCAACATCTACCTTTTCCATGTCTACCCCCAACTCCTAGCCTCTGATAATCACCATTCCATTCTCTACTTCTATGAATTCAACTTTTTCAGATTCCACATATCAGTGAGATCATGTGATATTTGTCTTTTCGTGCCTGGCTTATTTCACTTAGCGTGATATCTTCTGGGTTAATTCATGTTGTCACATATATCAGGTTTTCCTTCCTATTAAGGCTGAGTAGTATTCCATTGTATATATTCACTACATTTTCTTCATCCATTTGTCAGTTGATAGACACCTGTGTTGATTTCATATTTGGGTATTGTGAATAATGCTGCAATGAACATGAGCCTGGAGATATCTCTTCAGCATATTGACTTAAATTCCTTTGGATATATACAAGGAAGTGGGATTGCTGGATCATATAGTAATTCTAGTTTTAGTTTTTTGAGTAACTTTTATCTATTTTTCATAATAGTATTAATTTACATTTCCACCAACAGTGTACGAGGGTTCCCTTTTCTCTGTATCCTCTTCAACACTTGTTATCTTTTATCATTTTGATAGTAGCCATTCTAACAGGTATGAAGTGGCATCTCACTGTCATTTTAATTTGCATTTCCCTGATAATTAGGATGACAAACTTTTTTTATGTTAGTCATTTGTATTTTTTTTGAGAAATGTCTATTTAGGACCTTGCCCATTTTTTGACTTGGTTATTTGTTTTCTTGATATTGAGTTGAGTCCCTTATATATTTGGAGATTAGCCTTTCATCAGATGTATGCTCTGCAAATATTTTCTCACAACTTGTAGGTTGTCTCTTCACCATATTGTTTCCTTTGCTGTGCAGAAGCTTTTTAGTTTGATGCAATCCCATATATTTTTGCTTTTGTTGCCTGTGCTTTGGGGGTTATATCCAAGAAATCTTTGACCAAACCAACATTGTGGAACTTTTCCCCTATGTTTTCATCTAGTAGTTTTACAGTTTTATGTTTAAACCTTTAATCCATTTTGAATTGATTTTTGTGTATGGTGTGAGATAAGGATACACACCATACACATTCATGTTCTTCTGCATGTGGATATCTAGTTTTCTTAACACCATTTATTGAAACAAATGTCTATTCTTCATTACGTTTTCTGGGCACCTTTGTCAAAAATTTATTGGTCATAAATGCATGAGTTTATTTCTGGGTTCCTTATTCTGTTCCCCTGGTCAATGTGTCTGTTTTTGTGCAAGTGTCATGTTGTTTTGATTACTATGGTTTTGTGATACGTATTTGTTTTGGGGGGGGATCGATTTTTATTTGGGTTTCTCACAGTGGTTAGAGAACAACCACAGCACAGGAAATGCATCGCCAAGATTGCCCAGAAAACTGACCAGCTGCATCTTATTGCTTAAAAATACACATATTCACAATAACTGACAAATGGTGATGTGCCTCACACAGGAATGTGTTCACATTTGCAATGCTGTGTACAGACTTCACTTCGTTCAACATAGATTTTGGTTTAATGGAATTCAAATGCGGATGCTTGTTCACAGCCTTGGATTTGTCTGTTTTTGGAGAGATACAACCTCCATGAGTATATCTGCATGAAAACCACAGACAATGAAGGTATTTCTTCATTGATTTATTTATTCTTTTGACTGTAGCAACAAACCCTGGATGACACCCTTCCTTTTAATTCACCTGGAAACCAGACTCAATCAAATCTCCCTGGTCCCCTCACTATTCCTTCAAATTCCCTATTTCTATCTCTTCCTGAGGAGGGTAACCTCCTGTAGCAGGGGTCAGACTGTGACTTGGGAATCAAGCCTAGGTCTGCAGGTTGCCTTTTCATCTTCTTGTAAAATATTGTAGGACACTGCAGTGAATCCAACAGTTAACACTCAGAGCAGTTCCCTGCTCTAACTCAGGAAAGAGACTTCAGAGGGTCAGGATTCATCCATTTGATCAGTTAACTGAGAAGGATTCATTTTGGTAAAACTTGTTCAGCTTTGAGACACTTCAGTGAGTTGTTTGAGATTTTTTTTTAAATTATATTTTAAGTTCTGGGGTACAAGTGCAGAACATGCAGGATTGTTACATAGGTATACACGTGCCATGGTGGTTTGCTGCACCCATCAACCCATCATCTACATTAGGTATTTAACCCAATGCTAACCTTCCCCCAGCCCCTACCCCCAGACAGGCCCCGGTGTGTTGTGTTCCCCTCCCTCTGTCCATGTGTTCTCATTGTTCAACTCCCATTTATGAGTGAGAACATCGGGTGTTTGGTTTTCTGTTCTTGGATTAGTTTGCTGAGAATGATGGTTTCCAGCTTCATCCATGTCCCTGAAAAGGATATGAACTCATCCTTCTTTATGGCTGCATAGTATTCCATGGTGTATATGTGCCACATTTTCTTTATGCAGTCTATCATTGAATGGGCATTTTGGTTGGTTCCAAGTCTTTGCTATTGTGAACAGTGCCACAATAAACATATGTATGCATGTGTCTTTATGGTAGAATGATTTATAATCCTTTGGATATATACCCAGTAATGCGATTGCTGGGTCAAATCATATTTCTAGTTCTAGAACCTTGAGGAATCACCACACTGTCTTCCACAATGGTTGAACTAATTTACACTCCCACCAACAGTGTAAAAGCATTCTTATTTCTCCACATCCTTTCCAGCATCTGTTGTTTCCTGACTTTTTAATGATCGCCATTCTATCTGGCGTGAGATGGTATCTCATTGTGGTATTGATATGCATTTCTCTGATGACCAGTGATGATGAGCTTTTTTTCATATGTTTGTTGGCTGCATAAATGTCTTCTTTAGAGAAATGTCAGTTCATATCCTTTACCCACTGATGGGTTTGTTTGTTATTTTCTTGTAAATTGTTTAAGTTCTTTGTAGATTCTGGATATTAGCCCTTTGTCAGATGGATAGATTGCAAAAATTTTCACCCATTCTGTAGGTTGCCTGTTCACTCTGATGATAGTTTCTTTTGCTGTGCAGGAGCTCTTTAGTTTAATTAGATCCCATTTGTCTATTTTGGTTTTTGTTGCAATTGCTTTTGGTGTTTTAGTCATGAAGTTTTTGTCCATGCCTATGTACTGAATGATATTGCCTAGGTTTTCTTCTAGGGTTTTTTATGGTTTTAGATCTTATGTTTAAGTCTTTAATACATCGTGAGCTAATTTTTGTGTAAGGTGTAAGGAAGGGATCCAGGTTCAGTTTTCTGCATATGGCTAGCCAGTTTTCCCAACACCATTTATTAAAAAGGGAATCGTTTCCCCATTGCTTGTTTTTGTCAGGTTTGTCAAAGATCAGATAGTTGTAGATGTGTGGCGTTATTTCTGAGGCCTCTGTTCTGTTCCATTGGTCTACATATCTGTTTTGGTACCAGTACCATGCTGTTTTGGTTACTGAAGGCTTGTAGTATAGTTTGAAGTCAGACAGCGTGATGCCTCCAGATTTGTTCTACTTGCTTAGGACTGTCCTAGCTCTGCGGGCTCATTTTTGGTTCCATATGAAATTTAAAGTAGTTTTTTCCAATTCTGTGAACAAAGTCAGTGGTAGCTTGATGGGGATAGCATTGAGTCTATAAAAACTTTGGGCAGTATGTCCATTTTCATGATATTGATTCTTCCTATCCATGAGCATGGAATGTTTTTCCATTTGTTTGTGTCCTCTCTTATTTCCTTGAGCAGTGGTTTGTAGTTCTCCTTGAAGAGGTCCTTCACATCCCTTGTAAGTTGGATTCCTAGGTATTTTATTCTCATAGTAGCAATTGTGAATGGGAGAGTTCACTCATGATTTAGCTCTCTGTTTGTCTGTTTTTTGCATATAGGAATGCTTGATTTTTGCACATTGATTTTGTATCCTGAGACTTTTCTGAAGTTGCTTATTAGCTTAAGAAGATTTTGGGCTGAGACCATGGGGTTTTCTAAATACACAATCATGTCATCTGCAAACAGAGACAATTTCTTTCTCTTGCCTGATTGCCCTGGCCAGAACTTCCAATACTACGTTGAATAGGAGTGGTGAGATAGGGCATCCTTGTCTTGTGCTGGTTTTCAAAGGGAATGCTTCCAGTTTTTCACCATTCAGTATTGGCTGTGGGTTTTTCATAAATAGGTATTATTATTTTGAGATATGTTCCATCAGTACCTAGTTTATTGAGAGTTTTTAGCATGAAGGGCTGCTGAATTTTGTCGAAGGCCTTTTCTGCATCTATTGAGAGAAGCATGTGGTTTTTGCCATTGGTTCTATTTATATGATGAATTATGTTTATTGATTTGCATATGTTGAACTAGCCTTGTAACCCAGGGATGAAGCCGACTTGATTGTGGTGGACAAGCTTTTGATGTGCTGCTGGATTTGGTTTGCCAGTATTTTATTGAGGATTTTTGCATCGATGTTCATCAGGGATATTGGCTTGAAATTTTCTTTTTTTTGTGTGTGTCTCTGCCAAATTTTGGTACCAGAATTATTCTGGCCTCATAAAATGAGTTAGGGAGGATTCTCTCTTTTTCTGTTGTTTGAAATAGTTTCAGAAGGAATGGTACCAACTCCTCTTTGTACCTCTGGTAGAATTCGGCTGTGAATCCATCTGGTCCTGGATTGTTTTTTGGTTGGTAGGCTATTAATTACTGCCACAATTTCAGACCTTGTTATTGGTCTATTCAGGGATTCAACTTCTTCCTGGTTTAGTCTTGGGAGGGCGTATGTGTCCAGGAATTTGTCCATTTCTTCTAGATTTTCTAGTTTGTGTAGAGGTGTTTATAGTATTCTCTGATAGTAGTTTGTATTTCTGTGGGATCAGTGGTGGTATCTCCTTTATCATTTTTTATTGCATCTGTTTGATTCTTCTCTGTTTTCTTCTTTATGAGTCTGGCTAGTGGTCTATCTATTTTATTGATATTTTCAAAAAACCAGCTCCTGGATTCATTGATTTTTTTTTGAAGGTTTTTTTGTGTCTCTATCTCCTTCAGTTCTGCTCTGATCTTAGTTATTTATTGTCCTCTGCTAGCTTTTTGTATGCTCCTGCCTCTTGAGTTCTTTTAATTGAGATGTTAGGGTGTCAATTTTAGATCTTTCCTGCTTTCTCTTGTGGGCATTTAGTGCTATAAATTTCCCTCTACACACTGCTATAATTGTGTACCAGAGATTCTGGTATGTTATGTCTTTGTTCTCATTGGTTTCAAATAACTTATTTATTTCTGCCTTAATATCTTTATTTACCCAGTAGTTGTTCAGGAGCAGGCTGTTCAGTTTACATGTAGTTGTGTGGGTTTGAGTCAGTTTCTTAATCCTGAGTTCTAATTTAATTGCACTGCGATCTGAGAGACTGTTATGATTCCCATTTTTTTTTTGCATTTGCTGAGGAGTGTTTTACTTCCAAATATGTGGTCAATTTTAGAATAAGTGCAATGTGGTGCTGAGAAGAATGTATATTCTGTTGATTTGGGGTGGAGAGTTCTGTAGCTGTCTATTGGATCCACTTGGTCCAGAGCTGAGTTCAAGTCCTGGATATCCTTGTTAACTTTCTGTTTCGTTGATCTGTCTAGTATTGACAGTGGGGTGTTAAAGTCTCCCACTATTATTGTGTGAGGGTCTAAGTCTCTTTTTAAGTCTCTAAGAGCTTACTTTATGCATCTGGGTGCTCCTGTGTTGGGTGCATATATATTTAGGATAATTAGCTCTTCTTGTTGCATTGATCCTTTTACCATTATGCAATGCCCTTATTTGTCTCTTTTGATCTTTGTTGGTTTAAAGTCTGTTTTATCAGAGACTAGGATTGCAACCCCTGCTTTTTTTTTGCCTTCCATTTGCTTGGTAAGTATTCCTCCATCCCTTTATTTTGAGCCTATTTGTGTCTTTGCACGTGAGATGGGTCTCCTGAATACAGAACACTGATGGGTCTTGACTCTTTAGCCAATTTGCCAGTCTGTGTTTTTTAATTGGAGCATTTAGCCCATTTACATTTAAGGTTGATATTGTTATGTGTGAATTTGATCCTGTCATTACGATGCTAGCTGGTTATTTTGCTGTTAGTTAATGCAGTTTCTTCATAGTGTCAATGGTCTTTACAATTTGGTATGTTTTTGCAGTGGCTGATACCAGTTGTTCCTTTCCATGTTTAGTGCTTCCTTCAGGAGCTCCTTTAAGGCAGGCCTGGTGGTGACAAAATCTCTCAGCATTTGCTTGTCTGTAAAGGATTTTATTTCTCCTTCACTTATGAAGCTTAGTTTGGCTGGATATGAAATCCTGGGTGGAAAATTCTTTTCTTTAAGAATGTTGAATATTGGCCCCCATTCTCTTCTGGCTTGTAGAGTTTCTGCTGATAGATCTGCTGTTAGTCTGATGGGCTTCCCTTTGTGGGTAACCTGACCTTTCTCTCTGGCTGCCCTTAACATTTTTTCCTTCATTTCAACCTTGCTCAATCTGATGACTATGTGTCTTGGGGTTGCTTTTCTTGAGGAGTGTCTTTGTGATGTTCTCCATATTTCTGAATTTGAATATTGGCCTGCCTTGCTAGGTTAGGGAAGTTCTCCTGGATAATATCCCAAAGAGTGTTTTCTAACTTGGTTCCATTCTCCCCATCACTTTCAGGTACAGCAATCAAACGTAGATTTGGTCGTTTCACATAGTCCCATATTTCTTGGAGGCTTTGTTCATTTCTTTTCATTCTTTTTTCTCTAATCTTGTCTTCTTGATTTATTTCATTAAGTTGATATTCAGTCTCTGATATCTTTCTTCCGCTTGACCGAATCAGTGCTTGATCCTTGTGCATGCTGCATGAAGTTCTCATGGCGTGTTTTTCAGCTCCATCAGGTCATTTATGTTCTTCTCTAAACTGGTTATTCTAGTTAGCAAGTGGTCTAACCTTTTTTCCAGGTCCTTAGCTTCCTTACATTGGGTTAGGACATGCTCCTTTAGCTTGGAGGAGTTTGTTATTACCTACCTTCTGAAACCTACTTCTCTCAATTCGTCAAACTCATTCTCTGTCCAGTTTTCTTTTGTTCCCTTGCTGGTGAGGAGTTGTGATCCTTTGGAGGAGAAGAGGCGTTCTGGTTTTTGGAATTTTCAGCCTTTTTGCTCTGGTTTCTCTCCATCTTCATGGATTTATCTACCTGTGGTTTCTGATGTTGGTGACCTTCTGATGGGGTCACTGAGTGGCTGTCCTTTTTGTTGATGTTGATGCTATTCCTTTTTGTTTGTTAGTTTTCCTTCTAACAGTCAGGCCCCTCTGCTGCAGGTCTGTTGGGGTTTGCCCTAGGTCTACTCTAGACCCTGTTTGCCTGGGTATCACCAGCAGAGGCTGGAGAACAGCCAAGATTGCTGCCTGTTTCTTCCTCTGGAAGTTTTGTCCCAGAGGGGCACCCACCAGATGCCAGCCAGAGCTCTCCTGTATGAGGTGCCTGTTGGCACCTACTGGGAGGTGTCTCCCAGTCAGGATACACGGGGGTCAGGGACCCACTTGAGGAGGCAGTCTGACCCTTATCAGAGCTCGAATACTGTGCTGGGAGATCTGCTGCTCTCTTCAGAGCCATCAGGCTTTTCAAAGATGCTTTAAGTCTGCTGAAGCTGTGCCCACAGCCGCCCTTTCCCCTAGGTGCTCTGTTCCAGGGAGATGGGGGTTTTATCTATAGGTCTCTGACTGGGGCTGCTGCCCTTTTTTCAGAGATGCCTTGCCCAGAGAGGAGAAATCTAGAGAGGCAGTCTGGCTGCTGTGGCCTTGCTGAGTTGTGGTGGGCTCCACCCAGTTCAAACTTTCTGGTGGCTTTGTTTACACAGTGGGGGTAAAACTGCCTACTCAAGCCTTGGCAATGTGGAAGCCCCTCCCCCCACCAAGCTCTAGTGTCCTAGGTCAACCTCAGACTGCTGTGCAAGAATTTCAAGCCAGTGGATCTTAGCTTGCTGGGCTCTGTAGGGGTGGGACCCGCCGAGCCAGACCACTTGGCTCCCTGGCTTCAGCCCCCTTTCCAGGAGAGAGAATGGTTCTGTCTTGTTGGCATTCCAGTTGCCACTGTGGCATAAAAAAAAAAAACCTCCTGCAGCTAGCTCGGTGTCTGCCCAAACAGCTGCCTAGTTTTGTGCTTGAAACCTAGGGCCTTGGTGGCAGAGGCACTGGAGGGAATCTCCTGGTCTGTGGATTGTGAAGACCATGAGAAAAGCATAGTTTCTGGGTGGAGTGCACCGTTCCTCATGGTACAGTCCCTCGGGGCTTCCCTTGGCTAGGGGAGGGAATTCCCCCAACCCCTTGCACTTCTTGGGTGAGGCAACGCCCCATTCTGCTTTGGCTCACCCTCCGTGGGCTGCACCCACTGTCCAACCAGTCCCAGTGAGATGAACCAGGTACCTCAGTTGGAAATGCAGAAATCACCTGCATTCTGCATTGATCTCACTGGGAGCTGCAGACTGGAGCTGTTCCTATTTGGCCATGTTGCCAGCAAATTCTGAGATTTTTTTCAAAAGTGCAAAGAAAGACATCTGAGGGGTGCTGACATATTCGGGTCACCTCAAGCCACATGCCAGCTTGCTTGCCCCTGTTGGATTCAGCAGAGGGAGATAGGCCTTGCCATACCTGTGGTGTCTGCCAAAGCTTCCTCCTGGCAATTCTTGGGAGTGCTGATACCTGGGCCACAGTTAGTCCAAGTTTATCACTGAAGATCCTATCAAAGTTTTGTCTGAAATTCCACTTTTGCCTTTTGTCCTAAGTGGTTGTGGACATCTCCAGGGGCTGATACCAAGGACTAGGAACAGCTGAGAGAGGCAGAAAGGTTCAGAGTACATCTCTATTTACAGGGAACAGAACACCGGCCTCCGAGAGTCCATGGAGCAATGGGAAAATTGCAGTGATTACTCATCACTGTGAAACTTCTACTTTGAATACAGTATCTTCTGGCAAGCATAGGGGACTGCAGTCGACAATGCTGCTGAATATACCTGAGTACATAGTAAGACATTTGTTTGGTAAACAGTCAATGCATACAATAAATTACCTTGAGAGGGCCATCTGTGCTCCAGATGTGAGAGTTCATGTGAATAGAATGGCTGCAATTCAAAGAATCTTCACAGGAAAACAGGGCTCAGAGCTCATCCACAATGGACAGACAGGGAGGGAAACAGGTGGAGGTTAGTTCACCACTTCCTCATAAGAAGGTAATAAATAGTTTGGTGAAATAAAATGGTAGCACTGAGTAATTGCGGGCTTCTGGATAGGCAGTCAGGTTGATTTCATGTTGCTACTGCTGGACTTGAGGGCTGGCTTGGCTGTGGTGGCAGACACAGCAGCAGCTCAGGATGATGGTGATGGTCCATGCCAGCCAGAACCACCAATGTTCATAGTAGTAGTTACAACACTGAGACTGCCCATAGCAGTGTCCTGTTGTGTCACAGATGTAGCTTTGATTGTTGGTACACACACAGGCTTCCTTATCCTGTGGGGGTTCAGCCCTGGCTGACACAGGGCTGGGCAGTGCCTAGAGGTGCAAGAGCTCCATGCCACCCAGGAGTCTTCCCTCCATACTCCTCCTGCTCCTCCGACCCAGCGTGGGCACCTCCCTCCACCCTTGCTGCACTTCTCCTCTACCCTCTTCTTCCTTCTTTTGTTCTTTTCCTGTAATATGTTTTGAAGTCAGATTGTGAGGCCTTCAGCTTTGTTCTTATTGCTCAAGAGTCCTTTAGTTATTCAGGATCCTTTGTGGTTCCATATAAATTTTCAAATTGTTTTTTCTATTTCTGTGAAGAATGACATTGAAATTTTGATAAATATTGCATTAAACCTATAAATCGCTTTGGGCAGTAAGGACATTTTAAGAATATTAATTCTTCCTACCCATGAACATAAAATATCTTTCCATGTATTTGTGTCATCTACAATTTTTCATCAATGTTTTATAGTGTTCAGAATACAGATCTTTCACCTCCTTGGTTAAATGTACTCCTAAGTACTATCCTAAATGTGCTCCTAAACAAAAAAAATACGTTTTTTTTGATGTTACTGTGAATGAGATTGATTTCTTTATTTTTGTCATATAGTTTGTTGTGAGTGTAAAGAAACTACTGAGTTTTGTACATTGATTTTGAATTCTGAAATTTTATTGAATTCATTTATCATTTCTAATAGCTTTTTGGTGGAGTTTTTAGGGTTTCCTATATATAATATGTCATCAAACAGAGACAATTTTACTTCTTCCTTTTCAATTTGAATATTTTATTTCTTTATTTGGCTTAATTGCTCTGGCTAGGACTTCCAGAAATAAGTTGAATAGAAGTAGTGAGAATAAATATCCTTGTCTTGTTTTTGATCTTAGCAGAAAAGATTTTACTTTTTCATTGTTGGGTATGATGTGAGCTGTGAGCTTGTTATATATGTCCTGTTTTGTGTTAAGGTACATGCCTTCTATGCCCAATTTGTTGAGAGGTTTAGTCATGAGAGGATTTTGAATTTAGTCAAATGCTTTTTCTGCATATATAGAGATAGCTATTTTTTTATCCTTCATTCTGTTAATGTGGTTTATCACATTTGATTTGTGTTTGCTGAAACATCTGGAGGATAAATCCACTTTATCATGGTAAATGTTCTCCTAATATGTTGTTAAATTCTGTTTGCTAGTACTTTTTTTTGAGGACTTTTGTATCTGTGTTCATCAGGGATATTGGTTGGCCCATACTTTTCTTATAGTGTCCTTGTTTGCCTTTTTATTTTTATTTTTATTTATTTATTTTTTAAATTATACTTTAAGTTTTAGGATACATGTGCACAACGTACAGGTTAGTTACATATGTATACATGTGCCATGCTGGTGTGCTGCACCCATTAACTCATCATTTAACATTAGGTATATCTCCTAATGCTATCCCTCCCCCCTCCCCCCACCCCACAACAGGCCCCAGTGCTAATATCCGGAATCTACAATGAACCCAAACAAATTTACAAGAAAAAAACAAACAACCCCATCAAAAAGTGGGCAAAGGATATGAACAGACACTTCTCAAAAGAAGACATTTATGCAGCCAAAAAACACATGAAAAAATGCTCACTATCACTGGCCATCAGAGAAATGCAAATCAAAACCACAATGAGATACCATCTTACACCAGTTAGAATGGCCATCATTAAAAAGTCAGGAAACAACAGGTGCTGGAGAGGATGTGGAGAAATAGGAACATTTTTACACTGTTGGTGGGACTGTAAACTAGTTCAACCATTGTGGAAGACAGTGTGGTGATTCCGCAGGGATCTAGAACTAGAAATACCATTTGACCCAGCCATCCCATTACTGGGTATATACCCAAAGGACTATAAATCATGCTGCTATAAAGACACATGCACACGTATGTTTACTGTGGCACTATTCACAATAGCAAAGACTTGGAACCAATCCAAATGTCCAACAATGATAGACTGGATTAAGAAAACGTGGCACATATACACCATGGAATACTATGCAGCCATAAAAAATGATGAGTTCATGTCCTTTGTAGGGACATGGATGAAGCTGGAAACCATCATTCTCAGCAAACAATCACAAGGACAAAAAACCAAACACCGCATGTTCTCACTCATAGGTGGGAATTGGACAATGAGAACACATGGACACAGGAAGGGGAACATCACTTTAAAAAAAAACAATAATGCTGATCTTTTAAAATGAGTTTGGAAATACTCTTTCTCCTTCAAGTTTTTGGAAGAATTTCAGAAAGATTGTATTATTATTTTTTAAAATGTTAGAATTCAGCAATGAAGTTTTCTGGTCCTGGGATGTTCTTTGATGGGAGATGTTTTATTATTGATATACTCTCCATACTCAGTATTGTTCTGTTCAGATTTTATCTTTCTTCTTGACTTTCTCTAGGTAAGTTGCATTTTTCTAGAAATTTATCTGCTTTTTCTAGGTTATCCAATTTGTTGGCTTGTAATTGTTTATAGTGGCCCCTTATGATCCTCTGTATTTCTGTGGTATTAGTTGCAATATTTCCTCTTTCATTTCTGATTTTATTGCTTTGAGTATTCTCTCATTTTTCTAGTCTAGCTAATGGTTTGTCAGTTTTATCTTTTCAAAGAACAAATTCTTAGTTTCATTGATCTGTTCTATTTTCTTTCACAGTCTTTTTTGTATTTGAAGGACTTGTATTTGTTAACTGGCTCAAGCCTGGACATTTGTTGAGGTGCTATGAGTCTCTATTGCTCTCATTTCTCTTCACTAGACATAGAAATTTTCTGATTACACGAATCAAATAAGACTAATAAGCTTCCCAGGGATGAATCCCACTTAAGCATGGTGAATTTTTTTGCTGTGTTTTTTTAAAAATAATATTTGCTAATATTTGGCTGAAGGTTTTTCCATCCAAGTTCATCAGGAGTATTGGTCTGCAATTTATTTTTATTATAGTGTCCTTCTCTGGTTTTGGTATCAGGGTAATGCTGGTTTTGAAAAATGAATTTGGAAGTATTCCTCTTCTTCATTTTTTTTGGAAGAGTTTGGGAAGGATTGGTGTTAATCATCTAAGTGTTTGTTGGAATTCAGCCACCAAGCCATTCAATCCTGGGTCTTTCTTTTATGAGAGACCTTTCATTGGTGATTTAATTTCCTTATTCATGATTTCTTCTAAATTTTGAATTCTTCATGATTCAGTTTTGGTACGAGTTTATCAATTTCTTCTAGGTTATCTAATTTGCTGGTGAATAATTGTTTATAGTAGTATGTTATGATTTTTTAACTTCTGTGGTATCAGTTGTAATGTCTCTTCTTTCACTTATGAGTTTGTTTTCTTTTTTCTTAGTCTATGTAAGAATTTGTTAATTTTGTTTATCTTTTCAAAAAACAATTCTTATTTTTATTGAAATTTTCAGTTTCTATTATATTATTTCTGCTCTGATCTTTGTTATTTGTTTCCTTCTGCTATCTTTGGGCTTGTATTGTTCTCTAATTTTCTCGCTCCTTTAGGCATAATATTAGGTTGCTTATTTGAGATCTTTTTTTTCTTTTTTGATGTAGGCATTTATTGCTATAAATGTCCCTCTTATAACTGCTTTTGTTGCATCCCATATGTTTTAGTATGTTATGTTTCCATTTTCATGCTACCTGATTTTAGAATATATTTCAAAGCATGGGGTATAGTGCTTTTAAAAAGAGGCTATATATAGGTATATATAAAAACAATACACACATTATATATAAACTATGACATGCTTGTAAAGAAAAGAGAACATAAAGTTTCTGAGGAAATAATTAGAAGAACAAGAGGATGCAAAGGGGTCTGTCAAAGATTCAGTGAAATGAGGGTTTTTGGATATTCACAGCTAATAGATTAATGCATTAGGAATGAGCAAAAAAATTGATGGTAGTCAAACAGAGGGAGGGAGGTAGATTTTGAATGATTCAAAGCAGGAGTGTTTTGAAGGTAAACAGAATAACTAAAAAGAAAGACTCAGATGAAAAGCCTAGATTTAAAGCATTTGAATCAAGAGGTGGTAATCTAGGAATTAGGTTGATTTCTTTTTTTTTAAATTTGTGTAGCTTTTTATTTTATTTTTTATTATACTTTAAGTTTTAGGGTACATGTGCACAAAGTGCAGGTTTGTTACATATGTATACATGTGCCATGTTGGTGTGCTGCACCCAGAAGACTGGTTAATTTCAATAACCTAAAAATCCACAAGGTGGGAGTGTTTCACTGAAGCCAGTTGTTAGAGAAACGTTAGAACCAACTTCCTTTTTTTCTCTGTCCCTTCTTCTCTGCTTTCTTCTTTTCTCCTCCTCCTCCTCCCTTTACTCTCCTTCTTCTCTCTCTGTTTTTCTAATCATGAAAACAAATGAAAAAAACTATGAGCAAGAGCACAGAAAAAAGACTAGCAAAGACTGCAGTTATTGAAAGTATCAGATACAGAAAATAAAATAAAATAACTATATTTAGTATGTTTAAAGTAAAACAAAAAATTAAAAATATCATAATGGAACAGGAAACTCTAGAGAATGGCCAAGAAGATTAAAAGAAAACAAATAGAATGTCCATAGAGAATAACATAATTGAAATTTAAACCCAAATGAATGGTTTTAACAGAATATTAGTATGTTAGAAGCAGTTGAAGAGTGAACTAGTAAACTGTAATATAGGTCAGAAGGGGCTATCCAAAATGAACACAGGAATAAAGACATGGAAAATAAGAAACATGTAGTTAGGAGACATGGAAGACAGAGGGGGAAATGCTAAAAAGTTTTAAAGAGTGTTTCAGAAGGAGAGAAAGGAGATCATGAATCAGTGTATATATTTTTTAAATTTTATTTTATGTTCTGGGATACACGTGCAGAAAGTGTAGGTTTGATACATAGGTAAATGTGTGCCATGGTGGTTTGCTGCACCCATCAACCCATCACCTAGGTATGAGGCCCTGCATGCATTAGCTATTTGTCCTGATGGTCTCCTACCCCCTGTCCCCCTGAGAGGCCCTGGTGTGTGTTGTTCCCCTCCATGTATCCACGTGTTTGTCCTGATGGTCTCCTACCCCCTGTCCCGCTGAGAGGCCCTGGTGTGTGTTGTTCCCCTCCATGTACCCACGTGTTTGTCCTGATGGTCTCCTACCCCCTGTCCCCCTGAGAGGCCCTGGTGTGTGTTGTTCCCCTCCATGTATCCACGTGTTTGTCTTGATGGTCTCCTACCCCCTGTCCCGCTGAGAGGCCCTGGTGTGTGTTGTTCCCCTCCATGTATCCACGTGTTTGTCCTGATGGTCTCCTACCCCCTGTCCCCCTGAGAGGCCCTGGTGTGTGTTGTTCCCCTCCATGTATCCACGTGTTTGTCCTGATGGTCTCCTACCCCCTGTCCCCCTGAGAGGCCCTGGTGTGTGTTGTTCCCCTCCATGTACCCACGTGTTTGTCCTGATGGTCTCCTACCCCCCGTCCCCCTGAGAGGTCCTGGTGTGTGTTGTTCCCCTCCATGTACCCACGTGTTTGTCCTGATGGTCTCCTACCCCCTGTCCCCCTGAGAGGCCCTGGTGTGTGTTGTTCCCCTCCATGTACCCACGTGTTTGTCCTGATGGTCTCCTACCCCCTGTCCCCCTGAGAGGTCCTGGTGTGTGTTGTTCCCCTCCATGTACCCACGTGTTTGTCCTGATGGTCTCCTACCCCCTGTCCCCCTGAGAGGCCCTGGTGTGTGTTGTTCCCCTCCATGTACCCACGTGTTTGTCCTGATGGTCTCCTACCCCCTGTCCCCCTGAGAGGTCCTGGTGTGTGTTGTTCCCCTCCATGTACCCACGTGTTTGTCCTGATGGTCTCCTACCCCTGTCCCCCTGAGAGGCCCTGGTGTGTGTTGTTCCCCTCCATGTACCCACGTGTTTGTCTTGATGGTCTCCTACCCCCTGTCCCCCTGAGAGGCCCTGGTGTGTGTGTTCCCCTCCATGTACCCACGTGTTTGTCTTGATGGTCTCCTACCCCCTGTCCCCCTGAGAGGCCCTGGTGTGTGTTGTTCCCCTCCATGTATCCACGTGTTTGTCTTGATGGTCTCCTACCCCCTGTCCCCCTGAGAGGCCCTGGTGTGTGTTGTTCCCCTCCATGTATCCACGTGTTTGTCCTGATGGTCTCCTACCCCCTGTCCCCCTGAGAGGTCCTGGTGTGTGTTGTTCCCCTCCATGCATCCACGTGTTTGTCCTGATGGTCTCCTACCCCCTGTCCCCCTGAGAGGCCCTGGTGTGTGTTGTTCCCCTCCATGTACCCACGTGTTTGTCCTGATGGTCTCCTACCCCCTGTCCCCCTGAGAGGCCCTGGTGTGTGTTGTTCCCCTCCATGTACCCACGTGTTTGTCCTGATGGTCTCCTACCCCCCGTCCCGCTGAGAGGCCCTGGTGTGTGTTGTTCCCCTCCATGTACCCACGTGTTTGTCCTGATGGTCTCCTACCCCCTGTCCCGCTGAGAGGCCCTGGTGTGTGTTGTTCCCCTCCATGTGATGGTCTCCTACCCCCTGTCCCCCTGAGAGGCCCTGGTGTGTGTTGTTCCCCTCCATGTATCCACGTGTTTGTCCTGATGGTCTCCTACCCCCTGTCCCCCTGAGAGGCCCTGGTGTGTGTTGTTCCCCTCCATGTACCCACGTGTTTGTCCTGATGGTCTCCTACCCCCTGTCCCCCTGAGAGGCCCTGGTGTGTGTTGTTCCCCTCCATGTACCCACGTGTTTGTCCTGATGGTCTCCTACCCCCTGTCCCCCTGAGAGGCCCTGGTGTGTGTTGTTACCCTCCATGTACCCACGTGTTTGTCCTGATGGTCTCCTACCCCCTGTCCCCCTGAGAGGCCCTGGTGTGTGTTGTTCCCCTCCATGTACCCACGTGTTTGTCCTGATGGTCTCCTACCCCCTGTCCCGCTGAGAGGCCCTGGTGTGTGTTGTTCCCCTCCATGCATCCACGTGTTTGTCCTGATGGTCTCCTACCCCCTGTCCCCCTGAGAGGCCCTGGTGTGTGTTGTTCCCCTCCATGTACCCACGTGTTTGTCCTGATGGTCTCCTACCCCCTGTCCCCCTGAGAGGCCCTGGTGTGTGTTGTTCCCCTCCATGTACCCACGTGTTTGTCCTCATGGTCTCCTACCCCCTGTCCCCCTGAGAGGCCCTGGTGTGTGTTGTTCCCCTCCATGTATCCACATGTTTGTCCTGATGGTCTCCTACCCCCTGTCCCGCTGAGAGGCCCTGGTGTGTGTTGTTCCCCTCCATGTATCCACGTGTTTGTCTTGATGGTCTCCTACCCCCTGTCCCCCTGAGAGGCCCTGGTGTGTGTTGTTCCCCTCCATGTACCCACATGTTTGTCCTGATGGTCTCCTACCCCCTGTCCCGCTGAGACGCCCTGGTGTGTGTTGTTCCCCTCCATGTACCCACGTGTTTGTCTTGATGGTCTCCTACCCCCTGTCCCCCTGAGAGGCCCTGGTGTGTGTTGTTCCCCTCCATGTACCCACGTGTTTGTCTTGATGGTCTCCTACCCCCTGTCCCCCTGAGAGGCCCTGGTGTGTGTTGTTCCCCTCCATGTACCCACGTGTTTGTCTTGATGGTCTCCTACCCCCTGTCCCCCTGAGAGGCCCTGGTGTGTGTTGTTCCCCTCCATGTATCCACGTGTTTGTCTTGATGGTCTCCTACCCCCTGTCCCCCTGAGAGGCCCTGGTGTGTGTTGTTCCCCTCCATGTACCCACGTGTTTGTCCTGATGGTCTCCTACCCCCTGTCCCGCTGAGAGGCCCTGGTGTGTGTTGTTCCCCTCCATGTATCCACGTGTTTGTCCTGATGGTCTCCTACCCCCTGTCCCCCTGAGAGGCCCTGGTGTGTGTCGTTCCCCTCCATGTATCCACGTGTTTGTCCTGATGGTCTCCTACCCCCTGTCCCCCTGAGAGGCCCTGGTGTGTGTTGTTCCCCTCCATGTATCCACGTGTTTGTCCTGATGGTCTCCTACCCCCTGTCCCCCTGAGAGGCCCTGGTGTGTGTTGTTCCCCTCCATGTATCCACGTGTTTGTCCTGATGGTCTCCTACCCCCTGTCCCCCTGAGAGGCCCTGGTGTGTGTTGTTCCCCTCCATGTATCCACGTGTTTGTCCTGATGGTCTCCTACCCCCTGTCCCCCTGAGAGGCCCTGGTGTGTGTTGTTCCCCTCCATGTATCCACGTGTTTGTCCTGATGGTCTCCTACCCCCTGTCCCGCTGAGAGGCCCTGGTGTGTGTTGTTCCCCTCCATGTATCCACGTGTTTGTCCTGATGGTCTCCTACCCCCTGTCCCGCTGAGAGGCCCTGGTGTGTGTTGTTCCCCTCCATGTACCCACGTGTTTGTCCTGATGGTCTCCTACCCCCTGTCCCGCTGAGAGGCCCTGGTGTGTGTTGTTCCCCTCCATGTACCCACGTGTTTGTCCTGATGGTCTCCTACCCCCTGTCCCCCTGAGAGGCCCTGGTGTGTGTTGTTCCCCTCCATGTACCCACGTGTTTGTCCTGATGGTCTCCTACCCCTGTCCCCCTGAGAGGCCCTGGTGTGTGTTGTTCCCCTCCATGTACTCACGTGTTTGTCCTGATGGTCTCCTACCCCCTGTCCCCCTGAGAGGCCCTGGTGTGTGTTGTTCCCCTCCATGTACCCACGTGTTTGTCCTGATGGTCTCCTACCCCCTGTCCCGCTGAGACGCCCTGGTGTGTGTTGTTCCCCTCCATGTATCCACGTGTTTGTCCTGATGGTCTCCTACCCCCTGTCCCCCTGAGAGGCCCTGGTGTGTGTTGTTCCCCTCCATGTACCCACGTGTTTGTCCTGATGGTCTCCTACCCCCTGTCCCGCTGAGAGGCCCTGGTGTGTGTTGTTCCCCTCCATGTATCCACGTGTTTGTCCTGATGGTCTCCTACCCCCTGTCCCCCTGAGAGGCCCTGGTGTGTGTTGTTCCCCTCCATGTATCCACGTGTTTGTCCTGATGGTCTCCTACCCCCTGTCCCCCTGAGAGGTCCTGGTGTGTGTTGTTCCCCTCCATGTATCCACGTGTTTGTCCTGATGGTCTCCTACCCCCTGTCCCCATGAGAGGCACTGGTGTGTGTTGTTCCCCTCCATGTATCCACGTGTTTGTCCTGATGGTCTCCTACCCCCTGTCCCCCTGAGAGGCCCTGGTGTGTGTTGTTCCCCTCCATGTACCCACGTGTTTGTCCTGATGGTCTCCTACCCCTGTCCCCCTGAGAGGCCCTGGTGTGTGTTGTTCCCCTCCATGTATCCACGTGTTTGTCCTGATGGTCTCCTACCCCCTGTCCCCCTGAGAGGCCCTGGTGTGTGTTGTTCCCCTCCATGTATCCACGTGTTTGTCCTGATGGTCTCCTACCCCCTGTCCCCCTGAGAGGCCCTGGTGTGTGTTGTTCCCCTCCATGTATCCACGTGTTTGTCCTGATGGTCTCCTACCCCCTGTCCCCCTGAGAGGCCCTGGTGTGTGTTGTTCCCCTCCATGTACCCACGTGTTTGTCCTGATGGTCTCCTACCCCTGTCCCCCTGAGAGGCCCTGGTGTGTGTTGTTCCCCTCCATGTACCCACGTGTTTGTCCTGATGGTCTCCTACCCCCTGTCCCCCTGAGAGGTCCTGGTGTGTGTTGTTCCCCTCCATGTATCCACGTGTTTGTCCTGATGGTCTCCTACCCCTGTCCCCCTGAGAGGCCCTGGTGTGTGTTGTTCCCCTCCATGTATCCACGTGTTTGTCCTGATGGTCTCCTACCCCCCGTCCCCCTGAGAGGCCCTGGTGTGTGTTGTTCCCCTCCATATACCCACGTGTTTGTCCTGATGGTCTCCTACCCCCTGTCCCCCTGAGAGGCCCTGGTGTGTGTTGTTCCCCTCCATGTACCCACGTGTTTGTCCTGATGGTCTCCTACCCCCTGTCCCCCTGAGAGGTCCTGGTGTGTGTTGTTCCCCTCCATGTACCCACGTGTTTGTCCTGATGGTCTCCTACCCCCTGTCCCCCTGAGAGGTCCTGGTGTGTGTTGTTCCCCTCCATGTACCCACGTGTTTGTCCTGATGGTCTCCTACCCCTGTCCCCCTGAGAGGCCCTGGTGTGTGTTGTTCCCCTCCATGTATCCACGTGTTTGTCCTGATGGTCTCCTACCCCCTGTCCCCCTGAGAGGCCCTGGTGTGTGTTGTTCCCCTCCATGTACCCACGTGTTTGTCCTGATGGTCTCCTACCCCCTGTCCCCCTGAGAGGTCCTGGTGTGTGTTGTTCCCCTCCATGTACCCACGTGTTTGTCCTGATGGTCTCCTACCCCCTGTCCCCCTGAGAGGCCCTGGTGTGTGTTGTTCCCCTCCATGTACCCACGTGTTTGTCCTGATGGTCTCCTACCCCCTGTCCCCCTGAGAGGTCCTGGTGTGTGTTGTTCCCCTCCATGTACCCACGTGTTTGTCCTGATGGTCTCCTACCCCCTGTCCCCCTGAGAGGCCCTGGTGTGTGGTGTTCCCCTCCATGTATCCATGTGTTTGCTCTCATTGTTCAACTCCCTCTTACGACTGAGAACATGTGGTGTTTGGTTTTCTGTTCCTGTGTTAGTTTGCTGAGGGTGATGGCTTCCAGCTTCATCCATGTCCCTGCAAAGAACATGATCTCATTTATTTTAATGGCTGCATAGTATTCCATGGTGAATATATATCACATTTTCTTTATCCAATATATCATTGATGGGCATTTGGGTTGATTCCATGTATTTTCTATCGTAAATAGTGCTGCAATAAACATATGTGTGCATGTATATGTATGTGTGTGTGTATATATATGTAGTTATAATATGTATATATATGTGTATATATATGTGTGTATATATATACACATATATATACATTTACATATATAATATCTGTATATATGTATATATATGTGTATATATATGTATGTATATGTATATATATATATTTTTTTGAGATGGAGTTTTGCTCTTGTTGCCCAGGCTGGAGTGCAATGGTATGATCTTGGCTCACTTTGACCTCTGCCTCCTGGGTTCCAGCGATTCTCCTGCCTCAGCCTCCAAAGTAGCTGGTATTACAGGTGTGCACCACTATACCTGGCTAATTTTTGTATTTTTAGTAGAGATGGAGTTTCCCCATGTTGGCTAGGCTGGTCTCAAACTCCTGTCCTCAGGTGATCCACCCGCCTTGGCCTCCCAAAGTGCTGGGATTACAGGTGTGAGCCACTGCACCCAGCCCTGTGCATGTATCTTTATAATAGAATGATTTATATTCCTTTGGGCATATATCCAGTAAAGGGATTTCTGGGGCAAATGGCATTTCTGGTTCTAGATCTTTGAGGAATTTTCACACTGCCTTCCACAGTGAATGAACTAATTTACATTCCCACAAACAGTGTAAAAACATTCCTATTTCTCCACAGCCTTACCAGCAACTGTTGTTTCTGGAGTTTTTGATAATCACCATTAAGACTGGTTTGAGATAGTATCTCATTGTGGTTTTGAGTTGCATTTCTCTAATGATCAGTGATTTGAGCTTTTTTTCATATGTTTGTTGGCCACATCCATGTCTTCTTTTGAGAATTGTCTGTTCATGTCCTTTGGCCAATTTTTGATGGTTTTTTTTTTTCTTGTAAATTTAAGTTCTCCATAGGAGCAGGTGCTCTAATTGCTTGGAGGTCTGCCTATGTGTGGAGATGAGAGGGCCTCACTGCACTATAATCTCAGCACAGGAAGGTTGGGGAAGCTCAGGCTGCTGATCCAGTCAAGTGGGTACTCCACATACCTGGAAATCTGCCTGGCCATAGACTGGAGAGGGCCCCACTGCACCACAACCTATGTTTACAAACGGTGGGGTAGCTCAGGATGCTGGTCCAGGTAGACAGGTGCTCCAATGCCTGAATTTCTGCCTGGGGGTGAAGCAGAGAAAGCCCTGCTGTATCACATTCTCAGGGGAACAGGCTGGGGCACCCAGCAATGACACCTGCAGACTGGTTGTAGGTCTCCAAGCTTGCCCTGGCTGCAAGTTTCATCACCTGGGAGAAATTACAGCTGTAGCAGCTTTTCTGTTGCCCCGAGGCTGCGATGGGGGAAAGCACAATTCCAGCACATACTGCTGAGGTGTTTCCCACAATATGGCTGTGAAGGTCCCTACCAAGCCCCAAAGCAGTTGTTCCAATCTTTGGCCTGAGACTAAAATGCCTGTGCAGGCATTCTGCTGGGTCACAAAAAGAAAAAAAAAAGCTGACTTTGCATGCATCCAGATTGAAAATGGCATCTTGCTCTTACTTCCTGGTCTGGGAAAATGTCTGCAGCTGTTCCCAGTGTCTTTGCTTCACAGCATCTCCAAGCCTCTCCCCATGTTGACTCCAGGCCTTGGGAGAAACAAAATGCAACAACTTGGCTGGGGTTGCTCAGATTCACAGTGAAAATGTCAGTTACAGAGGGAGGCTCTCTGCCTCTCTCACATACTAGGACTTCGCTCACTTTTATAAGCTGGTTGCTGTCATGTTGACTGTTTGCTCACATTCTCCTTCTTGGGATCTATGATGTCCTTCATGATTCTGGTGGATTCCCATTTTCCTTCTTGACTTAGAGCTCACAGAGTTGACCTTTGTGCACTCTCTTGCTATTTCTAAGTGGCCGAGGCACACTAAAAGCCTCTAATTTATCATCTTGGGAAAAAAACAAAACAGGGAAGTTTGCTTTTGCAAATTGTTGTTTGTGGGGGTCTGTCCTGCAGACCCCAGCTGCACGAGGGATGAATAATGTACTCAGACACCAATTATTCAGTGAAAGAGCCGCTAGGGGGCTGGGCCGTGCACAGAAAGAGTTCTGGCAGCCACGAGCCCTGACTAGCTAGCCCTGCCAGCATTTATTGAAAAAACATTAAATGACAGGGGCTTTTAGTCAACACAAATAGAGGGTAATTAACCTGGTCACCCTCCCCCGAGAGAGAGCCATCCTGCCTGTGAATGATCAAAGGTTGGCTTCAGGACCACATGAGTAAACAAGTTATTTAGATAAACTCCCTTACATTCCTTTGCACCTACTTTAAGCTATTTACTCAAGGAAGGATTAGGCCGCCTTCATTCAGATCTATTACTGAAGCTATACAACACCCCCAGCCTTCCATGAAGGTTTGTGTCGATTTCTTATAACTATCTTTAAAATTTTTCCCACCAGCCTGACTGAACTCCCACAGTTGTTGCTACTTTTTGAAATTGAAATACTTCTAGGAAGACTGATTAAGAACAATATAGAGAAAAGACATATTTTTCAAACTCCTGATGAAGAAGAAACATCCGTTATTAATATATAGCTAATAAAAAGATAAGAGATGTTGTGGAAAACTTCATACAAGGGTGCCCACTCTCAGAACTTCTATTCAACATAGTACTGGATGTCCTAGCCAGAGCAATTAGGCAAAAGAAAGAAATAAAAGGCATGAAAATTGGAAAGGAAGAAGTTAAATTGTTTCTGTTTGCAGTTGACATGATCTTATATATAGAAAACACCAATAACTCTGCCAAAAAATTTAGAATTCATAAATGAATTTAGTAAAGTTGCAGGATACAATGTGAACATACAAAATTCAGTAGCATTTCTACACATCAACAACAAACTATACAAAAAAAGAAATCAAGAAAACAATCCTATTTATAATAGCAACAAAAAATACTTAGATGTAAATTTAAACAAAGAGGTGAATGATCTTTACACTGAAAACTACAAAACATTGATGAAAACAATTGAAGAAGCCACAAATAAATGGAAAGATATCTCATGTTCATGGATTGGAAAAAGTAATATGTTTGAAATGTCCATACTATCCAAAGTGATGTACATATTGAATGCAATCTCTATCAAAATTCCTATGACATTTTCCCACAGAAATAGAAAAACAACTCTCAAATCTGTATGGAATCACAAAAAACTCTGAAAAGCCAAAATAATCTTGATCGAAAAAAGCAAGGCAGGAGATATCACATTACCTGACTTCAAATTATACTACATAGCTATAGCAATCGAAACACCATGGTACTGGCATAAACGCAGACACATAGACCAATTACACAGAATAAAGAGCCCATAAATAAATCTACATATTATAGTCAATTGACTTTCAACAAAGGTGCCAGGAACACACATGGGGAAAGAACAGTCTCTTCAAAAAATGGTGTTGAGAAAACTGAATGTCCACAAGATTGATCTTAGGCCCTTATTTCATACCATATAAAAATATAAATTCAAAATAAGTTAGACTTAAATGTAAGACCTAGCACTATAGAACTCCTAGAAGAAAACAGGGGAATAACTCCAAGACATTGGTCTGGGCAATAATATTTTATGATATGACTCTAAAGCACAGGCAAGAAAAGCAACAAAACACAAATGGAATAGCATCAACCTAAAAAGCTTCTGCACAGCAAAAGAAAGTCAACAGAGTGAAGTGATAACCTACAAAATGGGAGGAATTATCTGCAAACTATACATTTGATAAGAGGCTAATGTCCAAAATATCTTAGGAACTCAAACAACACAATAATAAGAAAACAAGGAACCCTAATGAAAAATTGACAAAGGATCTAAATAGACATTTCTCAAAAGAAGACATACAAATGGCCAACAGATATATAAAAATGCTAATTATCACTGATCATCAGAGAAATGCATATTAAAACTACAATAAAATGCCATTTCACATCCGTTAGAATGGCTGTTACAGAAAAGGCAGAAGATACCAAGTGTTGGAGAGGATGTGGAGAAAAGGAAAACCTTGTAATTGTTGAGAATGTAAACTATTTCAGCCATTGTAAAAGACAGTATAAGTGATTCTGTAAAAATAGAATTACCATATGATTCAGTAATGCTATTTCTGGGCATATATTAAAAAGATATCAAATCAGTGTGTCAATGAGTTATCTGTACTCCCATATTTATTGTAGCATTATTCACAACAGCCAAGATGTGGAATTAACTTAAGTATCCATCGACACATGAGTGGATGAAGAAAATGTGGTACACATACACAATAGAATAGTATACAACCTTAAAAAATAAAAAAAGTATCATTTGTGACAACATGAATGAACCGGGAGGACATTATACTGAGTAAAATAATCCAGGCACAGAAAGCCAGATACTGCATAATCTCACTTGTATGTGGAGGTCTAAGAAGGCTGAACACATAGAAGTACAGAGTAGAATGATGGTTACCAGGAGGATTGGGTAGATGTTGGTCAAAGGGTACAAAATTGCATTGTACAGGAGGAATGAATTCAACAGATCTATTGTGCAATATGGTGACTATAGTGGATAACAATGTATTGTTTTTAAATTTAATTTTTGTGGGTACATAGCAGGTGTATACATTTATGGGGTACATGAAATATTTTGGTACAGGCATGCAATGTACAATAAGTGCATAATGGAAAATTGGATATTCATCCCCTCAAGCATTTATTATTTGTGTTATAAACAATCCAATTATACTCTTTCAGTTATTTTTAAATGTATAATTGAATTTTAGACTGCAATCCCCCTGTTGTGCTATCAAATACTAGGTCTTATTAAATCTTTCTTTTTTTGTACCCATTAACCATCCCCCACCTCTCCCAACCCCCACTACCCTTCACAGCCTCTGGTATACTTCCTTCTACTCTCTATCTCCATGAGTTCAGTTGTTTGCTTTTTGGATTCCACATATAAGTGATAACACATAGTATTTGTCTTTTTGTGCCTGGCTTATTTCACTTAACATAATGACCTCCAGTTTCATCTATGTTGTTGCAAATGACAGGGTCTCATTCCTTTTTATGGCTGAATAATACTTCATTGTATATAAGTACCACATTTTCTTTATTCATTCATCTGTTGATGGACACTTAGGTTGACTCCATAACTTCGCTATTGTAAATAGTGCTGCAACAAATACGGGAGTGCAGATATCTCTTCGATATACTGATTTCTTTTTTGGGGGGTATATATGCAGCAGTGGGATTGCTGGACCACATGGTAGCTCTATTTTTACTTTTTTGAGGAGCCTTCAAACTGTTCTCCATAGGGGATGTACTTGTATTCTTCAAAATTGCTAAGAGTAGATTTTTAAGTGTTCTCATAAAAAAAGATAAGCATGTAAGGTAATGCATATGTTAGCTTAACATGGCTATTTTACAATGAATATATATTTCAAAACATATAATTTTATTTATCTGATAAAATAAATATAAAATATGAAACTTTATATTAATAAATTTGACAATCATAAGGAATGGTCAAGTTCCTATGAAAAATACCTACTTTTATGAAATGATCAGAAAAAAACTAGAAAAACTGAGTAGTTTTTTTTTCATTGTAGAAATTTTATTTAGAAAATTTTTTTTTCCTGTAGAAAGAACTCCAGGGCTAGGTGGATGCAATATTTAATAAAGAAATATTACCAAATATTTAATAAAGAAATAATGCCAATGTTACATGAATATTTTTAGAGAATTGGGAAGACATAACACTTTCCAACTTGTTTTATATGGTGGTACCTCCATGATAGTAAAACCATACAAGGATATTAAAAGAAATGAAATTACAGACTAATATACTACATAATAATTCTAAACAAAAATGTTTGCAAATATAATCCAACAATATACTCCAAAGAAAAATACATCGTGACTAAGTGCAGTAATTTCAAGAATGTATGGTTTAAAATTAGAAAACCAAACAATGAAATTAACCACATTAACTGAATAAAAGAAAAAAATATGGTTATTTCAATAGCTGTGGGAAAAGCACTTGTTCACATTTGAAACTATTTGTAATAATAACAAACTAGGAATAGAAGAGAACTGATGTAAATATCTTAATATATACACAAAAACTACTCTCAACATTATAAATAATCATGACATATTAAACAGTTTCATTCTAACATGAGGAACAAGGTACACATGTCCAGCTCAACACTTTATTCATCATTAAAATAATACTGTGCAGTAAAATTAACAAGGAAAATTTTAAAAAGAACACAAAAGAAAACTACAAATCCTTATCCCTGATCAACACAGATGTAAAAATACTCAACAAAATTCTAGCAAACTGAAGCTAACAACACATCAAAAAGATAATTCATCATGATCAAGTGGGCTTTATTCCAGGGGTGCTTGAATGGTTCAAAATAGACAAATCAATAAACATGATTCACCACATAAATGGAACTGAGAACAAAAACCCTATGATCATCTCATTAGATGCAGAATAAGCATTTGATAAAATCCAACATCTGTTTATGATAAAAACCCTCAACAATATAGGTATAGATGGAGTATACCTCAAAAAATGAGTCATCTATGACAAAGCCACAGCCAACATCATCCTGGATGGGCAAAAGTTAGAAGTGTTGCTTCTAGAAACTGGAAAAAAGCAAGGATGTTCACCTTCATCATTCCTATTCAATACAGTACTGGAAGTGCTAGCCAGAACTATCAGAAAGGAGAAAGAAATAAAAGGTATACAAATTAGAAAAGAAGTCAAATGATCTCTGCTCACTGATGACATGACTGTAGGCCTAGAAAACCCTAAAGTCTTCAGAAGACTCCTAGACTTGATACACGACTTCAGTAAAGTCTTGGGATAAACAAGCCACAAAAATCAGTTGTATTTCTATACACCAAATACATTCAAGCTGTTTGAATGTTTGTTGAGATTAATTTGTTGAGAACCAAATTAAGAACTCAACTGAATTTACAATAGCCATGAAAAATACCTAGGAATGCATAACTATATAAATGAAAGATCTCTACAAGGAGAACTACAAAATACTAATGAAAGAAATTATAGATGACATAAACAAATGGAAAAACATCCCATGCTCATGGATTAGAAAAATCAATAGCTAAAGTGACCATATCACCCATACAATCTATAGAGTTAATGCAATTCCCATCAAATTACCAACGTTATTTCTCACAAAATTAAAAAAAAATCCTAAAGTTCACATGGAGCCAAAAAAAGATCCCTAATAGCCAAAGCACTTCTAAGCAAAAAACAAAGCAAAACAAAACAAAGCCCCCAGAGCAAAAGACAAATATGGTTCCTACAAATGAAGACCAATGGTAATGCTTATCTGTTCGTGGTAGAAGTGTAAATTGGTAGGATTGTTAAAAAAAATAGTGTAGCATTTCATGGTAATGTTGAATAACTCAATAATTTTACTTTTAAATATATACCCCAGAGGATATCTTGCACATATGAACCAGGTGATTTACAAAAGAATGTTCATAGCAGCATTGTTTGTAATGGTTAAAAACTGGAAAAATTTCAAGTGTTCATCAACAATAGATCTGAGGAATGAAGTCCGACATATTCTTGTAGTGGAATATCATATAGCAATACGAATGGATGAATTACACCAACATTCAACAAGGTTGTAATATGCAAACTTATTATTGAATCAAGGTGAAAGTACCTTCTGATAAAGGTGAAAGAACTTCTACAAAATAATTTCATTTATATAAGTTTCAAAGAACCAAACTAAATAATGCATCACTTGAGAACCATTAAAGTCTATTAAAAAACACATACAATGCAATGGAAGGACAGTGGTCATATCCAGCAGGAAATAAAGGAGAACACAATTGGCAAGGAGCACCCAATGGGCGTCTAAGGCACTAGTAAAGTTCTATTTTGTTTCCAATCCTCCAAGACATCTAGTTTTTTTATTTTTCTGAGACATGGTGGCCCAGGCTGGAGTACGATAGTGTGATCTTGGCTCACTGCAACCTGTGTCCTGGGCTTAAGTGATCCTCCCACCTCGGCCTCCCAAAGTACTGGGATTACAGGTGTGAGCCACCATGGCCGGCAAATGTTCTATTTCATATCCTGTATGGTGGACACATAGATGTTCTCTTTTTTATTATTCCTTGAACACTAAGTATATGTTTATTTATATTCTCTGTGGAATACCTCCTTATTTCTCAGTCAATTCAGGATACCTCCTTACCCCCATCCCCTTTTTACTTTTCGTCATGTCATATAGTTTCTGAAATATAGAAAAGCTTACATATTATCCTGTCATCAAAGCGGCATGGAGGCATTTGGTAGAATAAATATTATTTGTTGATTATTCATCCTTTCCTTTCACTTTACAGAGTCAATCAAACACCAGGTCATGTTAATTTTACTGTCACGCACATATCTTGAATTTGCCTCCTTATCTCTATTTCCACTATTCAGTTCAGACCTTGATAATCACTCATCTGCATTGTAGTTGCATTTTTCTAATTATTCTGTTTCTAGTCTTGTTCTAAAATCTTTTTTCCTCCCACAATGCAGCTGGAGTGGTCAATTTAAAGCATCATCTATCTCAAGAACAAAAAACCAAACACCGCATGTTTTCACTCATAGGTGGGACTTGAACAATGAGAACACTTGGACACAGGAAGGGGAATATCACACACCGCGGCCTGTTGTGGGGTGGGGGGAGAGGGGAGGGATAGCATTAGGAGATATACCTAATGTAAATGATGAGTTAATGGGTGCAGCACACCAACACGGCACATGTATACATATGTAACCTGCACGTTGTGCACATGTACCCTAGAACTTAAAGTATAATAAAAATAAATATTAAAAAAAGAAGCATCATCTTTATTAAAACATTTAACGGTCCTACTATTCCTTATGCTATAAATTTCTTATAATTTAATAAATATTTTTCCGTAATTGTGACTCTCTTCTATAGCTCTTGTTACTCCCGATATTCTTCTAATTATCAGGCAGCAGCACAAAGCTGCTTACACCTCTTTACACATCTCTTTATTTTAGGCCTCCTTGCATTTGCTCATGCTGTGCCTTTTTGTTTGAAAAACTTACACATTTCTTCATTTGGTTAATCCTTGCACACTTTCAAGACTCATTTGAGGCCTCATTGACTTTGGAAACCTTCCCTGTAATCTTGTATTATTAACTTATCTTAGTTTTCACTTATTAGCTCTTATTAGATTACTGTCCTTACGTGTGTAACTCTCCCACTAGACAGTAAGCTTTTGGACGGCAGAGATGATGTCTCATTCATCTTTGCATCTTTAGCGCCCAGCCTGGTTTCTGGTTTCCTATAGTCACTCAGTGTTGAGCTAAACCATATTTTTGGAGCAATGACTTGACAATGCAGTATCATGATGGAACTATCACAGATGGACAGAATGAGTCTCTTGATTCCTACATTTATTTTTCTATTGATATAGCTGATTTAAAAAGAAACCTGTTAATTATATAATCATGTAATTACCCTGACATAACATCAAACTCCATAAATTACTTTCCATCTCTGCCTCTCTCTCTTTCTATATATATAACATATACATGTTACAAAAATGCACAGGGAATAAATATGAGCAAAATGGTAAGAAGTGCAGGTCCTAGGTCAGATTTCTTGCATTTAGTTGCAGGCTACACCAACTTTAGAGAAAAGATTTAGTGAAAAATAAAAATGAATCATTAATACACCACTTGGCACAGATAAGTTATTCAGTAAACATTAACATATGTGCATTTATGTTTAACCATGGGTTTAAGTGATTATCCAGAAATTTCCCTCTCTTTGACTATGTTTGAATATTAGATACTTCTTAATTTATCTTTGCTCTGAATTTGTTTTTTTTCACTCGTTGTATACTCATGGACCATTTTATGTGTTTCAGGAATTGATATTTTACTTAAAAACTGTTACTATAGAAAATTAACTTTTGGATAGTCCTGTTCAGACTAAAACTATCATTTGTAAGATCTGTATTACTGCAATCATTGGTGTTAATACTTTGCATTAATTAAAATTTTTTATGGACATATAATAAGTATTTCTCCCACCTTGATTTTTGTGGCTATCATTTTATTCATTCCATTGCTTTTTTCTCCCAGTTTGCTATGAGGAAGTTGATAAGTACGTAGGCAAAACGATAGATTGTTTTGGCAGCTTCAGTGTATTTAAGTGCCTGTGATGAGGCTATGGTTTATTTTTCTAATGTAGAATTCATAATGTAGAATAAATTTTAAAAACATAAATTTTATTCCTGCACATTGTGCACATGTACCCTAGAACTTAAAGTATGATAAAAATTTACATATATAACAAATTAATAACATAAATTTCTTTGCACAGCTTTTTCTTTCTGCTATTTTTATTCAATGATTATTTGCTTCCCTTGTTATTTAAGAGCTGACTTTTGGCTTCATGGCCAAAAATAAAATTCTTAGTAGGAGAAAGTAAATGTGATTTACTGATGAAGATGCCACCCCCAAGTGACCCATTAACCACTTTCCCTGCGTTACCCTGGGACAACCAAAGTGATTCCAGGAGACAATTCCCATGACAAGTGATTTCTGGCTGGCAATGCCAGGTCTCTGAAGTTCCACTTGGCCACTGCCCAAGAACAATTAGTGCCGTTAGTTAACTACCTTTACTATGACAGCATTTTGTGTAACTCTTTGCACAGGGGAGTTTTATGCAACAGACAGAAACTTTCTGAGTTGTTCTGATTGCCTGAAGATGCCCTGTTTTAGAGGAGCAAAATTTTCCCTGTTTACTGTGTTTCAGTGTTAAAAATATGAATGCATTGTCAGGATTAGCTCTGACAATGGTAGTTAAATGCAGATATCCAGACAAAGGAGATTATAGATTGGAGACTTTGTGCTACTTGATAATGAAGCCTTGGTTTTGATTTTATTTATTTTTAAGTTGAAAAACAAAACACACACACACAATACAAAACATGGCACAAAACAAACTTATAGTTTGATTTTTGTAAACATCCCTGTAATCATCACATAAGTCAAGATATAGGACTTTGCCAGCCCTGAAGTCCTGCATGTGACTCTCCTCAATTGCAGCCACCTTTCTCCTGAAAAGTGACGATAAACATGACTGTTCCAATAGAGGCGTCCTTGCATTTTCACGGCTGTGTCCTTCATGTATGCATTCCAAGACACTATGATTTAGTCTTGCCCATTTTTTTTCATTTGTCGTGTTTTTAAAATCCCTTCTAACATACACGTTTCTTTTCAAAGTTTTCTTTCCCATACAATATATTTGTTGAAAAATGTGGGATTTTTGTCACTTGATGTCCACACTGTGAAATTTGCTGGTTAGACTCTCAGTGAAGATCGACATTTTCACTATCCTTTGCATTTTATCCAAATGACAGTTGAATCCAGAGGTTTGACTAGGACACGTGCTTGATTCTATTTTTGGTAAGATTGTAGGTGATGGTGTGTTCATTCACCAGGAGGTTTAATTATGGCTTTTATCTTAGCACCTACTACTACTTTCTACTAACACCTGTTAATACAAAGAAAGTTAATATTTTCTACTAGCACCTGTTAATCCTCAATATGTACATGTAGGATATGTATAGACACACGTGTGTCTATGCATATAATATATAATATGTACATATTATATATTTTTTAAGAGAAGGAAAGAGCATGTGAGAGAGCACATTGTATATTTATGTTGATAATACTGATTCTAATGTAACTCAGTGGGCTGCTTCTTTCCTTGTCTTATTCCATATCTGTATCTCTGTCCTTTCACAGTGAGAATCTGGGGTTCTAGCAATACAAATATATTAATATTTACTCATTGGCTTAATCTTACAATGCACATACATTTGTTTCAGAATTGTTATATTTATACTAATATAAAAAGAAAAAATCCTATCATGAAGATTTAATAATTTTTTGCAGATATTTTATTTTTTCAAGCAATAGTATGTAGTCAAAGTATGTTCAAAAGTCAATTTGAAATAAGAGAACAGTCAAAAATTAATCAGATTAATTATTATTTTCCCCTTAAGTTTGATTATGTCATTCATTCATTTGAAATATATTTGGATTCACTTGTTTCTCATTGCATTCCGTTTTAGAGTCTTGTAATAACTTATCTTTGCTTGCTTAATATCACACTTTGAGAGTGTAAAAGATTAACTTAATTAAAAATGTACAATTATGCACAAAAGCATTCACAGAGCAATATCCCATTCTCCCATATTTCTTTCACCAAATTCCCCTCTAATTCTTTATAGATAATACATGTTTTCAGATTCTGGTACATTTTGGCTACATTTGTTTGTTTCATGCTTGTATTTTTGGTGTATTATCTAAGAATGCATTGCCAATCCACAGCAATGTTTTATTTCCATGTTTTCTTCTAAGCATGTATGGTTTTCACTCGTATATTTACATTATTGATCCAATCTAGATTTTGTATATAATGTGAGGTAGGGGTCCAGCTTCATTTTTTTTGCATATGAATATTCAGTATTCCCAGCACTTTTTGTTGAAAAAGCTATTATTCCCCACTGAATAATGTTGGCTCCCTTGTAAAAAAAAGTCAGCTGAATAGAGATGTTTTGCTTAGTCTATGTAAAAGTATATTAATTTTATTGATATTTTAAAAGAACCAACTTTTAGTTTTGTTGATCTCTGTATAATTTTTTAATTCTCAATTTCATTTATCTCTGCTCTAATCTTTATTTCCTTCCTTCTGCTAGCTCTGGATTTTGTTTGCTCTTCCTTTTATGGTTTATTGAGTAAAGTTTGGTTATTGATTTGACATGTTTCTTTTTTAAAATGTAGGTGTTACAACTCTGAGCACTGCTTTTGATATATCACACCCATCTTGTTATATCTTTGTTTTCAATCGTCTCTAAACATTTTCTAATTTCCCTCATGATTTGTTCTTTGATTCATTGGTTGGTAAATACTGTGTTGTTTAATTTCCAAATATTTGTAAATTTTCTAGTTTTTCTTTTGTTATTGATATCTTATTTCATTCCATTGTGGTCAGTGAAGATACTTTGCATGATTTCAATCTTTTTAAGTTTATTGAGCTTATCTTATGGCCTAACATATCATCTGTGCTGGAGAATGTTCCATGTTCACTTGAGAAGAATGTGTATTCTGCAGTTTTTGAGAGAAGTGTTATCTATAGTTATTGCTTATAGTTTTATTCAAATCCTCTAATTCCTCCCTTGATATTTGCTCTGGATGTTTTGTCCTTTATTAAAGTTGGGTTTTAAAATGCCCAACAATTTTCGTGGAATTGTCTGTCTCTCCCTTTAATTCTCTCAATGGTTACATTATATATTTTGGAGCCCTGTTAGTTGGTGTACATATATTTATAATTGTTATATCTTCTTGTTTAATTTTGAAATCAATATATACTGTTCTTTGTATTTTGTAACAGTTTTTGACTTAAAGTCTATTTTGTCTGATATAAGTATATTTGCCTCAGATCTCCTTTGGTTATTACTTACATGGAATATTTTCTCCCATCCTTTCATTTCAACTCATTGTGTATTTTGATCTAAAGTGAGTATCTTGTGGACAATATAGTTGGATCATTTTTTAAAAATCCATTCTGTCAATCTCTTTCTTTGGATTGGAGAGTTTAATTCATTTGTATTTAATGTAATTACTGATAAAGAGGGGCTTACTCCTACCATTTTGCTTTTGTTTTCTGTATGTCTTATACCTCCTTTGTTCCTAATTTCCTCAATTATCGCCTTCTTTTGTGTTTAGTTGCTATTTTGTAGCATATCACTGTGTTTACCCTCTGCTTTCCTTTTCTGTATTTTCAAAAGATATTAACTTAGTGGTTACCATGGGGATTTACAATTAACATTCTTAATTTGGAACAATTTAGAGTAAATTGAAACAACTTCAATAGTATACAAAATCTCTATTATTATTTAGTTTCCTATGAATTTCTTTATGTTGGTAATTTCACAAACCACATCTTTATACATCATGCTTCATTAACATAGATTTATAGTCATTATTTTACACATTTGTTTTAAAACATATAGAATATTTAAAAAGACTTACAAAAAATATGATAATTGCTTTTATATTTACCTATGTAGTTATCCTTACTGGAGTTATTTCTTTATGTGGTTTTGAGTTACTTTCTAGTGTTTTTTAGTTTGTATCTGAAGGAGTCTTTTTTTTTAAAAGTGTATCTTGAAGTACAGCCTACCAAACATGAACTTTTAAAGCTTGCTTGCTTTTCTTTCTTTCTTTTCTTTCTTTTTCTTTCTTTATTTCTTTCTTTCTTTTTTCTTTCTTTTTTTCTTTCTTTCTTTCTTTCTTTCTTTCTCTTTCTTTCTTTCTTTCTTTCTTTCTTTCTTTCTTTCTTTCTTTCTTTCTTTCTTTTTCTTTCTCTCCCTTTCTTTCTCTCTCTTCTTTCTTTCTTTCTCTTTCTCTCTCTCTCTTTTTTTTTAATCTGGGAATGTGTAATTTATCCTTAATACTTGAAGGGGCATCTTCCAAGTTACAGAATTTTTGGTTGACAGTGTTTTTTTCTTTCAGAACTTTAAAATGTCATTCTAAGCTCTTCTGGCACCCATGGTTTATAATGAGCTCTCTGCTGTCAAACTTACGGAGGATCCTTTGTAAATGATGCATTGCCTTTTTCCTAAGCTCTTCTGACATCCATGGATTATAATGCACTATCTGCTGTCAAACTTATTGAGGATCCTTTGTAAATGACGCGTTGCCTTTCTCTTGCTGCTTTCAAACATTCGCTTTGCCTTTTGACAATTTGAAACATAGTGTGTCTTGGTGTGAATATCTTTGTATATTTCCTTGATGAAGTTCACTGAGCTTTTTGAATGTGTATATTTGTTTTTAGTGAAATTTGGGAAGCTTTCAAACACATTTCTTCAAATAGTCTTCCTGCCCCTCACTCCCCACCAGGATTCTGTATGTAGGCATTCTTGATGTTGTTACACAGGTCTTTAGGCTCTATTCTTTTTTGTTGTCATTCTTTCATTTTCCTGCTCTTCAGACTGAATCATTTCACTTGATCTATCAAGTTCACTGATTCTTTTTTCCAGCTGCTCAAATCTTCTATTGGAACCCTAAGTAAAAAGTAACTTTTTAATTAGTTATTGTACTTTTCAGCCTCAGAATTTTTTTGTACCTTTTAAAAAATTCATATTTCTTATTTATTTATATGTCATTCTCTTGGGTTTCTTTAGCTCTTTAAGTTTATTTAAGACAGTTATATAAAGTTTTTGTCTAATATTTCCAATATCTGCTTACTCAGGGAGAGTCTCATTTATTTCTTCTGTAAATGGGCCATAGTTTTGTGTTTATTTGCATGCTTCTTAATTTTTGTTGAAAACTGGACATTTTGGATATTATAATGTGTTTATTCTGGAAACCAAATTTTTCCCTTCTTCAAGGTTATTTTTGTTACCCACTGTGGGATGTAGTTTTTATTTGTTTAGTAACTTTTGTAAACTGGTTTTGTAATATCTGCATTCTTTTTTATGTTTGATGTTTGAAGGCGGCTCGGTTCCTTTAGCTTGTGTTCATTTAGCATTTAGTGATTTAAAAATGATTTCCTTGACTGCAAGGAGCCAAAAAAGAAAAAAATATGAAAAACATCTCCCAGACTTTGCTTACTGACTCTGTATTGGGGCTCCCTCAACACTTAGCGGAGCCATATATAATTCTGCCTTAGCCTTCATTTTTTCTTGCTGTGAGCCTAGGAATTACTAAAGGTGAGTTATTAGTGTCTTCTCAGGCCTTTTCTGAGCATGTGTCCCACCTTGGCCATGCTTATGGATTTCCAAATTTTTCATTGTATGTAAGCACTTTTGAGTATTCGAATTTCCCAAAGGAACTTTCTCTCCTGCTTTTTCCTCAAGTTTTCAGTACAGTATATCTTGCCTCAATTGTAATATTTTGCCTCAAATGGCTGAGGGTTGTTAATTTGCCTTTGGATGATCTGATTTCTAAAGGTTTGGTGGAATTCTCTGTGAAAACATCTAAACCTAGTGTTTGTGTGTGTGTTATAATTCCATGACAACTGTATTTCTCTATGGAAATTGCTCACATAAGTGCTGTACTTCTTTTTTTTTTTTTTGAAGTCAATTGTGGTGAATTGTATTTTTCTGGAAAATTACCCATTCCCTCTAGCTTTCAATGTTTTTCATAGATGTGAACAACATTGTTTTTAATGATTTTTTATTTGCTGATTATCAATAGTTATTTCTCTCACCATTCCTTATTCATTTTTGTGCTTTCTCTTTTTTTATTCATGATTAAAAGATCTAATTTTTTGTCAACTTTGTTGATTTGTTTAAAGAACAAGATTTTTGGTTTACTGATTTGATCTGTTTTTTGGCTTCTTATTTTATTAATTTTCACTTTTTTCTACTATGGGTTCTTTCTTGTACTTTCTGCTTACTCTTTTATATACTTTTTACAGTTTTCAGCTGATAATTTAATTCCTACACTTTTATTAATAAATGTGTTAAGGCTATAGATTTTCCTCTGATCACTGCTTTAACTATATCCCATATACAGATGCTCCTTGATGTATGATGAAGTTATGTCCCAACAAACCCCCGTAAACTGAAAATATCATAAGTTAAAAATGCATTTAGCACACCAAAAATTATAGGTTAGCCTAGCTTACTTTGAACATGCTCAGAACATTTAGATTAGACTTCATTGGTCAAAATAATCTAACAAAATGTCTAAATAAAGTATTGAATAACTGATATTTATTAAATATGGTACTGAAAATAAGAAACAGAATGGTTGTATGGGTACTCATCATTAATGTACATAGCTGAAATTACACAGGGCCTGAAGAATTTTTGAAGCATTGAGCTAAAGTTAATTGCTGAATGATGGGACTAATACTTTGACACAGTCAGTGTCTGTCTCTTCCGATGATGAGGGTTGAGAATAGCTGGTAGAAAGTATTGATGCTTGTTGATGGTAGGCAGGAATTATGTTCTTCAGGAAGATATCAATAATATTGATATCAGGAAGATATCAATAATGTCACAGATTATGCTTCATACTTGTCTTCCTGAGTCTTCTTTATCCCGAACACCCTGAGTTTTCGAATGGTTGACATGCCAGCTGGCTTTCTGCAGATGTACTTCTCGTGTGTAAATTTCCTTCTCTGTGAGGTATTCATATTGAACATGACCTCCAAGTGTGTTTGGGTCTGTGCAGAAGACAATAGGACTGCGATTTCTGATGATTAAAACCTGGATTGTATGTTACTGTGATCAGACCCTGAGACTGCGTTAGCAAGTTTTATAGCATCTGAGTCGCTCTGTTGGAGGAAAGTGCATGTGATGGGCATTTGCTTGCTTCCCCACCAGATTCTCTACCTTCACCCTTCCTGCAATATTCCCTAGGAAGCTGACTTCTGCTGAATGCAACACTCAGGTTCTCTGCTTCCTAGATTCTAGTTGAGTTTGGTCCATGGGAGGCCTTGGCAGAAATTTTGAGAGTAAGAGCAAATAATTACTTAACCATTAGAAAAAAATAACATGAATGTGTCCTTCTATCCATGGCCTCAGTTCCTGTTGGGGAGCCTCGGTGCCAATCCCTCGGTGCATCACCATTTCTAATTAGTTCCTGTTTTAGTCTGCTTTTGCGTGTGTGTGTGTGTGTGTGTGTGTGTGTGTGTGTGTGTTGTTATAAAGGAATACCAGAGGCTGAATAATTTTAAAGAAGAGAGGTTTATTTGGTTCACAGTTCTGAAGGTGTGCAAGAAGCATGGTGCCACCATTTGCTTCTGGTGAGGGCTTTAGTCTGTTTCCACTCATGGCAGAAGGGGAAGGGAAGCTGGCATGTGCAGAGATCACGTGGCAAGAGAGAGGGGTTTGTACCAGGCTCTTGTTAACAACCAGCTCTTGTGGGAATTAAGAGAGCTAGAACTAGGTAGGCACGGTGGCTTACGCCTGTAATCCCAGCACTTTGGGAGGCCGAGGCAGGTGGATCACCTGAGGTCAGGAGTTTGAGACCAGCCTGGCCAACATGGTGAAACCCCGTCTCTACTAAAAATACCAAAAATTAGCTGGGCATAGTGGTGGGTACCTGTAATCCTAGCTACTCTGGAGGCTGACACAGGAGAATGGGTTGAACCCGTGAGGTGGATGTTGCAGTGAGCCAAGATCGCACCACTACATTCCAACCTGGGCAGCAAGAGTGAAACTACATCTCAAAAAGAAAAAAAGAGCGAGCAAGAACTCACTTGGATGGCACCAAGACATTCGTGAGAGGTCCACACTCAGGACCAAAACACCTCCCATTAGGCCCCACCTCCAACAATGGGGATCACATTTCAACATGAGTTTGGAGTGGTCAAATATCCAAACCCTAGCAGTTCCCTTAACCCTGGAAAGAGACCCTTCATTAAACTCTTTCTGCTTAATCCTTTGAGAGTGCAACAATTTCCTGCTAGGACCCTGACGGATAGAGGGACCATACAGATCACTAAAATGCTGAGGAATTTTTCAAATGAACTGCACCCAACAGACCTCCCTGATTCTGAATATATCAAACTTTTATTTTTTATTTTATTTTATTTTATTTTTTGAGACGGAATCTCGCCCTGTCACCCAGGCTGGAGTGCAGTGGTGCGATCTCGGCTCCCTGCAACCTCCACCTCCTGGGTTCAAGCGATTCTCCTGCCTTAGCCTCCCGAGTAGCTGGGACTACAGGCATCCACCAGCAGGCCCGGCTAATTTTTTATTTTTAGTAGAGATGGGGTTTCACCATGTTGACCGGGCTGGTCTTCAACTCCCGACTTCATGATCCACCCACCTTGGCTTCCCTAAGTGCTTGGATTACAGGCGTGAGCCGCTGCACCCAGCCAAACTTAAAAAAAAACCCCAAATAGTACTTTGAACTTCACCCGCAGGGAGTTATTCAAATTGGTTGTCAGCCAGTTATTTCAGGTTGTTGAGATCATCTGGCTCTTGATTTTATTAATCATCTTAGCCTTCCCTTTCAACAATTTGCCGACTTTGTGCAAATTTTATTAATATGTGATCTCTGTCTTTATCCATGGAGAGGCAGTATAGTATCATGAGGAAAAATAGACTTTGGAGTAGGCAGAAATTAGGTTTGAATTACTAGCCACGAGGCTTTGGGAACATTACTTAAACTCTATAAGCTTCAATTTCTTTATCTATAAGGTATAGATACCTTACCTTTATCTATACCTTATAGATACCTTTATCTATAAGGTATAGATCTTTATCTATAAAACCTGAAAGTTTTGGCATGAGTTTAGTAAAACTGTCTGTGAAGCCCTTGTGGACTGCTTGGTCCATGTAGGCATTTGATAAACGGTGGCTTTATATAGAGTAGGGAAATGCAAGCTATCTCAAAAAGAAATCAGGGAAATAAGAATGCCATCTGAAATCTGTCATATGAGAATGAAAGGAGCATAGACAGGTTTTGAGTGTGGGGTGAGGAGTAGGGGAGGGGAGGAGATAAGTGAACTGCCCCTCAGACTTCCAGGGAGGAGAAAAATGATGTCACTGGGAACTGCAGTCATTTGAAAAGATAGCAATCAAGCATTTCTTTCAGAGCCCTGTTCATCTTTCAGTGGCTTTGCTTCTCCAGATGCTTTTGCTCCTTCAATTATCTCTGCCTTCTCCCACCTCCTCTCCAACCATCTCTTCCCTTCCTTAATTCACAATTTTTCTCCCTCTTTTCAAGGCATAGTGCTTTGATTTATAAATTAGTTCTATGTTTCTGTTTTCTAATTTATTAGTTTCTGCTTTCTTATTTATTTATTTTGAGATGGAGTGTCACTCTGTTGCCCCAGTTGGAGTGCAGTGGCATGATCTTGGCTCACTGCAACCTCTGCCTCTCAGGTTCAAGAGATTCTCCTGCCTCAGCCTCCCAAGTAGCTGGAATTACAGGAGTGCGCAACCAAGCCTGGCTAGTTTTTGTATTTGTAGGAGAGACAAGATTTCACCATGTTGGCCAGGCTGGTCTGGAACTCCTGACCTCAGGTGATCTGCCTGCCTCAGCCTCCCAAAGTGCTGGGATTACAGATGTGAGTCACTGTGCCTAGCCTGCTTTCATATTTATTAACACATTATTTCCACTTTCCTAAGGATAGTTGTTGTTCAACCTTTACTAGCTTTTTTGTTGTTCATACTTAATACATTTATTTTTATTGTGCTATAGCTATTTCCCACATGTGATTTTTTTTTTTTTTTTTTGAGATAGGATCTTGCTCTGTTGCTGAGGCTGGAGTGCAGTGATATGATCATGGCTTGCTGAAGCCCTGAACTCCTGAGGTTGGGTGATTCTCCCACCTTAGCCTCCCAAGTAGATGGGATTACAAGAAGTACCACTATACCTGGCTATTTAAAATTTTTTTTTGGCTTGTGTGGAGATGGAGTCTCCCTATGTTGTCCAGGCTGGTTGCGAACTCCTGGTCTCAAGTGATCCTGCCACCTTGGCATCTCAAAATGCTGGGATTACACATGTGTAATATTTTTATTGTCACTATTTTCCACATATTCTGGAAATTTTATTTGGATTTCTTTTTTTTTTTTTTTTTGACAGAGTCTTGCTGTGTCACCTAGGCTGGAGTGCAGTGGTGCAATCTCAGCTCACTGCAACCTCCACCTTCTGGGTTCAAGGAATTCTCCTGCCTCAGCCTCCTAAGTAGCTGGGATTACAGGCATGCGCCACCAGGCCCAGCTAATTTTTGTATTTTTAGTAGAGACAGGGTGTCGCCATGTTGACGAGGCTGGTCTTGAACTCCTGACCTCAAGTGACCTGCCCACCTTGGCCTCCCAAAGTACTGGAATTACAGGCATGAGCCACTGTACCTGGCCTGGATTTCTTTTTGACATAGAATTATTTAAGAGAAAGCTTTTAAATTTCCATGCTGTAATTTCTAGTTTTGTTGTGTCATAATCAGAGAATATAATCTGTAGCATTTCTACATTCTCTACTTTGCTTAGATGTTTTTAGGGTGGGGTGTGTAATATGTACTGAATTTTGTAAACATTTTATGGACATACAAATTTCAATGTTTACTTTTTCAGGCTATAGGCTTTGCTACATAATCTTTGTGTATTTTTTGGTCCTCATATAGATTTTTTAATTACCTTTTTGCTGTGATAGAGATTAGAAGGGTAAATTAATGTCTCATTTACCATCATTTTTCTTTCTGTATCTCTTTTCATTTCCTGATGCTTTGGCTTTATGAAATCTTTATGTATAAAAATTGTGCACACATATCTTTATGCACAGTGTTTTGGATTTTACCCTTCATAATGAGCTTTTTTCTCTCCTTTGAATTTGACCTGGCCTGGTGTTAACAGCCCAGGTGTAAAATTCCAGTGAGAAAGAAGTCTGATGAGGAGTCAGTAGGATCTTTGTGTTGCTGAGAACTGCTCAGTAACACGGACAGCTCCCTGCACTCCAGGAAACATCCTGATTCAGTGTCTTGAGTATTGTGAAGCACAGTTAGAGCAGAAACATGGAGAATCACCTTAAAATGGCAAATTGGCTTCTGGTCTTGCATAAGACTTCATTGAGGCCTAATGGGCTATGTAGGTCTACTGTCCAAAGTACAGAGGTTATTCCTAGTGTCTTTAATATTACTGTCCCTTTAGGCAAGAGTATCCTTATGATAAGGGAGACTGAATTAAGCTATTTTGGCTGAGGTATATTTTTATAAATTCATCCAATTAGCTTCCCTTGTTGTAGTTTTGGCTCACCAAACATTGTTCTGATTATAATTTAGCATCCCATATAATTTCATCTGCAGGGAGAGTCTGTACTAGGCATGGCGATGCTTACATGTCAGCCCGTGTGACTGCAAGAGTCTCAGTATAATTTGATAACATGGCACTCAGATTCTAGACATTATTCTCTGTGTGCTTAGTGAGTGTGATGACATAACCTTCAGAAAGATTCATCCTTTCTCACATATTGATAAATCAACTTTTACATCTACAAAGTTGAGAGCCAGAAATTAAAACCTGATTAATTCACTAAGGCATCCCTATGACGGCAGTCTTCCAACTAGCTCCATTCTGGGGCACTCTGACATCATTATACACTTTCCAATGAAAGCAGGGAGTGTATGTGATTAAAGGGAGAGCCCTGTGGCACTCCTGAAAAATCTCCCCTCCCAGTTCACAGTGACTTATTAACCAACACTCATGATCATGTGAAACTCTAGAACTGGATCTGGGTGCCTGGCAGGATGACATGGTGTGAGGCTCAAGCAGCACTGTGGGAATTCAAGCATCTGTTTATTTCTGAGAGAAAAAGTGTAAAGCAAAATAATATCTTTTAACAAATGTTTGTATTTGACTAAAAAGGAAGCAAGCACTTAATTTATGAATTTGCTAATTGCTCTTCTGAGCTGAGAATATCTGTGTTGAATATTAGTCATTATCCATATTTGGCACAGAATAATCCCGAGGGCTAAATGACATTGTTCCTACAGTGGGCACCTGAAGACTGGCTATAAAAGCAATCCTGGCCAGGGGCGGTGGCTCACGCCTGTAATCCCAGCACTTTGGGAGGCCAACGTGGGTGGATCATGAGGTCAGGAGTTTGAGACCAGCGTGGCCAACATAGTGAAACCTCATCTCTACTAAAAATATAAAAAAATTATCTAGGCACGGTGGCAGACACCTGTAATCCCAGCTACTTGGGCGGCTGAGGCAGGAGAATCACTTGAACCTGGGAGGCAGAAGTTGCAGTGAGTCAAGATTGCGCCAATGCACTCCAGCCCAGGCGACAGTGTGAGACTCTGTCCAAAAAAAAAAAAAGAAGAAAAAAAGAGAAAGGAAAAAAAAAGGAAAAATAAATAAATAAGTAAATAAATAAATACATAAAAGCAACCCTAACACTACTGAGGCTATTGACAGTGGCACTTTGCTCTTCTGTTAGAACCTTGGGAAAATTTTTTCCCCCTGAATACAGTATAATAAACTTGGTTCTTATTTCTCTTTCTCTCCCCCTCCTTTTTTCTTCCCTCCCCACTACCACATGCACACACACAAATAGACAGATTTGTTTATATTTGACTTTCTAAAAACCTGTTACTAGAAAGGCACATTAATACATTTCTCCTGTGCTGATAGTAATCAGGCAACTCTGGTTTCTATCGGAGGCAATTTCTTACGTATTAAATGCCAGAAAAAGGGCATCCCTCCGTTTTTGTAGAGAGCCTTTCTTTATGAAGACTAATGACCACATTAGTTAGTCAGTCAGTCAATAATACTTACCAAATGTCAGTAGAGCCGAAGTGAACACCAACAGAAAATCACATTTTACAAATGCAATTTACTTGGTATCCTAACATGCCATGTCATAATAATTATTGAGGCTTTTCTTCTCTGCTGCATTGGTCTAGTGAAAGTGGCTAGAAAAATATGGGTGCCCATGTAGCCTCCTGGAAGCACCTGTATGACTTTTCTAGAAGCGAGGTTCCTGGATAAAGATGAATTTTTAAAAGCTGGAATGAATGAGCAGCAATAGCAGAAGGAGAAAAGTGAGTGAGGGCTCTCCAAGAAGCCATCTGGCAGGCTAAGGGTTCTGAGGGAAGCTCTGGTTTCAGAAGCAACTCAGGAATTACTTCTGTCATATTAGGATGGGATGGTAGGAGATTGGGAACTCTAGGGACTAGAAGTCATTTAATTTCCTGTCTACAATCCTTAGAAGAGGTTTTGAGACTTGCAACCTAGGACCTTAACTAATCATCTTCCCTCAGCATTGATAGAATTCTTTATTATACATGTTAATATCAGATTAGTCAGGATGGGCTGGATTATGCTGTGTTAACAGCCATTCTCTAAATCTCTGTGGCTCAACAGGGAGCTCTGCCTGTCATGGTCACTTGGGACCCAGGCTTTGGGTATAAGGCTACAGCACATGGAAAACGTATGAATGTCTCTCAGATTCTTAAAGCTTCTGCTGGAAGTGACATGTCATTCTGCTCACAGTTCATTGGCTAAATGAGTCACGTGGCTCTCTCTAACTTCAAGGATGGTATGAAATTGCAATCCTACCATGTCTCTAGAAGGAGAACCAGCCCTAATCACAATGCTACATGTTTATAGCTTGCCTCATAGAGTTTACTGTATTCTCCTGGTATAATTTTCTTACATGCTCAACTGGAGAGGAAGCTCTTAAATAGAAAAAAATCACAGTAAATTTCCTTTAAAAGATCTATTTTACAACTCTGGCATGATGGAGCACAATGGAGTCCTTAGTAATGGACTCCATCTCTTCCATCAGATAAAATGTTGAGAACTGAAGTTAAAATTTGAATAATGAAACCAAAGGAAAAAAAAATTAAATGAATTTTAAGACAATTGAGATAAGAACAACTGTGGCATCAGCATAATTCAATTTAATAATGTATTAAATATTTTGCAGAAAAGTGAAAACAAATTGATAGCCAAATCAATGCAGCATTAAGCCACCATGTGGTCTAATTTCTTGCTGAATTGACAAAACAAAACACTAGTTTAGTTATATAAACATGGCTGATGTTTATACAAACAACAGAATTTGCCGGTAGCATTATCACTGGAAAATAAGATGTGTACTTAATTCTTGTATGTTCTGAGCCCATCTAGGAAGAACATAAAAGACGAAGAACAAAGCAATCACAGGATGTTATCATGAAAATATCACCTTTGGCTGGAGTAAAGTTTTGGCTAAATGTGGCACTAGTATTTATTACAGCTCACCTTTTTATAATGAAGGGCTATGGACTGAACATTCTTATTATTTCCCATTTTCTTGCCACTCTATCCCAACACACATGCACATGCATGCACACACGCACACACACTGGCACCCACACCCATGCATGTGGGACACACAGAGCAGCCCAGGCAATTTCAATTGTTGGCAGCTTTGCTTTTATTAGGTATTAGTCTACCAACTTGCTTTCTCTTTAGAGAGACTAAGTGAAACCAAACTCATTTCCACCCAGTTATCCTGCTGGAACCTGTAACAGTCACTGTAATGTTAAAAGCAGTAAAACAAAATAAAAACCAGTCAGTTCACTTACTCCCGAAGTCCGCAGTTTGGTGTTCAGCTTTAAAACGTGCTCTGGGCGTCCTGTGGTGGCTACCAGAGGCTTTGGTGAGTCATTGTCAACCCAGTAGCTAGAGAAGTGCTGGAATGCCCCTCTTAAATACAGAGCCAGTTTGTCCTTCAGAATGGCTGCTTGAACGAATTTACTGCTCAACTCGAAAGGCCATTTTTTATAACCCACTGCAGTTGTGCTTCATGTGTTTCTCCACCTATCCTGTAAAGTGTATTGTGAAATTAATTTTGTAGATTTCCTCACACTGCAGTGACTAGGGAAATCACCCATTCATTATTATCTAATGAGGAGAAAGTGGAAACATCTAGAAGCACTGCTCCCATCCTCCTCCCCAGCCCACACAGACACCTACCTCAGGCCCTCCCTGTCCCAGGTGAGCAGAGGGCCCCACCTTTGGAGGTTGCCTCCCTTCCACCTTCACCAATCCTATGACCAGATTATCCCCAAGGAAATGTCAATCTCCAGGCAGCAAGGGAATCATATAAAGATAAGATCATTGAGATATTTTTTTCCTCCGTGATTGGCAGTTTATATTTTCTTGGGTCTACAAATCTGACAGCATTTATTAAATTTTCTAGTTTGATACTGACCTCTGTCTGATGCTGGGCTGTCACCATGCCCAAGACTGAGGGGACCCACAGTCTAGCTAGAAGGCATGGATCAATTCCAACTGCCCTACCCCTAGCCTGTGTGCAGGAGAAAGCTCTCAGGCTCTGGCAGAGGAGTCCCAGGGGAAGGATGCATGATCTTCCACTGTGCCTCCCAGCCATGCTGAGCAGCAAAGCAGACCATGAGCAGGTCTCCCTTAAATTCATTTGCTTGATTTGTCCTTGAGTGTCCTTGGATGGGTTTGTTGCCTCCTTGTCCAGTATGTCTTGGTCATCCTGATTCCTGGGCTTGGCTCCCAGGTTGATTCTTTCCCTGACACAAAACAGGCACTATGGGCAAAGACACCTGCAGCCTTGGAGAGACCAGTGATGCTAGATGTTTCCTGTTAGCACTCAGGAAAGCTCAGAGCTTTTGATGAGCATCTTTTGATCCATTAGTTAAAACCACGCTGGGTTCTTTATAGTGGTTAGTTAGCTCTGGGCTATGGGATTGTGGAAGACATTTATTTCTTCTTTGGATTCACCTGGATTTTCTGCAACGGACAAGTATCGATAAAATACATGGTGCTTTTCAGAAATTGCCCCATCATCATGTTGCTGTTGTTGTTATTGATATTGTTGTTTCTGATGGATAGAGATCTAGGCCTGACACTCCAAGCAGTGTGAACAGCATTTACCTTGATAAGCATTCTTACATCTTAACCCTCGGGAATTTTAAATAGAAGTGTTCCGTGTGATTAAATTAACAGGTTTAGAGATGGGTGTCCTGGTTATTTCCTTTGTTCTCCTCCTGGTAGCTGCCTGCACTCACAGCGTGTTGGGAATGGTGATTATAAATGTAACCATGCTCTCTTCTTGTAAGTGGAGAGCCCAGGTACCTCTTATCCAGCATGTGACCCTCTTTCTACCTCAGGATAGTCATACTCTTAGGCTTCCTAGATTTATTCAGGGCCAAAGGAGTGGTCAAGGTCCTTTTTGTTTTGCCCTATTCCCTTTGGAAAACATTTAGTTTATGCCCATGTTACAGATTGCAAAATACAGGCACATATTCTCACTAATGTGGTCTGCATGTCCCTTTGCAAGGACATGCAATGTGACTTCACTACTCCTTTCATCAAGAAAAGGAGCCTCTTGGTCGGGCACGGTGGCTCACGCCTGTAATCCCAGCACTTTGGGAGGCCAAGGCAGGCAGATCACGAGGTCAGGAGATGGAGACCATCCTGCCTAACACAGTGAAACACAGTCTCTACCAAAAAATACAAAAAAAAAAAAAAATTAGCCAGGCGTGGTGGTAGGTGCCTGTAGTCTCAGCTACTTGGGAGCCTGAGGCAGGGGAATGGCGTGAACCCAGGAGGCAGAGCTTGCAGTGAGCCTAGATCGCGCCACTGCACTCCAGCCTGGGCAACAGAGCAAGATTCTGACTCAAAAAAAAAAAAAAGAAAAAGAAAAGAAAAGGAGCCTCTTTGCCTCTTTACCCTAATCTGGGCAAGCCTTGCAACCTGATTTGCCAAAAAAATATGAAGGAAGCAATGTGATGTGATTTTCCAGGCTAGAATGTAAGAAGCCTTGGAGCTTCTGCATTTACTGTCTTCAGATGCTGCCTGAAACCACTGTAAGAAGCTCTAACCTACTGGAGGATAAGGGGTGAGCCCAAGAGCATCAAGGCTCCCATCAACAGCCAGTCCTGTGAGTGAGGCCATCTTGGACCTGCCAGCTCAGTAAACCCTTTTGCTGAACACAGCCCAAGGAAGGAACCCTTGCAAAATGAAATCATGTGGTCAGTTTGCAGGGTGGTTATTACACAGCAGTAGATGATTGAAAAGGCCCAGTGTCTTCCTGGGGACTGAAACACCCACCTCCTGTTCATGTTGATACACGGTGAGCAGAATATGGATGTGGGAGTGGTGTTGGTTGCAGGTGAGGTAGAGAAGCACTGAACAGAGCACAAAGACCTGATGTTCCAGGGTCGGGAGTTTAGACTTGATCCTAACAGCGGCCATAGGCGGATTTAGGCAAGAGAGTAACGTGGTCAGATTTTCATTTTAGAAAGTTACTCTGACATCCATGTGGAGAATGAACTTGAAGGTCACAAGGCTGATGGAGCCAGGAAGACCATTTGGGAGGTGATCGTAGTAATCTACTTAAGAGTTCATTACGAGCTGGGGAATGGGGAGGTGTTAGAGAAGAGAAAATGGATTTGAAGAGCTGAGGGATGTTAAAAAGGCAAAACTGGGCCAGGGATGGTGGCTCACGCCTGTAATCCCAGCACTTTGGGAGGCCAAGGTGGGCAGATCATGAGGTCAAGAGATTGAGATCATCTGGGCCAATATGGTGAAATCCCCTCTCTACTAAAAATACAAAAATTATCTGGATGTAGTGGCACACACCTATAATCCCAGCTACTTGGGAAGCTGAGGCAGGAGAATCGCTTGAACCCAGGCAGTGGAGGTTGCAGTGAGCTGAGATTGCACCACCGCACACCAGCCTGGTGACAGAGCAAGACTCCGTCTAAAAAAAAAAAAACAACGGAAAATTGTTGGGACTTGTAATTAATTGGGTGAGGAAACTGAGTGGCAAATGGTCTCAGCTCTACACATGGAGAGCCCTGGGGACATAGGGAGAGCACATTTGGAAGGAAAGATGATGATTTTAGTTCTTAAAATTTTGTTTGTGGAGGAGGCATTCAGACAGAGAATTCTGTTGGGCAGTTTTATGTAGAGAACTACATCTAAAGAGGTCAGAAGTGAACTTCAATAAAATTGAGGTGACCAATGATCATCAGTTTTAAAGAGGACATATTTTCTTTTTCTGTTAAAGGGAACACACCTATGAGTCAGAAAGCCAGACATTTATTTTTTCTCGCCAAAGGTTATTGTACAACCTACGGAAGAGAGTGTAAACACTGGTCTTTAAGATGAATTGTAAAGCTCTAAAGAGAATAAGAAAAATTGTGTTTCATGATTTATGATGGATAACATTTTAGAGTTGATTTCATAAGAGAATTCATTAAGCCAATAGACAACCATGGCATTTTAACTGTAGTGTTTAAGTATCTTTAGCTCTGATTTTTTAATTAGCAGAAGCAAATAAAGAGAGCTTCATTTTAACCATGAGAAATCTCTCTTCTGTATTTCATGTGACTAAATTTGTCCAGACGCTGAAGTTCAAATAATCACAGTGATTGCCAACATAATGGTTAATTTTCTGAGAAGTAAGTTCATGCTTTGCCACAGTTTGCTCCCCTGTAAGATCAGACAGAAAAATAAGAATAAAACCGACTAATAGCTATTGATTGCTTCTGGAACAGCTATCAATATAAAGAGCCAGACAAAACACATAATAAAGAATTGTGTTAGTGCCAGAGAGACTTTAGAGATCATTTGCCCATCTCTTTACCTTCTCCCACTTCTTTCTGTCCCTCCACCCCACCAGCTCTGATACAGACACACAGGATATTAGTAAAGGATAGTATTTGTTGAGAGCCTTTTGCATGTCAGGCACTGCTTCTAAACGTTGTATAATACCAGCTCATTCAATCTTCAAATCAATGCTATACAGTAGGTACTCTTCTTCTTTTTTTTTTTTTTTTAAATTTTACAGCTGAGGGACTGAGGTATGGAGAGGTTAGGTAACTTGTTCAAGGACACCAAGCCAGTCAGGCTGCCACTGGACCTAAGACAAGGTAACCTGGCTCTGAGACCAACCCCACAGAGAAGTATGTGGATGCTGACAACACTGTAGGAAGTTACAAGGAGCAAAAGAATAGCAGCCTCAGCCCTGAATTCCACTGTAAGCTTCCCTCTAATCTTCCCTGCCTCACTCTCAATCGAATAAAGAGCTGATCAGGAAGCAACTATGCACGGTCTTCCCCTCCACACCTCCAGCCCCAGCTCCCTTCCCCAGACTCAGTGCCAGCCTGTGCCAGCCCCCAAGATGGCAGTGTGGAGCCATGCACTAGGTCTGCCGCGCACCCAGCAGTCGGCTGTGGGTTCTTTGTATCTGTCAGAGTCCTGGCAGGAAATGGTTTCATTCTCAAAGGGTTAACTAGGAAGAATTTAGTGAAGGGTCAGTTTACAAGGTTCAGGAACTAACGGAAAATGGTGAAGCACCCAGGGACTGGCACTGGAGCTTCCCCACAGGAGCTGAGGCCAGAGAAGTATACATCCATTGTTGTCTTAAAGAGTGGTTAACTATCTATTTGCTCTTACTTTCAACATTTCTGCTGGGGCCTTGCATTGAGCAAACTCAACTGTAATCTAGAGAGCAGGGACTCCTGAGTGGCACATTCAGTGGGAGTCAGCTTCCTAGGGAATCATTTATTTATTTATTATTTATTTATCAGAGTCTCACTCTGTAGCCCAGGCTGGAGTGCAGTGGTGCGATCTTGGCTCACTGCAACCTCTGCCTCCCGGGTCTCTGTTCAAGCAATTCTCCTGCCTCAGCCTCCTGAGTAGCTGGGATTACAGGCACGTGCCCCCATGCCCAGCTAATTTTTGTATTTTTAGTAGAGACGGGGTTTCACCGTGTTGGCCAAGCTGGTCTTGAACTCCTGACCTTGTGATCTGACTGCCTCAGACTCCCAAATTGCTGGGCTTACAGGCATGAGCCACTGAGCCCTGCCTTCCTAGGGAATCTTGTAGGAAAGACAAAGGTAGAGAATCTGTCTGATGGCGGAAGCAAATGAATGCCCATCACATGCACTTTCCTCCAACAGAGCAACTCGGATGCTATGAAACAATGCTAAGTCAGTCTCAGTGTCTGTTGCAGTAATATTGTACATACTGTAGGTCTTAATCATAGGAAATTACATGCCCATTGCCCTGTGCATGGACCGGAGCGCACTTATGGGGGGCCGGTAGTCCTCCTTTCAGACATCTTTTTTTTCTCTGCCCCAACAAGTGGCCTTTCCATAGAAGACTGCCCAGAGAACCCTATGGCAACCCTACCCTCTTATTCCACTTTATTTTTCTTCAAAGTGTTTATTACTCCCTGTTGTTATGTTAGACTCTATATTTCTGTATTTGCTGTCCTCCAACTTGAAAAGAACCTCTGAGAGGGGAGGGACTTTCCTGGTCACATTCACTTGTCCCAGCACCTGCGATGGTGCCTGACATATCTCAGGGGCTCCTTAAATATTTATTGCTAGACAATGGGTATCATGGCTCAGCCTCCTCTGGGGTTACGAGGCTGGAGGAAAGAAACTTTAGCATGAGTGCAGTGAGAGTAAAAGAATTCAGCAGCTCTAATCAGGGAATGAATCTGGTGTGTAATAGGATCTCAAGGCTTGACTCCTAGTCTAAGACCATTTCTGGAGTTTGCTGACTTGATCCCCATCCTTCATCATTAGCACTTTGCAGGGAAGGAGCTGAGCGTGGATCTTGACTCTGAATTGGCTGGGGCATGCAAAATCGGGGGCACGCTTGGTGTTGCCCAGGCTCAGCTCTGCCTAGACACACGTGAGGGCCAAGATCTGGTTTGTGTTTCATGAGCTCTCCCAGGATGAAGACCCAGCCAGGCTGTCTGAAGAAGGGGTGTTCTTGAGTAGGAGGGAAGGACTGCTCCAATACGAAAAATCTAACAATAGCATAGTCCTTAAGAGCTTGAGCTTTGAAGAGGGAGAACAGACCCATTTAAGGCATGAAAAATAAAGGAAACTCTTGAGTCCCTCCAAGGAAAATTCCAGCCACCTGGCTAGCCTCAAGAAGTAGATGAGCACCCTGATAAGTAAGAAGGTAATAATAGCTTAAAACAATAGTCAAGAAAATTAGAGCCACAAACTAATCTTAAATGACGAGTTAATGGGTGCAGCACACCAACATGGTACATGTATACATACGTAACAGACCTGCACGTTGTGCACATGTACCCTAAAACTTAAAGTATAATTAAAAAAAAAAGAAAATTAGAGCCACAAAATGTTTGTTTCCCTATAGAAACTAGAGATAACATCTTAACATATGTCCCTGAGTTGTTCTGTAGAAACCCAGACCCCGCTAAATGGAAAATACCACCTGTTGGCTCGTAGATCTCAGATAAGGAGGAACTGAGGACTGAACACTCACAACTGTTCTTTGTTCTAAATTTCTTCCTGAGGGACCTGGAGGAAGTCACACCCACAGGCCAGAGCAGAACATTCCTTTCTGCTGACCCCAAGTTTGTAGCCAAAACTTAACCAATCACAAATCAGAAAATCTTTGGGTTTTTGTTTGTTTGTTTGAGACAGAGTCTCACTCTGCTGCCCAGCCTGGAGTGCAGTGGCACGATCTCAGCTCACTGAACCCTCTGCCTCCCACGTTCAAACGATTCTCATGCTTCAGCCTCCTGAGTAGCTGGGATTACAGGTGCACACCACCATGCCCAGATAATTTTTGTATTTTTAGTAGAGATGGTGTTTTGCCATGTTGGTCTGGCTGGTCTCAAACTCCTGGCCTCAAGTTATCCACCCACCTTGGCCTCCCAAAGCGCTGAGATTACAGGTGTGAACCACTGCACCTGGTCTCAAATCAGAAAATCTTTGAATTCATCTAATGGTCACCTATCCTGTGGGCCCTCACTTTGAGATATTTTGCCTTTTTTGGCCAAACCAATATGTAGCCTCCATGTATGGTATGACCTTGCCTGCAACCTCTGCCTTCCCACCTTTAAAAACCCTTACACATAAGCCATCAGGGAGATTAGGCCTTAAGGATTAGCTGCCTGATACTCCTTGCTTGCTGCCTGCAATAAATTCCTCAACTTCTGTCTCAGCAATGCCGATATCAGTGCTTGACTTTGATAGGCTGGGTGGGTGGACCCAAATTTGGTTTGGTGACCCTTTGAGCTTAGATTCAAAATTCTAGTTTTGTCACTCTGCAGTTTTGTGATCTTGAGCAAGTTACTTAACCTCTCTGAGCCTTGTTTGTCATGTGTAATGAAAAGAGCTATACTTACCTTGTGAGGTAGTCCTCAGGATTCAATGAGATAATAAGTACTCACTAAACAAAACTCGTTATTACAGAAGAATCACTTTGTCTCTGAAGTGGGCAATTCAACCCATTTCTAGGAGATTTTAAACATGATTTTAGATATTTGGTGTGATTTTGTGAATGGGTTTATCGTTAATAGCTTTCATGCTCCAGAATTTTCTTGAATAATAGGTTTTTGCAAAGTGCATTCCATGGAATACTCATTTGGGTGACGTTAATAGACATCACTCAAAAGCTGGGTGAATATTACAATGTTTACTTCATCTGTAACAAGCTGAGTAGCTACAGTACATATCTAAGAGGGGGCTCTAATTCTCAATATTTTCCAAATTTATTAGATCACAGACTTTTCTTTTAGTGAAGTGCTTAATGAAACTTAAGTTCTGTGAAAAGTACTTTGAGAAATATTGCTTTAAAAAGAAAAAGATTGAGCCCTGTATCAGGGGAAATATCTAATATTATATTAAACAAAAAAGTCCCACTGAAGAAAATCATCTTATTGTTCATAGACCTTAGTTTAGGTATTGGGGCCAAAGGATGGATGACCATTTCAAACGATCCAGGCTAAGCCAGGAGGAGAGCTCAAAGTCTGATCTGGTGAGTAAGTTGTGAAGGGAATGTGATGAAAAAGTACACTTCTATTGCAAAGAAATCATGAGCTAGGTTTATACGCTATGCTGTGAATGGCCAATAGATTATAAATTCAACAGTCTCCCTGTCACAGCTATGGTAATGACGACTGTTTAGGCCTTAGGGGAGCTTTAGGGAGAGGCAATTTCATACTTAAGTCACACTGACTTAAAAAGTGAAATATTTGAAATCATTGTTGAAATCACGTGGAGGTCGTCAGCAAGCGGATGAGGTTGGAATGCCTATCATTTTCCTCAAGCTCATGTCCTCTCATTTTCTTATTTGAAAATCTATTTGGCTCAGAAAGGACACCTAGGGTTAGTCAAAAATCACCTCCTGATGTTCCTTTTAAAGGAAGCTTCCAAGTTATTTGAATAGCTTCCAAGTTATTCATCGAGAAACAAAGCAAATTCAAAGATTATGTCCGTAGGCACAAACTGGATTTTAAGAAATCCTGGCTGCATAAACAATTGTCTTATAGAAAAGAATTTCTGTTCCTCTTTTCCCTCCCCTTGTCAATCCTATTTGTTTCAGACCTGGGTTCAAACACTAGCTGTAGAGGCTATAAGCTATTGGAAGCACATTTGAGCCTGAAATAAACTGAACCTCTTTTGCCTTGGTTTTCTCACTTGTAAATGGGGATTTTTGTGCCTACCTCAAAGGTACGTTGCAAGGATCGAGGGACAGAGCGTGCAGCAAGTGGCCAATGAATAGAAGTCTGGTTTTCTGAGCATCCTTGCAGCTGCAGGCTTCAGTCTACCAGAGAATGTGAGGTGTTATTCTTCTAGGGCAGTGGTTAGAAAAGAAAATGAAAGTAGCAGTACTCTTTTCCTAATGCAACCATAGATGGATGATCAGAATTTGTAATCCATAAGGTAGAAGCTGCTGTGCCTGAAGAAATAGAAAGTGGGCAGAGGTGGAGGGGCAAGGTAGGGAGTGGAGTGGAAGGTAGGGAGAGTTTGATCCTAGCCTGCACTGCTCCTCAGAGGTACTTTAGCCTCTTTGGAACAGTATTAGAAAATCATGGTTCTATCAACTCATGTCTGAAAATCAATTGCTATTTCAGAGCAGGAGGTGACCAATCTTGGAAATAAGGAAGGGAGAGAGGCAGCCAAGCCAGCAGCTCCTAGGATTAGTCACTGCCTGGAGCCAGCTCTTGGAAGTTCCCCAGGAGCTGTCCAGTCTTATGTCATGTCTAGTCAGCAGAGTCCCAAAGAAGCTTGTCATTCTCTAGGCATTTGTGCTTACATTCTGATGGGCCTAATAGCAGGGAGATGACATGGAGCCCAGGCAGAACAGCTGAGATTTCTACTGGTCATGACCTCCATCTTCTCCTTCACACCTTTCCTACCTTTCTTTTTCCATGCATTCAACAGACATTTATTACCCAATAAGTGCCAGGTAGTAAGCGAGGACCTGGGGAGAGCAGATGAGTAAGACACCGTCTCTGTCTCTCAGGAGCTCTCAGATTCTTAGGGACACATGTACATCCTAATAAACACAGTGCATCTCATGAATGTGTAAGTTTAAGTTATTGATATAGGCACACACAGACAGAGGGACTTCATTCCCTGCAGGTTCTGTAGTATTTCGTGCCCACTCCCCTTTCTTCCCTTGCTGCTCACATCATCCTGCCTTCAAGGAATCTGGGGGGATGGTAGACTGAAAGTGGCCCTTTCTGCATAATTCTTCTTGAAAATAAACATTTGCTCTCTTCTTAGAGGCTGACTATACTGAGAGCTACCACTCCTTGGCTGCTTATTAGCCATTGGGTTATTGCTAAGCCCTTTACATATGTTATATCATTTAATTGTATTGAATCTTCACCATAACACTTCAATGGAAATATTTTTCCAAATAAGGAAAGGTGAGACTCAAAGTAGTTGTATTAGTCTGCATTGCTATGAAGAACTACCTGAAACCGGGTAACTTATAAAGAAAAGAGGTGGGCCGGGCGCGGTGGCTCATGCCTATAATCCTAGCACTTTGGGAGGCCGAGGTGGGCAGACCACGAGGTCGGGAGTTAGAGACCAGCCTGGCCAACATGGTGAAACCCCGTGTCTACTAAACACACACACACACACACACACACACACACACACACACACACACACACCTGTAATCCTAGCTGCTCAGGAGGCTGAGGCAGGAGGATTGCTTGAACCCTGGAGGTGGAGGTTGCATTGAGCCAAGATCACACCACTGCACTCCAGCCTGAGTGACAGAGCGAGACTCCATCTCAAAAAAAAAAAAAAAAAAAAAAAAAGAAAGATGTTTAATTGACTCTATGTTCCACAGGCCATACAGGAAGCATGGCTTGGGAGCATGGCTGTACTCCAGCCTAGGCGACAGAGTGAGACTCTGTCTCAAAAAAAAAAAAAAATCCCCATATCCCCATTCACTGTCCTTTTCTCTAGAAAATACCCCATTTCATATAACTGTCTAAACAACGGTTTAAGGTCTACACAAGATTGTGAAGTGAACCTGCAGGATTAGGAGGGTAAGGATTCCCACCTAGGTGGGCTCACTTGCTCTGCCATACCTGGGTAGGATCCCAGCCTGCTTCTGTGATTGTCAGGAGGCACCAAAAAGGCTACCCTAGGTTTTCTGTCATTCGGCCCAAACATTTCCTCTGCTGGGCAAATGTGGAAAAGAGGCATTAAGCTGGTGCTCCCACAACTGAAAGGAAAGCAATTCTCTTTCTGTTGTGGTTCCTTCCTCTTTGGACTCTTTTCTTCCATTCCAGCCTATCCCCTTCTTGGAAAAGCTGTTCTACCAATAGCAGGGAAGAAACAGCACCGTGTACCTGATACGCTACCCTGGGCACAGGCGATCAGACCAGGGATAGACACCTGAACTGATCTGGGCAGATGCCCTCTTCTGGCCATTGAGAATTGACAGCATCAGACATCTAGAACATAATAGTATTTTTAAATTCTGCAGGGACATCCACCAGGCTGAGGGGGACCAATTTTGTTTTAAAAATGTATCCTGAACTTGGCCGGGCATGGTGGCTCATGCCTGTAATCACAGCACTTTGAGAGGCCAAGGTGGGCGGATCACTTGAGGTCAGGAGTTTGAGACCAGCCTGGCCAACGTGGTAAAATCCTGTGTCTATTAAAAAATACAAAAATTAGCCAGGCGTGGTGGTGTGTACCTGTAATCCCAGCTGCTGGGAAGGCTGAGGCAGGAGAATTGCTTGGACCAGGGAGGTGGAGGTTGCAGTGAGGTGAGATCATGCCACTGCATTCCAGCCTGGCCAACAAGAGCAAAATTCCATCTCAAAAAAAAAAGTATCCCAAACTTGGAAGTAAAAATAGGATGACTGCACGTCTTTCTAATGCCATACTGGAAGGTTGCCTAACAAACCACCAAAGCTTTTTTTAACTCTCTAAGGGAAGGTACTTTTGTTTGACTTACTATTTACTATTGATTAGGGCCCAGACTCTGCCAAGTTACATGTTAATTTTTGTCTGGTAGAGATACAAATGATTTTTGTCCTGTAAAAAGATTTTATTGCTCCACAGGACATTAATGAGTGAGGTTTCCAAATTAGCAAACTTATGTCAGCATGCTGTTTCTGATGGTCTATCCAAATCTTTCTCCTTCCAATTCTCTTTTCAAACAGTTTTACCATCCTCTGGTTCTTTCTTTTGTGAAGTAAACAGATCTTTATACACACTCCCTATAGACTTATATAAGAATCATGTTTTCACTTTTTGAAAATGATGCTTTGACAATTCCACTGAACAGGCTGGGGAAAATTTTATGAGAATTGTTGGATCCTGCTCAGAAGCAAAAAGATAAAACCAGGCTATCCTCTATCATGGCTGATCTGGGGTTCATTCCCAGAAATGAGGGTCTTGGATCAGGGTCAAATATGTGGGTGGGGTGGGCTCAATTGCTGAGATACCCATCTCATGAGGAAGGATGGGACCCATATTATGGGAAACAAAACAGGAAGAATGAGAGTGAAAAGATTAATCCTTTCACTAAATTGGGAAAACAGGAGAAAGTGTTGTTGGATAAAGAAGGAACTTTAGCACAATGAGCAGAGACAAGACGGTAAATGTTCCTTATCCAGTAATCTCTGATGAAAGGCCAGTGCTCACATCATTAGTAATGTCCAGAAATGATAATATCAGTAGTAGCAATACTCACAATGTAAATAAGTAGCTCTCATGTTTTGATTGCCAATAGTGCTAGCAACCTTACATGTATCACTCTTTACCCCAGCCCTGTTAATTGGTACTATGATGAAGAAAGAGACTCAAAGAAAATAAATGACTCACTCGCGTATTTTTACACAGCTAGAATTGCTACAGAAAGGATTAAAGCCAAGTCTATCCAAATCCACTGTCTATGTCCCTCCCTCCCTCCCTCCCTCCCTCCCTCCCTCCCTTCCTTCCTTCCTTCCTTCCTTCCTTGCTCCTTCCTTCCCTCCCTTTCTGCCTCCCTCCCTTTCTGCCTCCCTCCCTCCCTATCTCAAACATCTATTGAGTGTCTACCATGTGCCAGGCACTGTGTCAGGCTCTTGGGATACAGCAATAAGCCAAGTCCTTGCTTTCAGGGAGTTTACATTCCAGTGAGAGGGTCACAGAAACAAATGTATCTCTATGGCAGCAAGTGCTATGAAGAAAATCAGCTTCATTTTTATTGTTTCACGCCCATCATGCAGGTTTCCCACAGTCCATCATCCCCACTCCACCCCCCACCCAATGTAGTGCTTTCCTCTGTCCTGGAGAATTGGAAGGACTTCACAGCAACATCTGCAGTCCCTTTGTTTCAGTGACTTTGGCACAGAGAAGTGGACACGGTGGCAGACAAAGCTGCTGGAAGCTGTCAGGCTACTGGCAGCCAAAAGCTTAATCACACATTCCAAAGGCAGTGTGTGTGTGATATTGCATCTCTGGCCCTGGAAGGGAGACAGAGGTCACCTTCTTGGGAGTCAGAGTTGGCCCCTCAGCTCCCAGGGGTGCAGCTGAGCAGCTTCAGAGGGCTGACTGCAGAGACCAGGAAGGGGCCATTCACTCTGATGGGAATTGGGAATCATTGATGCTCGAGCAGCAGCTGAGTTAAAATTCATGCTAAGAAATCAGCATTCACATGTGTACATATTTAAGTCAGGATCTCAGTGAAGAGGGCATGACAGCAGTGAAAACAGGTGCCAGACCTGAAGTAGGCTACCTTATGGTTGCTGCTTCACCTGTTGCTCTACACACACACACACACACACACACACACACACACACACACACGATTCCAGAAGATAGTGGGACAGTAGCAATTTGAAGGCTCTGCCAGAAAAGCATTTGCTTAAAGTGTTGGGAATTTTTTGTTGGATTGTTGTTTCATTCATAGGGCTTCTAAATTTCACTTTTGCATTTTAACCATTTCAAAGAATTCCCCCTGATTTTGAGTGTGAATGGGTACAAAAGACCAGGGGTTGTTAACCAAAAGCCTGGAACATTCAGGTGAACGGCTGTTCTGCAGGGAAGGAGGGAAACAGCAGGGTGAGATGGATGGTCAACCTTCAAAGGCCTTACACAGTCCCAGCCAGGATAATCTTCACCTCTCCCTTCTGCTGGGGAAAAGTCTGGATTGCTAAGACCAGGGTCTCTATAGTGGCATCTCCAACACTCAGGCCGAGCTTCATGGCTGGGTTCCTGTTTTTTCATTTGCTCATGCCCCTCAGTGGTATCATCTGACTCAGCTCCTTTCCCTCCTGTTGGGCCAGTACTTACAGTGGGTCTCCTGATGAAGCTGAGGTCATGGGTTCATGAGCCCAATTATCACCATGCTGACCGCACCACTAACCTGGCTCCGTGTAGTTGCAAACTTGGCTGCACATTGGAATTCCTAGGGAGAGTTTTAAACATCCCAACGACCAGGCTGCAATGAAATAAGACCATGAAATCAGGATCTCAGGGGTGGAATGGGACTGGTAATTTACAGAATCTCTCCAGCTGATTCCATATTCAGACAAGTTAGAGCACCAATGCCCTCAGTCCTGAGAGTGAGGGCTCGTCTCATGAATCCATTCACACAGATGGAAGTCCATCCTCACAGCGGTCAGGCCTCACACAACATCGGGCATGTTGGTAGGCATATGCCTAAGTTTCTGTGCAATGAATGCATGCCTTACTGGTGATGCATCAATAGCAAGGCATTCAGGGGAGAGAGTACCCTGCCTCAGTGCCTAGCATGAGACATGCATCCAGGACCATGTTTTTATTCCCATCTTATGGATGAGAAAACTGAGGTTCAGAAAGGGTAGGCAAAATCCCCTAGCTCACCTGGCTGGAAGGGGGCAGAACTTCCCTGTACGTGCTGAGAACACCACTGTTCGAGCAGAGGGGAAACCTCTGCAAATTTCACTCTGTGTTCAGTGGGTGACTTGCCAAAATGACTTGCCAAAGCCCTTTAGGGCCAATAAATTAGAGTGTTTGCATCAAATTTCCATGCACAAGAGCCAACTCAAAACCTTAGATCCAATTCCATTGGTTCCCATAGCTCTGAAGTGGACAGATGCTAGTAATAAATCCTACAGGCTGATGGCAGGACTTTGATATATGATATTAACTCTGATCTTGGTGGTGGTCTGACTCAAGACAGAGGGAATATTAAAAGCAGTAGTAATCCTTTTAAAAGTTATATGCACTTTTGCCCAGATATCCAGGGTTTCTGGCTGAGTTAGCCTGCAGAAGCAATTGTGCAGATTAGGTGATGTTGAACCACGAGAAAGTGTCTTCCCACTTAGCAAATCAAGGGTCCATGGGATGGAGAGAAAGGAGGGAATAGAGTTTGTCACTTGGGCTGTACTGACCCCAGTGGTGATGTCTTCCCTTTGATGGGTGGTGTTGGGACAGCAAGGCAGTCATCATTTAGCCCACTAGTGCTAAGGTGGAAGGCATCCGCAGTGCGTGGTCTGGCATCCCCAGGCAAAGACGAGAGGATGGGCCCTGCAGAGTATTTTGGGTTAGAAACAAGCTGAGTGAACTGAGTGTTTCTTCAGGGAGCGCACTACAGATGAGCCGACAAATCCACGACAGTGGGGAGTGAGGTGAGGCAGGGACACAAATCCACAGCTGACTCACCCAGCACATTCCCACCTCCTCAGCATAGAAAACCACAGGGACAAACTGACCAGAAGGCCATTCATCCATGGGTCTATCCCGTGCCTTGATCAGTCTTCCTAAATCCCACCTTTGCCAAAGTCACTCCAGTCTGTGAATTTTCCATGACTTCCTGATGTATATGGAAAGATGTTCAGACTCCCAATCTGAGGTCCAATGCTCTCCAGAATTCCATCTTTCCCTACCTTCCTGGAATCATTTCCCATTGACTTGCCATCTACCTGGGCAAGCTGGAATGGCTGCTTTGGCTGTCTTCTGAAAATGCCCTGAGGTGTCTCTGCCCCAGGCCTGTCTCCTGTGCCCCCAGAGCTGCCCAGGCCCCTGCTTCCTACAGAGACCAGCTCACAGTCTTCTTGTCAGTGGTCATCTAACAGTGGTCTTGTAAAAGCAGAGCAAGTTCCAATCTTATTTATAGCATTCAGCAGTTTTTTTTTTTTTTTTTTTTTTTTTTTTTAGAGCTGGTGTCTTTCTCTGTTGCCCAAGTTTGAGTGCAATGGCTCAATCACAGCTTCACTGCAGCCTTGAACTCCTGGGCCCTAGTGATCCTCCTCTTTCAGCCTCCTGAGTAGCTGGGACCACAGGTATGCACCACCATGCCCACCTAAACACAGTCTACCTTTATGTGTGTGGTCCATACATCACCAGATGCTCACAGAAGGTAGGGCAGAAACATTTTGAAAAATAATTTTTACCTTTGAAGAGTAATCTTAATGATAACCTAGCAGGTGCTCAGATACATCAGGTCGATTCACTTCCTATGGCTGTGTAACAAATTACCACAAACTTGGTGATTTAGAGCAATGCCCATTTATTATCTCAGGGTTTCTATAGGTCAGAAGTTTGGGTGTTGCATGGCTGGATTGTCTGTTTAGGATCTCACAGGGTTGAGATCGGGGTAGCCAGGGTTGCTTCTCATCTGGGGCTCCAAGTCCTCTTTGCAAGCTCACTGGTTGTCAGTAGAATTCAGTTCCTGTGGTTGTAGGACTGAGGTCCCCATATTCTTCTTGCTGTTTGTCAGTCTGGGGTGCTCCCAGCAACTCAAGGCCACTCTCAGGTTGTTGACACAGGGTGCCAACATCTATCTTCAAAACCAGTAGGAGGATTTCTCTTGCACTGAATCTCTTTTGCATCTCTGACATTCTCAGTCTCTGACCTCTAGATCCAGATTTAAAGGGTTCACTTGATTCTGTCAGACCCACTCAGGACAATTATTTTGTTGTGCGTCCCTTTTTCTGGGAAGTGGGTCTACCACTTCTATCACATTCTTAAAAGGGTCTGGGAATGTTCACCCATCACAGACATCCACACCAGGCCAGTTAAGTCAGAACTGCTGGAGATTCCACATTCTCCTGGGCAGCCTGGGTGGAGAACCACCTATGTGGAAGGAACACTGGGCTCCAAAGATAAGGGGCCTTGCATTTTATTTCATTACCAGTGTCTATTGGCTCTGAGACCTTACAGAAATCACTCAACTTCTCAGGGCCTCATTTGCAAACACGGATGATAATAGTAAGCTCCATCTCTCATGGTTGTTAGGAGGATTAAAAGTGTATAAAGATGCTCTGCAAGCTCTGAAGTATTAGCCAACCGTCTTGTCAGTGTGAAGAGACACTGAAAAGTGAGGTGGGACACAGCATTTTAAGTGAAAAAGAAGGGAGAAGCTTATCTTTATCAAAGTTAAATATTAGATACTGAGTACTTTGTAAAGTCTGTTGCTGCTGGGGATCAGGCAAATTGTTATAACCTTCCTGGAAGGCAATTTCCCATAATTATCAGCAGTTTACAGAATATCCAAGCCATTTGACCCTAAGATAATGTTTCTAGGGATTTCTCTTAAGGATTTAATCAAGGACACATACACAGATTATAGCAGTTCAAAATTGGAACCCATCTATTTAACAATAAGGGATTGTTTAATTACACATGAAATATTATTTAAACGTGAACATTATATTGCCTTTAAATATTTGACATGGAAAGAAGCTTAAAACTCAGTCCTATTTCCTTATCAATGTTCTATCAACAAGGGGCAGGAGGTGTCACCTCCTTGGGAATCAGAGTTGGCCCCTCAGGTAGGTGTTTGGAGCTTCCTGGTAGGGGCTGGGGACAAAGTGTGGATGGGGCACCTGCTGGACCTGTGGCAAGATCATCAGGGATTGCTATTGGTCTCAGCAAGGGAGTGAGGCTGACCAGTTCTCAGCTGCATTTCAGAGAAGGATGAAATGCCCTAATCGGAAGTCAGCTCCCCTCATGACCCTGGAGGGAATTCTGCCCACTCACAGACTCTTTCTTATTCTGGGCCTCTGCTGTTATCTGGGTATTGCTCCCTGTCACAGTCAGTTTGGGGACTGATCCTCCAGGGAAGTCCTGGGACCTCTCGGCAGGCTGAATGCTTCTCCTTTGTGACTCCCCTGCCATGGCGGTTGTGCCCCTTCTTACCTTCTACAGACACGACTTTTCATGGGCCTCTTCCTTTCTCCCCACCGGTAAATCACCACCCTTCAAAGGCAGGAACTGTCTCTATTTCATCTTAGTATCCTACGGGCCTGGCCCAGAGTAGATGCTCCAAAAAACTTGTCCTGAACTGAATGGGTGTGAAGCTGGGGCCTGTTGCACTGTGTTGTTGTGGGGCGGGGTGACTTCCAACCACACTGGGAGCCATCTCCCTCTCTCATTCCGAGGGAAGAGTCCGCAGCACAGATGGGCGCAACCCAATGTCAGGAGCTGACACTGTGATCAAAGAAAATCATTTCCATTGCTCCTGTAGACGAAAAGAGTCAAACTCAGTAAAATATTTGAAGAGATGTATTCTGAGCCAAATATGAGTGACCACGGCCCTTGCCATAGCCCTCAGGAGGTCCTGAGAACATGTGTCCAAGGTGGTCGGGGTACAGCTTGGTTTTATGCATTTTAGAAAGGCATGAGACATCGATCAAGTACATTTAAGAAATACACTGGTTTGGTCCAGAAAGGTGGGACCAAAGCAGGAGGAGAGGGGCGCTTCCAGGCTATAGGTAAATTTCAGTGAGTTTGTCTAAAGACCTGGGATCCATAGAAAGGAAATTTTCAAGTTAAGATAAAAGATGGTGGAGACCAAGGTTCTTTTGAAGTCTTATAGAGGCTGTCCTCAGAGACAATAGATGGCAAATGTTTCCTATTCAGATCTTTAAAAGGTGCTAGACTTGGCCAGGCACGGTGGCTCACGCCTGTAATCTCAGCACTTTGGGAGGCCCAGGTGGGTGTGGATCACAAGGGCAGGAGTTTGAGACCATCCTGGCCAATGTGGTGAAACCTCATTTCTACTAAAAATATAAAAATTAGCTGTGTGTGGTGGCGGGCGTCTGTAGTCCCAGCTACTCAGGAGGCTGAAGCAGGAGAATCGCTTGAACCCGGGAGGCAGAGGTTGCAGTGAGCCGAGATCATGTCACTGCACTCCAGCCTGGGCGACAGACTGAGACTCCGTCTCAAACAAAAAAAAAACAAAGTGCTAGACTTTCAGTTAATCTCTTTAGGATTGGGAGGGCCTGGAAGAAAAATATCTAGCTATGTTAATAGAGATTCTTTACAGATACAAATTTTCCCCCACAAAGGACAGCTTTGCAGGGCCATTTCAAGATATGGACAAAAAAGCCTATGTTTTGGGGTAAAATATTTTGATTTTCTTCCTTGTCTCATAATGTTATGACAGAGTCAGGTTGGAAAGTAAGTCACAATATATAGGGTTAAATAAAATCCATCTGATGAGAATTTATGGTTTGTAGGACATCACTCCCCAGACCCTTTAGATAGGGAATTTGGGTAAGATAAAAAAAAAAAAAGTCAGAGCTTAGTCTTCACTTGCAAGGGTGCCCCTGTCTTCCTCCACTCTCCATCCCCAAGCTGGGCTGGGATTTCTTGAGCCAGATGAGTTGAAGATGCTGCAAAGTTAAAATGGCCTTGCCTTCCTGTGCAGTCAGATGGAGCACCCCCTTCCCTCATCTGGGCCTGCTGAGTAGGGTCTCACTGATCCCCACACTGTGTGTCCCTTAGACCTTTCCTGAGACCCAGCCCTTCCCCCAGTGGAAGGGAGAATTATTTGAAAAGTGTGGGGTTTGGTGTCAGACAGACTGGGACCCAGGTCTAGGCTACTGAACCAGTGAGCTGTGTGGCTTTGTGCATGCTATTTAGACACTCTGAGTTTTAATTTCCTAATTTCTAATTGCCAGACAGGTTGGTTGGGAGGAACAGCTTAGATTGACCTATGAAAGCATTTGTAGACTCGGAAGTGTTCTCATGGCACTTTGGATGAAATCGTTCCTGCTGCTTCAAACTACTGTGTGATGAGTTTCCAAAAATCATTGCCTGTGATCTGCAGGCTCGTTGTATGTCACAGATCACCAGATGTGCTTCCATTCCATGCTTGCTTCTGCAGTCCTGTTCTAAGCTCTGGCCTAATATTCTTCCCGCCCACGGAGCTCTTGCCACTGCCTCACCGCAGAGACTGGAACCCTGTCCTTTAACTCCCAGCTCAGAGTGTAGGGAAGTGTTTCTCAAAGTATTCTCTGTGTTATCTGCTTCCAAATTGCCTGGATATTGGTTAAAAACCAAACCTCTGGTTCCCCTTCCAGACTGAAGGATGAGAATTGGCTGTGGGAATGAGTGGGAATCTACGCTGTTGTGAAGTTCCCCACAGGGATCTCCTGCATCTTAAGGCTCAAAGGCCATGGACCTAGCCCCTGGATACTGGGCATAGGCATCTCAGATGCTGTTTCTTCACTTCCCTGACTGGCCTGGGCTCTGGGGTTGGGACCTTCTCATTTCTGGATTTGTGATACTTGTCTTGTATCCCCTTTTATCATAGTGTGCTTTTGCTTACAAGTGAACAAAAAACCCAATCCAAAGTGATTTAAACAAAAAGAGCACTTATTGTAAAAGTTCAGAATAAACTGCCTTCAGGCATGGCTTGATCCAGGGGCGCACACTGTGTTACCAGGAGGCAGTTTCTCTCTGCCTCCTCACTTGGCTACATTTTTCTCTCACTTGTGCATCCTGAGCCATTCACAGAGCTCAGGAGGATGAGTGTTCTGATGGAGCAGGGTATGCTGGTGGTTAGTGCCATCAAAAACAGAATGAGATAATGATATGGCTCAGATGACTGGAGGAGCACCAGGGTTCTTGGTCTAGCACACACTTGGATAAAATGACACAGACACACCTGGAGTGGTTTTAAGGAGCGAAAAGTTTAATATACAAGAAGGAAGGAAGAAGAAAACAGCTCCCCAGTACAGAGACAGAGGGAGAGGGGATTTGAACAGAGAGAAAACCCCAGTGGGGAGAAGGGATGTGGGGGGAGGGCGTGTGTGTGGTGTAATCAGCTAGTTATATGAGGAGGCTGGAGGAGGCGGTGCTGGCTTGCATAGGGCTCAGAGGATTGGTTTGACCAGGCAGGTCATTCACATAGCCTGCGAAAAAGCTGGCCCTCACAGTCTAGCCTTTTAAGATGCAAATGCAGGGCGCCATGATGTTCTACACACGTGGGGATATGTGGGGGCGGCCATGTTGCCAGCCACCTGTTGGGGCAAGGAAGAAACCTGGAATCTCCATGTTTGGGTGGACTCAGTTTCCAGTGGCCTGCGTTTGCATATCAAAGCTTGCCAGTGGCTCTTAGAGCTGGCGCTCTCCTGTTAGACAAGAAAGGTTTCTGGATCTGCTTTAAAAGAAACAAAAACTTCCCAAGGACCTCTTTTCCTCTCTATCTGCCTAAAATAATTTCTTAATAACTCCTATAACAATAAGGGGGTGGTCCATTCCCACATGTAAATTGAGGCTTTTCCCAGAAATAGGGTGAATAGATGCTGAGTTACCCCAGCCAGCAAATGTCCATTTATCTCATTTGTGAACTCTGGACTCTGCACAGAGACTGTGGTGACACAGGCTGTCCTGTGACCCTGTGGCTGGGTCAGCTCCTGTGTCTGCGACAGGATGCCCTGAGTCCCCATGGATTCCTCAACCCCACACCCTGTCCTACTCTTAGCCAAGTCAGCCATGCCCCTCTGAGGGCTACGCTGCTTCAATAGGCCTGGCTTCCTAAGTACCTTTCATTATCACCCAGGCTCATACCCAGAAGCAAAGCAGAAATTTCTTTTGAGATCCAGGGTGGGAAATGGTCAGTTGAATTGAGTTGCAACCGAAGGTGAGGAAACGTCTTTTATGAAAACCCATTTCCCTCTGTCGGAGGTGATTTCAGTCACATTTTCCAAGCTCAGGATAATTTACCCCCTACCAGGGTGCACTGCAGAAGGTCTGGCTGGAAGGCCCCGAGCACAGGAGTTGATTGCTAGCTGCTAAGAGGCTGCGCTTTGTTCCTGAAGGAGAAAGCTGCAGGTTAAGAGAACATTCCCCACCTTGCCAGGGGTGACAAAGCAGGGGACTGCTTGAGGGCTGACACTGGAGTTAGAGATAATGAAAGGAGAGGAGGAAGAAGAAGCCAGGGCCTGGCTCAGCATCTCACCGCATTGGTGGGGAGAGGAGCTGCTCACCTTCTCGCACCTGTTGTTGGGCTGAGACAGATTTTCAGAGAGCAATGCCTCCTGGACAGAGGCTCTTCCCCACAGGGCAAATGTAATTAGATGAGAGAAAAACAAAGCTCTGAAACCCTAATTAGGTGCAAAGCCCTCAGGCTTTATACATCTAAACAGCTAAGGAACAGAGGATAAGATTCTCCAGTCGGCACTCCCTTGCCAGTCCTGGCTGAGCTAATGGTGAAGTGAGAGCTGTGCCACAGATCCCATGGTTGGCTTTTTGTTGTTGTTATTTCAGATGGAGTTTCACTCGCCACCCAGGCTGGAGTGCAGTGGTGCAATCTTGGCTCACCACAATCTCCGCCTCCTGGGTTCAAGTGATTCTCCAGCCTCAGCCTCCCGAGTAGCTGGGACTACCAGCGCCCGCCACCATGCCTGGCTAATATTTTGTGTTTTTAATAGAGACGGGGTTTCACCATGTTGACCAGGCTGGTCTTGAACTCCTGACCTCAGGTGACCTGCCCACCTCAGCCTCCCAAAGTGCTGGGATTACAGGCGTGAGCCACTGCACCTGGCCCCGTGGTTGGCTTTTACTCCTTCCATTCTGCCACCCTGAAGCTGATCCTCTGGAATTTGCTTGTTTTTGGTGTGTCCAGAAATGAAGGTCTATCAGTTCTTGAAATTGGGTTGTTTTAAGTAACTGATGTGCTGGGATGACAGTGAAGAAGACAAGATAGGGATTCCTCTTCCTAAACTTTAGGGCCTGAAGGGACTCCTCATTGACAGCAGATGGGATTTTTAATTTCACTCTGGGATGGAGGAAGTGGAGAGGTGATCCAGGCTGGATTGAAATCTCTCAAGCCTGGGAGATTTTGCCCAAAGACTTTTGACATGGGAACAGTAGAAACATTGGGAAAATTGGACTTTCAGGTCAGCATTCTGGGAATTTCCCCAGTCTTCCCAGGGTGGGATCATCTGGCCCCAGTTATGGGAATAAGACCACATAAATAGAAGATGACTTGGGAAGTCATCTTCCCAAGATGTCAGGGAGGAGGTGGAGGACCACTGTTCTGATCAGCCTCCTTCAACCTCACAGTGGGGTTGGTCTCAGATGGTGCCCAGGAACCTGCCAGCAGCGGCACTTTGATGGCACCAAGATCGTGGGTGCAGGGACCCAGATTTGCTTCCTACTCATGTCTCCCTACCCACTGAAAAATGGAATATCAGTGAGGAATATCTTAGAGGGCTGCCTTTGCTCCTTTTGCCAGAGAACCAATATTGGTTATGAACAATTGGCCCGCATCTGGTGTGCAGAAAAATGAATATTTTAATAGTGCTTCATAGGGTATCGTAGCATCTTATAAAAAGTGGCCCATCAAATTATTGATTCAATCATTTAAAATGCATTAGCAGAGGATGCCTATCAGACTAAGACATCCGTGTTTCTGATCCAGTGAAAAGGGTCCAGGTAAGGAACACATATTAAGCCTCTTGGCATCCTGTGTGAGCACGGTGCATGACGTGGCCGTCAGTATCATTGTTTTCTTTGAGTTTTTGCTTGAGTGTTGAGATGTGTGAGGGATAGAAGATCCTTGTTTGCTTCTAGTCCTGACCTACACTGTCCATTAGGGAAATAATTTGTTTTCTTGAACCCATTATATGAATAATTTTGTTTTTAATCAATAGAAACAAATGGTCTTTATTTAACTAATAGAAAAAATTCCAATGAGGCCAGGCCACATAGGGGTTTCTGTAAATGTCATATCATTTCTGTTCTGTCCCCTCAGCTAAGAGTATAAAAAGTTCAGGCGACCTCCAGGGGCTTTTGCCTACTTAAATAGTATTACTTAGAGATGAGCTAGTACTTGGTTTTAAAAGTAATTTTTTTTTTCTTTTTTGAGACGGAGTTTCGCTCTTGTCACCCAGTCTGGAGTGCAATGGCACAATCTCGGCTCGCTGCAAGCTCCACCTCCTGGGTTCAAGAGATTCTCCTGCCTCAGCCTCCCAAGTAGCTGGGATTACAGGTGCCTGCCACCATGCCTGGCTAATTTTTGTATTTTTAGTAGAGATGGGGTTTCACCATGTTGGGCAGGCTGGTTTCAAACTCCTGACCTCAGGTGATCCGCCTGACTGAGCCTCCCAAAGTGTTGTGATTACAGGCGTTAGCCACTGCTCCTGGCCCTAAAAGTAACAGTTCTAAGCTTTGTACTTACGACACCAAAAACATACAGACTGACATCTAAGTAATTAAGTCAATCATTAAGATGTTTAGTTATGTCATGCAAAATAATAATCTCCAAGGAGTTGTCAAAGAATTCAGTAGTTTGATGTTATTGCCAGCACAGCCTTTACTGAGTCCTCTTATAAATCTTAAAGAAAAATTTAAGATTTTTAATTTTTAAAGATTTAAAAATTTTTAATTAAATTTTTTTTTTAGGGCTGGACTCTTGGTCTGTCGTCCAGGATAGAGGGCAGGGATGCCATCACTACTCACTATAACCTCAAACTCCTGGGCTCAAGCAATCCTCCCACCTCAGCCTCCGGAGTAGCCGGGACTACAGGCATGCCCCACCACATTCGGCTAATTTTTAAAATTTTTTTGTAGAGACAGGGTCTCACTATATTGTCCAGGCTGCTCTCAAAATCCTGGCCTAAAGTGATCCTCCTGCCTCAGCCTCCTGAGTAGCTGGGTTAGATCCTGGCAAATGAAAGGGCCCCCAGCTTTGACCTACCTTTGGGGAAGATCTCACTGCACACAGGTTCTCACACAGCACACCCCGTCACACACATGAACTCACACCGAGAACATATGAACACTACACACATGTTCTCACACAGCACACCCTGTCACACATATGAACTCACACTGAGAACACGGGCATCACACATAGGGACTCACACATAGAGGGCATATGAACACTACACACATGTTCTCACACAGCACACACCCCGTCACACCCATGAACTCACACCGAGAACACAACATCACACACAGGGACTCACACATAGAGGACATGTGAACACTACACACACGTTCTCACACAGCACACCCTGTCACACATATGAACTCACACTGAGAACACAACATCACACACAGGGACTCACGCACAGAGGACATGTGGACACTACACACACGTTCTCACACAGCACACCCCGTCACACCCATGAACTCACACCGAGAACACAACATCACACACAGGGACTCACGCACAGAGGACATGTGAACACTACACACACGTTCTCACACAGCACACACCCCGTCACACCCACACCCCCACATGCGTAGACACACACATCCTTACTCTGCGTGCATCCCTGGCCTGGTGGACGGAAGATCGAGCGCTCCGGGTGGACTTACGGCCACAGGACGGGGGCAGAGTCGGCAGGGAGGCCCCTCCGAGGCCCAGTGGGCCCCGCGCTGGCCCCGGCCGCAGACGCCCACCTGCTGCTGTGCTGGCTGCGGCGTGTGCCCCGGGCTCTGCGGCTGACCTGGCCTCCACGTCTCACCCATGAAGCAGGCATGAAAGGCTGGCCAGGTTGGCTAAATGGGACCACAGCAGAAGCATGAGCCCCAGAATGTGCACGAAGGAAGAGAGAGCCGGGGGAGGTGGCGGGCTGGGTGTGCAGAGTGGGCCTGAGCTCCGGCCTCCTCCCTGGACGCCCTCCCGTGGCCGCAGCCATCCCTGCACCCACTGGTGTGGCCTGACCCCTCACCCTGAGCCCACCCTTCGCGGCCACTAGGGAACCTCAGGAGAGGCCGCTGTGGTGGGGTGGGCGGATCCCCCCGGAGCAGGCCCAGGCCCCTGCTCCTGAGCTCTCCGGCAGCGCCGCCTGCTGGCCACAGAGAGCCCACGTGCGCCAGCCGCCAGGCCTGGGCATCTCCCCTCCTGCAGCGCCGCCTGCTGGCCACAGAGAACCCACGTGCGCCGGCCGCCAGGCCTGGGCATCTCCTCTCCTGCAGCGCCGCCTGCTGGCCACAGAGAACCCGCGTGCGCCGGCCGCCAGGCCTGGGCATCTCCTCTCCTGCAGCGCCGCCTGCTGGCCACAGAGAACCCGCGTGCGCCGGCCGCCAGGCCTGGGCATCTCCTCTCCTGCAGCGCCGCCTGCTGGCCACAGAGAACCCGCGTGCGCCGGCCGCCAGGCCTGGGCATCTCCTCTCCTGCAGCGCCGCCTGCTGGCCACAGAGAACCCGCGTGCGCCGGCCGCCAGGCCTGGGCATCTCCTCTCCTGCAGCGCCGCCTGCTGGCCACAGAGAACCCGCGTGCGCCGGCCGCCAGGCCTGGGCATCTCCTCTCCTGCAGCGCCGCCTGCTGGCCACAGAGAACCCGCGTGCGCCGGCCGCCTGGCCTGGGCATCTCCTCTCCTGCAGCGCCGCCTGCTGGCCACAGAGAACCCGCGTGCGCCGGCCGCCAGGCCTGGGCATCTCCCCGGGCCCTAGTTCCCCCCCTCACCTAAGGGGAGGGACTCCCGTCTTTCCATCCACCCCCTCCTTGCCTCTGCAGAGCTCCAGGGAAGGCTGGCACCCGCTCACTGCATTTAGACTCCATCAGGTTCAGACAGTGGGTCAGGGTACAAGGCTTCAGCGGCCAGGGATGTGGCCTCTAATTTGTAGAGAGAAAGAAGGGCAGAGGCAAAGGTTTGGGCCCAGGGACTGGGCTCCGTTTCCAGAATCACTCTTGGAGCTGGTGAGCAGAGGGCTGGACACTGCCCTCCATGACCAGCACTGCCCTCCACCCTAGCTCACTCCCCTAGCCGGCCCAGGGGTTCAGGCTTTCCTTTCATAAAGTGGGGTCCAGGAAAGGCAAAACCTCCTCCCCTGGGCCACACGAACCGTGGTGCACAGGCTCCCACTAGGTGGGCCAGTCAGCTCATCCCATGGACACACCAGGGGCATCGAGAAAGGAATAGCGACCTGAACCCCATACCCGAAGGGTGGCCCTCAGGACCCCCAAGGCAGGGAACAGGCTGCAGAGGGTTTGGGGGAGCATCTTGGTGCATAGAAAACAAACACTCTGGGAAGCCGCTGTGAGTGTGTGTGGCCCTCAGGCCTGTTCTGTCCTGGGTGCGCTGCGTTCCCCAGGCGGCACCATCTCTCTGCCTCTGTACCCTTGAATTCCCTCTGCCTGCACCCGGTCCCCACCCACCTCCTGCCCAGCCCCACAAGCCCTTCCAGACCACTGCTGGGGCATTCCTGGGCCCCCTCGGTTCTTGGTGACTACCATGCAGTTCTCTATGGAAACTGACTCTCACTGAAAACAAGTGTAACCGTCTACCTAAGAGACTCACACAGAGTTCTCAGCCAGGTCTCCAGGACAATCAGACGCAACTTGTCATTCTCACTCATCCCATCACCCGACTAGCTTCTCAGCCCAGCCCCGGGGGAGGTTTTCCCCTTACTTGAAATGCCTCTTGGATTTGAAAAATCCCAGCATTCACCCCTGGTGCCGACACTTGCCTCTGTAACCTTCTGCCTGCTGCTTTGCTCTCATCCAGACCGGTTGGCACTTGGCCCCCTCTGGCCAGCTGGTTCCCCAGAGACAACCATCTTGCCCACCTGTGGAAGGCCCCATGGCCTGCCTCACCCCTCACTCCCATTTCACAGCTCTCGTCGTGCTCTACAAGAAAAATCTGCTTTATAGATGAGGAAAGGCCCTTGGGGCAGACAAGACAGTCCCTGTTTGACATAATTCCTTTATCTCTTCTCCCCCAGCTCTGCTGCCCCCTGCCCCATACACGTGATGGAGCAGAAAACGTGCTGTGTGAACCTGTGACTTCAGGGCCTGTTGACGTGGTCGTGCTTGCATACTCTCTGGTGAGGGGTGGGGAGAGGGGGTGGGAGACGGGTAGAAATAGATGAAGTAGATGATGGGTGGATTGCTGGCTAGATAGATGATAGATAGGGATAGGTGGTATATGGGTGATAGGTAACAGGTGATGGATAGATGATAGAAATAGATGATGGATAGATACTTGATAGGCAAATTAGATAATAGATAGCAATAGATGAACTAGATGATAGATGGAAAGGTAGGTAGGTAGATAGATGGTTGATAGATAAAAATAGATGAAATAGATGGCATGGTTAGATAGGTGGGTAGGTAGATAGATGACAGATAGAAAGACAATAGACCACTGGGGGCTGAGCCTGGCCTGAGCCAGAAAGGTGAGAAGGGGACAGCGGTGAGGACCCCACAGGTCCCTGCTCTCACCCCTATTAGCCCCAGTGTTTGGCCTGAGCTCTGACTGACAGCTCCCTCTTTCCGAGATGAGACTCAAGAGGAGGAAGAGGGGACTTCCTAAGGACAGGGATTCTTGGTGTCTCCTTGGGGGTGGTAGACACTGCCTGCCTCGCCTGCTGTGGCCTCTCTGCACACAACCAACGACCCCTAAAGGGCTCCGTGGGCACCCATGCTGCCCCCATCAGCTGACACCCCCTGTGCGAAGATTCTCCTCCTCCTCTTCCTCCTGCCTTTCTGTCCCCTCATCCTCCTCTTTATGGAATTAACTTCCCTTGGTCAACATCTTCCTGCTTCACTCACTTCCCTAAACTCCTCCCTATCCCTTCTCAATCTGCAAGAAAAATGTAGAAGGAATATGGTAAAGGAAAGCTTTGAGCCCATATTTGGGTCCAATGCCGACACCACATGCCCCAAAGCCCCCTTGAGAGCATCCACGTCCGTGTAGTTGAGTATTGCCCGAGCTGGAGTGAGATTTGCCTCTCTACGGAGCTGCCTTCCTGCAGTTCAAGAGCACTGTCTCTTTTCTGGGCCTCCTGCCTGGTGCAAGGGCCCCAGCTGAGCCTCCTCCAGCTCTGACCTCTGGTGGTTCCGGGCTGCCCCAGAGGGTCTTGCCCAGGCTCTGACACTTGGCATGGTCTGGGAGCTCCAGCAGCCACAGCCCAGCCCTGGGGAGGCTTTGTGGTCTCTGAGGGGGAAGGTGCACTCCCCCAACTCCAGTTCATGTTTTTCCCTCCAACTCTAAGCCTTTTTCTTCCTCTGCTATTACCCAGGCACCCTACCCTGTCAACAACACTGGCCTTCAAGACCCTTTGTAGCATAACTCCCACCTATAACTCCCACCTGAAGCCAGCCCTTCCCACCTCTGCGCCTCTGATGCCCAGGACAGCTCTGACCATGGGCAGCTCTGACCCAGGACAGCTCTGACCTTGGGCAGCCCTGATCTGGGGCAGCTCTGACCTCGAGTAGCTGTGACCCTGGGCAGCTCTGACTCTGGGTAGTCGTGACCCTGGGGAACTCTCAGCACGGGGGTTGCATGCTCCTGTTTAGACAGCTGCTGTCCCCCAAGCTGGCTCACTATCCCATGTTGGAGTGCCTGGATTGATGCAGGGAAACTTGGTTCCAGCCCACCTCCTCCTGCGGAGGCTGAGTCAGGGGCTCTTCCCTCGGCCAGGCTGAAAGGCAGCAGTTGGTCCCCCTGTGAGGTCTTCCACATGGCCTGGGAGAGTCTCCCCATCTCTTCAGGCAGAAGGGAGGACAGTCCATAATGTTCCTTCCAGTCCTCTGACTTGTCATTTTTCTACCCCAAATCTTGCACTTTAACCCCATAGAGAGCTCCTGAAGGGGGAATTTTAACTGGCAAAACTCAGAACTCCATCCAAACACAACCGAAACCATCCTGGGTGGCTTAGAGGTGGCTGCCTCCCAGACAAGTCCATAGCCCCACAGAAACGTCTGGTCCTTCACCTGCCAGAGCTCAGGCTTTTTGGTTGAAGCCGGAGACAGGCCCAGCTCAGAGTGTGCCCCGGTTTATCCTGAGCACAGACTTGGTGCGGTGTGTGTGACAGACCAGCGAAGCGGGTCTTGCTGCCTGTCCTGTGGTTGGCCCTTGGCTCCCAGCCTCGAGTCCTACCCTTAGGCCAGGTCAGAGCAGGTTCAGCAGCAGGACTGGCTAGGCACCACCCAGGCTCATGAGGTGGCTTTGTGGGGAGGAAATGAGGTTTTTTTTTTTTCTCTTGTAAAGTTGCTTGTTGTTAATTTAAAATTTTAATTTCATTTCTGAATTAACATTCAGCAAAACTGCTATTTTTTGGTGTACAGTTCTATGAGTTTAACACATTTATAGATTCATGTAGCAACACTGTGGATACAGAACAGTTACATCACCCCCAGAACTCCGTTCACAGTCACACTCCCCGACCCAGCCCCGGCAGCTCTCCCTGTGGTTTGTCTTTTGCAGAGGAAATCCCGCACCTGGCGGCACTTGGAGACCGGCTCCTCGCCGAGCCGACCGCGCGTGCGCGGCTCCCTCCTCGTCCGTGCTGAGCGCCGCGTGGGGTTCCGCGTGGAGGCGCCTGTGCCGCTGAAGCGTGTTTGGGTTGCTTCCAGGGTGGGATGGTTGTTGGATAGAGCTGTTTGTGCATTTGCGTTGTAGGTTTTTGTGTGAACATAAGCTTTTGTTTCTCTCGGGTACATACCCAGAAGTGCAATTGCTGAGTCATGTGGGAAGCGTGTGCCCAACTTTACAGGAAAACACCGCAGGCCGCCCCTTCGCTTTGCGCTCCCGCTAATCGGGAATGAGTGCCTGCTGCTCCGCGTTCTTGCGGGCACCCAGCATTTTCCGTGCTTACATTTCAGCCATCCCGGAATGAATGAAAAGCGTTTCCTAGTGGCTGTAATTTGCATCTCCCTGGTGGCTGATGGAAGCTTATTTCCCATCCATATCCCTTGCTTGGTGACGCATCTGTTCAAATCCTTCCCCGGTTTGTAACTGGATTATTTGGTGTTTTTACTGTTGGATTTTGAGAGTTCTTTATGTATTCTAGATACAATTCCTTTGCCAGATATGAGATTCACAAATATTTTCTCCAACTCTATGTCTTGTGTTTTCATTCTCTCAACAGTGACTTTTGCAGCATTCATAGGGATTTTATGGTTTCTTCTCAAAGTTTTATAAACCACTATATTTAAAATTTTAATTTAAAAACTATAAACCTATTATAGTTTTTAAATTAAACTGTAAACCTGTTATATAGATTTTCTGTTTAAACTTATGATTCCTTTTAAGTTAATTATTATGTAAGTTGTGAGGGTTGGGTCAAGGCATTCCTTTGCTTAAAATCCCCAGCTTTTCATTTCTCTCAGACAGAAGTCTTGACCTGCAGGGTCAGGCTCCCCTGCTCTCTGAGCTCGCCCTCCCCACGCAGCGCTAGCCCCTGGACTATTCTCACCACTCAGGCCTTGGCCTCCATACCCGCTTGGCACCCACCAAAGGGTCCGGGGACCCCTCCACAGGGCAGCGTTCTGTCTGTGAGGTGAAGCGGGAGCAGAGGGCCAGGCAGAGCCAGGCTGGGACCCAATCTCTGCTTCAGGCTGGTCTTTTTTTTTTTTTTTTTTTGAGACGGAGTCTCGCTGTCGCCCAGGCTGGAGTGCAGTGGCGCGATCTCGGCTCACTGCAAGCACCGCCTCCCGGGTTCACGCCATTCTCCTGCCTCAGCCTCGCGCGTAGCTGGGACTACAGGTGCCTGCCACCATGCCCAGCTAATTTTTTGTATTTTTAGTAGAGACGGGGTTTCACCGTGTTAGCCAGGATGGTCTTGATGTCCTGACCTTGTGATCTGCCCGCCTCGGCCTCCCAAAGTGCTGGGATTACAGGCGTGAGCCACCGCACCTGGCCAGGCTGGTCTTTTTTGCCAGAGTTAGTGTTGTATTGAGGGACATGGATGGAGAAAAGGGGGTCAGTTAGGGGCAAGTTTACTTGTGCAGGTAACCAGGGTGAGGGCTCGAGGGGAGAGGAGAGATAAGGAGGGCAGAGCTCAGCCAAGTTGGCCTGATGACATGACCAGAATGTGATCACTAGATCCCCTGCCTGGAGGCCCAAGTGTGGCCCCAGGTCTGGATAGTTGCAGCCACTGTGGGGAAGCTTCAGTTTGGGAGCCACAGAAACCAAGAATATTGTCTGGGAAGCTGATGTGAAGAGAGGAGAATGGAGCGGATGGAGGTGCGGTGGGGGAGAGAGACAAAGAGACAGAGAGGAGAGTAAAAGCCTGTTGCTGGCTCCACTATGTTGGGCTTGTCAGCCCAGCTTCTTCTTGTCCCATCCATAAAATGGGCTGGTGTCACCCATCCTGGTTAGGAGGCACAAGGAAGTGTTGCGCTGTGTGCTCGGCCCAGCTGACTCAGCAGCTCTCCAACCTTGGGGACTCTCCAGACAGGTGTGTGCAGGTGAGGTGCTGGACCAAGGAAGGGCAGGTGGAGGACATGGCCGAGGGGAGCTCTGTGAGCTGAGCTGCCTGCTTCGAGGGTGCCCTTGAGGCCCAGGACTGACCCCTGGAGGGAGAGGCTTCCTTCCTTCTGTTGGGGCTCAGAAAACAACGCCCCAAAATGAAGTCCTCAGCAGCAGCCTCAGAAGCAAAAGTTGTCTCTGACCTTCTCCTGCCCTCCTGTCTCTCAGTCTCATTCTCCCCGAAGGCACTGTAGAAACCAGACTCTCTTTTTCCCCAAGGCCGGTCACAGAAATCAGAACCCCTTCTCCCCAAAGCTGGTCAGAAAACCTAAAAATATTACTCAGTTTTCCGTCTACCTTTCTATATAAGAGCTGACTAGAGAGAAATGATCCAACATCCCTTGTTTGACTGTAGGTCATGAGACTGTCATTCCAGAGAGGGCCCTGCCCCACGTCCAGAGAAGAAAATGCTCAGAGATGAAGACAAATCTAGACAGACCTTGCTGGGTTCCCACTCAGTCTATTCACATTAGATCAAGCCCTTTGTGTCCAATCCTTTTTTTAGAGGACTGTTCATACGTTATTAAACCTAAACATAAAAATGGACAATTTCCCCCATCGTTGGGTCTTCGTTCTAAAGGTTCTTATATGTACACATCACATAAATTTGCATACTGTTTCTCCTATTAATCCATCTGTCTCATGTCAGTGACTTCTCAGCAAACCTTTAGGGGCCAAGGGGCCCCACACTCTCCAGCGGCAGGCACAATGGGCCTGGGGTGCAGTTGTGGACACTCGGACCCTCCTTGGAGCTGGTTTAGCTGTGCTGTGTGCTTGTGGGAATGGATTGCCATGATTTCTGGGCTCTAATAAATTGTGCTTCAATCGACTCTTGAGGAGTTAATGAGAGGCCTCACTTCAGACCATAAACACCCTCCCTGTGTGGGATAGAAACACACATCGTCACAGCCAGGAGGTCAGTCGGGTGAGGGTCTGCTTTGCTTACAAGGTCCAGAAACCCAGCAGAAAACCCTCGAGGCCACATCAGTGAAGAGTAACTTATTTCAGCAACATTTCCATGTGTGACACAAGACACACATTTCCTGCATCCACCTTTAAAGTCAAGAAGTTGAAGCTGAATAAAGCCAGCAGGCAGCGAAAATCACCTGCACTCAGTTCAGTTGTGGCAGGAAAGGGAAAGAGCCATGAAGAAAGGAGAGGGGGATGGAGAGGGAGAAAGGAGAGGGGGATGGAGAGGAGAAAGGAGAGGGGGATGGAGAGGGAGAAAGGAGAGGGGGATAGAGAGGAGAAAGGAGAGGGGGCTAGAGAGGAGAAAGGAGAGGGAGATGGAGAGGGGGATGGAGAGGGGGATGGAGAGGAGAAAGGAGACGGGGATGGAGGGGGGATGGAGAGAAGAAAGGAGAGGAGGGTGGAGAGCGACAGCTGCAGAGGGAGGCAGGGAGGCTGGCTGGGCGTGGACAGCTGCAGAGGGAGGCAGGGGAGGCCGGCTGGGCATGGACGCTGCAGAGGGGACACAGCCACTCTGGGAACAGCAGCCAGTGGCGGATCTGCCTGGAATGCTGTTCCCTCCTGTCCAGGATGGGCCTGTCTCTGCAGACAGGGGCCCTCCCCTTCCTGGCCTGGCTGTGCACAGCCTATGTGCATGGTGGAAGCTCTGCAGAGGCCGTTCTGCTCCAGAGTGGGGCATAGCCTCGGGCGAGGTTCACAGCTTGGGGGGCTGGTCCTGCCCTGTCCCACATGTGGCTGTGTGGGCAGCATGGATCTTCTTCCGCGGTGACCCTGTATGCCCACCCCCGCCAACTTATGCCTGCTTCCCAAGGCCATGGGCCTCACCCTCAGACTTCACTTTTGTGTATATGGAAAGACACAATTATCGGGACAGAAACAGATCAGTATTTGCCAGTGGGTGAGTGAGGGGAGAGGAGTTTACTACCGAGGGGCCGAACTGGGGCCATTTTTGAGGGATGAAAGTCTTCTGTGTGGCTCTACAGAGTTGGGTACGTGATGCTGTGCTTGTCAAACCCCACAGGACTGGACCTCACTGTGGGAACAACAAGATCAACAAGAGGAGCAAGAACAACATCAAGAGTCAGGGCCCGGGGGTCCTGACGGGTACAGGATGGGTACAGACCCACACAGGAATCCCAGAGTGTGTTCCACAGCAGGACACGCCTGCGCTGAAAGAGTGGGCAGAAAGGAGCTGACCTGGGTAAGTCCAAAAACAGTGTTTTGATTAGATTCTGGAAAGAATCAAATAACTCTGCATATCTAAGCACTAAACTCCAATTGGTAAAATTGTTTCCCACAGCAATACATGTTAGCAACTTTGAAACTACTTTTATATATACTAAGGTTTCACAAATAAGTCAATACAGTAGTAAGAGTCAGGGTTCTCACAGCTGGATAAGGAAGTCATGGAAAAGCCAGCGGGGACCCTGAGGTCCATATATAATATATATTATACATATATACAGATCAGAATGGACCCTAAGGTGGTCGGTTATAGACAGATATGCCAGCAGGAACTCATGTTTACATGATACATATATACAGATCAGAATGGACCCTGAGGTCCATATATAATATATATTATACATATATGCAGATCAGAATGGACCCTGAGGTCCATATATAATATATATTATACATATATACAGATCAGAATGGACCCTGAGGTGGTCAGTTATAGTCAGATATGCCAGCAGGAACTCGTGTTTACATGATACATATATACAGATCAGAATGGACCCTGAGGTGGTCGGTTACAGTCAGATATGCCAGCAGGAACTCGTGTTTACATGATACTTATATACAGATCGGAATGGACCCTGAGGTGGTCAGTTATAGTCAGATATGCCAGTAGGAACTCGTGTTTACATGATACATACATACAGATCAGAATGGACCCTGAGGTGGTCAGTTATAGTCAGATATGCCAGTAGGAACTCATGTTTACATGATACATATATACAGATCAGAATGGACCCTGAGGTGGTCGGTTATAGTCAGATATGCCAGCAGGAACTCGTGTTTACATGATACATATATACAGATCAGAATGGACCCTGAGGTGGTCGGTTACAGTCAGATATGCCAGCAGGAACTCGTGTTTACATGATACTTATATACAGATCGGAATGAACCCTGAGGTGGTCAGTTATAGTCAGATATGCCAGTAGGAAATCATGTTTACATGATACATATATACAGATCAGAATGGACCCTGAGGTGGTCGGTTACAGTCAGATATGCCAGTAGGAAGTCGTGTTTACATGATACATATATACAGATCAGAATGGACCCTGAGGTGGTCAGTTATAGTCAGATATGCCAGCAGGAACTCATGTTTACATAATACATATATACAGATAGGTTAAATATATACACACACACATGCGTGTGCATACATGGCTTAGCACACACATCTGTAGATCCTGGGTTTGTCCTTTGAGAGGGGACACCCCAGTAGCAGCAAGCACATTCCATGCCCAGATGTTAGTTTCTAAATTTCATCTTCAATAAAAGGAGCCAAGTCTCCCTGGAGAAATGGCTGATAATTGGGATGTGGGAGAGAAAATACAAGATGAACCTGGAGCATCTTGTAGTCCCAGGAAGTAAGAAAATGCTCAAAAATAAAATTTTTAAAAAGCTGTGGGCATTTCAAAAGGGCATGGAACCCAAAATGTAAGAGCTCCCAGTGGCCACAGCTACAATGATTTGAGTGCACACACACTCACACAGACATACACACACACACACACAAATCGGATTATGCCCCAAAGAATAAAATGAATGTCCATGGATTTGTAAGCATATAAATAAATTATTGAATAAATTAAAACTGAAAGGGTAGCCGGGCGAGGTGGCGAGCGCCTGTAGTCCCAGCTACTCGGGAGGCTGAGGCAGGAGAATGGTGTGAGCCCAGGAGGTGGAGCTTGCAGTGAGCCAAGATCACGCCAATGCACTCCAGCTGGGGTGACAGAGCAAGACTCTGTCTCAAAAACAAAACAAAACAAAAAACTGAAAGGGACAGGCCTTTCTTGGAACAAATTCCAAACAAGAAATGTGGAGTAAATAGGGAAAATCACCATCAGGCTGGGCACAGTGGCTCGTGCCTGTAATCTCAACACTTCGGGAGGCTGAGGCAGGTGGATCACCTGAGGTCAGGAGTTCGAGACCAGCCTAGGCAACATGGTGAAACCCTGTCTCTACAAAAAAATACAAAATTAGCTGGGCCTGGTGACACATGCCTGTAATCTCAGCTACTTGGGAGGCTGAGGCAGGAGAATCGCTTGAACCCGGGAGGTTGCAGTGAGCTGAGATTGTGCCACTGCACTCCAGCCTGGGCAATAAGAGCAAAACTCTGTCTCAAAAAAAAGAAAGAAAGAAAGAAAAGAAAAGAAAAAAAAGAAAATCACCATCAGTGCTGCAGGCAAGCTCCCCTGAGGAATGCTAAAATTCCTGTGCAAAGTTTAAGGAGAAAGAAGATATTTGTATACTGTCAAAGTGTCTCCCCTAAATGTTCAGTAATTACCGCGGTGCCCAAATTCTTTGATGCTCCTTCCTGTGGGAGTTGGAGCTCATGCTGGACTTCATGACTCACTCTTAACCAGCAGGACATGGAGAGGAAAACAGTCACTCTCCCGTGGGGAGACCTGGCAGGCCTCACCTTGGCCGTGTGATCAAGGTCCAGACCACCAGTGATGAGGCATGTTGACATCGTGGCCCCTGAGAGCACGTGATGAGAAGAGCGCTCCACCTCCGCCGTGTTCTTCCGCAAACGCACAGTTCCAATGTAATCAGAGAGAACATCACACACACACCAATTGAGGGGCATCTTGCAGAATACCTGAGCAGCACTCTGCAAAGCTGTCAAGGCAGTGAAACGAAGACAGGCCAGGAAAGGGTCACCGGTGCAGGGGACTAAGGAGGCGTGAGGGCCAGTGCAGCCTCTGGGGTCCTGGGCGTGAGCTGCTGAGATGGCACCCGCGTGAGTGTCGCAGTTTCCACACCGTGAGCTGCTGAGACGGCACCCGCGTGAGTGTCGCAGTTTCCACACCGTGAGCTGCTGAGACGGCACCCGCGTGAGTGTCGCAGTTTCCACACCGTGAGCTGCTGAGACGGCACCCGCGTGAGTGTCGCAGTTTCCACACCGTGAGCTGCTGAGACGGCACCCGCGTGAGTGTCGCAGTTTCCACACCGTGAGCTGCTGAGACGGCACCCGCGTGAGTGTCGCAGTTTCCACACCGTGAGCTGCTGAGACGGCACCCGCGTGAGTGTCGCAGTTTCCACACCGTGAGCTGCTGAGACGGCACCCGCGTGAGTGTCGCAGTTTCCACACCGTGAGCTGCTGAGACGGCACCCGCGTGAGTGTCGCAGTTTCCACACCGTGAGCTGCTGAGACGGCACCCGCGTGAGTGTCGCAGTTTCCACACCGTGAGCTGCTGAGACGGCACCCGCGTGAGTGTCGCAGTTTCCACACCGTGAGCTGCTGAGACGGCACCCGTGTGAGTGTCGCAGTTTCCACACCGTGAGCTGCTGAGATGGCACCCGTGTGAGTGTCGCAGTTTCTACACCGTGAGCTGCTGAGATGGCACCCGTGTGAGTGTCGCAGTTTCTACACGTGCATCATTGCTGTGTAAGATGCTCAAGTGAGAGGAAGCTGGTGAACGGGTCTGTGGGAAGTTGCAGTACTGTCTTTGCAACTCTTCTGGACATCTTTTTTTTTTTTTTAAATAAAACATTTTTAACATGAAAATATGCAGAGCACGGTGGCTCGCACCTGTAATCCCAGCACTTTGGGAGGCCGAGGCAGGTGGATCATGAGGTCAGGAGTTCAAGACCAGCCTAGCCAACATGGTGAAACCCCGTCTCTACTAAGAATACAAAAATTAGCTGGGCGTGGTGATGGGCATCTGTAATCCCAGCTACTCGGGAGGCTGAGGCAGGAGAATCACTTGAACCCGGGAGGCAGAGGTTGCAGTGAGCCGAGATCGCACCCCTGCACTCCAGCCTGGGTGACAGAGCAAGACTCCATCTCAAAAAAAATAAAGGAAATATGCGTCGTTGGATGCTGTATGACAATCAAGCTACTTATAACAAACAAAATTGAGAATGAAGGTAAATTAAAAATAATTTATAGTCTTTAAAAAGCAGGAACTACAAAATTTACATTTCTGAAAATGGCAGAAAAATCCCACATGGCTGTATATGTATGTGTGAGATTGTGTATGAGCGCATGCATATATTTTTGTGTGTTTGGATTATATGTGTGACGGTGTGCATGAGTGTGTGTATGATTTGGGGGTATGTGTGAGTGTGTATGACTGTGTGTATGAGTGTGTATGATTTGTGTGTGTGAGTGTGTACATGTATACACTAGTGTGCGTATGATTTGGGGGTATGAATGTGAATGTGTACATATGTATTTATGATCTGAGTGTGTATGAGTGTGAATGTGAACATGTGTGTGTGAGTGGGTATATGATTTGGGTGTGTGCAAGTATGAATATGTATTGTGTGCATTAATGTGTATATTTTGGGCTGTGTATGAGTGAATGTGAACATGTGTGCACGAGTGTATATATGATCTGGGTGTGTATGAGTGAGCATGAGTGAACATGTGTGCATGAATGTGAGTATGATTTGGGTGTGTATGAGTGTGAATGTGTGCACGAGTGTATATATGATCTGGGTGTGTATGAGTGAGCATGAATGTGAACATGTGTGCATGAATATATGATTTGGGTGTGTATGAGTGTGAATGTGTGCACGAGTGTACAATCGGTGTGTATGAGTGAGCATGAATGTGAACATGTGTGCACGAGTGTATATATGATCTGGGTGTGTAGGAGTGAGCATGAATGTGTATGCACAAGTGTGTGTATGTGTGTATGATCTGGGTGTGTAGGAGTGTGAATACGAACACGTATGCGCAAGTATGTATATGATCTGTGTATGTATGAGTGAGTGTGAATGTGTGCATAAGTGTGTGTATGATCTGGGTATGAGTGATTGTGAATGTGAGCTTGTGTGCACGAGTGTGTATATGATCTGGGTGTGTGGGAGTGAGCATGAATGTGTATGCACAAGTGTGTGTATGTGTGTATGATCTGGGTGTGTAGGAGTGTGAATATGAACACGTGTGCACAAATGTGTATATGATCCGAGTATGTAGGAGTGAGTGTGAATGTGAACATGTTTGCACGTGTGTATATGATATGGGTGCATGTGTGGGTGTGTTTGTGCAGGTGCACTGGGAGCTTTCAGCATTGAGTCTGTGTGGCATCCAGGCTTTTCTGGATGATGTAGAATCAAACCCCATAATTAATTCCAGTAACTTAGAAATTTTCACTTATGAATACTAAATTCTCCTCACCTAGCAACTGACTGAGCAGGTTGAACAGCACCCTTCGCCGTTCTCCTGCAGAACCCCGTGGAATGGCCCTGCTTTCTCAGAGTGCTCCTAGCGGTGATGAGGGAGCCCAGCTCATTGCGGTTCGTGCAGAAGGCTGTGTGCCATCTCCGGGACTGCACGGAGAGGCGGAGGCTCAGGCGTGGGATCTGAGCTCAGTGGGCCCTTTAAGGACCGCTGCCTCCTTTCCTCCCTTTGGCATTCAGCATCGACTTACGATGGCTCCCAGTCACAGTCCTTGTCACTGCCTGGCATTACACAGGGCCACAGTCCCTTAACTGAAACACTTGGGACCAGTTGCATTTTGGAATTCGGAATGTTTCTTGATTTCAGAGAGAGAAGAGGGGATGGACTGTTGGGCAGCCCTGATTAACCCTGCAGCGTCTTGGCTCTAGAGGGGCCTACACGGCTGGGAGCGTCTCGGCTCTAGAGAGGGGCCTGCACTGCCGGGAGCATCTCAGCTCTAGAGAGGGGCCTGCACTGCTGGGAAGCCTACACGGCTGGGAGCGTCTCGGCTCTAGAGCCACAGCTGATGCATGGCAACGATGAGCTCTCCTGCTTAGTGCTGATGTGCCTCAGCCCCTAACCCCACTGGTGTCCGGATGAGGAACTTGAGGCTCAGAGAAGCTAGGTCAAGGTGAACACCAGTGTTGAGTTTCAGCCCCAGGTCTACCTGATGCTGCCTCCACATTGACTGAGTTGGCCTGGTCCATTGTGAGGTCAGGTAGAGCCAGGGCCGAGGTGGGGATGCCAAGGTCCCATGCCGCAAAGATGGGTGGGACGGCACAGGAGCCAGTCATCATCCCCAAAGACACAGCTCCGAATACCTCATCCTGAAATCCCAAAGATCAAAATCCCAAAAGTATAAATCTGGAAAAAATAATGTCGATGTTATTTATTTACATTTTTAAAAGGTATGTATTTGAGAAACATAAAAACACAACAGAACATTTCATAGGCCACTTTACACAATAAAATAGGCAATGATAACAGGTATTTTTGCATAAACACTGAGGTAACTAACGACGGCGGCATGGGTGTAGCAGTTATAAGAAGACAGACCATAAAGAAATAAGTCAAAAGAGAAACGTGTACACGTATATCGCTACGGTTACTAATTGTGTGCACCTAGCCCTGTAGCTGTGGTCATCTGAAATATCAGGGATTTTAGACTTGAGGGATTTTGATCTTTAGGGATTTCAACATTCCACATTATGGTGCTTGGGATTGTGTCTTTCAGGATTATGATCCAAACTCAGCTGGGCCTCCCCTCCCTGCCCCAGGATTGTGGAGTGAGAACGTTGCAGCAGGAGAGAACAACGCAGCAAAGCACAGCAGGGGAACCGGAAATGCTCACCTTTTGACAGGGTACTTTTAGTTCTGGGGCCTTATCTTAAGGATATTCCAACATATACAAAAAGATTCATGCACAGAGATATGTACTTTAGTATTATTTACCATAGGAAAAAAGTTGGAAACAATACATTTTATGTTCTGTAAAATGAAAGAACAGTTAAATAAATCATGGCTCTAAGACGACTCCAGGGCTGTGTACGGAAGTTCAGGGACAGAATCAGTTGAGGCTGTTCCACCTGAGCCTAAGCTTCCTCTGCTGTATGTCGGGAATCAGGTGGGGGCCAAGCGAGATCACCACAGTGCAGGCCAGTGTGCAGGGCACAGGTGGGCACCAGGGAGGGGACGCCGCACAGCCCCATGCTCTCGCCAAAAACGTGCAGCACAATTTGGAAGAAAACATTTCCATCTGTTAATAAAGAGCAAGGGCCTCTGGTCATAAGTGACACATGACCCTTTGCCTGAGTCTTTTTAAATTTTTCCATATGTTCCATATTTTCTACACCAAATGTAAGCTACTTTCATAATCACAAAAACTTAATGGAAAGAGGAGGAGGAGGACGGGGGTGGGGAGTAGTAGCCATGGGTTCGAGCCCTTCCTCTCCGCATGACTTGGATAACACGGTATATTCACACAGCTATTTCCCCATCTATGAACTTCTGAGGTGCTTTTATTAGTTGATGTCTGGGACCCCTAGGAGCTCTCTTTATACCTCATGATATCAAATGCCCACCTTTCCAGCTCCTCTTGGCCTCCTGCCCTTCCTGGAGGGAGATGCGCTCCCTGGAGCTGCTGACTAGGTGGAAGCAGACTGGCTCCTTCAGTGGGTAGGCCAGCCTGCCTGTCTCCCTAGCCCAGTCCCACCGTGCTGGCCTCAGTGGTGGAGGCAGGCATGGAGCCTTGGAGGAACCACTCCTCCCCAGCCGCCACCAACATTTGTGGCACCGAGAAGCACCCGTGCTATTCCGGACAGGGATGGGGTTGGACACCCATGCATAGGGGACCCTACACTCCTAGGCTTGGCTCTGGGCTAAACAGCAGGTGTGGATTTGGGCCTAGGCCTCGGAGAAGCCATCAGCTAGGGCAGAATTCCCATGTGGGCAGGATGTTATTTAGGAATTCCAGGGCTTTCTGTATTCCAGATTTCCTGTATTGTGCATATGTGCGTGCATGTATGTGCCCTCAGCCATGATGTAAAGTGTTTTTCTGGCTGGGGTTGCATCACAGAGTTTGGAAGCCACTGCTCTGCAGATTCTGAGGACCACCTCCCTTATTTCTCACCAAATTCCCATTTCTTCTGTTTTTGTTCCACCCAATGCAAAAAGCATACTGCCTTCTCTTCTGCATTGGTGGGCAGCGGGTCCTGCAGCTCAGGTTTCTCCAGCCAGGGCCCTGAACGTGAGCCTGGTGGCGTGGGCAGGGGGCTGACTCCATGTGGGCCAAAGGCAACCTATCCAGCTCTTCAGAATGGCTTTTCTCTCCTCCCTATAAAACATATTTTCTCTCCTCCCTATAAAGCCTATTTTTGTATTAGGGTGTTTGTTAAAATGAAAACATGAGATCATTGATGCATAACGAGAAGCCGTGTCATTACTTCCCAGGCCCTGTGCAAGGTGCAAATTGGCGTGTTAGTGGCTGTTTGCATCTTTTCAGTTCCTTTCGTCTTTTCTCCTTATCCTGCCCTTTATATGGTTTCTGCTTTAAGTCAAACATTGTGAGTGGATTGATGGACATATGTGTGTGTGAGCGTGTGTGCACAGATGCATGAGAACTGCAGAGAGAGATGGGAGGTAACCAGGGGGATCACTGTTCTCTTCTTCCCAAACATTAGCGTTAGGCTGTTCCGCTTCTGTTCTTGAGAGGGCACCCACATTACTGCTTGGGAGCCTGGAAATGGCCCCACTGAAGCAGCTCTGAGGCCCTGGACACCCTTTTCCTGGTTGTGGCCAGCTGAGTTGTGCATGGTCCTCCCCGTGGGATGTGCTTGGAGCATCTGCTGGTAGCAGAGCCTCAGTTCCTCTCCTGCGTTCTTTCGCTACAGGTGTTAGACCTGCTGCCCACCTGTGACCTGTTTACTGCCAGGGATAGACCTGTGGCCAGTGTGGAAAGCGAGATGCTTTGTCCATACAGCCTGCGGGGCTCAGCCTTCCCGGGGTTGCCCACAGCTAGGCTGGGCCAGGACCCCCAAGCCTGGGAACTTACACCTTTCTCACCTGCTTTCCTAAAGGTGGTTTTCCTTTGTGATCTCTCTCCCTGAACGGCCAAACCACACTCTGAATAGAAAACTGTCTTGAAAACTGCTTTGCACGTACATCTGATAAGGTCCTCTGGAGGGCGACCTCCACTGTCTAGTGGGCGAGGATTGTTCAGCTGCCTTGGCTGTGTCACCGAGCTGCCAAGGGCGGACTGTACCCTGGGCTCACCAGCATGCAAAGATATTTTATTCATTTATTTATTCCATAAATATATATTTATATTATTTATATTTAGAGCCAGTGTATCTCTCTGTCGCTCAGGCTGGAGTGCAGTGGCACGATCTCACTGCAGCCTCAAGCTCCCGGGCTCAAGGAATCCTCCTACTTTGTCCTCCCAAACAAAAATATTTTTAAGGAGCCCACTAGGAGAGTGCTGAGTTTAAAATCTAAGTTCTTGTTTCTTTTTTCTTTTTTATTGATGCATAATAGATGTACATAGTTTCAGGGTACATGTGATAGTTTAATGCATTTATATAATTGTGAAAATCAAATCAGCCTACTTGGAATATCTATCGCCTTAAATATTTGTTTTTGCTTTATGCTAGAACCGTTCCGATTCTTCTCTCCTAGCTATTTTGAAATATACAGTAGGCAATTGTCAACTATGATCTATGTAACACTAGGTCTTATTCCTTCTTTTTTTTTTTTTTTTTTTTTTTTTTTTTTGAGACGGAGTCTCACTCTGTCGCCCAGGCTGGAGTGCGGTGGCGCGATCTCGGCTCACTGCAAGCTCCGCCTCCCGGGTTCACGCCATTCTCCTGCCTCAGCCTCCCGAGTAGCTGGGACTACAGGCGCCCGCCACCACGCCCGGCTAATTTTTTGTATTTTTAGTAGAGACGGGGTTTCACCGTGTTAGCCAGGATGGTCTCGATCTTCTGACCTCGTGATCCGCCCACCTCGGCCTCCCAAAGTGCTGGGATTACAGGCGTGAGCCACCGCACCCGGCCCGTCTTATTCCTTCTATCAAACCACGTATTTGTACCCTTTAATCAACTTCTCTTTCTCCCCCTCTCCCCGCTACATTTCCCCACCTCTGGTAACCACGCATCTACCCTCTGTCTTCACGAGAGCTACTTTTTTAGTAGGTGGGTGAGAACATTCAATGTTTGTCTTTCTGTGCTTGGCTTATTTCACTTAACATAATGATCCCTAGTTCCGTCTTGTACAAATAACAGGCTGTCATTCCTCTGTATGGCTGAAGAATATTCCACTGTGTATCCACACCACGTTCTGTTTATCCATCATCCGCTGATGAACTCAGAGGCTGATTCCGTATTTTGGCGATTGTGAGTAGTCCCGCAGTAAACATGAGAGTGCAGATGTCTTTACGATATATTGATTTTGTTTCTTTTGACTATATGCCCAGTTAGTGAAATTACTGGATCATACAGCAGTTTTACTTTTAGGTGTTTTTTGTTTGTTTGTTTGTTTTTGGAGATGGAGTCTTGCTCTGTCACTAGGCTGGTGTGCAGTGGTGTGATCTTGGCTCACTGCAACCTCTGCCTCCCGGGTTCCTGTGTTTAAGCGATTCCCCTGCCTCAGCCTCCCGAGTAGCTGGGATTTATAGGTGCGCACCACCACGCCCAGCTAATTTTTTGTATTTTAGTAGAGACGGGATTTCACCATGTTGGCCAGGATGGTCTCGATCTCCTGACCTTGTGATCCGCCCGCCTCCACCTCCCAAAGTGCTGGGATTACAGGTGTGAGACACCGCGCCCGGCCAACTTTTATTTATTTATTTATTTTTTAAGGTGGAGTCTTGCTCTGTCACCCAGGCTGGAGTGCAATGGTGCACTCTCCGCTCACCGCAATCTCCACCTCCTGTGTTCCAGTGATTCTCCTGCCTCAGTCTCCCAAGTAGCTGGGATTACAGGGTCGCACCACCACGCCTGGCTAATTTTTTATATTTTTAGTAGAGATGGGGTTTCATCATGTTGGCCAGGCTGGTCTCAAACTCCTGACCTTGTGATCCCCCTGCTTTGGCCTCCCAAAGTGCTGGGACCACAGGCGTGAGCCACCGGGCCCGGCCCCTTTTAGTTTTTTGAGGAGCCTCCATCTGTTTTCCATAGTGGTTGTACTAATCAATGTTCCCACAACAGTGTGTGAGGGTCTCCCTTTCTCCACATCCTCGCTAGCATCCCTTATTCCCTGCGTTTTTGACGAAAGCCATTTTAACTGAGGTGAGATAAGACCTCATTGCAGTTTTTTATTTGCGTTTCTCTGATGATTAGTGATGTTGAGCATTTTTTCATGTACCTGCTGGCCATTTGTACATCTTCTTTTGAGAAATGTCTACTCAGGTCTCTTGCCCATTTTAAAATTCGATTAATTGTTTGCTATTGTTTGAGCTCCTGGTTATGAATCCCTTGTCAGGTGGGTAGCTTGCAAGTATTTTCTCCCATTCTGTGGGTTGTCTCTTCAGTTTGTTGACTTTTTCCTTTGATCTGCAGAGGGTTCTTAGCTTGGTGTGATTTCACTTGTCTGTTTTTGCTTTGGTTGCCTGTGCTTTTGGGGTCCTACTGAAAAAGTCTTTGCTGAGAACAATGTCCTGGAGCACTTCCCTAATGTTTTCTTCCAGTAGTTTTATACTTTCAGGTCTCAGTTTTACCTTTAATCCATTTTTATTTGATTTCTGTGTATGGTAAGAGAGATGGGTCTAGTTTCATTCTTCTGCATATCTTTATCTAGTTTCCCCTGCACCACTTATGGAAGAGACCGTCCTTTCGCTCGTATGTTGTTGGTGCCTTTGCTGAAGATGAGCTGGCTGTAAATGTGTGGATTTATATCTGGGTTCTCTATTCTGTTCCACTGGTCTATGCGTCTGTTTTACGTGATTACCAGGCTGATAGGTTGGCTCATGCCTGTAATCCCAGTACCTTTGGAGGCCCAGGTGGGAGGATCACTTGAAGCCAGGACTTCAAAACCAGCCTTGGCAACAAAGCAGGACCCCATCTCTACAATGTTTTAAAAAATTATTTGGTGCAGTGGCACACACCTGTAGTCCCAACTACGCAGGAGGCTGAGGTGGGAGGATCCTTTGAGCCTAGGAGTTTGAGGCTGCTGTGAGCTGTGATTGTGCTACTGCACTCCAACCTGGTTGACAGAGCAAGGCCCTGTCTCTTAAAAAAAAAAAAAAAACTATTGCAAGAGGAGAGAGAGAGACTGAATTCAACTCTCAATACAACAGAGACAAGTGGGGATAGCCAATGAGCAGGGTGAGGGAGGTGATGAAAAGTTGTTGAAAGGAGCTTGGTTAGTTAGCAAGGGTGGGGAAGATTCTCACTAAGGACCTTAGCAGCATTCCTTGCTAGCACTGAGCTCAGCAGGCCAAGGATGAGGCTTCATCAAGGAGAAGGCTCAAAGGAGCCTGAATGGAGTTTGGTCAAGGAGAGCGTCTTTGTCATCCTTGCAATGACTCATTTTATAGGTAATTAAGTAGGGGGTTCAGACAGGTCAAAGAACTTACCAAAAAGAGGAAATTGTGTCCATGTGGCTGGTGGCTCACCCCAGGAACTGACAGTGGCTTACTCTCAGAAACTCAGAGTGTGCGTGTCTCTTTGAATCCGTATCTGTGTGTGGGTGGGTGTGTCTGTCTGTGTGCGTGCCTCAGTCTTTTCTGAATTTCTCTCCCAATCCCCGTCTCTCTTTCCTCGGGTCGGTGTTTCCCTCCTGCTGGCCTCTGGCCAGCTATTTCTGGAAGTGTCAGCTGCTCTGTCTTCCTGCCCCTGTCTCCACCATCACGTCTGTGTCTGACTCCCTTTCTTTCCCATACAAAACCCCTAATGCAAGTCCTACTGTTTCTGTAACTGGCCACTGCCTATAACAAATCTTTGCTTAGGTTGTGTTTCTTTGTAGAATAGACTGATGTACTGTGTGCTTGATTTTTACAAGATGAGCACAATACCTTATCTTTCTTCTTTATTAAAAAAAAGGAAAAATCCAAACACAAGATTAATATCTCGTCATGGACTGTGCCCCGCTCGAGCCTCTCCACATGCAGCCGGAAGGAAAGTGGAGGGAGCTGCTCCTTTCCGTAGCCGGGGTGCCCACCCCAACCAGGCTGCCTCTGCCACCCAAGACAGAGGTTCTCTGATAATAATTTATGGGGCTTGTTTCCAGAGACCACACCTGAAGCTGCCAACTCCCCGGAGGGAAGGTCCTGATTAATGGCCGATGAATTTCTCCTTAAGGCCCTGAAACTGCCTACTCAGAACCAAGCCAGTTTTTCCTGCCTGTCCTGTTTGGGCAGGCAGAGGAGGCAGCTAGAAACCCATTATGCAGGGGATGGGGGTAAGTGGAGGAGGGAGGGGTTGGGGGAGGAGTGGGGAGGAGGAGGAGGGAAACAGGAGACCCCAGGCTTTGGCTATGACGGGGTCAGCCTTTCTACACCATTCCGGGATGCTGGTGTCCACCACTGCTGCCTGGGCACGGGGAACAGAGAATCTGCCTGGTGGGAGCAGACAAGAGGTTCGAGGACCAGAGCTCATCCTCTTCGGTGTGTGCCTGGGAGGAGGTGTAGGTGCAGCCAGTGGGGTATGATTAAAAAGAAGGGACGCGAGTTTAGGGGACAGCCGCCCACGTGCACCAGCTCTCCGTGTGCCACAATCTTGCCTGTCAGGGACCAGGATCCCACTTCACAGTTAGCAAATAGCAGCTCAGGGACATTAAGCAACTCGCCCAGCATCCCACCAGCAGACAGTCTCACCTTCAGGGTCGTCTGTGTCTGTTAAAGTCGAGTCTAGTTTCGGGTCTCAGAGCACCTCCCTAAAGCTTCCGTAAACCAAGAATAAAATTCTAAGCCCCACAGCCGATTGCGTGGACCCCGCCTCTGGGCCAAAGGGATTCCAGAGAAACCTGAAGAACTAGTTCAGGCCGTGATGAGGAGGAGTGGGGGCTGGACAGGCCTCATTGTACCCTCCTCCCTTTGGAATTTGGGCAGAACTGACCAGAACCAACATTAAAACAGAGATCTGAAGACTGACAAGGCTCTCTAGCAATAAGATACCAAATTCCAACCTGACTCCAGTGCAGCATCACATGACAGACAGAGGCCGTGAAATCAATATTTTACCTCAAAATATATTTCTTTGACATACTTTGAAATGGCCCTGCCAAGCTGTCTCTTGTGGGGGACATTTACATTCTGTAGAGAATCCCTTCCCTTTCCAGGTCTTTCTCTGATCCTGAAGACATTGGCTGAGAGTCTAGCACCTTCTATGGGTCTGAACAGGAAACATTTGCCATCTATTTTCTCTAAGGGTGGCCACCTATGAAACTTCATCTACATAATAAGAACCCTGGTCTCCACAGTCTCTTATCTTAACCCAGACTCTCCTTTCTATTGATAGCAGGTCTGTAGATAATAATTCTTTCAATCAATTGACAATCAGAAAATCTTTGAATCTATCTATGACCTGTAAGCCCCATTACTTTGAATTTTCCTCCTTCCAGACCAAACCAATGCACAACTCCTACGTACTGATGGTGGTCTTACGTTTCCCTAAGTTTCTGCCGACTAAACTGTGCACACGTTCTCAGGACCTCCTGAAGCTGCGTCACAGGCGCTGATCAAAGAACACAACCAAGGTGAGTGTCAATCATTTCAAGAAATCTATTTGCAAGGTTAAGGACACACCTGAGAAAAGAACAGAGAACCACAGGAAAAACTGTGGTCCGTGCTTTTCCCAAAGATTGTCTGGGGGCCTCAGTAAGTAAAGGGGAAAAGTGCGGGTATTGGGGAAAGGGGAAGAAGTGGAAAAAATGGGTGTGGGTAAATCAGAGGCAAATGGTTGCATTCTTCTGTCTTTGGTCAGTGTTCACTGAATACACATTTTACATGCGATGGAGGTAGAGGCAGGGATGTAGCTTTTTTATCTTTGTGTAATAGCTATCTTATTTAGGAACCAGATGGGAAGCAGGTTTGCATAAGCCAGTTCCCAGCTTGGCTTTTCCCTTTGGCTTAGTGAGTCTGGGGTCCCAGGATTTATTTTCCGTTCTCACAGGTTGTGGTCCTCACATTTGGCTCAAAATATTCAAAATTTTTTCCAGAGTTTGGCCTTTTCTTCAGCACTGGGAATTGTGATCCAAAGCTTTTCCTGATGAGGCACAAAGTTGGAGAAACAAAACGCAAACTAAGCAACAATGAAACAGAACAGAGTGAATCTGCTGTAGCTCAAGAGAGGACGTAGCTGCCCCCACTCCGCATCCCCGGGCTCGGGTTTGCCTTGCTGACCTCTGCTGCCACCTGGTGCCGCACAGAGAAACTGAGGAGAAACCACATCAGTCTCCTTCAGCCTCAGCTTCACATCTGTGGTGGGTCAAGCAACCCTTTCAGAAGCTGTATAATGTGGGAAAGCTTTCCTCTCAGGAAAATGCACACATCCAACTTTGAGAAGATGCCCTTGGGGGCGCTTCAAGGATCCTAGATAAAGAACCCCCTTTCCCGAACATCCAAGAACCTAAGTTTTTTTTTTTTTTTTTGAGAAAGTCTCACTCTCTCTCCCATTCTGGAGTGCAGTGGTGTGATCTTGGCTCACTGCAAGCTCCACCTCCCAGGTTCACGCCATTCTCCTGCCTCAGCCTCCTGAGTAGCTGGGACTACAGGCGCCCGCCACCACACCCGGCTAATTTTTTTGTATTTTTAGTAGAGACGGGGTTTCACCATGTTAGCCAGAATCGTCTTGATCTCCTGACCTTGTGATCCACCCGCCTCGGCCTCCCAAAGTGCTGGGATTACAGGTGTGAGCCACCACGCCTGGTCCAAGAACCCAACTTTTAGATCTAGAGTGATGTCAGCATGACATTGATTTCCTGAGGCCCAGGGGTGAAGGAGCTGAGGACAGCAGAGGGGTGAAGGAAGTCAGCTACAGACAGCAGCAGCTGATGCACAGGCCTCCCAGCGCCTGAAGTCACCCGGAATTGGGAAGTGCTCAGAAGCTTACAAAGCTGCCTCGAGGTGGGAACACAATATTAATCCAAGAGCAGATCCCTGATCCTATAAAAATGTACTAGATGCAGTGGGGGCATTTTAAATGAGCAGGGAAGAACAGACAGATAGACAGAAGGACAAACAGTATTGGGATTGGGATAAATGCTCAGCTTTTGCCCAAATCTTAGTGACTTAAGCATCACTTATTTGCTCACGATTCTGTGGCTGGACCATTTGGTTTGGCTCACAGGGCAGGGACTGTGCTGGTCTTACCTGAGCAGACCTGCATGTCTGCGGTCAGCTGGGTTGGCAGAGACAGAGTGACTGTCTTCCTCCAGGAAGCAGCAGGTTAACTGGTTGGCAGAGACAGAGGGACAGAGGGACTGTCTTCCTCCAGGAAGCAGCAGGTTAACTGGTTGGCAGAGACAGAGGGACAGAGGGACTGTCTTCCTCCAGGAAGCAGCAGGTTGGCTCTGGTTCCTTCGTGGGGCAGCTGGTCTCTAGGGCAGCAAGAGAGACCAAGCCCCCGTGCACATTCTACAGCCTCTGTGCACATCAGACTTGTTAATATCCCATTGGCCAGTGCAAGTCACACGGCCAAGCCCAGATTAAGGAGTGGAAAGATGGATGCTATCTCCTCCTGGGAGAGGAGGCAAAGGAGGTGAGAGCATTATGTGGCCACTTATGTTTGCAATCTACCATACTTAGCCCTTTGAGAAAAGAATTAACTGAGAAACTTGCTTCAAATAGGGCATTCAGTAAAATGAAGCCCCAATTGAAGTAAAATGCATATATAAAAAATGAAACTGTGACCGATTTTAAGGACAGTATTGGCAAATATTTCTGTGCTCTTGGAGGAGAAGACCCTTATTGGCATGACATGTCAGAAACCACAATGAAAGAATTATTTTAACTTGCATTCATAATAATTAAAATTATTCATTAAAAACATCGTGAATGAAATTAAAAGTCAAAATGTAAGCCAGAAAATTATTTACAACATATGTGTCAGGAAAAGACAATACCCTTCAGACTTTGAGAGTTTACATCAGAAAGAAAATAGCAAATGACATGATCCAAACTTGATAAAGGACATGAAAAAGAGCCAGCACTTAGTATGTTTTATGAATGAATAAGTAGCCAACAGCACATGAAAATGTGTGTAATCCACTTGTAAGCAGAGAAATGCAAACTAAAACAGTAAAGTGTCATTTTCACTTCCTGGATTGGCAAAGGGTTTTATGTATTTTACTGACAGTGCTCAATATTAGCAGTAAACAACAAATGGTGAGTAAATATGAGCTTCGGAACCTCAGGGAAATGATCTCCTTATTTCAACCTGTAGATTCCTTCCTACAACCAGTGTAGAGCAGAGTACCAGGACGGGCCATTGAGCACCCTGGTGTTGAGAGCAAGTGGCCTCTAGTCAGAGTTGGGTCAGGGCCACTGTGAGTGGGCTGCCCCCAACATGAGTCAGCTGTCTAGGACTAGTTTATCTCTGCTTCTCACTTTACTGGTATTATGGGGCAGCTCCTGCTGTCTTCCAATTTGGTGTCTTCCAAATCGGCACCGTCTTTTAAAGTTGAGTTTCTTGTTATTCTCACCTGATATACCTTATTTATCCCACACCCACCCCAATAACATATCGTGCTCAGTGTTATCTTTGAGACAACACTTGAATTTTACTCAGCCTGGAGCGCTCTTCACATGTCTTGTCCAGATCCAGTTCGGACTCATTCTTCAGCCGTGCATCAGTAAATGGGGGCTAGGTTAAACTGTGGTGACAAACAACCTCCAAATTTCAGTGGCTCAAAAATCTTCTTCCTCATTTATTTACATTTCATCATGGGTCAGGTGAGAGGTAGCTCTGTGCTGTGTCATCCTAACACAGGGATCCAGACGGAAGGAGGGACAATCAATAAGATCCCCATTGCTATAGAAAAGAGAAAAAAGTATGCGGAATAGAACTCTGTTTCTTGGAGATTTCTCCTGAAAAAGTCACATGTTATTTCTTCTCACCTCCATTGGCAAAAAAAAAGTCATGTGGCCATGTGAAAATGTAAGTAGGCGGGATGGAACAGTCAGAATGCATTCATAAAATATGAACTGAAAATATCTGGAGAACAGCACCTATGACTACCACGAATGCCAACATGCATCCCTAACAACCCAGTGCTGTCACCCTCCAAACTTTTTATGTCTTGAAAAGTATTAGAACTTCTTATCTGAAGCCATACCACTCAGAGGGAATGCAAAATACATATTGACATCTCCTTTAGGATGTCCTTAGAGAATTCAAGGAAAAGAAGTTAAATAATTTAAAAGTGCTTTTGGGTACAGCTATTTAGCACTAGAGGGTAAGATTAGACATAGATTGTAAAGATAATAATAGGGTTAGGGATAGGATTAGGATCTGGGTCAGAGTCAGGGCCAGAAGTATGGTTAGAGGTGGGGTCATGGTCAGGGTCGAGATCAAAGTCAGGGTCAGAATTAGGGACCAGGGTAGGGATCAGGGTTTAGGTTCAGGGTCAAAGTCTTGGGACAGGGTTAGGGTTAGGATTAGAACCAGAGCTTTGTTCTCCTCAGGACCCACCCGAGGGTGGGTCACCATGGCTTTGGAGCACCTGGTAGTGTGGCGTGTCCACAGTGAAGACCAGAGTTTCGTTGTCCTTAAGACTGACCTGGGGAGACGTGGCTGCAGGCCATTGAGGAAGGTGAGGAAAAACATCCTGTCTGCTCCCCGTGTGCTGAGGAGGGAGCTCTGCCGTGGGCTTTACTTTCACATGTTATATTCCACAAGTCTTGTTTTACAAAAGCATCCCTTCCTTGAGGCTTCGGCTGCTCATCGCTGCTCATCATCATAGCGTGCCATAACATATAGTAAGATTTGGGTTTGTTTCTGGGGAGAGATCTTGGTATAGAGAAAGGAGAAATGCTTAGAGCCACCATCAGGACAGTTGGGATGAAAGTTGGGTATAGGCAGAGGCTGGAGGAAACATGTGCATCCCCTGTAAACACTTTTATTCATGTTTTAATTACTCATTTTTCTTACAGTGTTAAATTAGTAAAGATAGTATTGAAAAATTGAAAAGTAGGCATATTAAAACCTGCAACACTATTTAAGCTTAGATACATTATTTGTATCTCATCATTTTTTATTTTGTTGAGAAAGTTTAAGGTTAATTGACAGCATATTTCTAATAGTAGATAGAATAACATCCCTTTTATAAACTTTGACATCTTACATTACATGTGTGAACCCTGAAAATCTGAGACAGCTCTCAGATTTTTTAGAAAGTTTATTTTGCCAATCTTGAGGATGTGCACCTGTGATGCCTCCTCAGGAGATCCTGACAACATGGGCCCAAGGTGGTCGGGGCACAGCTTGGTTTTATACACTTTAGGGAGACACGAGAGATCAATCAATATGTGTAAGATGTACATTGGTTCAGTCCAGAAAGGTGAGAAGGCCAGACAGGGGGCTTCCAGGTCACAGGTAGGTAAGAGACAAATGGTTTCATTCTTTTGCATTGCTGATTACCCTTTCCACGTGAGGCAATCAGGTATGCATTTATCTAGGTGATCAGACGGGTGTCTTTGGATAGAATGGGAGGCGGGTTTGCCCTAAGCAGTTCCCAGCTTGACTTTTCCCTTTAGCTTAGTGATTTTGAGTCCCCAAGATTTATTTTCCCTTCATAAGTGTTCCTATGAGTATTAATTATTCATTGTGTCTTTTATTACACAAATAAGGCACAGATTTTTAAGAAATCATCAACTTCATGGCTACCTATATAGACATAATTACATAGAAGCTCAACTAAATTTGCAAACATTCCAGAGTTTGGGTTTCCAATAATTCTTTGTGATTCTTTAAAAGGTAAAGTATTTTTTCCCATAAAACATAGCAACATTTAAAATCACCCGTAGAATGTCCTGCCATTTTTGTTTTTCTAGTTTCCTCATTTTCTGCAAATCCTCGCTGAGGAAATTGACTTTGAATATCCTTTTAGACTCTTTTGTTTTAGAAAGCATTGTGGTAAAACATTGAATCATCATGGTCATAAGTTCCGTTCACATTCTTTCTTTCTTTGAATATTTTTTCCCAGTGGCCAATATTTGATTCTGTTGTATTATGGCTAAAAGGTAGGCATGGGAACAAAATAAAGACAAGAAGTCTTTGGAATAATTGATCCCATCACAATGAATCAATTTGCCATTGGAACATGTTTTTACAAAGTCACTCTTTTGAAAATATTCAGCTATGACTTGAAACAGAGTCTGTATGGTTAATATTTTTCCTGGTCTAAGGTGAACAGCATTTTAGAGAATGAACCCAGGACACAACCACAGCACAAGAAAAAAATATGATAATTAAGTTTACACATATTGTTACTACTGTAACAGAAAACATGTAAAGGACATTTGTTTTGATTTATATATCAGTCTGCACTGTTTAATTTTTTGTGTCATAATTGCTCTTATTTTAAAAAACAGGACTAGTTAACAGTGTCAATTACTAGTAATTCATGGTATAAATAATTAAACAAGGAAGTGTTAAAAAAGTGTTTTAAATAAAGTTTTATTTTACGTCTTTTTTTTACTTACACAGAAATCGTCAAAAAAAAAAAAAAAGCAGAGATTTCCCATGTAGCCGCAACCTAGTTTCCTCTCTTATTAACATATTCTATCAGTGTGTCTCACATGGCTTATTAATATCTTACATAATTTGCCACAGTTAATGAACCAATACTGATAGACTGTTATTAACTAAAGTTCATATTTCATTTGGATTCCCTTAGTTCTATCTTACTCTGACCCAGGATCCCATCCAGGATCCCGCATGACATGTAGTCATCACATAGGCTCTTCCTGGCTGTGACAGTGTGTCAGGCTTTCCATCTCATGATGACCTTCATAGCACTGAGGAGGATTGGTCAGGATTTTTGTAGAATGTCCCCCATTGTCACTTCATGTTCTCAAGGTGAACTGTCAGCTTTGATGTTCACTTGGATCATTTGGCAGAGCTACTGTTTGTCAGATTTCTCCACTGTGAAGTTATTTTTCCTCCTTGTCCATACTGCATGTGTTCTTTTGGAGCAAGTCACTATGCAGAGCCCACACTTACGGAGTGAGGAGTTGGCTCCACCTTCTTGATGGCTGAGTGTCTACATCAGTTATTTGGAATTCTTTTGCAAAGGAGATTTCTATGCAACTCCATTTGCTTATTCACCTAGGTATACAAATACAGACACCTAGATAATTACTTTAAGCTTTAGTTATTATTCGACACTATAGCATTATGTTGCACAATTCCTTCCTGTGTTGGCCATCGGTAGCTGTTTTTATTGGCTTTTATTTTTGTTTGATATATTTTAATTTTTTTAGTACTTACTTTCTGATACTTCCAGATTATCCTGGCTCCTATATTTACTGTCCCAGTTCTAGTATCAGACATTTCTTCAAAGAGCCTGATTCCTTTCAGAATGGTGGGAAAACTTACATGTGGCTGCTGAATGCACATTGTATCTTGTCCCTCATTAGCAATGCTAGGAAGCATATGTGCGTGTCTAACCTACCTACACACACCTAATTATAAAGTTTTCTATGTAGAACTGTGTGTATCTATATTAAACTAAGCATAAGTTTACGTTGATGTCTCCACCTCTGATCTACTATCACAGGAATCATTCTAGCCTTCTCGTCTTGCTAATTTGTAACCTCCCACTTCAACAGTGAGAAAGCTGGTTCCCACCATCTGCGACTTATGTAAGTCATTGTTTTACTCCAGATACAGACACTGTGGTTTTACAATTGTTCACAATTACTTCTGTTGGAAAGAACTTTATAAAATGGAATCCAATAATGAAGTATAGTTCATGTGCCTTCAGCCTACAGATTCTATTCATTTTCAAAGTTTTTACCTAGATTTGTGTCTTAGTCCATTTTGTGCTTCTGTAACAGAATACCTGAGGCTGCGTAATTTATAAGTAAAACAGTTTCATTTGGTTCACAATACTGGTGGCTGGAATGTCTGAGATTGGGCAGTTGCATCTGGCGGGGCCTCAGTCTTTTTCACCTCATGGTGGAAAGTGGAAGGGGAGCAAGGGGTGCACCAGAGATCACATAGCAGAAGTGAAAGCAAGAGGGAAGCCAAGGAAGCCAGACTCTTTTTAATTACCTGCTCCTGCAGGAATTATCTATTCCTGTGAGAACAGAACTCACTCACCCCCATGGAGGACATTAATCTATTCATGAGGGATCCGTCCCCATGACCCAAACACCGTCCACTAGGCCCCACCGCCCCACACTGACGCAGTGGGAGTCAAATTTCAACATGAGTTTTTGTGGGGACAAACCACATCCAAACCATCGTAATTTGTAGCATAAATTCTTTTTCACATGATGTATTCTGTCCTGGGATACTCCACATCCTGAGTAATTTGATTTAATTTGAATAGAGTTTGCTTTAACCATTTGGCTGTAAAATTCTGCATATTTCGACAAATGCATTGTGGCAGATATCCCACTATTAAAGTATCATATGGAATGCCTCAAACCCCCACCCCATGGAGCCAATGGCTTCCCATCTGTGTAGTTTGCCTTCCCCAGTGTCTCATTAAATGAGGTCACACTGTGTGTATCCTCCTCAGACTGTCTTCTTCCACTTAGCAATGTGCATGCAAGATTCACTCATGTCTTTGTGTGTGTTGATATCTTGTTCCTTTCTATGGCTAAATAGTATTCCATTACATGAATGTAGCACAATTTGGTTATGCATTTTGGGGAGTAGAACCTTCCTCTTCTAACTTTGTTCCAGGGTTGGAGACCTTCAAATTAACTGACAATAGATACATTAGTAGGAGAGACAATACTTGGCTTCTTGTTCCCCAAGTATCATTGTGGGACAAAATTCATCAGATGGCAGGATCCAGTTTACAAAGAGGTAAAAATAGCCCAGAAACAAGAAACAAGACTAGAATCTGATAACTCTCAATGGCTATAGTTTTCCTTTAAAAAATTTTTTTTTGAGACAGGGTCTGGCTCTGTCGCCCAGGCTGGAGTGCAAAGGTGCAATGTCAGCTCACTGCAACCTCTACCTCCTGGGTGCAAACGATCCTCCCTCCTCAGCCTCCTGATTACCTGGGACTACAGGCACATGCCGTCATGCCCATCTAATTTTTGTATTTTTGGTAGAGACGGGGTTTCTACCAAAATATTCGATTTTTTCTGTGGCAGACAACATTTATTTATTTATTTATTTAGAGACAGAGTCTTGCTCTGTCGCCCAGGCTGGAGTGCAGCGGTGCGATCTCGGCTCACTGCAAGCTCTGTCTCCTGGGTTCACGCCATTCTCCTGCCTCAGCCTCCCGAGTAGCTGGGACTACAGGTGCCTGCCATCACGCCCGGCTAATTTTTTATATTTTTAATAGAGATGGAGATTCACCGAGTTAGCCAGGATGGTCTGGATCTCCTGACCTTGTGATCCACCTGCCTCAGCCTCCTAAAGTGCTGGGATTATAGGCATGAGCCACTGTGCCTGGCACAACATTTAAAGTAATAATTGGAATTATGACTCATTACTCTATAGTGGCACATAGCATGGATAAGGAGGACATTGACAAACTTCCAGGAATTTTATATAATTTCTGAAAACATAACATTTTACCCATACAAATATAACACAGGGAAGGTTAGGTATCTCTTTTTATTTGTATCTTCTGTATGGTTTTCCTTATAAAAAATGCAACCTACTTTACTTGCGAAACATGCCCTACTTTTCTTGCATGCTTTGCATAGAGTTGTTTCTAGTTATTCTATTATTTCTAGTAGTTTTATTTACATATATTGATTATAATTTTAATACTTAGTAATCTTTTATTTTCCAGAGAAAACTAGGAAGTAGACAGTTATAAACTGTCATATATTAGCATTCTATAGTAGGTTAGAAAATGTATGAATATACCATCTCCCAACATCTAGAGGGATGTGTTTCCTCATAATACAATTCCTCAGTGTGGCAGAAAAAAACATGTTTATTAACGGGCCAAAATATCTTTAGTCTCTCTGTAAAAACAGGAAGCCAAAAGTATATAAACTTGAATTATTTATGTTCAGTAATTAATGTTTTAGTATTGTATCTTATTTATAAATGGTCTAGATATTTAATGCAAATCTTTTACTTAGCTTAACTTTAAGGTTAAAAATTACCAAAAGTACTTTGGAAACTATTCTTAGGCAGATTTACTGTAGACAAATTATTTTTGAAATAATGTTTTTCGCTTTTCACAAGACGGCACCGAAAGCGAAGGAAGCTCCTGCTCCTCCTAAAGCCGAAGCCAAAGTGAAGGTTTTAAAGGCCAAGAAGGCAGTGTTGAAAGGTGTCCGCAGCCACACGCAAAAAAGAAGATCCGCATGTCACCCACCTTCAGGCGGCCCAAGACACTGCGACTCCGGAGGCAGCCCAGATATCCTCGGAAGAGCACCCCCAGGAGAAACAAGCTTGGCCACTATGCTATCATCAAGTTTCCGCTGACCACTGAGTCGGCCGGAAGAAGATAGAAGAAAACAACACGCTTGTGTTCACTGTGGATGTTAAAGCCAACAAGCACCAGATCAGACAGGCTGTGAAGAAGCTCTATGACAGTGATGTGGCCAAGGTCACCACCCTGATTTGTCCTGATAAAGAGAACAAGGCATATGTTCGACTTGCTCCTGATTATGATGCTTTCGATGTTGTAACAAAATTGGGATC